>NC_000012.12:22709650-23334650 GCF_000001405.40 Homo sapiens | reverse complement strand
ATGTGTACAACTTATTTTCTTTTTGCAGAAAACTCATTAACTAACCAATAACCCACCCCATCTGGAAACTAAAAAGCATATTTATATATAATTTATTGATTAAAAAGAAAACCTACATAGAAATTATAAACATTTACAATTGAATGACCATAGAAACACCATATACAAACCTTCTTAATAAATTAAACATATTAAAAATAAACAAGTTACATGGTCAACTCCTGAAACTGCTAGAAGGAAAATAAAATAAATCCAAATGAAAGAGGAGATAAATATAAGACAGAAATAATGAAATAGGACACAAAAGCCAATTATGGTAATCAATACATTCAAAAATTTTTTCTTTACAAAAACTAACAAAGTAGACAAGACAATAGAAAAACTAATCAAGAGCAGAAAGCAATCATAACATCGGGAATGGAAAAGGAATCTAGATAAAATGAAAAATAAAATAGATATAAATTAATTTTAAAAAGTCTTGAATGAACCAATTACAGTAAGAGAAAGTAAAATGGTGATGTCATCATCCTGCAATAGATGTAATGCGAAGGTAACAGACACATAGACCAATGAACAGACTGGAGAACCCAGGTAACAGACACATAGACCAATGAACAGACTGGAGAACCCAGAAACAAATCCACACACCTACTGTGAACTCATTTTTGACAAAGCTAACAAGAACAGACATTGGGCAAAGGACAGTCTCCTCAATAAGTGGTGCTGGGAAAACTGGATATCCATATGCAGAAGAATGAAACTGGACCCCTAACTCTTGCCATATACAAAAATCAAATCAAAGCCGATTAAAGACTTAAATCTAAGATGTCGAACTGTGAAACTATTACAATAAAACATTGGGGAAACTCTCTAGGACATTGGTCCGGGCAAAAATATCATAAGTAATACTCCCCAAGCTCAGGCAACCAAAGCAAAAATGGACAAATGGGATCACAACAAGTTTAAAAGCTTCCACACTTAAAGGAAACAGTCAACGAAGTGCAGAGACAACCCACAAAATGGGAGAAAATATTTGCAAAGTACCCATCAGAGAAGGGATTAATAACCAAAATATATAAGAAGCTCAAACAACTCTACAGGAAAAAAAAATCTAATAATCTGATTAAAAATGGGCAAAAAATTTGAGTACACATTTCTCAAAAGAAGACATACAAATGGCAAACAGGTATATGAAACAGTGCTCAACATCACTGATCATCAGAGAAATGCAAGTCAGTTCTACAATGAGATACCATCTCACCACAGTAAAAATGGCTTTTATCCAAAAGACAAGCAATAACAAATGCTGGTGAGGAGGTGGAGAAAAGAGAACCCTCATATGCTGTTTGTGGTAATGTAAATTAGTGCAACCCCTGTGGAGAACAATTTGGAGGTTCCTCAAAAAACTAAAAATAGAGCTACCATATGATCCAACAATCCCACTGCTGGGTATGTATCCAAAAGAAAGGAAATCAGTATATTGAAGAGATATCTGCACTCCCATGTTTGTTGCAGTACTATTCACAATAGCCAAGATTTGGAATAAACCTAAATGTCCATCAACAGATAATTGGATAAAGAAAATGTGGTACATATACATAATGGTGTACTATTTAGCCATTAAAAAATGAGATCTGGTCATTTGCAACAACAGGGATGGAACTAGAGGTCATTATGTTACGTGAAATAAGTCAGACACAAAAAGACAAACTTCGCATTGTCTCACTTATTTGTAGGTGCTAGAAATCAAAACAATTGATCTCATGGAGATAGAAAGTAGAAGGATGGTTACCAAAGGCTGGGAAGGGCAGTTGTGGAATGTGGTTTTGGAAAAGAAAGTATGAATAAGACCTAGTATTTGATAGCACAATAGGGTGATTATAGTCAATAATAATTTAATTGTACATTTAAAAATAAAAAGAATAGCTGGATTATTTATAATACAAAGGATAAATGCTTCAGGGGATGGATACCCCATTTTTCATGATATGATTATTGCTTATTGCATGTCTGTATCAATGTATCTAATCTACCCCTATAAACATATACACCTACTATGTATCCACAAAAATTTAAAGAAAAAGATACAAGGCAAAGGTGATTTTACAGGAGAGGTCTACTAAATCATCAAGAAACAGGAATTCCTGCTTTTTATATCTGTTTCAGAATATGAAAAATGATGCCATGTTATAGAACTAACTTTTTGAAGTTAGCATTGTTTAGATACAAAACCAGACAAAAACTTCACAGAAAAGGCCAGCTGAGGGATAATTTCATCTAGAAAGCTAAATGTAAAATTATATATGTTAAATTAATGCAGTAGTTCATTACAGGAATAATGCATTATGATCAAATTTTGGCTCATCTCTGGAAAGCAAAGATAGTTCAACATCAGAATACCTATCAGTGTAAAACATTGTACTTAATTATTAACAGATTTTGGGGCATCAAAACTCACATTGAGCTATAGAATTTTGCCTGAAACAAATGAAAATGTTCCACAGTTGTCCTGGAGCAAGATCTGAAATAAATCTCCATTTTTCTGTAGGCCAAAAGAGATTGGGCCTGCATGTTACAGTTTGGAGATAACTGGAGAACCTGGTGGTCGGCGAGCAGCTGATTACTGCTGTGTAAAGACTGTCAGTGTAACACAAGGGCTCTGATTTTTGCTTTCAATATGGGAGTCTTAAGAAGAGACACAACTTAAAGCAGTTTTAAGATATTTGGTGTATTATCCTTTTTCACAAGCCTACAGCAAGCCTTGTTTACATTCTCCCTTTGGTCTGAGTTATATTCTGGGAAACTTTAAGATCACTGCTTCTTCTCCATGGTCAGAGTGGGACCATCGCCACGGAGCAGAGAAGGGCTTAGCAGGGCACCCATCATCCCATGAAGGTCAGGGTCAGTGTCCACAACTTGACATTGAGACGAAAAGCCTGGAGTGAAATAAACTGAGGGAGACAATTTGAGAGTGATGATTACAGCAAATAGATCAGTGGGGAAATAAAACAATAAATTATATATAAAAAGAATGGGTAATCTCATTCTTCGGCACAATCTGAAAACTCCAGAAGATGTGAATTGCTCATTTCCTCCAAAGCTCTAATATATCCAGAGGTTTTTTTATTTTCTAGAATTTCACTTTTGTTTCCCATGTACATTGTATTTTTCTCAGTTTCATTTATTAGAATTATAATCTGATATTTTTAGACACAATAAACACTATTCATTGTTGCATTTAATTCTCTCACTATACTTAGGGCTTTTTTTTTCTATTATACATATTAGAGCTGAGGACACTGAAATTTGGATAAAGGGACTTTCCAAGGTAACTAGGAGAGCCATGATTTGAACCGTTGCTTATCTGGATCTGAAACTATATCCTTAATCAGTAAGCTATATTGCCTGTTCCCTATCTTTTTGATGTTAAAAATTATAATTGATAGCTTTCTCATTGACTACTACTTCCTGCTCTCCTCAGCAATGCTTGATTAGTATCAGAAATGAAAATTTTTGCCTATAGGAAGGCTGTGAAATGGGCATAATTTTAATTTGCATTAATCTGTTGTATCAATCAATGTTCAGTGCAGAAAAAAAGAAGACTTTCTAGGTATACTGATTAGGAAGAGATTTCAGACAGAAATTGAGAACTTACAAAATTATTGTAAGAGTTGAGGGGCAGCCTTCAGGCTAGCTCTTCAGGAGTAATTTCAGAGCAAAGAACTGCCCTTCTGGAAGAATTACCAATTCTGACGCTATTGCTGGAGATCATGAGTTGAAATCACATATTTCATAGCTGCCAACCAGTGACCAGAAAGCCATAGTCAAGAAATTCTTCCTAGTGCTGCATCAGCTGCAAATACTTCTCAAAGCACAGGTAGCTGCAGAATGGACGTTTGAACCCTGCTGCAGGCAAGATCCTGTTTCTTTCCACCTTGCTTGCCTGGGTCAACAGCTGAAATGGACTGGGAAAATGGCTTCCTTTTCATTTTGCCTTGTGAATTTCTCTTGAGTCCACCTAACAGACAGGACCTAATCTGTATCTAGAATCCTCACAGCTAGAAGGTCTAGAAATCTGTTTTTATTTTTCTCTCCTTCTCCAATTAAGAAGGGAAGAATGGATATAGAATGAGTCAATCCACACCACCCATTTCACCTGCTGAACACTGAAGCTGCGGGCCTTCCAAATGTTTGTTGGGCTCATGGTTTTTTCACTCCTGTGAATTAAATAGTCATATCCTTTGCCAATTTTCTTCTTTGGCAGATTACTTTTTTCCTTATGTTTTGCAGTCATTTATTTATTTATTCTGAACACCAATTTTTGTTGGTTGTATGGACTGTATTTATCTTCTTTCAGTCTGTGGCTTTTATGTGTCTCTGTGTATTTGTGTCATAAAGTAACATTTATTGTAACGTCATTACAATTTGCTCTTTAATGCCTTTTTCAAAAGTTATTCTCTATGCTGAAGTCATAAACAAAGTCTTTGCATTTTCTTCTGAATGTTTTAAAGTTTTACTTTTCCCATTTATACTTTCCTCTATCTAGAATGTATTTCTGAGGCTTGGAAGAAAAAATATAATTTTAATTTTCTACAATGACAATTAACTCTGCACAATTTCACCATCTATTGGGTATTCCATCCTTTTCCTCTTATTGTGAACCATATTCCCTTCTACATTTGGGGCTCTTCCACAGCCCTTTAATATAGTCTAATTATCTTTTTTCTAATATCTACCACAATGCCACATAGTTTTAATTACCAGAGTTTTATACTATATTTTTATGACTCTTAGTGCCAACTTCTTATTCTTTTTCTTTTAAATTACTGGCTCTTCTTGAGCCTTTATTAGTCCATAAGAATTTTCCAATCAGTAAACTCCCATTCAAAACATTGGGGATTGTATTAACTGTACAGATTAATTTGGAGACAATTTACACTGTTAAAATATTGAGTATTCACATCCTCATTCATGAGCCACTTTATTTAGGTGAATCTTCTTTTATGTTTTTAAATAGATATTCTAAATTTCTACATGAAGGTCTTGTATATATTTTGTGAAACTTATTCCTGGGTGCATTACAGCTTTTGTGTGATTTTTGAATCTAAACATCTTATGTGATTAATTTTTATACTTGTTTGTTAATGAGGTATAGGAACACCATTAATCCTACAAGCTTGCTAAACTTTGCATTTGTTCTTATAGATTCACTTGGCCTTTTTTTTCTTTAGAAACTCATAGCATCTGAGAACCCTGAGAATTTAGTTTATCCCTTTCCAATCCTTACACCTCTTATTTCTTGTCTAGTGTGCTAAGAAGTCCAGCACAATGTTGAATAGCAAGTGCTCTCTGAGTGAGGGACAAGCTGGATTCAGGGCCAGCTGGTTCTCACCAGGGGTGCTAATCTGTAAGGGTGCTAAAACTTCAGTGGAATAAATCAAATATGCGGTGCCAAAAAAACTCAGGTTTCCACAAGCAATTCCTTATATTATTGGCAAAATGAATATTGGTCCTGCTCCCGCCAAAGTGGTGCTGCCCTGAGTGAAAATTAAAAACAAAAAAGAAACACCAACACCGAAGTCTTTGCCAGCCAACTTTGAAACTGGCTAGTAGACAATCACCTGAACTTGGCAGTAACCAGCAGCTAAAATTCTGAAACACAATTGTGGCTGCACGGTGCTATTTACTGAGTACAAGTGATTTTTCTTATTATTTAAATTTTAAACACTTTACTATGTTGCTTCCCAAAACATACCTGGTTTAGAAAAGAAATTTGGAGGTGAAATGTAAACCTCAAAAATCAGAAAACATTTTGCCTTTTTACTTCAGTCATTGCAATATATTAGTAAGCAAATGTATATGTGAATTCAATAATTATTAATAGAAAATTGGTACCTCTCCATCTTCACTGAATACATTGGAATGAATATTGCTTAAAGATTATTTTGAAAGGGCCACAAATTATTAGTTTGCTTCCTTTGGGTCCTGAGTGAGGATCTGATAATTACTCCATGAAAAAAATATCTGCGCATGACACTTCTTTGGGAATGTCTTGATTTCCTAAATTCACTCTTTTTGAGAAAGTAAAAATTATCAGAAAATTAGGCATAATTGTGTACACACATACATACATGCAGACAAACTCAAATACATTATATAGGCGTAGAGCAGCAGAGGTTATGGACATGAGACCATCTGCCTGTTGAAAAGGTATTTTTATGTATTTTGACACATCCTTGATTTTCCTTCCTCCTTTAATTCACAGCCAAAACTTTATATTATTTTGGTCTTTGCTTTTGAAGTTTTTGAATCTATGACACTATCTCACAATTTAGCCCTGCCGCTCACTCACTCATATTTCATTTTTGCTTAAAGTTTTCCTTTTTGCCTTTTTGCATCTCCGTGTCACACTGTACTCTCTTTTGGTCTTTGTTAGGTTTTTTTTCCCCCTTTTTTTCTATCACTCACTCTGTGGCAGCTGAGAAGTACTACAAGAGAGGGAGGACAGAGATACTGAACAAGGCTGTGTATATGTGTGGAGGGAGAGAGGAATTGGAAGACTAATGAGACTTTCCTGAAAATAAAGAAAGCTCGTGTGTATCAGTTACCAACTAGGTCTGAGATATATATAATAGGTCAGAGTTTTAGAGTTTGCTTCTGTGTAGGTTGCTAAGTAATAAGTATATATTTTTCAATTATAGACCCAAAAAGAGTTTTAAAACCCTGTGTTTATTAAAGATGAAAGTAAAGTATTAACAATTAGAATAAGTATGAAAAACGATGAAAAGTAAACAAATAGTAGATGAAATCCCCAGTTGAGCATAATATATACATGGAATCATTTTATTCCTAAGAGAGCAAATATTTATCATCTGACTCCACTCCAACATTTATTTGAATAACTGACACAGCCCCCTACCTCCCATGATGTTTGGAGATACATATTTGTTCAGAGGACCTTATTGGAACACTCCCAGCTGTTTTTGAATATTCACGCCAAAAGTAATCACTTCCCAACTGCCCTACATTTCTCCGTTGATATAATCTCAAGGGTGGAAACAGACGCAGAAACCGAAGTGCTACCCACTGTACTGCTTTCTGCAGGAGCTTGTGTTCTAATAGAGAGATTCAGACATCAAAACAAGCCACTGCAGTGCAGTCACAGTGCTATGAGATAAAAAAAGAACACGGTGTAGTAAGTACGCAAGAGGGAGTGGACAGTTCCATCTGGAGGAGGACGATGATCAGGAAGAGCTCCTAGTGGAGGGGTCACCCAGCACAGCACAGGAGGTTTGGGAGTCCGGCGAGATTTTGAAATCCCAGGAGACCTTAGAACAATTCTGCAGTCTGGGGTATGGGATGAAGGGCTACACGATAGGAAGTGAACCTGGACAGGTAGATAGGCAGAGCTCATTTAAGAGCCTTATGACTTGTTAAGGAATTTGGAATTTTTCCTGTGTGAAATTAGAAGCCCTTGGAGGCTGGTGAAGGAGAAATTCGGGACACCTAGATTCTCGTACTGTCATCAATATACTTGATGACTTTAGAAGAGTTGCCTGACTGTGGTTTTCACTTCCTACTTATGAAAAGAGAGGTAACAGAATCTATGAACTCTTTACCAATTTTCATCCATGCTATGATAAGAGATATCATTTTTTGAATGTTTATGATATATCAGACACTTATTTGCTTTGTCTCATTTAAACCTTACAGTAACCCTATGAGATAGATATGACTACACCCATTTATAAACAAGAGATTAAGAATATATATATATATATATACAGCCCAGGCTTGACTTGAACTCCTGTGCTGAAGCGATGCTCCTGCCTCAGCCTCCTGAGTAGCTGGGACTACAGGCATGAACCTACACAACCAGCTAGGATTGAATAATATTAATTTACACATCCAATAAGTGAGGAACCTTGTTTTGAAGCCCTATCTGGTGTTTTCCCAAAGCCAATGAGGTTTTAATAGTTTTTTTTTTGCATCTCTTTAATTCTAAAAATTTTAATAAAATGTGAGAAGAAATAAAAATGATAAAAATGGTATTTGAACGACGGTGGCCAATTAATAATTGTCTGTCTTCTAGAAAAGAGAAAAAATTTGTTGTAAATGCAGTATATCAGCAATGATTCCTTTTAAGTATAAGGAGACATTTTAGACAGGAGAGCTATTAGCCATGGTTAAGGTCTGTATTAGTCTGTTTTCATGCTGCTGATGAAGACATACCTGAGACTAGGAAGAAAATAGGTTTAACTGGAGTTACAGTTCCACATGGCTGGGGAGACTTCAGAATCATGGCAGGAGGTGAAAGGCACTTCTTACATGGTGGTGGCAAGAGAAGAGAGGAAGATGCAAAAGTGGAAACCCCTGATAAAACCGTCAGATCTTGTGAGACTTATTCACTACCATGAGAACAGTATGGGGGAAACTGCCCCCATGATTCAAATTATCTCCCACTGGGTCCCTCCCACAACACATGGGAATTATAGGAGTACAATTCAAGATGAGATGTGGGTGGGGACACATAGCCAAAACCATATCAAGGTCATAGGCATATTTTCCCTAGATTTCTTCCTTAAGTAGAGTCTCACCTGTTTGATTATTTCAGGTGTTGTTCTGACCAGATGTACGCAGTTCAATTTGGACAGAGACTCAAATTTCTTTTTGATTGATGATCTAATCTGGAAACATCTCCTTAAAACCAGATATGCTGCCTAAAAGGAAGGAATAGAATGGGTTTATTATTCTTAAATAATCATAATACTATAACATATACTGTAGGAAATATTTTACATTAAAAACACAGAAGTTGTGGGGAGCAGTGGCTCACGCCTGTAATCCCAGCATTTTGGGAGGCTGAGGCGGGTGGATCATCTGAGGTTGGGAGTTCGAGACCAGACTGTCCAACATTGAGAAATCCTGTCTCTACTAACAATACAAAATTAGCCAGGTGTGGTGGCTCCTGCCTGTAATTCCAGCTACTCAGGAGGCTGAGGCAGGAGAATCGCTTGGACGTGGGAGGTGATGCTTGCAGTGAGCTGAGATCATGCCATTGAACTCCAGCCTGGGCAACAAGAGTGAAACTCTGTCTCAACAAACAAACAAACAAACAAAAAAACCCACACACAAAAAAACCCCAAAAAAAACCCCACAGAAGTCAGTTGTTTTGAATTAGTTTATGAAACTATCACTTAAATTATGTATATGGTAGAAGTATGTGTCTATGGGTACATATATATCTTACACATATATGTGCTTGAAGAAAGAGACCTCTGAAAATTCAAACTTACAATATTGATAAATTAAGAATTTATTTACAGCAATGTTTCTGAACCTTTAAAAACATTTTCACCTTTAGATAAAACTGCACTTTCCATACACACACCTCCCAATACTCTAATCTAAGAGTGTTTTCTTTGTAAAAGAGTCCAAATGTGCTTTCTGATCAGTAAGATATTGATGTTTTGTTTTATTTATTTATTTATTTATTTTTGAGACAGAGTCTCACTCTGTTGTCCAGGCTGGAGTGCAGTGGCCTGATCTTGCATCACTGCGACCTCTGCCTCCCAGATTCAAGCAATTCCCCCTGCCTCAGCCTCCTAAGTAGCTGGGATCACAGGTGCGCACCACCACACCTGGCTAATTTTTGTATTTTTAGCAGAGATGGTGTTTCACCATGCTGGCCAGGCTGGTCTTGAACTGCTGACCTTGAGTGATCCACTTGCCTTGGCCTCCCAAAGTGCTGGGATTACAGGTGTGAGCCACTACACCTAGCTGATAACTCATTCTATATAGTTTTCTTGTTTTATAGGAACAATAGTATTTTTTCCAATATAAAATTATAAAATACAATGTGTTTTTAAAATTACCCTTTATTTGTCAACCTCTTATATAAATTCTGATATGCTATTACTGTGTAATCTCTTACTGAATCTCAGACTTAAGTATTAATATATGCTAGGGTGCTTCCACACAATCTCTACCCACTTTGTAGGGAAGGTGGGTGAGGATATGAAAGAAAAACATAAAGCTAGAATGTGAAGAGTACCTCTGCAGTAACTAGACATGGATATTTCTTTGAAATTGTGATATGCTCCACAACAATGAAGTTAGTAGTTAACTTTTTAAGCTGTCTCACCTGTCCCCAGTCTTGTGGGTTTCCTCTGTTTAATTTATGAGCTGCTTTTTGAACACATACCTAAACAACTTTGCTAGATTTCATTTGAATTCTACTTGTACGCTCCAGCCAGGTTAATTAAAACATAATTGAAATTCTATTAGAAAGGTCTTCATCATTCCCACTCAGAGGCAAGCATGACTGTGAGAATCTTCTACAGTGTTGCTCAGCTGGCATTTCAGATGCATCCATTGCTCCTGAAAAGTGTCTTTGAGAAAACAATATTCCATAAATGAAAGTGAAATACTAGCTTCTCCATTATTACAAAATCAAATTATTTAATGTCTAATTACCCTCTTAAATACAGTTACACATTTGTAAATTGCCATAAATGAAAAAATGAATGATAACACTTGAAATTTGGTCACCAAAGTTACTAGGGATTTGGTTGATTTCGTTTTCCCTGTGCCTCAGCACCAGCTACCAAATATCTCACTCATCGGGTGGCCACCAAAGCATAGAACATCCTAATAAAAAATGTTAGTGGAGTTACTAAGTTATTACTATTCCTATTGCTCCCCCTCTTCTCTCTTCTGCTTTTCTTTCCTCTACTTCTCAAACAGGCACATTGTTTGAGAATATTAATGTTTATAATACCATTAAGACACTTTCAAAGCCAACTGAAATAGCAAAACCCACAGAAAAGTGAGCTATTCACAATGCACATGCAGTAGCAACGGTGATTATTATAAATACAATAAAAATGTACTCATTAAATGGTATTGAGTTCTTACTTTTTTTTCAGGGTTTGAAAGAAAATTCCCTTTGATGAATTAGTAAAGTGAAGAAAGTCAACTGAGCCCTTATTTTGACCTCCTTGCCTCCCTCTGTGAGTTCATATCTCTTTCCCTGTGTGCAAATACCTATCAGATTAGTATTTCCAGCTAGGAACTTTGTGTCTTCCCTTGGATGTCAAAGGAATCATACTCTTTCAATATTTTTAATAGCTTTATTGAGATATAATTCACATATTATGCAATTGATCCACCGAAAGACACAACTCATTGCTTTTTAGTAAGTTCACAGCATTATGCAACCATCACCACAATCTAATTTTACACTTTCTTCTTCCCCGAAAGAAATCAATTAGCAGTCACTTCCTACCCCCAGCCCCCTAGCCTCAGGAAACCACTAATCTGCTTTCTGTCTCCATATAGATTTGTCTATTCTGGTCATTTTATATAAGTTGAATCATACAATATTTGATCTTTTGTGATAGGCTTCTTTCACTTAGGACAATTTTTTTTTAAGATCCATCCATGTTGTAATACGTATCAGTACTTCATTTACGTTTGTGGTTGAATAATATTTCTTTATATGGACATGGCACATTTTGTTGATCTGTTCACTAGTTGGTGAAAATTTGGGTTGTCTCTACCTTTTGGCTATTATGAACAATGCTGCTGTGAACATTCATGTACAATTTTTTTGTGTGTAGATATATGTTTTCATTTCTCATGGGTAAATATAGGGAAATTGACTCATTAGATGGGATTGAGTAGGACATTCGAGGCATTGTCATATGGTAACTCTATGTTTAATATGTTAAGGAATTGCCAAACTCTTTTGCACAGTGGCAGAATCATTTTACATTCCTACCAGTAATGTGTGAGGGTTCCAAGCCCTTCACATCTTTCCCAAAACTTGTTATGAAAATGCTTGTTTGTATTTTTTATTATAGCTGTCCTAGTTGTTGTGAGGTAGAATCTCACTGTGGTTTTGATTTGCATATTCTTAATGACTAACGTTGAACATCCTTTGATGTGCTTATTTTTCATTTGGATATTTGCTTTGGAAATATATCTATTCAAATTTTTGGCCCTTTATTTGTTTTAAAATATTTGTATTAATAGAAAATTAGAGCCAGGTACAGTGGCATGTCTGTAATCCCAGCTACTCTGGAGACTGAGGTGGGAGACTCCCTTGAGATCAGGAATTTGAGACCAGCCTGGGTAACATAGCGGGATACCGTCTCTAAAAAATGTCAAAAATAAAAAATTAGCTGGGCATGGTGGCGTGCGCCTGTAGTTCCAGCTGTGAGGGAGGATCACTTGAGCCCAGTAGTTCAAGCCATAATTGTAACACTGCATTTCAGCCTCCATCCTGGGTATCAAAGAAATACCTCATGGAAGGAAGGAAGGAAGGAAAGAAGGAAGGAAAGAAGGAAGGAAGGAAGGAAGGAAGGAAGGAAGGAAGGAAGGAAAGGAGGGAGGGAGGGAGGGATGGAGGAAGGGAGGAAGGAGAGAGAGAGAGGGAGGAGAAGGAGAAGAAGAGAAGAGAAGAGAAAAGGGAGGGAGGGAGGGAGGAAGGAAGGAAAGAAGGAAGGAAGGGAGGGAGGGAGGGGGAAAGGAGAGAGAGAGAGGGAGAAGGAGGAGGAGAAGAAGAGAAGAGAAGAGAAAAGGAAGGGAGGTAGGAAGGAAGGAAGGAGTGTAGCAAGGCCTATAGATCAGGAGATGACTGCCGTTGAAAAGACAGCTCATTACAGTTGAAAGAGAGGAGGCATGCGACACCACATGGGGCCAGATGAAGAAGCACCAGGGTCAGTGATGAGGAAGAGAGGAGAAAGGAGGGAACTGAGGGCAAGGCCTTTACTGTGGTTTCTGCAGGAAGTTAACTGGTGAAGAAGGGCAAGCAGGCTAGTTTGGCTAATTTTAATAATTTCAGTGAGCTATGGGGTATAGAGGCTATCCCTAGTTGTCTGTTACCTGGCCCTGGGCCACTATACATCAAGGCAGGTGTATAGTGGCCCAGAAGGTGAGAATTTTATAAAGGAGGTGGTTGGGTTGTGGACTCCTGATTGATTGGTTTACATCTGAAAAGCACATCCCTGGGAGGAGGAGCCAACCTGGGAGGAGATGGGGGAGATGAGGAAGGCAGGTGACTTAGGCATATTATCAAGTTGTCCAGAGCAAGGTGTGCCCAGCACACACATGTAGGGCAGATGTTAAAGCATGAAACTAGAAACTAGTTGAACTAGAAACTAGAAACTAGCATGAAGCTAGAAACATAGTTGATACATTTCTAAATTGGATTTTCTTTTTATTGTTGAGTTTTGTGTTCTTTGCATGCTCTGGATATATGTGTTATCATAGATCTAACTTATAAATATTTTTTCTTATTCTGTGAGCAGCATTTTTCTCTTTGTTGATAGTATAGTTTTCAGTGAAAGGGTTTTAATTTTGATGTAATACAATATCTCTTATTCTTTATTTTGTCACTTGTGTTTTTGGTATCATATCTAAGAGACCATTGCCTAACCCAAAGTCACAACAATTTTTAAAAAATTATTATTTTTTAAAATTATTCTGGGTATATAGTAGGTGTATATATGGGGTACATGGGATGTTTTGATAGAGAAATGCAATGTGAAATGAGCACATCATGAAGAATATGGTATCCATTCTCTGAAGCATTTATCCTTTGAGTTACAAACAATCCAATTATACTCTTTAAAGTTATTTTAAAATATACAATTAAGTATTGTTAATATAGTTACCCTACTGTGCTATCAAATAGTAGGTCTTGGCTGGGCTCAGTGGCCCTTGTCTATACTGCTAGCACTTTGGGAGGCCAAAGCGGGTGGATCACTTGAGGCGAGGAGTTTGAAACCAGTTTGGCCAACATGGCGAAATCCTGTCCCTACTAAAAGTATAAAGATTAACCGGGTGTGATGGTGCACGCCTCCCACCTACTCAGGAGGCTGAGGCATGACAATTGCTTGAACCTGGGAGGTGGAGGTTGCAGTGAGCAGAGATTGCACCACTGCACTTCGGCCTGGATGACAGAGTGACACTCTGTCTCAAAAAAAAAAAAAAAAAAAAAAAAGGCCTGGCGCGGTGGCTCACGCCTGGAATCCCAGCACTTTGGGAGGCCAAGACGGGCGGATCACGAGGTCAGGAGATGGAGACCATCCTGGCTAACATGGTGAAACCCCTTCTCTACTAAAAAAAAAAAAACACAAAAAAAATTAGCCGGGCGTGGTGGTGGGCGCCTGTAGTCCCAGCTACTCAGGAGGCTGAGGTAGGAGAATGGCGTGAACCCGGGAGGCGGAGCTTGCAGTGATCCGAGATCGCGCCACTGCACTCCAGCCTGAGCAACAGAGCGACACTCTGTCTCAAAAAACAAACAAACAACAAAAAAAGTAGGTCTTATTCATTCTTTCTATTTTTTTCTTTTTGTACCCATTAACTACCCTCACCTCCCCACAACCTGCCGCTACTCTTCCCAGCCTTTGGTAACCATCCTTCTACTCTGTATGACCATGAGTTGAATTGTTTTAGTTTTTAGATCCCATAAATAAGTGAGAATATGAAATCTTTGTCTTTCTGTGCCTGGCTTATTTCACTTAACATAGTGATCTTCAGTTCCATCCATGTTGTTGAAAATGACTGGATCTCATTCTTTTTTTATGGCTGAATAGTACTCCATTGTGTATTTTCCATTCATTTGTTAATGGGCATACTTAGCTCTTTTGTTTGAGTTTTGCAGTTTTAGCTCTTACATTTGGGTCTATGATTCATTCTGAGTTTGGAATAGTGTATGGTATGAGGTAGGAGTTGAAATTAGTTCTTTGGCATGTGGATATCCAGTTTTTTCAGCAACATTTGTTGAAAAGTCTGTCCTTTTTGCATTGATGGTGTTGACACTCATGTCAAAAATCAATTAACTGTATATGGAAAGGCTAATTTCTAGGCTCTATATTCTATTCCATTGGTTGATATGTCTGTCATTATGCCAGTAGCATACTGTTTTGATTAGCTTGCAGTAAGTTTTGAAATCAGGAAGTGTGAGTTATCCAATTTTGTGCATCATTTTTAAGTCTGCTTTGGCAATTCTGGGTTCTTTGTAAGTTTATATGAATTCTGGGATCATGCTGTTAATTACCACAAAAAAATGAGCTGGGATTATGATAGGGATTACATTGAATCTGTAGATAGACTTAGAGATGTCTAAGATGTCTATCTGTAAATAGACTTACAGATGTCTTTTCATTTATTGTATTTTCTTTAATTTCTTTCAAAAATATTTTTAAGGAATAAACCAGGCACAGAAAGACAAACATTGCATGTTCTCACTTATTTGTGGGATCTAAAAATCAAAACAATAGAATTAATGGTAATAGAGAGTAGAAAGATGGTTACCAGAGGCTGGGAAGGGTACTGGAGGGCTCAGGGACAGATGGGGATGGTTCATGGGTACAAAAAAAATAGTTAGAAAGAATGAATAAGATCTACTATTTGATAGCACAACAGGGTGACTAGTCAATAATAATTGTACATTTTAAAATAACTTTAAAGAGTGTAATTGGATTGTTTGTAACTCAAAGGATAAATGCTTGAGGGGACAGATACCCCATTCTCCATGATGTGCTTATTTCACATTGCATTCCTGTATCAAAACATTTCATGTACCCCATAAATATATACACCCACTATGTATCCATAAAAATGAAAAATAAAAAATTGTTTGAATCATACAAGTCTTATACATTTAAAAAATTTATACTTAAGTATTTTATTCTTTTTGATGCTATTATAAATGGAATTTTTAAAAATTTCATGTTTGAAATGTGAATTTCTAGAGTATAAGATAAGCAATTGATTTTTGTATGTTGATCTTGTAAATTTGTTTGTTATTCCTAATAGTCTTCTACTAAATTCCTCAGGATTTTCTATGGATAAGATTATGTCACCTGCAAAGAGACATTGTTTTACCTCCTTTCTGATCTGGTTCCTTTTATTTCTTTTTTTTACCTATTTGCCCTGCATGGAGCCTACAGCAAAATATTGAATAGAAGTATTAAGAGCAGACGTTCTTGTCTTGTTCCAGATTTTAGGAGAAAGTTTCAGTTTTTCATCATTAAGTATGATGTTAGCTGTGTTTTGTTTTTATATGCCCTTTATCAGGTTAAGGAAGATTTCTATTCCTAGTTTCTTGAGGCTTTTAATTGTAGAAGAGTGTTGAATTTTGTCAAATGCTTTTTCAGCATCTACTGAGGTGACTAGTTGTTATTGTTCCTTATTCTATTGTTATGGTGTATTAACGTCAATTGATTTTTATATATTAAACCAACCATGAATTCCTAGAAAAAAAATCCCACTTAGTCATGGAATATAATTCTTTTCATATATTGTTGAATTTGGTTTGCTAGTATTTTTTAAAGGATTTTTGTGTTTATATTCATAAAAATACTCGTTTATAGTTTTCTCATGATGTTTTTGTCTGGTTTTGGTATCACGTTAATGCAGGTTTTATTTAGAGTCAAGAGGTGTTCCCTGCTCTCTGTTTTCTGGAAGAGTTTGTAAAGAACTGGCATAAATCATTCTTTAAATGTTTGATAGAATTCACCAGCAAAACCATTTGGTTCTGGGCTTTTCTTTGTGGGAAAATTTTTTGATTGCTAATTTAATGTGTTTACTTGTCATAGGTGTATTTAGGTTCTCCTTTTCTTCTTGATTTAATTTCAGCATCTGTATCTTCTCAGGACTTTGTCTGTTTCATCTAAGTTATCTAGTTTCTTGGCATACAGTTGTTCATAATATTCTCTTATAATCCTGTTTATTTTTATAGAGATTGTACTGTTGTCCCTTTTGTCATTCTTGATTTTACTGATTTGAGTATTTTCTCTTTTATTTTTCTTGGTTAACATAGCTAAAGATTTTCAGATTTTTTTGATTGTTCTAAAATACAAAGTTTTGGTGGGTTTTGATATCCGCTATTTGTTTTCTATTCTGTACTTCATTTGTTTTCACTCTATCCTTTATTTTATTTACTTTAGGTGTGTTTGCTTTGCTTTTTTTTTTTTGTTTCTGAAAGTAGAGTATTGCAATATCATTTAAGATCTTTCTTCTTGATTATTATGGGCATTTGAAGTTTTAAATTTCTCTCTAAGCACCAGTGGTAGCTGCATTCCATAGACTTTGATACACTGTGTTTTTATTTTTATTCATATCAATGTATTTTCTAATTTCTCTTTTGTCTTTGACTAATGTATGATTTAGGATGGTGTTGTTTAATTTCCACATATCTGTAAATTCCCCAAAATTTCCTTCTGTTATTGCCTTATAATTTTATTCTATTCTGGTTGGAAAAAATTTGTTTATGTTTTCAATACTTTTAAATTTATCGGCTTTTAAAAATGACCTACCATATGGTCTATCCTGGAAAATATTTTATGTGCAATTAAGAAGACTGTATGTTCTGCTGTTGTTAGGTGGAGTAGTCTATAAAACTGGTAGATCTAATTGCTTTATAGTTGTTCACGTCTTCTATTTTCTTGTTGATCTTCTGCTAGTTATTTTAACTTTTATTAAAAGTTGAGTATTGAAGTCCTCAACTGTTTTTGTTTAAATTTTTTTTTTCTTTTTTTGAGATGAAGGCTCACTCTGTCACCCAGGCTGGAGTTCAGTGGCGCAATCTCCACTCACTACAACCTCTGCCTCCTGGGTTCAAGCAATTCTCCCACCTCAGTCCCCCGAGGAGCTGGGATTACAGGCATGCGCCACCATGCATCATGAATGGGCATGAATAGGCCCTGGGGTGGTAGCTTGCTTCTAGTTTTCCTGGTTGCCCCTTGTGGCATGAAACCTAAGCAAGCTAGGTAGGGGCAGATGTGAATCCAGTATTCTCGGCCTGTCACATCTGGAAAAGGACTTCCACCCTACAAGTGGAGACTGAGTGGGGAAAAGGAGACCTAGTCCTCTACTATACTTACCTGGAACAGACCTTTTGTAACACAGAGCTGAGGGTCTGAAGCGTGAGAAATACTGTTGGCCTGACACTCCCAGGGTAAAACCGTAGCTCCAGAATGACAGATGAAAGGGCGGGGAGTCCTATCTTCATGATTACAACCTGCTGAAGTCGAATGCCTGGGGTAGAGCTTTCTTAGCACAGAACTGGAAGAGGGGTGTCAAAACAGCAACTATGGCTCAGATGCCAAGATTTTTGCTTTTCTCGTTGAGAAGTAGATTTTCTTGAATAACTTTTTCTCTATTCATTTTATGTTCTTATGACAATCTCCAGGGGCTGTTACACACTTATTTTTTTGTAATTTTCAGCAGTTAAATGGTCATTCTGGATAGAGGCTCTGAGGACCTTTGTATTCTCATATTAGAAATCCTGCCTTCTCCAGTATTTCCTATCTCTTTAAGTAGATATTGCAGGTGAAAACCACAATGAGATATTATCTCACACTAGTTAGAATGGCTTTTATCAAAAAGACTAACAATAACAAGTGTTGGCAAGAGTGTGGAGAAAAAGGAACCCTTGGACATTGTTGGTGGGAATGGTAACTAATACACCCATTATGAAAAACATGGAGGTTTCTCAAAAAATTAAAAATAATATGACTATATTATTCAGAAATCCTACTATTAGGTATATATCCAAAGGAAATTAAATTAGTATGTTAAAAAGATACCTGCATTTCCATGCTTATTGCAACACTATTCACAATAGCCAAGATATGGACTCAACCTTAGTGTCCATCAACAGATGAATGGATGAAGAAAATGTGGTACATATACACAATGAAGTACTGTATACCCTTAAAAAAAGAAGAAAATCCTTTCACTTGCAACAACATGAATGAAACAAAAGGACATTAGGTTAAGTGAAATAATCTGGGCACAGAAAGACAAATACATCATGATCTCACTTATATATGAATCTAAATAAGTTGAACCTGTAGAAGCAGAGAGTAGAATGGTGATTACCAGAGGCTGGAGTGAGGGGTGGAATTGGGGAAATGTTGATCAAAGGATGTAAAATTTCTGTTAGGAGGAATAAGGTCAAGAGATCTTTTGTACACAATGGTGACTATAGCTAATAATAGTGTACTACATACTTATAAACTGCTAAAAGAATTGATTTTAAATATTCTTACCACAAAATAATGATACGTATGTGAGGTAATGGATATGCTAATTAGTTTGATTTAGCCATTCCACAATGTATACATATATTCACGTATCAAAACATGTTGTATAACATAAATATACACAGTTTTTATTTGTAAATTAGAGAAAAATGTGTTTATATGTCTATTCCATCAAGTAAAACATTGATTTAGCACCTGCTATATGCCATGCACTATACTTGGGACCAGTGGGTAAGAAAAATATTAATAAAATAATTAATGCTATTGAGAGTAAATTCTATGAACAAGAGATTGGAAAATACAAAACTTGTAATAGAGGAAGATGAGAGAAATCTTCTCTGAAAAAATAATAATTCCACAGGAATCTGAAGGAAGAATAGGAAACAACTAAGATAATAGCACGCAAGCTAGGTGGGGGAAGAGATTTCGATACAATGTAAACCATATCTCAAAATCTCCAAATAAGAGAGAGCATGGTGTATTCAAAGAGTGAAAGAAGGATGTATTAAGGGCTTTGAGAGTAGGGGTACCCTGATAGACAATTAGGATGGAGATGTAAGGAGGAATCAGACCATATAGAGCCATTGAAATAATGTTAAAGAATTTTTGTTCTTGTAAAAATAGGAGGAAGCTATAAAAATATTTCAAGACATTTTAAATTTACATAGAGTAGAATGCACTCTGTGGTGTACAATTCCATGAGTTTTGAGCAGTGCAGTTATGTATCCACCACCACACTCAAGAAACAAAACATTAACCTTTTTATCACATCCCAAATTTCTTTTTTTTCCCCCTTTTGTGTTAAACACACCCTCCACTCCCACAGTCTGGCAACCACTAGCTTGCTCTTTGTCTTTATAGTTTTGTCTTTTTCCAAATGTCGTATAAATTATCTGATGCAGCATGTAACTTTTAGGATCTGGCTTCTTTCACTCAGCATCATGCCCTTGAGATCTATTAAAGTTGTAGCATGTTTCAACAGTCTGTTCATTTTTATCGATGAGGTGTATTTCATTGTATAAATATACCAAAGTTTATCCATTCAGTCGTTGAAGGATATTTTAGATTGCTTCTAGTTTCCTATTATTATTAATAAAGCTGCTATACACATTCACGTATAGGTTTGTATGTGAAAAATGTCTTTATTTCTCTTGGATAAATACCTACTGGTAGTAGCATTGGGGTTATAAGTTAAGTGTGTGTTTAGCCTTAAAACAAATTAATTTTCAAATTTCCATGCCATTTTGTGTGCCCACCAGCAATAAGAGAGTTCCAATTAAATTCCAAGTGTTCATTTCTAGTGTGTAGGAATATGATTGACTTTTGTATATTGACCTTGTAGGCAGTGACCTTACTAAATTCACTTATTTGTTCTAAAAACATTTACTGGAATTGGAATTTTTCTATGAGACAATTATGCCTCTTCTATAAGAAATGGTTTTATTTATTCTTCCAATAAATATGCCTTTTATTTCTTTTTCTTGCCTTATTGCACTAGTTAAGGCTTCAAATACAATGGTGAAAAGAAGTAGTGACAGAGGTATTGTTGCTATCTTCCAGATTTGGAGTGGAGGGGAGTATTTCATTTCATTATATTTCACTGTTAAATACTATGCTAGCTGTAGGAATTTTGTAGAGGCTCCTAATCATAGTAAGGATATTCTTTTCTATTGTAGATTTTAAAAGATATTTTATAATGGACGCCAAATTGTGTCAAATACCTTTACAATTGAGATGCCAGTATTGTTTTCATTATTCAGTCTTTTAATAAAGCAAATTGAGTTGGTTTATTTTTGAATACCAAGCTGACCATGAATTTCCTGAATACAGTCATTTGGTAATGCACATATGTACAACATATTATCTTTTTAATATATTGCTGGTCTCGGTTTGCTAATGTTTTGTTAAAGATTTTTGCATTGATGTTCATGAAATTTATTGTTCTACGCTTTTGGTTTTTTGAAATATTTTTGCCCTGTTTGGTCTCCAAGCCCTGTTTGGGATGCTTGTCTCTTAAAATGATGTATGAACTGTTCCCACCTCCTAGTTTCTGGAAGTGGCTGTGTATATTTGGTACAATTTCTTTTTGAAATATCGGTAGTTTTACCAGAAAAACCATCAGGACCAGGAGTTTTACTTTTTGGAATGTACTTGACTAAGAACTTAATTGCTTTAATATACATAGGTTTGCTTTAAATACACAGATTCCAAACATAATTGTGGATCTGTTGATATTTTTTTCAGCTTTATCCATTTTTGCTTCATATATTCTAAAACTGTTTTTATGTGATTACACTTTCGAATTGTTACACCTTCCTAGAGAATCAAACCTTTATTATTATCAACTTAGTCTATGTATTTCTTTTCCACTAGGTTTTTGTAGTTTGTGTATTTAAGAAATGGATCCATTTTGTCTATGTTGTCAAACTTATGGGTATACAATTATTCATAGTATTCTTTTATTATTTTCTGATGTCGGTTGGGTCTGCAGTGATCTTCTCTTTTTTAATTTCTCATAGTGGTAGTTTGTGTCTTCTCTATTTTTGCTTAGTTAAGCTGGTGAGTGGTTTATTAATTTAGTAGGTTTTTTTTTTTCAAAGAGCTAGCTCTTGGTTTTATTGATTTTTTTCCTGTGATTCTATTTTCAGTTTCACTGATTTCTCTTCTCAGTGATTTAATTTACTTCTTTCTGATTGTTTTGGCTTAATTTGCTCTTCGTTGTCTAATTTCTTAAGGTAAATCTTAGATTACTATTTTGAGACTTATCTTCTTTTCTAATATAAGAATTTAAGATTTAATTTAAGATTGTGTTTTTCTCTAAGCGTTGCTTTTGCTGCATCACACAAAGTTGGTATGTTCTATTTTCATTTTCTTTCAGTTGATAATGGTTTTTTATTTGACTTGAGCATTCCTCCTTGACCCATTGATTATTTAGAAGTATGTTGTTCAATTTTCTTTTACTTTGAATTTTCTAGATATCTTTCTTTTATTGATTTCTATTAATATCTTTTATTGATATCTGTCTTTTATTTCAATTTCTGTTACTATCAGAGAATATACTCTGTTTAAATTTGTTTTATGACCTAGAGTCTATTCTGTCTTTGAACACATATGCTGCTATTGTTGGGTAGAGTGCTCTACAAATGTCAAATAGTTAATAATGGTTGATAGTGCATTTCAGGTCTTCTGTATCCTTATTCACTCATTGTCTTCTTTTTCCATCAATCACTGAGAGAGAAATGTTGAAGATTCCAAACATAGTTGTGGGTTTGTCTGTAGTTTTTTCAGCTTAATCCATTTTTGCTTCATATATTTTGAAACTATGTTTTTGTATGATTACACATTTCAATTGTTATACCTTCCTAGAGAATTGACTCCTTTATTATTATCAACTGGCCCTATTAATTCCAGGTAATATTTATTATTCGAAAGTTCACTTTGTCTAATATTATCACAGCTATGTAGAGTTTGCATGGTATATCTTTTTCATCCTTTTATTTTTAATATAACTATGCCTTTAAAGTGGGTTGAACTTTTTTTTGTCAAATCTGATCTATCTCTGTTATTTACTTAGTGTGTTTATACCATTTACGTTTGTTATAATCTGCCATATAGCAAGCTTTCTTGTTCCATCTGTTCTTTGCTTTGTCCCTTATTATTTGCCTTCTTTTAGATTACTTGGGTATTTTTTGTGATTCCATTTCTCTCCACTATTGGCTTACTATTTACACTCCTCAAACTACTTTTTTAGTCATTTCTTTAGATTTTATAATCTACATCTTTATCATTCTACCTTAAAATAATATTATACTGATTCATAAGTAGATTAAGGACCTTACAACTTTATATTACCAATTTATCCCCCCCATTCTTTGTGCTATTTTTGTCATGCATTTTACCTCTACATATGCAATAAACACATAATACACTGCCATTATTTTTGCTTTAGATGGTCTATGATATATTAGGGGAATTAAAACAATAAAAATTAAATTTTATATTTACCTATATTTATTTTACTTCCAACACTCTTTATTTCTTTGTGTAGAAAAAAATTATTATATGTATCTTGCCTAGAGAACTTCATTAAGAGGTCTGATGGCAAACAATTCTCCCAGTTTTTGTTTTTTAGCTAATGATGTCTTAATTGTTCATTTTTTTTAATATTTTCATTGGCTATAGAATTTTTAGTTGGCATGATATTTCATTCAGTACTTTAAAGCTGTCATTCTGTTATCTACCAGTTTGTATAATTTCTGATGAGAAGTCTTCTATTTTCTTATTTTTGTTTCTCTGTACATAATGTATCTTCCCCACCCCAATCCTTGCCGCTGTCAAGATTTTATTCTGTCTTTAGTTTTCAACAGTTTAAATACAATATGCCTAGATTTTTTTGTTTGTGTTGTTCCCTGGGGTTTTTGTGTCTGTAGTTTGGTGTCTGCCATTGATTTTGAGAAATTCTCAGGCATTATTTTCTCAAGGAATTCTGTTGTCTTAATCTCTGTAGTTTTTCTGTGATTCCAATTTGATATTGTGCTGAAGTTATGGAATGTTTTGTTCCTTTTCCCTTCACTCCTCTCTATTTGCAAACAACATGATTCTCTATACCTGAGTGATTTTATTCTCAGATAATTTGACTTCCTTGTGTTTAACTTCAGATAAATTCAATTGATTTATCTTCAGACCTCTGATCTTTCTTTGTCTGTATTGAATCTACCTGTGGACTCATTGGGAGCATTCTTCATCTGTCTTATTGTATAAAAACAGAATTATAGCATTTCATTGGATCCTTTCTTATAGTTTATACCTCTATGGTAAAATAATTTATCTCATCTTGTTTGTTTTCTACCTTTTTCATTAGGGCATTTCAAATATTAACTATAGTTATTTCAAGTTACCTGTCATGATAGTTTCAACATTTGTCATACCTGAGTATGATTCAAATCAGATATTGCTTTGTCTGTTGTTGTTGTGTTGCCTTTCCTTAATTTTTTGTAGGGCTCTCAGTGTTTAGTTGAAACATGTACATACATCATATTTAGGACAGCAGAGTCTGAGGTTTCATGGCTGGGACTAGGTATGCGTTTCCTTGTTCTAGGTCTTTAGTGTGAGATTTTGAGTCTACTTTTTGAGTTGAGCCGGATGTAGATACATTGCTACTACAGTTATTTTAAGTGCACCACAGACTTCAAATACCTCCAACATTACTTTGTATTTAAGTGGGAGCTGATTTGCTAGAGAGTTTTTCTCAGTATCTGTTCCAACCTGAGTTGTAGCTCTCTACTTTGTTCTATTACTCTGAGAGGATCTCTCTTTGTGTTCTTGCCCCTCTTAAACCACTACCCTGTAGTTACTTCTTACTCTAAACCCATTAATCTGGTGGTAAGAGACAGTGTGGTGTTATTCACTGTTTTTCTCAGTAAGCCTCATGGCAAGTGCTCTCTGTCCCTGGGCTTAAGGTTTGTGGCCTTCTCAGTGCTCCTGCCCTTTTGCAGCCTTACTTCTTGGCACAGTATATATTCCTGCCCCTATCCCAGGTAGAGGGTTTGCTTCTGTTACTCTCTCCCAGCTGCATAATTTACATTACCACCAGCAGCGCATAAACCTTTCCTTTTCTCTGCGACTTCACCAGCATCTGTTAATTTTTGACTTTTTAATAATAGCTATTCTGACTGTCATAATGAGATGGTATCTCATTGCAGTTTTGATTTGCATTTCTCTAACGATTAGTGATGCTGAGCATTTTTTCATATGCTGGTTGGCCACTAGTTATCCCAGCACTTTTACTGAATAGGCAGTCCTTTTCCCCGTTGCTTGTTTTTCTCAACTTTGTCAGAGATCAGATAGTTTAGGAGTGTGGCATTATTTCTGAGCTTTCTATTCTGTTCCATTGGTCTATGTGTCTGTTTTTGTATGAGTGCCATATTGTTTTAGTTACTGTAGCTTTCTAGTCTAGTTTGAACTCAGGTAACGTGATGCCTCCAGCTTTGTTCTTTTGCTTAAGATTGCTTGGGCTATTTGTGTTCTTTTTGGTTTCATATGTATTTTATAATAGTTTTTTCTATTTCTGTCAAGAATGTCTTTGGTAGTTTAATAGGAATAGCATTGAATCTATAAATTTTGGGGGGCTATATGGCCATTATAACAATACTGATTCTTCCTATCCATGAGCATGGAATGTTTTTCCATTTGTTTGTGTCATCTCTGATTTCTTTCATAGACAGTTTATAATTCTCATTGTAGAGATTTTTTACCTCCCTGAGTAGCTGTATGCCTAGATATTTTATTCTTTTTTGACTGTTGTGAATGAAATTGCATTCTTAATTTGGATTTCAGCTTGGACATTATTGGTATACAGAAATGCCACTGATTTTGTACATTAATTTTGTATTCTGAAACTTTGCTGAAGTAGTTTATCAGATCTAGGAGCAGTTGCACAGAGACTATGGGGTTTTCTAGGTATAGAATCATGTCTTTTGCCAACAGAGATAGTTTGATTTCCTCTCTTCTTATTTGTCTTTTATTTCTTTCTCTTGCTTGATTGCTCTGGCCAGGACTTCCAGTACTATGTTAAATAGGAGTGGTGAGAGTAGGCATCATTGTCTTGTTCTGGTTCTGAAGGGGAATGCTTTCAGCTTTTGCCCATTCAGTATTGCCCATTCAGTATGATGGTGGCTGAGCTTTCTCCTATGTCTTAACATTTTTAGCTGAATTATTCTTACCAGTGCTCTGTGTTGGCACATGCTCTCTTTGCAAGCACCTGTATTCCTTAGATTCAGGCTAGTGGTTTACTCTGTGATTTTTGCTCAATATGTGGTTAAAAAAAATCATGTGATTTTGCAGATTATCCTGTTTTTTTAAGATTAGAAGATATTTTCTTTCTAGCATTTTCCATCCTAAACAGAAGCAGAAAATGTATATTGTAGCGCATAATTTTTTTTTTTTTTTGAGATAGAGTGCTGCTGTCACCCAGGTTGGAGTGCAGTGGCACGACCTTGGCTTACTGCAACCTCCGTCCCCCGGGTTCAAGCGACTCTCGTGCCTCAGCCTCCAGAGTAGCTGGGACTATAAGCATGCTTCACCATGCCCAGCTAATTTTTGTATGTTTAGTAGAGATGGGGTTTCACCATGTTGGCCAAGCTGGTCTTGAACTCTTGATCTCAAGTGATCCACCTGCCTTGGCCTCCCAAAGAGCTGGGACCACGGGTGGGAGCCACTGTGCCGGCCTGTAGTGAATTATTTTAATGTTGCAGTGTGGAGAATAAATATTGCATAGCTAGAATGAATGGAGAGAAACTAGGCAGTATGTCTTTAATACTCCAGTGGTAATTTGATAATTATGTAGGCTAAGGTGGTGATGATTAAGACAAAGATGTTTGATTACAGATTGGATGTGTAAAGGAGTATCTTTGCTCATCTTGCTATAACAAAACCATAGACTGGGCAGTTTAAACAACAAGCATTTATTTCACACAGTTCCAGAGGTTGGGTGAATGTGGAAAGTTCAAGATTAAGGTGCCAACATATTTGAATCTGGTAAGGGCCTGTTTTCTCGTGTACAAAAGTTAATTATTGCTTTCTTGCTGTATCCTTATATGGCAGAGCCAAGAGAGATGGATCCCCTGTCCTTTTTCTCTTTGTATAAGGGCCTTAATCCCATCATGAGGGCCCTGCCCTCATGACCTAATCTAAGTCTAATTACTTCCCAAAAGTCCCTGCTCTAAATACCACCATAATGAGGAGGGATTAGGGTTTCAACATAAGAATTGGGGGTGGGGATCACAAGCATGCAGTCCATCACCAGGAGGAGGATGGAGACAATTGTTCAAAATTACTCCTGTTTCTTTTCTATAAGCCAAAATAATGGAAAGACAGGGGCCAGTGAAAGAGGACTGATTTTCAAAGGAGGAGGATGAGTCTGATTTTATACACATGGGATTGGGGTGCCTTTGAAGAAGTCAATTGGAAACCTTGAGTAGACTGTAGCATATAATAATCTAGAGTTCAAAGGAAATGTGAGACATTCAGAAATAAAATTGTAAAAGTATGACCTTATAGGTCATAATAAAAGCAATGGTCCATTGAAGTCATAAAAAACAGTATAAAATGAGAAGAAAAGTGGGCTTAGGACAGAGATTTAAGGAAATCCTTTAAGGAAAGTCCCATGTGTTCTCAACACTCCTGTCGTATTAACTCTCTTTCAGTTCATGGACTGTGGCATACAGTTTCCCTTTTCTAGGCTTTTGCAAAGGTTTTCTCTTCCTGAATTGTTTTTAATCTTCATCAACTTCCTTTTCCCATTTTCAAACATTTTCCCTAACTTCGCAGGGCTTCAGTGATTAATTTAAAGTTTTATTTCCTACTAGGATGCCTTTCCTCACTTTCTCCAAGTCAATTTGTCCCCCCCTAGAATAGTTTAGTTCCTCAGTACATGCTTCTAGCCTATACTTCTCCTTCATGACCTTTGCACCTTAATTTCTTGTTCAGCATTTATCTGTTCTCGACCATAAGCTTCATGAGTGCATGGATTATGTCTGTCTTTCTCATCAGTTAATTTGTAGTACTTGACCAGGGCCTGGTTCATAATGTGAATTCAATAAGTATTTGAATGAGTGAGTTGCTATCTGAGCAGGTTTTGTCCTCTTATTGATTACCTGAAATAGTGTGCCAGGGCTCATCTGAGACTGACATAATAATACTGAATAATTCCTGAACAATTATAGTGGAAGTTGAGATGATATCCTTTAGCTGTTGGTCTTAATGAGTTAAGGAAGAGAAAAATAACTAAAAATTGGGAGATAGAGAAGGAAACAAGGAATAGCATAGGCTGATTCTATGATCTTCTGCTTAAATGACAACCAGAATTTAGATAGTGAGGAAGTTAGATATGGAATAAGGAATGAAGTCCTTCCTCTTCATTTCCCGCTGCTTAACACTAATCTTCTCAACTCTTTCTTATTAAAAGTCTATATTCTGGAGAAGAAGAGGAAAGAAATCTGAAGGTAGTTGGATATATTAGCTATATTTTTTATTCATTTAATCTAATTATGTTCATCATAATTGGTGCTTCTGATTGGAGCCAGGAATTATTAAGGGCTTGTTTTTGTCCATACAGCTGTTAGTCCTGTGTCACACCCCTTCCTTTTTACTAATAAGGTAACAGGGAAGAATGTAAAATACTAAAGTAATAAGGTATGACAAGGTGTGTAATTATTGTACAATAACCTTTTCTCAAGGAGCAAAGAAATATACTGAGCAAAGAGCAAGATACTTGGAAATCTTAGCTGTGCAGTCATTATAACCTAGCTGTGCAGCAGGTATATCATTTTTGTGAAGATTTAAAAAATTATAACAAATTGTTAGGAAAGAAAAACATTGGGAAGAATTGTAAAGAAAATGCCAACTTTTGAAATAAGTTTTACTAATTTTAACTTCATTCTAGTTAATGTTGCAGTAGATGATAATTCCCTTGCCTGTTGGAGACTAGTTTTTTTTTTTTTAAGTCTTCCAAAATTAGGTGAAATGTTGTAACAGAACAACTAATAGTTGAAATGATGGTTTATGAAAAGTGCTTATTAAACAAAATAGAAATAAAAAGTTAAAAATTTTGAGACACCACCATTCAAATTTCTTAGAGCAGAAATTGAACAGCTCATAAGGCTGTCAGTAAGAAACATAAAGAACTCTGAATTAATCTAAATATGACTTTCTGGCTTTGTATCTATATTTAACAGAATGTAGGTGGTTTAGTGGGGGAGGCAGTCTATGAGCATTAGTTGATCTTTAGGCTAATATTGTCTTTTTGTACCCTAGAGAATGTTATTCCTGCTATGAGTCTTTTAGCATTTTCTTCAGATTCAAACATTTTAGAATTTTAAGAGAATCTTTTACTGAGTGAATGGTGAAACTTTCTATAATTGCTAATGTTCTAAGGATAGGATTCTGTCTCCTGTATCTTCCCATTCCCTAAACCCTAAGACAATATTGTATAAATTGTAAGACCACAAAAACTACTTGGTGAAGCAATTAAATATGCTGAGATATAATTATTTGGAGTAGTTTTTAGTGTATTATGACATGTCAGAACAGAAACGAAAAGTTTGGTAAGTTTTCTAAATAAAATTAGGATAAGCCAGACAAAATGAGATTAGATCTTGAAAGTTAGTGAGAATTTAGGGCTGTTGATAGCTTCTATAAAATATATAGACCATTGGCACCTATGAATAGCTATTTTTACCACAAATTTGCTATGAAAATGACTGACTAGTGAAATGTAGATTCTTAGTCAGGTGCAGTGGCCAGTCTGGGCAACATAGTGACCCTGTCTCTAAAGAAGAAAGAAAAAAAAAGGAAGGAAGGAAGGAAGGGAGGAAGGGAGGGATGGAGGGATGGAGGGAAAGAGAAAGAAAGAAATGCAGATTCTTGAATGCAGCAAAGTTCAGATATATAAAGAAAAAATTATGATAAATTACATGCAGATGGCATAATTTTGGGAAAAATTTTTGTTGAGTAATCATCTGAGATGTGAATATTCTCATGTTCTGGTCCCATTTTTAGAGTATTTCTACATATAAACTGAAGACCCAGCCAGATTATTAGTCACTAGCCAGAAATCACTGTAGACCTACTGAGAAGATTCTAGGGTCATACTGAATGGGGCTGTAATACCACAGCAGTCCACTTCAGCTTGTGCTAACTTATCAAGAAAAGCCATTATACTAGGCTTGAGATTTTCTTCATGCCCAGTCAACTGATCATAGGAAATTCTCCATAAAGCCATAGGAATTAAGAAAGGGGAAGCAACGTAGCACTAGAAAAACCAAAGGCTCATGTAACTAACTTTGGCCTTCTGGCCAGCCAGCTTATAACTGTTTCTGTGGATGCTATTTCCATTTGACTGCTACTGTGTGTGTCCAACTTTACAGTCGAAAGTAGTGATAACACCCAGTTCATGATTGCAGCTTGTCAATACCTATGAAGGATCTAAGACTTTATCCTAACTGCAAGCTAAGAGGTTAGACTGCCACAGTTTCACAGGAGGGAGACACGAGACTCCTGGATCAGAGACAAAGGACTTTATGACTCATGGCAAGCAGGGAGCGTAAACTTCATGTTTGTATCAATTTCTTTTGCCCCGAAGTCCCAGGGGATCAATATGGAAGTAGACCCAGATGGTTCCTGCATGCACAGTGGGTTTGTGTTTTAAGGAGGTAAACAAATTAATGTCTGGATTCCACTAAAGAAGTACAATCCTAAGGGTACTCACAGTGTTTCTGGAAGGAAAGTGCTTACAGGTGTTGGGACACTCAGAGAGAGATTAATCAATGACACAGGCTCACAGTGCGTTGTACGTGGCCTCTTTTCTGGCTGGTGAGCCTTATGGTTCTTAGTTCATTGTGAATAATTGGGTCTAGTACTTGTTGGAGGAGCTGCCTGAGGAGGAATCCTATTCATCCATGCCATCAGCTAGGTGTCATTTACCTACCACAGTAAATAAGGAGTGGAGAAGACATCCAGAGCTGTTGACTCATGCTTTGTGTGGGAGGTGATGGAACCCAGGCCATTCCCTGCTGCGTCTGATAAACTTCATGGTCCAGGTACAGGCAGTGACATTCAAGTCATGGTTAAAGCCATCTGGCTGGGAGTGGCATGCCAGCATGCAGTTCATTTTAAGGCACTGGTGTTGTCCCTTTGGAGGAAGATGCTGAAAGCATTAATGTCCCTCCCTTTCTCACACTTTCCAGTGTGTAAGGAGGCCCATCTTCAGGTGCCAGCATATTGTTATCCCTCCCTTACCACAAAATCAGTGTGTCCCATTTCAGTAGCTATAAGTTCTCCTTTTCCCCAGTCATGCTTTACCCAGACTCCTCATCTGGAAGGGTCAGGTCCCAGACGTACCAGGGCATTTTTTAAAATCAAATTACCCAGAATTAAGCTTGATTTCCATAGGCTCTCTTCTGGATAAATTTCTACCTGGAGGATGGGCCCACCAGGCTCACCTGGATTTCTTGTTGGGAAATATAAAGAATGCATCATTTGCAGTCATGCTCAAGATGGAATTCTGAATTTTCAAAATACATCTGTAAGACCTCCCGCCTCTCTCATTCTGGTTATCACCCTGCAAGCAGCTGAAAAGAGATTAGCTGTTTCTGGGAACAGCTGCATCCAATGACCAAACTGCATTGCTAAGGTGCATGGATTAGGGGAACCGGAACTAAGGGAGGTAGCTTTTGTGATAAAAAGCTGCATTATTATTTGATGGCAAATGGTTTGGAAAGCCGAAGATATGTCACAGATTTATTTCAGGGCCTACAGTGGTGCATCTGGAGTCAGCTAATCAGTAGCCTGAAAAAAATGTCAACATTGGTAAACCAGACCCAGGAATTTAGGAGAATCTTTGAAAATCAGGGCCTTATTGAACCAGTAGCTTAGTTTCACGTTGAGGAACAGGAGATAAAGTTTCTCCCAGAAGGATAGCTGTCACGTTTTCATGTAAAACTGAGTTGCTGCTACAGCCAGGCAGGGTACATTCTTAAATATACCATTCCCATTTGACAAGTTCTTCTCAGCCCTGTCTACCTCATTAGTTATTGACTCCAAATTAACCCACTCCAAATGGAACGTCAAGCCAGAGAATCGCAAGGCTTTCGTGGCCAGGAATAAAGTTTTAACACAAGCTCAGTAGCAAGCTAGTAGCTGCTTTTCACAATGTGTGCACCTTGTAGACTTATCTGGAATCTAAAGCCACAAATTTAAAGCGACAAGAGCTGCCTCCAGGGGGAGTCTTCCTCCCTTTGCTAAAGGCTGTATTTGGTAAAATCATCAGTTCCAGAGACTTGTACCCTCTCCAGTACCTAGTTGGTCCAACAAGGTGCTGCACCTCCTTTTTGGTGGTGAGACACCAAAGAAACAACAGTTGTTCCTTGACCAATGATTGAATTGAGCTTTATGAATCCATCCTCATAGCTCCAAAAGGCTTTACTTGGCAATGCCAAGTTTTCTCAGAGTTTATCAGCCATCACTTTTGGTAGAGGTGTGGTGCACATCTTAGTCAGGGTTACTGAGACTGGGACTTCTGATTTGACAAAAGGTCTCCATCTCTATAGTGAACATTTTGGATATCCGAAGGAAGAGATAATATTCATATTCAATCCTGAAGCCTTCCGGTGACAAATGGCAATGGAATTTGTCCCCACTACCAGTTCTCTATCTGCAGCTTTTCCCAGACTGGGATAATCTGCCTTGGCACTAATGTGACAAGGAAGTACAGCAAGGAACACATCAATTAGTGGAAACAAAAACAAAACCAATACTTTGAAGTGGCTGAAGGGCCCACTCAGCAGGTCTTGTTAGCTTCTCTCCCTCATCAGGATCCCTGCTCAAACCGCATCAGTAGGGTCCAGGCTCCATTACTCTGTTCTCACACTGCTATAAAGAACTACCAGAGACTGGGTAATTTATAAAGAAAAGAGGTTTAATTAACTCACAGTTCCACAGGCTGTACAGGAAGCATGGCTGGGGAGGCCTCAGGAAACTTTCAATCATGGCGGAAGCTGGAGAGGAGGCAAGTGTGTCTTACATGGCTGGAGCAGGAGGAAAAGAATGAAGAGGGAGGAGCTACACACTTTTTTTAAACAAACAGATCTCATGAAAACTCACTCACTATCATGAGAAAAGCATGGGGGACACCGGCCACATAATCCAATCACCTCCCACCAGGTCCCTCCTCCAACATTGGGGATTACAATTCAACATGAGATTTGGGCAGGGACGCAAATCCAAACAATATCACAGGTACACTTTCTCCCCTGGGTCTGTGTAGGATGTTCCCCAGCACATTCAGGAAGTAGCTATAGTTGGGGTCACGTGAGAGTGAAGGAATGGGATCACAGAAAGAGAGAGAGCGAGAGAGAGAGAGAGAGAGAGAGAGAGAGAGACAGAGAAAGAGAGATCCTCCAAAAGAGTAAGCAAGCAAGGCACTCTGGTTTTGAGTGACTGTATCATGGCTCAACCCAGTGAAATGCTAATGCTTCTGTTCCACCTAAAACTTTGAGCTTTAAGCTTTAGAAACCCCTTACTCTTTCTCTTGATACCTGGAGGAGAATGAACAGCAAACGTACCATTCAGGCAGCTTGTTACTATCCTACATCCTGGCCCTCAGTCTTGCTGAATAGTAAGGCAGAGCAGCAGATCCTCTGTGTCCCATCTAACTCACCGCTTGAGTGAAAGCATTCACTATTGGATGCTGGGAAGACATCCCATACTCCCTAACCCTGCTCACAAAAGCCCCTTGTCGTTTTCTCTTGTGGAAAGCCAGGTCTCTGTCAGCATCCCATCCTTGTCACCAAAACTTTCAAGAACTTTCAAGGGTCTGAGATTTTACCCTTCTGACAAGCTAACAAAGTAGCCTGCCATCATTTTCATAGATGTTGCCAGAAGACACAAAATTCCTGTGTTAGAGACAAAGAACTCTATTACTCAGGGCAGAGTAGGTAGACAAAACTGCATATCTGTATTGGTTCCCTTTTCCTTCAAAGTCCCAGAGGGCCCAGATGGATCACACACAATGGGTTTGTATAATAGCCGAGGAAGCCTGCACTTAGGAAACACAAATTTTTTTTTTTTTTCCAGAGACAGGGTCTTGCTCTGTCACCCAAGCTGGAGTACAGTGGCATGATTTATCATAGTTCACTGTAATCTCCAACTTCTGGGCTCAAGAGATACCCCTGCCTCAGCCTCCCAAGCAGCTAGGACTACAAGTGCACACCACCTGCCAGCTAATTTACTTCTTATAGAGGCAGAGTCTTGCTATGTTGGTCAGGCTGGTCTTGAACTCCTGGCCTCAAGCAATCTTCCCACCTGTGCCCCAAAAAGTGCTGGGATTACAGGTGTGAGCTACCACACCCAGCTGAAACCCCAATCTTTAAAAGGGGCCGCTAGCAAACTTGCACAAACTTTGCATCAGAGGGCCACATAATCTCTATCTTCCAAGACTGTTTCCCCTGAAAACATCCTTAGAGAGAGTTCAAAACATAGACCTGAAAATGAGATGTGCAGAAACATGAGAGACCCGTGGAGAATTGTCTTCCAAAACGTTTTCACCTGATATTCCATAGTTATGGATTCAGTCTCCATGAGAGTCCAGTAGCAAGCCAAACTATTAGCTGTTTCCCAAAAGGAGAATAAAGATGAAGGCTTTGTTCCAAAACCTTAAAGAATTCTGCTGTAATTCGACATGGGCTTGTTATAAGCCCCATATAACCTGCCTTAGACCTGTGGGAGGCAGAATAGTGCCCCGCCCCTCAAACAAACATGCCCATGTCATAATCCCTGGAGCCTTCAAATATATAACCTTACATGGCCAAGGGAAATTAAGGTTGTGGATAGAATTAAGGTTGTTCATCAGCTGACTTCTACACTTCCATTTCCTTCCTTTTCCATGTCTGACATTTGAAGGGCACTGTAGTATTATTGGAGAAATACGGACTTTGGATAGAACAAACAAGGGTTTGAATTCTGATTTGAACAAGATATTTAATCTGAGTCTCAATTTAGAGCAAGGATGAGAAGACTTACATCACGGAAATGTAATACTTAGATACTATTACCAGGGTGGAAGCTCAAGAGATGCTAATTTCCAACTTCCTGCCCTTGAACTAGATAATCTTTAATGTATATTTGAACTTGAATAACTTAGTATTTGCATTAATTTGCAAAGATGACAATAAAGTAACGCAAACTGAGTGGCTTAACAAAAGAAATTTATTATCTCATACAGTTCTAGAGGCTAGAAGTCTGAGATCAAGATGGCAGCAAGGTTAGTTTCTTTTGAATACTGTGAGGGAGAAATTTGTTCCATACTTCTTGCTTATCTTATACTGGTTTGCAGACAATCTTTAGTGTTTCTTGGTTTATAAAAGCATCACTCTGATCTCTGCTTTCATCTTCACATGGCGTTCTCTCTGTGTGCATGTCTGTGTCTAAATTTCCCTTTTTTATAAGAAGGTCAGTCATACTGGATTAGGGTCCAGCCTATTTCAGTAAGACTTCGTATAACTAATTCCATCTGCAACAACCGCATTTCCAAATAAAGTCACATTCTGAGGTACTCACATTCCAGGGTTAGTACTCGAAGGTATGAATTTTGAGAGAACACGATTCAACCCATAAAAGTATTTTAAGCCATCTCTGCTAGTGACAGCTTTTTGTAAAATTAGGGATTTAATGCTAATATTGGTTAATCTGATATCATTTTCTTCCACTAAAGAGTGCAGGTTTGTCAGGTTGTCAGGTAGTAATTTCTTGTATAACAATCTACATGAGATATTTAATGAAAGCAATTACTGAAATATTTCTTTAGTTAAACATCATTTAATTCTCTTCCCACAACATAGCAGTATAGCCAGAAGAGGTCAAATCGTTATCAATGAAAGAATCTCTGTAATTCAGGGAGCTTCAGTACTTCTTATTATCAGACTAACTCAAACTATGTTGTTTGATTTTCACATTATTATAGCATATTTTTGTGGGCTCTGATTAATAGTGATAAATAATACATGTGCTATGTATTGATTTCCATTTGTTATGTGGCTTTGTAGGCAGCCTTACTTTAAAGTTAGTATTAGAAAGCATTCAACCTTGTGTTTGAAGAGAGTACTGGCAATAACAGTGTTCTGGAGACCCCTATACAAGATGTAGAATCCATTTAATTTTCTGACTCTCTCTTCTTCACTTTTCTGTCATTACAGTCATTTGTTTAAAAAAGTTGTTGAGAAACTACTGTGTGTGAAACACAATACAGTGCCAGGCACTACGCATGCAAAGCCCTGCTATTAAAGATAACAGGGTTTAGTAACACAGTTTGCCTTAGTCGGCTTGGGCTGCTATAACAAAATACCATAGGCTGGGTGGCTTACAGTAAATTTATTTCTCACAGCTATGGAGGCTGGGAAGTATAAGATCAAGGTGCTGGCAAAATTCATTGGTGAGGGCCTCCTTTCTTGTTCACAGATGGCTTTTTTGTTGCTATGTTCTAACATGGCAGAAGGGAATAAGGAGCTTTCTTTTATAGGGCACTGATCTCATTCATGAGGGCTTCACCACTATGAGCTAATCACTCCCCAAAGGTCCCTCCTTCTAATACCATCACCTTGGAGGTTACAATTTCAACATATGTATTTTGAGAAGATACACACATTCAGACCATAGTATAATCAAAATTCAATAATTATAAGACACTTTCATCTCTGATCAAGGCGAAGTAACAGGAATTTACCCTTCTGCTGAAACAACTTTCCAAAAAGGTCGAAATATATAAAAGACACTTTTTAAAAAGACATCTAACATCAGACAACAAAAGTCTCTGAGACGTGAGAAGATCTCTGAGACATAAGGAATATGTAAGACGAGCCATATGTGACAGCCCCAGCTTACTGCCTGGAGGAAGTTTCCAGGCCATGGTGCAGGGAGGAGGAACCCAGTCAGAGCCCAGTGGATCCCTTGAGTTTAGGTTAGTGCTGAGGGTTCAGGGAGACCAAACAGCTGGAGTTCTCATGGTAGACTATAAGAAAGAAAATTACTGCACAGAGAAAGGGCCCTGGAGATTTAAGAGAGTTCTCTTCCAGTCTTCAACCCAGTACTGATTAGCATATGTATCTGAGGGAACCATTCAAGGTCAAGAAAAGAACCACTTGAAAGTATTAGAAGAAATAATATTTGGAGTTCACACAGGATTGAGAATGATTTGTTTTCCCACCAGCCAGAGTGAAGAACTTCATCATTCACAGAACATTAGGTAGACTACTCAGTAGTGGCTCAAAATTAGTCCAAAAGGCTGCTCTAATCCAGGATAACAAAACTTATAACCAAGACCCAAATAGATCAAACTCTTTCTAAGTAACTTAGGGGTGCCTCAGAACAAAGCTCAAACTATTTATAAGAATACAGAAATACCCATACCCAACAAGATTAAATTCACAATGTCCAGCATCCAATCAGGTATCATCAGGCATACAAAGAAGCTAGAAAGTAGGACCCACAGTGAGAAAAATCCTATAATATGAATTACTATAATGTTAGATATTGCTATGGTCTGATCTCATTCATGAGGGCTTCACCACTATGAGCTAATCACTCCCTCTGTCTGTGTCCCTCCACCCCCCAAAGTGATGGTATTAGGTAGTGGTGCCTTTGAGAATTGATTAGATCATGAGGGTGGGGCCCTCATGAATTGGATTAGTGACCTTATAAAAGAGGCTCAGGGAAGCCTGTTTGCTCCTTCTGGCATGTGAGGACACAGCTAGAAGTTACCATCTATGAGGATCAGGCCCTCAGTAGACATCAAATCTGCTAGCACCTTGATCTTGGACTTCCTAGCCTCCAGAACTGTGAGCAATAAATTTCTGTTGCTTATATACTACCCAGTCAATGGTGCATTTGTTACAGCAGCCTAAAGGGACTAAAATAGTAATATTCATAAGAAATTATGGGAATGCAGCAGAAAAGACAGTTAACTCTGCTTGGTGAGTATGGGTGAGGCAGATACTCAAAGGCTTCCTGGAGGAGATGAGAGTTAATGTAAAAATTGCAGAATGAGTAGGTGTTAGTCAGGCGAAGGTAAGAGAAAAGGCATTTGTGACAGAGACCACAGAATGTACCATGGCATAGAGGCCTGGAATTATAGATTCTATTTGACTAAACAACATATCAGTGGTTCAGTCTGGCTGAAAGTAAGGAAGAGAATGAGAAAGATTAGGAGAGCTGTGTGGGCATCAAGACTTAAAGTGTGCCATGTTGGCAAATTTTTTTTCTGTAAAGGTTCAGATAGTAAATATTTTAGGCATTATGAACCACATATAATCTTGTTGGACACTCTTTTCTGTGGCCTTTGGGCTGTAGATTGCAGGTTCTTTTTGTAAGTGACGGGGCATGACTGAATTATTTTTAAAGGAAGAAACCATTTAGGTTTGCATTTCAGATAGATCACTTTGCCTAATGTGTGGAGGATGCATTTGAGGCGATATGGCAGGGAGACCATTTAGGGAACTGTTGTGTTAGCACAGTTGAGAGATAAAAGGGTGCCTGGCTGTGTGAGTCTGAAACTCTGGAGAGAAGGCAAGGTTGGAATTAGAGATTTGGGAGTTATCGTTATATATTTTAGTTTAAATCTCAAGCTTGGATAAAATCATACAAGGAGGGTATGCTGAGAGAGAATACCCTCCTTACATGATTTTATTCTCTTCAATAAAGAGAATTCCTCATTGAAAGAATAATATGTGCTTGATACATTCACTTGTTAGCTCATTTATCCTTAATATAACTCTGTATAGATTGATTTGATGATTAGTCCCATTTTACAGATGAGGAATCTAAAGGTCTGAGAAGTTAAGCAGCTTACCCAAAACTACAAAAGAGAAAGTCTGAATTGGAACGGAAAGCCAGTTCATGTGGTTGTAAGGGTCCTGTTCTACTGTTCATCGCTGTCTTTAAGACATAGAGTGGGTGGTCTTCAGCTACCCCTTTGGTGTGCTCGTCTCCTCACTGCATGTGTCTCACAGCACTTTGCCTTCACCCCTTTTCTGGTGGTCCGGGGAATTGTTGAAGTTGCTCACAAAAAACAGAGGCACTGCGTTGCTGCAGAGCGCCTATTATGTTGCCATTTCCGAAGAATACACCTTGCTTCTTTGCAACCAATTTTGCCTCCAAGTCCTTGCATTTAAACCAACACAACTGCCCTGCCACAAATCCTTCCAAACTTAAAATTTCGTATAGTTCATACACACAGAATTCAAATGATCCTTGAGACACTATCCTGTAGTGAGGAATTTCTAAAAGTCAGTCCTAGCACTGCAACTGTTCGCAAAGAGAAACTGGCCAATATTCATAATTCTTCAAACATATGGTAAGGCAGAGCATATTTTAAATATCAAGAACATTTACTTGAGACCTTCCCACATGGTTTCAAAATTTTATTTGGGGATTGGACACGCATCAAAACATGTATTTACCTGACAGATCGTGGCCTGCCTAAGCCTTTGTGATGCATACGTTTTTCGTGCCATGATATTGAATATACATATTAATTAAATTTTGCATCTATTTCTGCACCAAAACTGAGAATGGCTTTGATAGATATGCAGTACTTCACTAAAGTAACTCTAGCATACTTCTCTTAACACAAGTTTCCCCTTTTTATTTGTTTAGTATAAAAAACAAACACTGAGCATATGGAAGGAAAACAGGGACTGCTGAAAACTTTGAAAAATATTTTGTGTAGGTTTCATTTTGGTTACACAGGACTTAATGTTTTGAAGGATTTAGTGCAAATTTTTCTCCATTCCTAGGAAATTTGCTGATATGAGAAAAGGAGAATTGTGTGAGTCCTTGAACAAACACAAGCTTTGAGGAGAAAGGCACATTGTGGACGGGAGCTCCATTTGACTCATAGGCTGCTGGGGGCAGAGAGGAGGGCACATTTCACAGAATTAGACTAGTCTTCTAGAAAAGCTTGGGAAGACCCTAAATCTTTTATTTCCCAATATTTTACCCTGATTCCAGCAGATCTGATCTTCTAAAATTAGGAAGTTGAATAAAAATACTTAAGAGAAATGTTTTTTGAGTTAATTAGGATTAAATCTCTATACCGGAAATCTTTAGTAACATGAATCATGAAACAGTAAAATGATATAAATATGATAGGAACATGATATCAGTTTAAAAACAAAACTTTTGGAATGCCACAGATTGCTTTAGAAGGATGTAGCTCCAATTTTCTGAATTCCTGGCTTTTCCTCATTCCTATTTCTTCCACGTGTCCTGTGTGATTTCTTTCATATTGTCCCTTTGTTTCCACAAAGCCATCTTTCTCTGTTCAAAGTAGCTAAAATTTCATTTTTCACAAAAAAAAATCTACTTTGATTACAGGGAAGGAGGGGTATACAGAGATGGGAAAATGAAAATATTCTCTTTTCCTAGCAAAGTCACAAACATCTGACCATTCTTTGGCTTTAATTTCATATAAAATGAAATGTAAAGCATCCCCAGACATCTTGTTATACCTGGCTACACCCTCTTCAGACTTCTCTAGGAATGTGACTTATTGATAAATATTCCTGTAATATTAAATCCATAAACAAATGTATTCCTTTTCATTAATGTATCTAAGAGAAAGTGATCTTTTCTTCTATGTAAAATTAAATATATTTGTTACATGTGGAGACATATACACACTCACATACACACACATATTATTTTGCTATTTTTAAATGTTGAATTAAAAAATTCCTTTTTTCAACGGCAAACATAATAACATATTTTGTCTTTAGAACTGTGTTGTTTCTATGAAACATGAGATCTCTTGAGGATTTATAAGCTTTGAGAAATATGAATATAATAAGAGGCCCGTGTCCCTGACATCTCATGAACACCCACCGCTTGTTTTTAAAATAGTAAATGCAAAAACACATTCTAATTAATAGCTATAATCCTCTTACTTGAAAGATTTATCATGTTGACTCTGTTGCAAGTGTACCACCTTATAGATCAGAAATTTCGAGTGAAGTAAAGATTTGCTCTACAAATAAAAGAAGATATGGCTGCATATAAATCTGGGTGTGTGCATAATTGAAAGAGCTATAGAACCGAAAATGGGGAGGGAACAAACGATTCCGGGAATTGATGCCCATTGAATCTCTGCCCATTTCTAAAAAAGAGCCTTGAAAAAAACATATCCTGGCAAAATATTGGTTTCCATTACTTTTCATTTTCTCTTGCCAGGATCAGAACCAGATGTTCTGTAATATAGCAAAGTCTGTTCTATTGGCATTTTTGGTTGTATTAACTTCAGGAACTACTGGAAATTTTATGTGAGAAGATTCACAGGTGATTATCATCCAAATTTTCTGAGACTTCAGGGGTTTTGATGGGGTTGGAGAAGAGATGGCATACAGCATAAGTGTCCAAATATCTTGTGTTCTCTTCTTGATATGCTCATATTCATAATGAAACACATATGCTCATATAACTTATCTTACAACATATGGTACAATATAATTGAAGAAAGTCTATGCAATTATTTCACCCCTCCTAAAAAAGAAAACAGTTCTGCATTATTAATAAAAACGAGTCGGGACTTAGGGTGTGTGCTAGAGATACAGATTTTAAATATAGCCTACCAAAATATCCTCTAAGTTTAAGTGGAAATAAGAATGAAACATTGTCCAACTAGGTTGCAGTTTGGGTAGGTATTGTTTCCTCTTTGTGCCCTCTTACCTCTAACCTGACCACAAAGTAAGCAATTTCAAAACTGGCAACTAAAGCATGTAGAACTTGAACTTATGTGGGTGATCCTATTTAAAATTAGATCCATGACTTTCACCCTTTACAAATTTTGTTGTATCAGTTAATGCTGGGAATGTCCCTTCAAATGCAATATTGTATTAAAACCTCTTTTCCCCTCCCTTCACGCTACATTTGATGAGTTGATCAAAGCACTTGCATTTAATACCATGTGTAGGATTGTATTCTGGCAATAACTACCAGAATCTGGCTATGGAAAGAGGCTTACTACCCACCCGTGAGGATCTTGTCACGATGGTCTAGCTATTGACATGGTGTTGACTGTGTGAGTGGGTTGCAATTAAATATGCTTATGTTTTTAATTTTAGAATGGCTAGTAGGCAAAGCAGCAAAAGGCAAGTGCATTGGCAAAGAAAAACAGGAAAATGTAGATAATAATATTTTGCTTTATAGTGAAATAACCTTTCTGAAGAGGCTCCCAATTCTTCATTTTATTCACTACCTCAATGGCTGTAATATAGCAATACCTCAATACCTCAGTAGAAACACACAGAGCAAGTCTATCAATAAAGGTAGGAAGTGAAGGTGGCTACTAGAGTGTCAAACTTCCCATACACATACACTATACACACACACACATACACCATACACACACACACACACACACACACACACACGAGGCCTTATGAGTGGGTTTTCAGTATAACGTTTCATATAATGTAGGAAGAATGAGGATCAGAAAAGGTTTTCAGTGAAGCCAAACAGGCTATGTCCAGATGTTCAGAGAGTCCCTAGCCACAAGCCTGGGAGGCTGAGCTGGAGTCCTGACATTTTTCAAAAGCCTTTTCAGTAGAAGTGCACCCAGGTCAACTTGAAATATTAGGCCAATGTTCCCCTCAAACATATTAAACCTGTCAGCTATCAAAAGACTCAGCAATGCAAATTCTCTTTATACTATCTTTTTTCTTAATATCTAACAGTGAGCAATACCATAGTTATTACCTCAAGTCTTAGCAGGAATTAGTTGGTAGCATACTGACAGAAAGAGAGAAACATACATGTGCGAAGTCCTGGGTGCCTGAGCGTTGGAATTTTAGGGAACAGAATGATAGAATAGAAAAGGGAGATGCTGAGCTAGGGCAAAGTGTTTAGGGTAGGGATCTATCTGTTTCATAATTTTCCCTGAAATTGGCTTTGACAATGAGACTCCAAATTAAATTTAGACATGTTACAGCTTGCCAATTCCATGGACAATGTTTTGTTTTTCTTTATTTTCATTGCTCAGAGATGAATAACAATTGTGTGTTATTGTTCTAATTCCTCAAATGGGAAATCACCTTTGGAAAGAGGCTGCCTTCCTTCCAAAAGTTGGGTTTTGGAATCTCTGGAATCACCTAGAGATATTTTTCTTAGAAGGTTGGCAAAGTGTCCCACTGCCAGGGGAAAGGGTTTGTTATCATATCTGCCAGAGTATAAAATACAATTACCCCCTCTGTACCAGTATGCTTCAAGCTGCTCCCAGACAGCTGGTCAGAGTTGATTTCAGTTACTATTCCGCCCCTCTCCTTCTCAGATAAAAGAGACTATCAAGCCTTGATGAAGCCATGGGGCTTTTAGGAAAGGGCTTCTTGGCTTTCTGACATTCCCCTGGGGTGGTGAAAGAGTGTGTAAAAAGAGCCAGCCTGGATGACAGCAGGAGCGCAGTCCTTAAAAATATTAAAATTTAAATTGAAATATGTCAAATCAGGTGTGTCTTATATTAAATAGATATGATGACCAGACAACCTATGCTCTGTGGGTTTAAAGAAAATCAGCCCACTCTCTGTAGGTGTGAACACTGCAAAGGGAAGAGGGTGATAATTCTGCTTCAGAAAGACATCAAATACTGGAACAAATCATGTCCCCATGCTAGCTAAGCACTCTGGGAGCCAGTCGGGTTTAGGATTCAAAGAGTTGAACACTAATTGTTGCAACCTAAGAGCTACCCAAGCTGACTCAGATAATTACAATTATTCTCCCTGCTTTAGAGCCATGGCAGGAGGGCCAGATATGTGGACCAAAGGAACATCATTGGTGGGTGGCCTAGTGCCATCTGTCAAATGTGACAGATACCACGTGGCAGCACAAAGCAATAGCAGGAGCACACAGGTGAGACTCCATGTTCTGTCTCTCTCTTTGTATTGCATAAGCCCTAAGGTCAACAGAAGATTCAGGGGAAGAGAGAAACAGATATTCTGGCTAACATGCTACATGTGATATTAGAGCAATTTATTGGAAAAAAAAATACCTATGGCTATGGCTATATTTGCTTACTTGGGTTTGTGGAGAAGTTTATACTAATTATATTCATTAAACACTCTCTCAGCACTTATATTACACAAAGGAAACCTTAGGCTGGGAGAAACTCAATAGTTTGGGATAATTATTGATCAAATATTACACAGCAGTTTAGCCCCATGGCCCCATGCCACAAATAAGAATCCAGTTCTGATGTCTCTTCCAGTGCTCTATTCATTACAAAAGACATTTCCTAATATTTAACAATCTTGATACTTCCCTTTGATGATTGCTGACTTCCTTCATCTCTTATTTATCCACTTATCTAATCAACAAATATTTGCTGAGGAACTATTATGTTTCAAACCTCTCCTAAATGCCAGGAATACAGTTGGCAAAAATATAATTTCCCTGTCCCTATAGAGCTTTGTTTTTAATGAGCTTTTTATTTTATTATTTTTTGTTTGTTTGAGATGGAGTCTTGCTCTGTCAGCCAGGCTGGAGTGCAGTGGTGCGATCTCGGCTAACTGCAAACTCCGCCTCCCGGGTTCACGCCATTCTCCTGCGTCAGCCTCCCTAGTAGCTGGGACTACAGGCGCCCGCCACCACGCCCGGCTAATTTTTTGTATTTTTAGTAAAGACAGGGATTCGCCGTGTTAGCCAGGATGGTCTCAATCTCCCGACCTCGTGATCCGCCCGCCTCGGCCTCCCAAAGTGCTGGGATTACAGGCGTGAGCTACCGCACCCAGTGGCTTAAAAAAAAAAAAAAAAAAAAAAAATGTTCTTCACATGCAGATTCAGGTTAAGAGAAATTTTAAAAAGTTAAGAATGCTTAAGCCATGTTAAAAGCTGTGGCAAGTAGAACATCTCAAAACCTCAACAATTTGGGCATGGCCAATGAAGTCTACCTCCTGAATATTATTTGATCAAATACTCCACCCCCACATAGGACATTATCTATGGAATCACATTCTGATTTGTAGTGGATAAGAAATTATTTGTAGACGAACATGGAGTCTGGTTAATGTTAGCTTGAAGCAAAACTGTAATGTGAGCAAAGACTGCTTTTTGTGTTTATCCTTTGTCTTCTGTGTTCTCTGATTTTTTCCTCAAATAGTAGAAGCATCTCTTTACCCTGGGAATGCAGCTTCACTCCTCAATCTTTCCCTCTCTTCTATGTCTCAAGCCTACATCCTCTTCAGAGGGAGATATAAATATATGATGAGAGTTTTAAGTGCTCTAACCCAAGTGATTTACCAGAAACCAGAGCATTAAGATGAATAAATCCCTAGCAGAATTTAAAACCGACTACTTGTAAATTTGGAATGTCAAGCATGGTTTGGCAGGAGGTAGAGCATAGGGAAGCATTGGAATGGTATTTGATCTTCTAGGCATCTCTTGAGTGCTTTAGTTTGGGAGAGAATCGTTGATGCCATTTTGGATATTATTATAGTACTTCTGATGACATTGATACCAAGTTACGAAATATAAATTTTGATTAATAAATTGAAAATCTTTTAAGGTATAAATTATTATCATTTTGGCTATTGCCTATTACCAAACCATTAGTTGATAGTTGTAAATAGATTTAGAAATTGTCAACAATACAGTCATGTAATTTTTTTATTAGTCATGTAATTTTACATAGCTTAAGTGCATAATTCATAAGCACTACATTTTTCTAAAAACCTGAAAACATGGACATATAAAAATTGACCTCAGCCCTAGCTCTAAATGCAGATCCTCACAAATTCCAATTTAAGAAAACCTACAGAGACCATTAAAAAAAATAAAAACTCACAAACCAACACTGATGTAGAAGAAAGACAATATATGCCAGAATCCCACCAGTGGAAGGCAGACGAGTTTGATTTGGAAAAATATCTTACCCAAGCTTTGCTTTTCAATGGATCCTGCCTATAAAAAAACTAAGAAAGTATGCTGTATTTCACATTATCTGAGAGAGACCCACAGCCTATGCCAAATCAACTCTGCTCATAAGGTGCTGCTTTTGAGGGAAGCCTGAAGACTGTTCCTGTCCATATTATTCAAGCCTAGCTATTCACATCCACTCAGGTTTAGCAAATTACAAAAGCCAAAAAGGCAGTAAGTTGAAAATAAGCTTTCTTTGCCGCTTAAGAGGTATAGTTCTTACAAGTAAAGTGCATTAGGTCAAACAGAGATAAAATGGAGGCTGAAGCACTGCCAGCTTAGTAGTGTAGCATTTTATATGCTCCACTGGTTATTAAACAGTATGTTAATGCCTACCAAAAGCAGAGAATTATATAGGTTCTGTGCAAGTCAACTTGAATCTAGCTAAGAAAAATCATAGGAGAAAATTGATCATCTACCAACTTCAAGTAGTAGTCCAGATTCATATTCATTAGTGAATATTAAGTCTGAAGATATCTCACCTAATTTGAATAAGATCACAGTAAAAAAAAAAAATTAGCTTTAGAAAATGGTGTTTATAAACAATGGAGTAAGAAACCCTCAAAAGAAATCTCTAAAAATGGATCTACTTTGGAAATCAGAAAAGATATTTCAGAAGACAAATTGGAACATTCAATAAAATTTAAAGATAAGGCTACTATAATGCTTTTAAACCATTAAGAGAAAAAATCTAAAATAAGTCAATAGAATAGACTATAAACAGATACAAATAAGAAATACCTCTAAGAAACAAATATGCAGCTTCTCGAGGTAGTAAAATACAAAACTGACAAAGCAGAAAATTTAATTAGTCATTTAGTGTGCAGACTTGCAAATTACCCTACAGCTTAGGAGCTTCAAACACATCTTTTACACTTATGCCTTTATTTTTGTATTTATTATCTTTTATTATGTTTTTATTTATGGTTTAATTTTAATTTAATTTTATTATTACATATAATAAAATCCAAGAGAGATTTGGACAACAGATAATAAAATAAAAATGTAAGTTTAAGAGAAGCATTTGAAGAAGGAGTAAGAAGTGTTGGTCAAAATCAATGACATAACTTGAGAAAATATTCTGAACTAAAAAATACTCATGTTAGCAAATGTATAGGTTTCCCACTTTCTATGCTAAATAACTAGAAGAAGAAGAAATATTTGAAATATGAAGATTATGAAAATCTCCTCAAGCCCTGTGAATATATCACAGGGCATGTGACTTTCCCTTCATAGTACTAACCAAGGGTAATGAAGACATCTGAGTAGATACTTCTGTAGTATAAGAGGACATAAAGTTTCTCTTTCACATATGAAGAAAATATATTCTTAGATATGTAACGACATTGAAAATAAACTGCCTTTCATATATTTGAAATTGAAGGCCTAAAAATCCAGAATTAAGGTTAAATAAAAAAATTCAAGGACATGCAATAAGAAACACATTAAAAATACTCATTTTAAATGATTATTTCACATATAGCTTTAAAATTAAATGTTATGTCAAAATCATTCTGAAAGCAATGAGTGTAATATGTACATTTTAATAAATGATAATCTTATTCTAATATTCGTGTACATGAACAAAGAGAAGTGCATGACTCTAAGCTCAGATGGCAGCAGAATTATGTTTGATTATGTATTTTAAATAAAGAGAAATAAAAAGTTATGAATTCAGTTTATGTTCAGCTGAATGGAGAATTCTAGTTAATGTTTTCTTGAGAAACAAGATAACCTGCAAATGACATAAAATTTATAAATCTTAAAATAAGACTTTTAAAAGATACAGAGAAAATAATGCATTTAATGACTATAGAAGTAGCAAACAAAAATAAAAATATATATGACACAGCAAAATAAATATGTCAATAATAATAAATACACATAACCCATATTTCTTTATGAAGGTAAAATAGATTCTTAAACTCATTGACTAAGATGATATGCATTGTGTTTATAAGCAATTCACCAATATCTAGTGAAATAAAGATTAAAAGTGAAAAGATTGAAAGACTTATACAAATATAAAGTAAAAGGAGGTCATAAAGAATAATTTTTAAAATGTATTGAATCAAAGATTATTTCATATTGATTAAAGTGCACAGTGAAAACAAAACTGACATATAGGACTGTGTTCGGAATTGGTGGGTTCTTGGTCTCACTGACTTCAAGAATGAAGCTGCGGACCCTCGTGGTGTTACAGTTCTTAAAGGTGGGGTGTCTGGAGTTTGTTCCTTCTGATTTTTGGATGTGTTCGGAGTTTCTTCCTTCTGGTGGGTTCGTGGTCTCGCTGGCTCAGGAGTGAAGCTGCAGACCTTCGCGGTGAGTGTTACAGCTCTTAAGGCGGCACATCTGGAGTTGTTCCTTCCTCCCGGTGGGTTCCTGGTCTCGCTGGCTTCAGGAGTGAAGCTGCAGACCTTCGCAGTGAGTGTTACAGCTCAAAAAGGCAGTGTGGACCCAAAGAGTGAGCAGCAATAAGATTTACTGCAAAGAAAGAAAGAACAAAATTTCCACAGCGTGGAAGAAGACCAGAGCGGGTTGCCACTGCAACCTGCTTTTATTCTCTTATCTGGCCCCACCCACATCCTGCTGATTGGTAGAGCCGAGTTGTCTGTTTTGACAGGGCGCTGATTGGTGCATTTACAATCCCTGAGCTAGACACAAAGGTTCTCCACGTCCCCACCAGACTCAGGAGACCAGCTGGCGTCGTCACCCAGTGGATCCCGCACCGGGGCTGCAGGTGGAGCTGCCTGCCAGTCCCGCGCCGTGGGTCTGCACTCCTCAGCCCTTGGGTGGTCGATGGGACTGGGCGCCCTGGAGCAGGGGGCGGCGCTCGTCGAGGAGGCTCCGGCCGCACAGGAGCCCACGGCGGGGGCGGGGGAGGCTCAGGCATGGCGGGCTGCAGGTACCGAGCCCTGCCCCGCGGGAAGGCAGCTAAGGCCCGGCGAGAAATCGAGCGCAGCGCCGGTGGGCCGGCACTGCTGGGGGACCCAGTATACCCTCAGCAGCCGCTGGCCCGGGTGCTAAGCCCCTGCCGGCCGGCTGTTCTGAGTGCAAGGCCCGCCAAGCCCACGCCCACCCGGAACTCGCGCTGGCCTACAAGCACCGCGCGCAGCCCCGGTTCCCGCCGGCGCCTCTCCCTCCACACCTCCCCGCAAGCTGAGGGGGCCGGCTCCGGCCTTGGCCAGCCCAGAAAGGGGCTCCCACAGTGCAGCGTAGGGCTGAAGGGCTCCTCAAGTGCCACCAAAGTAGGAGCCCAGGCAGAGGAGGCGCCGAGAGCGAGCGAGGGCTGTGAGGACTGCCAGCACGCTGTCACCTCTCATTACTAAACTCAGCAAGAAACTTTTAGTTATATGAAGATAATATAAAATTACTAAAGGCCATGAAACAAGACTTTATTAGACAGTTCTACCACATTCCCGATAAAAAAAAAAGACTCACTAATGTATAAAATATAAAATCTCTCAACATTATGTATTTTATAAAAATAACAACTTAAATTCTTAATATTTATTTATTTATTTATGAGACGATGTCTTACTCTGTCACCCAGGCTGGAGTGCAGTGGCACAATCACAACTCAATCAGTCTCAACCTCCCATGCCCAAGTGATCCTCCCACCTCAGCCTCCTGAGTAGTTGGGACCACAGGCATGCACCACCACACCTGGCTAACTATGTTTTATTTTTTGTAGACACAGAGTCTGCCTATGTTGTCCAAACGCCTTGAACTCCTGGGCTCAAGAAATTCTCCCATCTCGGTATCCCAAAGTGCTGGCATGAGCCACCATGCCTGGCCAAATCCTTAATTTTCAAAACTTAAAATGCTCCATCATTCCTCATTAAGCAGATGAATATAAAAACATTTTTCAGAAAAGATGACTAATGGAACAAGATTTACTCTACCAAATACTAAAATATACTATATACTACAAGCAATTATAATGAAAATAGAATGAAGATAAAACACCTGAATGTTAGACTAGCTTTTTTCTAATTCTGTGAAGAATGGTGTTGGTAGCTTGATAGGAATAGCGTCAAATCTGTAAATTGCTTTGGACAATGTGGTTATTTTAACAATATTGATTCTTCCTATCCATGAGCATGGAATGTTTTCCCGTTTATTTGAGTCATCTCTGATTTATTTCAGGAGCGTTTTGTAGTTCTCCTTGTAGAGACCTTCCACCTATTTGGTTAGCTATATTCCTAGGCATTTCATTTTATTTGTGGCTATTGTAAATGGGATTGTGTTCTTGATTTGACTCTCAGCCTGGTTGTTATTGGTGTCTAGAAATGCTGCTGATTTTTGTACACAGATTTTGTATTCTGAAATCTTGCTAAAATTGTTTGTCAGCTCTAGCAGCCTTTTGGTAGAATCTTTAGGGTTTCCTAAGTACAGAATAATCATCAGTGAAGAGAGATAGTTTGACTTCTTCTTTTCCTATTTCAGTGCCTACTATTTGATTGCTCTGGCTAGGATGACTCATACTATGTTGAATAGGAGTGGTAAGAGTGAGCATCCTTGCCTTGTTCCCAGTTCTCAAAGGGAATGCTTTTGGCCTTTGCCTGTTTAATGTGATGTTGGCTATGGGTTTGTCACAGATGGCTCTTATTATTTTGAGGTATGTTCCTTTGATTCCTACTCTGTTGATAATTTGTATCATGAAGGGATGTTGGAATTTATCAAAAGCTGTTTCTGCATCTCTTGAGGTGATCATATGGTTTTTGCTTTTATGTCTGTTTTTGTGGTGAATCACACTTATTAATTTGCACGTGTTGAACAAAACTTGCATCCCAGGAATAAAATCTACTTGATTGTGGGGTGAATTAAGTTTTTGATATGCTGCTGGATTTGGTTTGCTAGTATTTTGTTGAGAATTTTTGCCTCTATGTTCATCATGGACGTTGACCTGAAGGTTTCTTATTTGTTGTGTCTCCACCAGATTTTGGTAGTAGGCTGATGCTGGTTTATAGGAGGAGAAGTAGCTCTTCCTCGATTTTTTGAAATAGCTTCAGCAGGATTGATACCAGTTCTTCTTTGTATGTCTGATAGAATTTGGCTGTGAGTCAATCTGGTCCAGCCTACATAGCCAAAGCAATCCTAAGCAAAAAGAACAAAGCTAGAGGCATCACACTATCTGGCTTCAAACTATGTTGTAAGGCAAAAGCAATCAAAACAGCATGGTACTGATACAAAAACAGACACATAGACCAATGGACCAGAATAGAAAACTCAGAAATAAAGTCTCACATCTACAACCATCTGATCTTCAACAAGGCCAAAAGAAACAAACAATGACAAAAGGACTCTCTATTCAATAAGTGGTGCTGGGATAACTGACTAGCCATATGCAGAATGAAGCAAGACCCTTGCTTTTCATGATACACAAAAATTAACTCAAGATGGATTGAAAATTTAAACATAAGACCTCAAACTATAAAAATACTAGAAGAAAACCAAGAAAATCACTCTTTGACATTGGCCTTGGCAATGAATTTTTGACTAAGCCTGTAATAACAATTGCAACAAAAACAGAAATTGACAAATAGGACCTACTTTAGTTTAAATTAAAGAGCTTCTGCCATCAAAAGAAGCCATCAACAGAGTAAACAGATAAGATACAGAATGGGAGAAAATATTCACAACCTATGCATCCAACAAAGGTCTAATAACAACAATCTATAAAGAACTTAAACAAAACAACATGGAAAAGCAAGTAACCCCATCAAAAAATGGGCAAAGAACATAAAGAGACATTTCTCAAAAGAAGACATATAAGCGGCAAGTAAACATAAAAAACGCTTGTCACTAATCATCAGAGAAATGTAAACCAAAACCATAATGAGATAACATCTCATACCAGTCAAATGACTATTACTAAAAAGTCAAAACAAACAAACAAACAAAAAGAAAACAGAAGCCAGTGAGGATACAGAGAAAAGGGAACACTTATATACTGTTGGTGGGGATGTACATTAATTCAGCCACTGTGGAAAGCAGTTGGGGATTTCTCATAGAACTTAAAACAGAGCTACCATTCAACCCAGCAATCTCAGTACTGTGTATATACCCAAAGGAAAATTGATCATTATACCAAAAAGACACCTGCAGTTGTGCATTCATTGCCATGCTATTCACAATAGCAAAGACATGGAATCAATCTAGGTGCTTAACAGTGGTGGATTGGATGAAGAAAATGTGGTACATACACACCATGGAATACTATACAGCCATAAAAAAGAATGAAGTCATGTCATTTGCAGCAGAAACATGGATGCAGCTGGAGGCCATTATCCTAAGTGAATTAACATAGGAACAGAAAAATCAATACCACATCTTCTCACTTATAAGTGGGAGTTAAATTCTGAGCACACATGGACAAAAACATGGGAAAAACAGGCACTGCAAACTACTAAAGTGGGGAGGAAGGGTGGCATGGGTTGAAAAACTACCTGTTGGGTACTATGCTCACTACCTGGGTGCAATATACCCATGTAACAATCCTGTACATGTACCCTGGTATCTATAATAAAAGTTGAAAAAAGGAATAAAACAATATGCAGATCAGTGGAAATGAATAGAAATCCATCAAAAATTCCATAAATATATGTCATAATATATATGAAATAAAATAACATTTTAAGTCAGCAGATAATAAATGAATTATTTGACAAATTTCTCTAAAATAATTAGGTGTTTGGAAAAAAAACATATTTTGGATTCATCACTTACCACAAACAAAAATAAATCCCAGATTAATTATTGTTAAAGAATAAAGTCAAAAAACATATTAGATGAAAATGGATCTAATTATAGCAAAGGAAAGATCTTATTAAGCATAAAAACAAGGAAATAAACAGAATCAAAGGAAATGTTGCTAGGGAATGAAAATATTGTATGTATTGTTACATCAAATATAAACATAGTTTATTTTAAAATCATAAATTTTAAAAGTCAAATTAAAAGCTGGAACGCAATGTCTATCATGTATGAGAACCAAGAGTGAATATTGGTAATATTGAAAGGGTTCTCAAAATTAATAAAGAAAAGGAAAACAACTGCCCATAAATGAGTAACAAATATGAAGAAATTACTCACAAGTAGCTAACACAAATAATAAAAATGTTCAAATTTACAAGCAAGGTAAATATTTTTAACTTATAAGACAGACATTTTGTCTATTCAATTAATAATTTTTTAAAATTAAAAGCCCTCAGGATTAGAGAGTACAAATTATATTAGACTACTGATATAAATTGATATAACCATTAGGACTGCTGTAAAATATATATCAAGATATATAAAACTATTCATACCCACTGACTAACATTCCACTTCTAAGAATATATCCCAATTAAACAATGAGGAATTTTCCTGAAGTATGTATACAAGGAAGTTAGACTAGGAGTAATGTATTGATTAAATAAATCATCATATACTCGTAAGATGAATTTAATGCACTCATTAAAAATATTTATTCGTAGATGACAGAATATTATATGAAAAAATAATATAGGTCATCCTTATGTAATGTTAAATTGCATATATCATAGATGCTTTATTTTTATTGTGTAGTTATGTTACTATTAGCTAATTCAGCAAATATTTGTTGAGTACCTACAATGAAGTAGATAGTGATTTAGACACTGAAGATACAACAATAAGCAAAACCCAACAAGACAAAAATTCCTGGCCTCGCGGAACAATTATGTGTTCAATTTGATACAATGCATAATACTAGAAGGCAATATAGGCAAATATTAAGTCATTTCTGGATGGTGAGATTATGGATAGTTTTCAAAAATATTTTTACATTTTAGTTCTCTCTCATAAACATATATTACTATCATACTAAAAACATTAAAATTATTTCTAAATCAGATTTCTTATTAAAGATGTATTTCAATAGAACTTTTTAATGTTAATATACTATTAAACTGTTTTTATGATGTTGAAAATGTACCTTGTGTTCATGATCCAAAATTAAAACTAGAAGCATCATTTTAATTGTGGTTATCTAATTAAAATTCTAAAAAGGGGCATTTCTGTAGTCCACTATTTCTAGAAATATCCTCCTTATGTGTGCCAGTGAAATTTACCAGCATGCCAGGTATTTTGGAGGCACTTCTGATACCCTAATTCCAATTATTTTAAATAATATTATTTTGTTTGTAATGCATCTCTTTCCTCTTGCATTGAGGTTCTGTCTGACACTAGCAGAAACAAATTGCAAAACAACACAACAAAGGTTTTCCTCACAGCTGCTTCAACCAGATGGTAGATTTGAGCTTCTGGAAACATATTAGAAAAGCCTATTCCCATATAAAATCTATCTCAAGTTTAGACATCTCTAAGTCCCTTGCAAGACATAGAAGACTAAAGTACTTTCCTATACAGTGATTTCCATCTTCTTACTATCAACTGTTATGACCTCATAGGTTATCTCTGGCTCCCTTATCATCATATATGTATTATATAACACCATAAACTAAAGACATTTACTAGGTAATTCTGTTTTTACCTTTTGGACTCCTTACATTTTATGATTCCTTTTCAGACAATCATTATAATTTATGATAACTCTTTCCTCAATGAGATGAGAGATGCCCTCTCTTCTGGACACTAATCTCTAGATTTTCTTCCATATGGACAACCAGAAAATAGAATAATAAAATCACTTGCTTATAAAATGACATTTATTACCACAATGTAGCAGTGGCTATTACAAGCTTTTAAAATTTTTTAAATGTAAAAGTACATATGATTTGTGTCCCTGAGTTGGCAATTTACTATACCTAAACCAGTGAGCGAAGCATTGCCATCTCTGTGTTGGATGTCTAGATAGCAAGCCCAGAACCTGATTTCCTCCCAATTAGGGAATAATTTCAGTTAGGTTACTGCCTAAACCATCACCCTAAAGACCAGCTCCAATCATGTAATTTTATTGCACAAAAATTTTAGTGGCTCTCTACTGTCTACAGAATGAGGCACAAACTCGTTGGTCCAGCATTTAAGAAGCTACACAATAAGGTCAAGCTGTTTTCTAGTTTTATATTCTTTTAGCCCATAAACCCCAGGGTTTCATAAAATATTCATGGTTCACATTTTGAGAATGACTCTGTCAAAATAAAACTTAGTAGACAACTTGATTATCATTTAAATTCTGTTTCACCTCCAAACTTTACTTAGTTCACATTATTCTATTTTCTTTCTTCAAGACTCGGCCTTAATTCTTATTATTTATTGAAGTCTTTCTTGCCAAAGCTGAGAAGGATTATTTTTAACCTTTGATTCCACATGGATAATACGCTGGGAAGGTAACTGGATTTGGAAACTGGAAGCTATTTGCATAATTTGGGCAAGCCTCCTAACTTTCCAGAAAACTCCATTTTCTCATCTGTAAAATGGGCCATTCATTCATTCAGAAAGGTTTTATTGACTATTTTTATATGTTAACCACTTTTTAAAGAACCAAAGTTCTATAAATGACTATTTTCAACCTCCACCATACTATGTGCTGTCAGGGAGCACCAGAGAGTCTGAAGCTCCCTGGCTTTGAACAGTTGAAGCAGCGTTTCTCAAAGTGCGGACGGGAAGAGCAGTAGTAACATCACCTGGGAATTTGTCAGAAATGAAAATCCTCAGACCTCACACAAGACTGGCTGATTCAGACATTCTGGAAGTTAGAACTAGCAATATAGGCATTAACAAACCTTCTAGGTGATTCTGATGCAAGAAAAATTTGAGAAATACTATATTGGAGAAAAGCTAGAATGAAGTCTCACTCACTTAAAACACTATCAGGAGCTATTCCCCTAATTCACCTGTCTCTGTCTCCTCTGGTAGCCCAAATGTGTTAATTATCATAACCCTGGCACTCTCAGTCCTGTGCGGTTCTCTCTCTCATCTGAGCCTTAGCTTTATCCTGCCCTTTAAATATTTTCAATATACCCTAATCCATTGAGCTCACTGCTTTTTGTCTGGGTGTCGGCTGCTTCCTGTGTTGTACTCTATACAGAACTAGAGTATTAAATTAATCGTATTAATCATATTTTTGGTTTCTTATCATCATTGTTCTGCAAAAGTTTCTTCTTTTGCTTCATTTAATTTCATTTATGTTAGTTCCAGTTCCATTTTCTCATCTCCTCCTAGGCAATTTCTGTAATGAATTTCCTATTTATCTTTGACTATATACACAGTCACACATTGTAGTAACAACTGGAATACATCCTAAGAAATGTGTCATTAGGTGATTTTGTCATTGTGTGAACATCATAGCTTGTACTTACACAAACTAAGAAAGTATAGCTTACCACACACCTAGGCTAAATGGTATAGCCTATTGCTTCTAGGCTATATACCTGTACAGCATATTACAGTACTGAATACTGTAAGTAATTGTAACTATTTGTATATCTAAACACATCTAAAAATAGAAAAGGTACAGCAAAAATGCGCTATAAAATGGGTCCGCAACCCCTGGACTATGGACCAGTACCAGTCTGTGAGTTGTTAGGAGGGACCTGGCCACACAACAAGAGGTGAGTGGCAGGCAAGGAGGGAAGCTGAGCTCTGCCACCTGTCACATCAGCAGTGGCATTAAATTTTTCATAGGAGCAGGAACTCTATTGTGAACTGCTCATGCAAGGGATCTAGGTTGCATGCTCCTTATGAGAATCTAAGGCCTGATGATCTGTCACTGTCTCACATCACCCCCAGATGGGACCGTCTAGTTGCAGGAAAATAAGCTCAGGGGTCACACTGATTCTACATTATGGTGAGTATGTAATAATAATAATAGAAATAAAGCCCACAATAAATGTAATGAGCTTGAATCATCCTGAAACCATGCTCCCCATGGGCCTCCCACTCAATCCATGGAAAAATGTTTGTATTCATCTGTTTTCATGCTGCTGATAAAGTCATACCTAAGACTGGGTAATTTATTTTAAAAAAAAAAAGAGGTTTAATGGACTCACAGTTCCATGTGGCTGGGGAGACCTCACAATCGTGATGGAAGGGGAAAGGCATGTCTTACAAGGCATGTCTGATTCTTAAGTGAGAATGAAAACCAAGCAAAAGGGGAAACTTCATATAAAACCATCAGATCTCATGAGATTTATTCACTACTGTGAGAACAGTATGGGGGAAACCATTCCCATGATTCAGTTTTCTCCCACTGGATCCCTCCCACAACACATGGAAATTATGGAGGCTACAATTCAGGATGATATTTGGGTGGGGACACAGCCAAACCATTTCAATGGTCTTCCACAAAATGGTTCCCTGGGGCCAAAAAGGTATAGAAGATAAACAATGGTACACCTATATAGGGCACTTGCCATGAATGGAGCTTGCAGGACTGGAAGCTGCTCTGGGTGACTCAGTGAGTGAGTGGTGAGTGAATGAATATGAAGGCCTAGGACACACCTACTGTAGACTTTATAAACACTGTACATTTAGGCTACACTAAATTTATAAAAAATATTTTTATTTTCTTAGCAATAAATAAACCTTCACTTACTGTAACTTTTTTACTTTATAACCTTTTCAGTTTTTTTAAACTTTTTGACTCTTTTGTAGTAACACTTAGCTTAAAACATAAACACATTGTACAACAGTACACAGTTTCTTTATATTCATATTCTATAAACTTTCTTCTATTTTTAATTTTTGTTATTACTTTTTAAACTTTTTTGTTAAAAACAAAGACACAATCACACACATTAGCCTAAGAGGCCTACACAGGGTCAGGATCATCAATATCACTGTCTTCCACCTCCACATCTGGTCTCACTGGATGATCTTCAGGAGCAATAACATGCATGGAGCTGTCATCTCCTATGATAACAACGCCTGCTTCTGGAACCCACCTCCCGAAGAACCTGCTTGAGGCTGTTTTACAGTTAACTTTTTCTTTGTAAGTAGAAGGAGTACACTCCAAAATAGTGATCAAAAGTATAGTATAGTAAATATACAAACTAGTAATGAAGTATTTTATTACCATTATCAAGTATTATGTACTGTACATAATTACATGTGCTATTCTTTTATATGACTGGCAGTGCAGTAGGTTTGTTTACACCAGCATCACTGCAAACATGTGAGTAATGTGTGGTGCTACAATGCTATGATGGCTGTGACATCACTAGGCAATAGGATTTTTTCAATTCCACTGTAATCTCAAGGGAACACCATGATATATATGGTCCATAGTTGACTGAGAAGTTGTTATGTGGTGCATCACTGTATTTTAGTTTATGTGCCTAGAACTGTATTTTATACTGTGTTCCATTTATTATTGTTCTCGTTCAGCTTATGTCTATGTGTTTGTCTGTGTTGGTCTGTTCTTGTTAATTGCTTCTAACTGATTGATGACATTTGATTGTGTGCATCCACTCCATTTTAGCTGTATCTTCTACCAATGGTGAACTACTAATGTGCCTCCAATTCTCTGCTAATGAAAACAAATCTTTGGTGAATAGATTTGAACAAGCCTTTATATAGACCTATGAGGGAGGATTGCTAGGTCAAGAGTTTACACATTCTTAGTTTGACTAAGGACTGCTAGATTGTCCTCTGTGATAACTGCACCATCTACATTCTTCCTAAGAAATGATGAGTGTGGCTGTTTTCCCACATCTTCACCAACATACGGAATTATGAAACTTATTAGGCTTGAAATTAATGGTGGTTGGTGGTTATAAATTGTTACTTTGATTTACTTTACCTTTTTCTGATTACTAATGGTATTTAATAGCTCATGTGTGTTAGCTATTTATCTTTTCATAAATCAACCGTTCATCAACTTGTCAATTTTGACATTAGATTTTCTTTTTTCCTATTGAATTTTAAGAGTTCCTTATATATCCTAGATATCACTAACTTTTCCATTTTATAAACTAAAAATATCTCTCCCAATATTTGACTTGCCTGTAAGCTTTATCTATACTGCTTTTCAATACATAAAGGATTTTAATTGTGGTATAAGAAACTCTCAATTTCTAAACTTTTTTCTTTGTCCTTGTATGTTTCTCATTTACTTTTAATTTTATCTGGAATTCATTATTTTTAAATGTGGTATGGGATAGGGATGTGTATATTGTGAGCTAGTTTCTCAACACCACCTGCTAAATATTCTTTCTCTACTGAGTTTTGGTGCCAATTGTATGTGCCTGTAAATATATGTGTATCTGTTATATTGTCTACATATAAATTGTTCTTTGTCTCTATTTTCTTCCATTATATATTTAATACAAGTATATTTCTCATTATTATAGCCTATAGCATACTCTAACTAATCTGGAGAGACAGGTATCCCCTCTTTGATCCCATTTTTAACATTTGAAATGGTTAGGATATTTGTCCCTGCCCAAATCTCATGTTGAACTGTAATCCCCAGTGCAGGAGGCGGGGCCTGGTGGGAGGTTTTTTTTGTCATGGGGGTAGATCTGTCATGGCTTGGGTTCTATCTTCACCATAGTAAGTTCTTGTGAGATCTGGTCGTTTAAAAATGTGTGGCACCTCCCCCACCTCCAATTCTCTCTCTCCTGCTCCTACTTTCACCATGTGATGTGTCTACCTCCCCTTTGCCTTCTGCCATGATTGGAAGCTTCCTGAGGTCTCCCCGGAAGCAGATGCCACTATGCTTCCAGAACAGCCTGTACAACCATGAGTCAATTAAACTTTTCTTATAAATTGCCCAACCTCAGGTATTTCTTTATAGCAATGCAAGAATGGCATAATACAGCTTTTATAAGCTTATGTGGCCCTTAATATTTCTTACGAGTTAAAAATACATTGATCACATTTTTATAAAATGCCGTCTGGGATTTTGATTGACATTATATTCAGTTTATTAATCAATTTGGAGAAAATTGAAGTTTTCATAATATTAAAGCTTTCCATACAAAAGAATAGAGTATCTCATTGTGTTCAGTCTTCCTTAATAGAGTTTTAAATCCCAAACATAGAGATCTAATTTATTCTTTCTGATATTAAATTCCTAAGATTGTACTTTTTTGCTATTTTGAATATTATTTTCAGTTTATCACATATTTGGATGATCCTTGCTGGTGTAGAAAGATATTTATATAATAATAGTTGGTGTCCAAATTTTCTTTTTCTTATGTAGATAATCACATAATAAAAATGGAAGGTTTAACCTCTTCTTTTCAAATTCTTATACTTCTTACTACATTTTTATGTCTTATATTATTGGCCAGCCCTCTTGGATCGTATTAAATACTAGGGGTAATGTTAGCATCCTATCTATTTCCTGTCCTAAAGGAAATATGCTTAAAATTTTCGATTAACATTATTCACTCAAGGTTTTTGTACATGAACTTTATCAAGGTAAAGATGTTATTTTCTATCCTTAGTTTGATATTTTCAAATCATAAATAGGTAATGCAACTTATTCAATGTCTGTTTAATAATTATTGAAATAACTATGTGGTGGTTATGCTGTATTATGTTGATACATTATGTGATATTGAAGCATCCTCATGCACTTGGGATAACCAAGAAATATATAAAAGCCAACTTAGTAATGTGTTTCTTTTATAGTTAGTGTATTTTAAAAATTAAATTTCATAATTCTTTGCCAAATTCAAGTTTGCTGAGATATTCTCCTATGTTTTCTTCCAGGATTTATATAGTCTTAGCACTTATAATTAGATTTAATGTATTTTAAAATTCATTTATAATTCACATACCATAAGATCTGTCCTTTTAAAGTGTACAATTCCATGGATTTTAGTATATTCACAATGTTGTGCACAATCGTCAATATGTAATTCCATAACATTTTTATCACCCCGAAAAGAAACCCAACACCAATTAGCATTCATGCTCATTCTTTCTCCCCTAAGCCTCTGGCAACCTCTAATGTACTTTCTGTCTATGGATTTCCCAATTCTGGACATTTAATATAAATGGATCACTAATTATTTGGCATTTTGTGGTTGGTTTCTTTGGTTTAGCATAATGTTTTCAAGTTTCATTAATGTTGTAGGGTGTATCTATATCATTCCTTTCTATGGTAAATAATATTCTACCATACAGATATATCATGTTATGGGTTTATTCATTCATCAATTGATGAACACTTGGTTCGTTTCCACTTTTTGGCTCTGATGAATCATGTTGCTATGAACATTTATGTGTAAGTTTTGTGTGAATATATGTTTTCAATTCTCTTGGGTATATACTTAGGAGTAGAATTGCTGTATCACAATTAACTCTGTGTTTAGTTTTTCTGAAGAACAGCCAAATTGTTTTACAAAGAAGCTGCACCATTTTACACTCCCATCAGTAATGTATGAGGCTCACAAGTTTTTTCCCTTAACACTTGTTATTATCTGTCTTCATTATAGCTATTAAGTGGGTATGAAGTGATATCTTTCTGTGGTTTCAATTTATATTTTTCTAAAGACTGATGATATTGAGCATCTTGTCATGTTCTTGCTGGTCAATTGTATTTCTTCTTTGGAGAAATATTATTCAAGGTCTAAAATCAAGGAATAGTCTTCCAACTTTATTATTCTTTGCAAAATTCTTTTGGCCATTCCAGGTACTTTTTATTTCCATATACATTTTAGAAACAGTTTGTTAATTCCTACAAATAAAATACCTGCTGGGATTTTGTTTGATATTATGCTGAATTATTAATCAATTTTGTAAGATTTGACATCTTAGCAATCTTGAGTGCTCCATTCCATGAATATGGTATATTTCTGCATTTATTTAGATATTAATTTCTCTTAGTAACATTTTGTAGTTTTTAACACATAGATCAGGTACATTTTTGCCAAACTTACCCCTGAGTATTTCAGATGTTTTATGCTATTGTAAATGGTATGTTTTTGTTTCAATTTATGATTGCTTGAATTTAGAGCTACAATCAATTTTAATAAATTAATATTTTATTCTGCAACTCTGCTAAATTCACTTGTTAGTTTTAGTAGATCTTCTGTAGATTTTGTACAATCATGTTGTTTTTTGGTAAAAAGTTTTTCCCTCTCTACATAATGTGCCTTTTTTTCCCCTATCTCTGGCTGCTTACTAATATCTTTTTATTATTATTTTAAGCAATTTGATTAAAATATGACTTTTGTGTGTGTATGTGTGCATGCCAAGTTTGTGTATTTTAATGTTTATTTTATTTATGGTTCATTGACTTCTTGGATCTGTTGTTTATAACTCTCAAATTTATAATTTTTTAGTATTATGTTTCAATTATTTTTTTCTCTTTTCTTCTGCATCATTTCTTTCTGGGATCTCAATTGCAAGTGTATTAATTTTCTTGTGTTTGCTTGATTTTGTCCTGCAGGTCACTGGTTATATTTTTAGGCTCCTTTTCACTGCGTGCTTTATTTTGGATAGTTTCTATTGCTACATCTTCAAGTTCACTGACATCTTTTTCTGCTTTCTCTGCTCTGTTGTCAATCTCATTCTATTACACAGTTTTTACATTACAGATCTTTCATCTTTATCCTTTCATATTTATGCTTTCTTAAGCATATGGAACATACTAATGATAGTTGTCTCAGTGACTTTGTATACTACTCCATTATCAGTGTCAGTTTCTATTTATGGAGATTTTTTCCCCTGCCTGTCAGTCATATATTTCTGCTTATTTGCCTACCTAACAATTTTTATTGTAAAATTTACATTTGTAGGTACTATATATAGTTATTATTTTAAAGAGTGGTGGACAATGTTCTGGCACATGAGTTATATCTACATTGGGTGGCAGGAGAATCAATTATTCCAACCATATCCCAGCCTAGGTGTTGTCTACTGACTTACAGTAGTTCATCCTTGAGTTTTGTGAAGTTTCTCCCCTTATACACTCAGATCATTATTAAGCACAAAAATAAAAGAGACATCTGTCTGGATCTCCAGAGCTCTATATTTGTATAGCTTTCTTTTCTCTGATCTGTTTCACTCATTCAAACCACATCAACCTCCCTGAACTTTGATCTCTGTCTTTCTAATTGACAGAGACTACAAAACTCTTGATTGGGTTTTCTCCCTCCTCTGCAACCTGGAAACTACCTTCAGGAAGTGAGTTGAAACAATTGTTCACCTCATTTATTTCCTTTTTCCTAAGTAATCATAGTCTCTGACTGCTCTTCAATGTTTGAAAAGAATTGTATCAGATATTCTTCTGTTTCCTAATTTTTATGGGAGGGATGTTAAATCCCAAACACTTTATACCATATGGCTAGAAGTAGAAATCTCTTCTCTCTGTGTTTACTTTCCTTCCTATTCAACTCAGACTTCATGGACCATAGTACATCATTATAGTCACTTCTTGTAAAATCTCTCTTTATCTCCTATAATCACCTGGCTTCTGTCTCAGCTCTACCTACTCACCATCTCTTTTATGTCTTCACCTAATTAGATTAATGTTTCTGAAGAATGTTATACAACTTGGTAAACTAATATTATATTAAATTTATAATTACAAGTCTTAAGTGGCCATCTAACTCCACCCAGAAATTTTACTGCTGCCCTCAATTTTGTCCTCCTTATTCAATCAGATGACCATTTTATAATTCTCCTCTACCTTTAAAAACTCCTATGCCCTCCAATATCCCTTCCAAATCCATTTTAGTTGATCTCCTCATCTTATAGTTTTCCTACATATTAATAAATTAGAAACAGTCTGACAGACACCCCCTCAGTTTTTCATCACTAAAGCTAAAATTCAACCTACATTCTTATTCATTTTTCACCCCCGTAACAAGTGATGATAGGTTCCTTATCTTTAAAAGGCTGGCCTTTTCAGCAAATCTCATCCCCTCTTGCCTTTACAAAAACTTTGACTATGTTTTCACTCTTTCCCATATTATTAGTGTCTCCATCTTATTGGTTCATACATGTGAAGAGAAGACAAAGCTACCTCTACTTCCCATCTTTTAAAAATTTTCCTTGACCCCACAAATCTCTCTGCAGCTATTTCTCCATTTTTGTCTACTCTTCTATACAGCAAAATGTCTTCAAAATCTGGTCTATACAAGTTGGTTACACTTTACCCCCTGTGATTTCCACTTTAGCTTATTCAAGTCAGGCTCCCATCTCCACAATTCCACCAACTGTATTTTTCAAGTCATTATCTACTTCTTTACTCAAACCCAAATCCAGAGTTTTCCTTAATTTCTTCATTTTTTTTCCATTCTTCATATCCAGTTTTTCAGAAAGTGCTGTTGATTTTACATATGAAAACCACCTCAAATCCATACAATTTCAATCTGTCATCAGTACTGCCATCCCAGGCCCCAGTATTATTGCATGCCTTTCTTGCTGCAACAGATAAGCTCTGAACTGATGTCATTTCTTCTATCATTGTTTCTCCAAATCCATTCTTAACGTAGTACTCATGGTGGTTTATACAACACAAAATTATACAACTGTATCATGCAGTTTCCTTAGATCGACCCTCTTAACATGGCTTGTAGCGTCATATATAAGCTGACCTAATGTCATCTTTCTACTCCATCTTCTACAATGGTCTTCCACAGTCACTATTCTTTAGATACGGGACTTTCTTTACTTGGAAGAGCTCTTTTCTGCCTTAGCAACTGTATACAATTAATGATCCTCTGCACATTTTCCTCTTCCCCAGAACTTCACATAGCTGCCTCCTTGCCAGGACTCTAATCTGTAGGTCCTCAGGATGGGCTCCCCTCCATCACCCATCTGTGTGAATCTCCACCTGCATCGTTATTTTCTATCACAGTTGTCCATTTATTTCCTTCACAGAACCTATTTCTAGATGCACCTTCATTTTCATTTCCTGCTCCTTATCTCCTGCTCCCACTTGGATGTATTTTCCTTGAGAGCAGGGACATTGTTTTAGCAGTGCCTAGCACACAACATGTACTCAGGAAATATTAGTTGAATACTGAATTGTAGACCTGCTGCATAATGATGCCAGCTACAAATACTTCACAAGATTGTTGTGAAAAAACTTTGCAAGATCTAAAGAGAAGAGTAGATCAGAATTATTAAGCATTTACTCTGTATTAAGAAAAATACTAAACGCTGTCGATAGATTATTATTTAACTTTATCCTTATAGCTACTTTTATGTATGAATATCCCATTTATATTATATATTATTGTCCCATTTTCAGATAAAAACAAGGTTCAGATGAGTTTATTGCCTTCTCTACTTTCAGATAGTAAGTAGCCAAGCTGGATTTGACTCCCAAGTCCACTCTTTTTTATCTACGTTAGTCATCAGAAACATCTTACAAATTAGTTATTATTTCCTCTGTGTTCTTACTGCACTTATAATATTTTTAATGTTCTAAATACTTGAGCAAATTATCCTGTCCCAAAATAATAAACTTTATTTAGTAGTGGCTTACACTTTCTTATCTTTTTAATTTTGCAGTTCTATCACATTGTCTGGCATACAGAAAATTACTCCATAACATTCTGTGATCTTAAGTGAATTGTAGGCTGTTAACCTTTTGGATAAAGTGCTTACCCTATTTTTTAGTCTGATGTTTGCCTGAGGGTAATGTTCTTGTTAAAAAACTGACCAAGTTCAAAGGATTGATGTATTTTACTGTTGTATTTATTATATTTCTCAGCCCTGGAGATTATCTAAGTGAAGTCACTTGAAAAATTCACTTCAAAGAGAACTCCACACTTGAATATGCATCACAGAAGACAAAGTAAAATAAGAATTCGGTCTCTCAGGGAATGAAGAAAATCAAGAAGTTATTGGCCTTATGGTTGGCAGTTCCTGGTTAAAAAAAAAAAAAGCATTATCTATTCCCAGATTTTTGAAAAGGAATAAGTGGATTTTTTTCAGCCTTAAAGATTTGCTGCTATGTCCAATGTACAAGAGAATGAGAATATCTCCTAATACCAAAACATCCCATTTTAAATTGTGGCATATGATTTAGAAACAGTTTCTAAATCCATAGTTTAACCCAACAATATTCTTGTGAGATATAGCTATATTTCATTAGAAAGACTAAAATCTGAAAGAGTTGATTTCCATAAATCTACCTCTACCATACTAGATTTTAATTTTAAGATTTTGCAAAAAATATTTTTAATAACTTCTAACTATCAACAATGATTAAGAAGTCTTGAAAGTGAACTCCTAGTTTCTAAACTCTTTCTTGCTCATACATTATACATTCTTTCTTTGTGTTTATCTCACTATATGATTTTGTCATCAGTTTCATACTTTATGTTGTATTACATCATTGCATGGATGTATCAAGAGCATTAAATGTATAAAATTATGAGAAAATTAGGTGAGTCAAACTGAACAATTTAAACCTTTAAAGCTTGAGGCAAAATAAATTTATCTTACAGAAATATTAGCAATTCATTCCACAATTCAAGCATTTTTCATAGATATTTTCCCCTGAATATCTTACCTCAATATACATAACAATTACTTATGATCAGCTTCAATATTATCAAAAAGGAAATAATATCAAATATAAACACATTAGTTTTTATGTAATTTATAATTTTTACTGTCCCACTAAGCAAACTGTTTAGTTTAGTCAAACTTTTGTTTTATTTTGTTTTTTGGTACCAAGACTTTCTCGATGAAGGAAGCAGTGTGTCAATTCGCTTTGTGATACAAGCTCTTAATCTGATTGATAACTCCAGACTGTTTTCCTGCTATTACAACGGTGCCATTAGAACATAATTCTACACAAAAATCAAACTCCAAACTTCATTTGTTGATAATGCAATCCTTCCTAGTATTAGACAATTCAAATATTGTTGTTTATCCACAATAAATGTGAACAAAATTCATCCTTCATATTATCATCATGTTCAGACTACACATATACTAAAAGAATTGTCATGTTAGAAATACGTATGTATTCATCAAATTGCAAGAAAAAAATACTTGGGTAGCTTATTTTTTCTATGAGTTGGTTTTCCAATTCGTTAGCTAATTCCTGAATTTGCTGAGACTATATCATGGGGGAGTGATATTTGAGCTACCTCATATGCGACAGATCTGCCCAACAATTCTAAGTAAACACGTTTAATGCAGACTTTCGTTAATGTCTTGACATTTATCTGTGATTTTTTTGTTACTTTTAGTTACCTAAAGTCTTCCTTTACAAGAAATATAATATATTCTATGCAACAGTGACATCTGATTCCTCTGGCTTTTGAAATCAATAATCTTTCCTTTGAAGAATTCTTTTGGCTTTGGACTTATCTTTTTATGTATTCTTAAAATGCAAATACTGCTTATATTATAATGGTTCCATTGTTTCAGTAGCCACTGTATCTTTGCAGTAGGTTTTAACCCTTCAACATCAATTGTGGTTGCAAAATTGAACTCAACATATGATTTATACTTCCAAATGAAATAAATATGAACTCTTTGGGTCTTTATGTATTTAAAATCGTGTTCACAATTATCATGTGATTTATCACTAGTAATACAACTGTCAAAAATGTATCTTTGTTTTTTAAACAAGGAATTTCCAAGCCTGGCCAACACAGGGAGACCACATCCCTACAAAGAGATGATAAGAAAATAAAAAAAAAATTAGCCTGGCATGGTGGTGCACACCTGTAGTCCCAGCTCCTTGGGAGGCTGAGGCAGGAGGATCACTTGAGCCCAGGAGGCTGTGCTATGATGGTACCACTGCACCTCCAGCCTAGACAACAGAGTGAGACCATATCTCAAAAAAAAATAAGAAGAAGAAGAAAGAAAGAAATTTCCAGTGAAGCATGTTTTGCCATCTGCAAATTAAAAATAAATAATATAAAGTTATACTTTATTAATTTTGCAAATAAAACTACAAATTGAAAAGCAATTTTTGCTAAAAATTTTTAAATGAATGCTAAAAGTTACAAAAACAAATGAATGCATTTTAAAGACTTTTACGCTTAATAGTTAATTGTGAAGGTGATCTTAATGTATTAGTGGTTTTTTTTAAATTATACTTTAAGTTTTAGGGTACATGTGCACAACATGCAGGTTTGTTACATATGTATACATGTGCCATGTTGGTGTGCTGCACCCATTAACTCATCATTTACATCAGGTATATCTCCTAATGCTACCCCTCCCCCTTCCCCCCACTCGACAACAGGCCCCAGTGTGTGATGTTCCCCTTCCTGTGTCCAAGTGTTCTCATTGTTCAATTCCCACCTATGAGTGAGAACATGTGGGGTTTGGTTTTTTGTCCTTGTGATAGTTCACTGAGAATGATGGTTTCCATCTTCATCCATGTCCCTACAAAGGACATGAACTCATCCTTTTTTATGGCTGCATAGTATTCCATGGTGTATATGTGCCACATTTTCTTAATCCAGTCTATCATTGTTGGACATTTGGGTTGGTTCCAAGTCTGCTATTGTGAATATTGCCACAGTAAACATATATATGCATGTGTCTTTATAGGAGCATGATTTATAATCCTTTGGGTATATACCCAGTAATGGGATGGCTGGGTCAAATGGTATTGCTAGTTCTAGATCCCTGAGGAATCGCCACACTGACTTCCACAATGGTTGAACTAGTTTACATTCCCACCAACAGTGTAAAAGTGTTCCTATTTCTCCACATCCTCTCCAGCACCTGTTGTTTCCTGACTTTTTAATGATTGCCATTCTAACTGGTGTGAGATGGTATCTCATTGTGGTTTTGATTTGCATTTCTCTCATGGCCAGTGATAATGAGCATTTTTTCATGTGTCTGTTGGCTGCATAAATGTCTTCTTTTGAGAAGTGTCTGTTCATCTCCTTTGCCCACTTTTTGATGGGGTTGTTTGTTTTTTTTTCTTGTCAATTTGTTTGAGTTCATTGTAGATTCTGGATATTAGCCCTTTGTCAGATGAGTAGATTGCAAAAATTTTCTCCCATTCTGTAGGTTGCCTGTTCACTCTGATGGTAGTTTCTTTTGCTGTGCAGAAGCTGTTTAATTAGATCCCATCTGTCAGTTTTGGCTTTTGTTGCCACTGCTTTTGGTGTTTTAGACATGAAGTCCTTGTCCATGCCTATGACCTGAATGGTATTGCCTAGGTTTTCTTCTAGGGTTTTTATGGTTTTAGGTCTAACATTTAAGTCTTTAATCCATCTTGAATTAATTTTTGTATGAGGTGTAAGGAAGGGATCCAGTTTCAGCTTTCTACATATGGCTAGCCAGTTTTCCCAGCACCATTTATTAAATAGGGAATCCTTTCCCCATTGCTTGTTTTTGTCAGGTTTGTCAAAGATCAGATGGTTGTAGATGTGTGGTATTATTTCTGAGGGCTCTGTTCTGTTCCATTGGTCTATATCTCTGTTTTGGTACCAGTACCATGCTGTTTTGGTTACTGTAGCCTTGTAGTATAGTTTGAAGTCAGGTAGCGTGATGCCTCCAGCTTTGTTCTTTTGGCTTAGGATTGACTCGGCAATGCAGGCTCTTTTTGTTCCATATGAACTTTAAAGTAGTTTTTTCCAATTCTGTGAAGAAAGTCATTGGTAGCTTGATGGGGATGGCATTGAATCTGTAAATTACCTTGGGCATTATGGCCATTTTCACGATGTTGATTCTTTCTTTCTTCCTACCCATGAGCATGGAATGTTCTTCCATTTGTTTGTATCCTCTTTTATTTAGTTGAGCAGTGGTTTGTAGTTCTCCTTGAAGAGGTCCTTCACATCCTTGTAAGTTGGATTCCTAGGTATTTTATTCTCTTTGAAGCAATTGTGAATGGGAGTTCACTCATGATTTGGCTCTCTGTTTGTCTGTTATTGGTGTATAAGAATGCTTGTGATTTTTGCACATTGAATCTGTATCCTGAGACTTTGCTGAAGTTGCTTATCAGCTTAAGGAGATTTTGGGGTGAGATGATGAGGTTTTCTAGATATACAATCATGTCATCTGCAAACAGGGACGATTTGACTGCCTCTTTTCCTAATTGAATACCCTTTATTTCCTTCTCCTGCCTGATTGCCCTGGCCAGAACTTCCAACATTATGTTGAATAGGAGTGGTGAGAGAGGGCATCCCTGTCTTGTGCCAGTTTTCAAAGGGAATGCTTTCAGTTTTTGCCCATTCAGTATGATATCGGCTGTGGGTTTGTCATAAATAGCTCTTACTATGTTGAGATATGTTCCATCAATACCTAGTTTATTGAGAGTTTTTAGTATGAAGGGCTGCTGAATTTTGTCGAAGGCCTTTTCTGCATCTATTGAGATAATCATGGTGGATAAGCTTTTTGATGTGTTGCTGGATTCAGTTTGCCAGTATTTTATTGAGGATTTTTGCATCGATATTCATCAGGGATATTGGTCTAAAATTCTCTTCTCGTTGTGTCTCTGCCAGGCTTTGGTATCAGGATGATGCTGGCCTCATAAACTGAGTTAAGGAGGATTCCCTCTTTTTCTATTGATTGGAATAGTTTCAGAAGGAATGGTAGCAGCTCCTACTTGTACCTCTGGTAGAATTTGGCTGTGAATCTGTCTGGTCCTGGACTTTTTTTTGGTTGGTAAGCTATTAATTATTGCCTCAATTTCAGAGCCTGTTATTGGTCTATTCAGAGATTCAGCTTCTTCCTGGTTTAGTCTTGGGAGGGTGTATGTTTCCAGGAATTTATCCATTTCTTCTAGATTTTCTAGTTTATTTGTGTAGAGTTGTTTATAGTATTCTCTGATGGTAGTTTGTATTTCTGTGGGATCGGTGGTGATATCCCCTTTATCATTTTTTATTGTGTCTATTTGATTCTTCTCTCTTTTCTTCTTTATTAGTCTTGCTAGCAGTCTATCAATTTTGTTGATCTTTTCAAAAAACCAGCTCCTGGATTCAGTGATTTTTTTGAAGGGTTTTTTGTGTCTCTATCTCCACCAGTTCTGTTCTGATCTTAGTTATTTCTTGCCTTCTGCTAGCTTCTGAATGTGTTTGCTCTTGCTTCTCTAGTTCTTTTGATTGTGACGGTATGGTGTCAATTTTAGATCTTTCCTGCTTTCTCTTGTGGGCATTTAGTGCCATAAATTTCCCTCTACACGCTGCTTTAAATGTGTCCCAGAGATTCTGGTATGTTGTGTCTTTGTTCTCGTTGGTTTCAAAGAACATCTTTATTTCTGCTTTCATTTCATTATATACCCAGTAGTCATTCAGGAGCAGGTAGTTCAGTTTCCATGTAGTTTAGTGGTTTTGTGTGAATTTCTTAATCCTGAGTTCTAGTTTGATTGCACTGTGGTCTGAGAGACAGTTTGTTATAATTTCTGTTCTTTTAAATTTGCTGAGGAGTGCTTTACTTCCAACTATGTGGTCAGTTTTGGAGTAAGTGCGGTGTGGTGCCGAGAAGAATGTATATTCTGTTGATTTGGGGTGGAGAGTTCTGTAGATGTCTATTAGTTCCACTTGGTGCAGAGCCGAGTTCAGTTCCTGGATATCCTTGTTAACTTTCTGTCTCGTTGATCTGTCTAATGTTGATAGTGGGGTGTTAAAGTCTCCCATTATTATTGTGTGGGAGTCTAAGTCTCTTTGTAGGTCTCTAAAGGGTTGCTTTATGAATCTGGGTGCTTCTGTATTGGGTGCATATATATTTAGGATAGTTAGCTCTTCTTGTTGAATTGATCCCTTTACCATTATGTAATGGCCTTCTTTGTCTCTTTTGATCTTTGTTGGTTTAAAGTCTATGTATTAGTGTTTTAACGTGGTACTACTGTGCATGACACACACATCTTTTTCCACATGTGGCTTACCACATGAGTTCAACAATATACATACAACATTGTCTATTTCCCATACAATGAAACAAGCCCACTAATCAGGTGCTTTAATGTCAGGACAACATCACATTTCCATAAAAGTTTCTGAGCATTAGAATTTCTGTACTTTTCACAGACTGGTAATAAATAGTTCCCAAATCAGAGCTGGGGAAGCTGGTTTAGTTCCTGTCTTTGGGCTGTGAGTTTGGGTACAATTGTATAGTATTTGGGGGTACTGTCTAGTATTGCTTCTTCATGCACACAGTATCATTAGATTCAAACATGCAAAAATTGTTGTAGTCTCTAATTGTATTATATATGTTTTGCATCCTTGCATTTACACTCACTGCTTTCTCCCCGGGAAGCTTCTTCTACCCCTAATCACGTACCTAACACCTGTTTCTCCTTCAGTCCTTGCTTCTAACATCATCTTATCCAAAAACACATCCATTAATCTGAATTCTTTACGCCTCCTCTATGGTCTATAGTGCGTCATAATCTTTACTGTGTAGTGTAAGCAAGGACTCACTTGTTGCTATCAGTCATGGCCTCAGGTGATTTTCTGAATGCTAAGTGTGATCAATTGCTATGACTCAAGATCAATGTGATAAGCTGGAAAATGAAAAAGGATTATGGTATGTAAAGGAAAAGAGTACAATAAAAAAGAAAATATGCAAATGCCTCACATATAGTTAGGAGAAGTATGGTTTTTTTGAAACTTTTGTTTGGGTTAAACACAAATATTTGTTTGCTACATAAGATGTACTTCTTTCTGGGAGTTATTGTCAAAAAAGCTTGAAAGCCACAGCACCAGATTATAAGCGCTTCTCTATCTTGTCTCCTCAGTCCGCAGCAACACTGCTAGCATGTTGTAAACAATGAGATGTTTGTTGAATGACTAAGTATAAAACCTTCCAAGTTAATTAAGTTAGAAAAGTTTTCTTTCATTTACTAAATTCTAGTATTTTAAAAAGAAGTTATTATTAAATTATAATTACAATGTAGTGTTTTTGAAATCATTATAGTGCTTAAGATTAATGCTTGCATGTTCATCTCTTGAAACTTTAAATTTTCTCTAACACATCTTTCCTATATTTAGGAAAGAGATGCCTTAGTTATCAATTTTTGGTCAAACATCATGGAAATTGATAACTCAGAAAGATTAATATATTTTTTCCACTCAAAGGCTCTTGTCTAAAAATTAGCACAAGTATTTTATTAAGAGTTATGCTTAGCATCAGTGATTTTGCACCTCCCTTCCCCATATACACACACAAAGTACAGTTCAGTGCTGTTCTTGCTAACATTTAATTGCTATTTCAATGTAATTATCATAACCCTGTTAACTCCAGGCCTAGGTGGAAAGTTAATTTCAACACACTCTGAATTTCATCCTTAGACCTTTCTGTGGCATGTGGATGCTTCTGGATTCCTATGCTTATGGAACAGTGAAATGTGCGGGAAAGAGCCCACTATCATATGTGGAGCATGCAGGTCTCTAGGCTCTGCTCTTAATCTAACTGGCTTATTAACCTGATTATATGTGGTTAATCTCCTAGCATATTAGTTTCTTCAAATGAAAGGTGCTCCCCAGTTCCAACTCAAGCTCTGATGTTGTGGGAATCAGGCAAGACAATTTCTGAGGTGCCTTCTATCTTGCATTTAAAAATCCTGCTTTTGTTTTAATCTCTAGTGGAAAACATCTTTCTCTAATTGGAGTTTCCAATAAGACATTGTTTGTTTGTTCGTTTTCCTAATGTATTTTTAAATTTTCTTTTTCCTACTCATGTGCAAAAATATAGTGATTGCTAGCATTGAATATCTCCGTATTTCTTCCTCAATAATGTGTTTTTCTTCACCTGATAACCTTTCCATCTTTTTTAAAAAATAAAATTATCTTTAAGTATTCATTCTTCTATTAAGCATTTGGTTTACACCACTGGCTACCAGTGTGACCAAACCTTAGAAACGACTGAGGAATTTTCTAAAATATTGGTGGCTAAACCCCATTCAAAGACAATTATTTGAGACTAGAGGTCAGACTTGGGCATGAGTATGAATTCCACAGATGATTCTAATTTTGGTTGAGGTTGAAAACTTTACACTAATATATATTGGTCTCTTTAGAAACTCACAGGATTACTTATCAACCTTTCTAAATATATATTATTTTTCTAACAACTTTAGCTAAAAGTACAGTGTGTGAGCTATAGGTTAAGAAAATGTTTAATGGGAAAACAGATTTACAGTATCTCAGCCATAGTGTATTTTTATGAAAAGTACCCATGATAAATATGTGAATATGAGAGAAAACGGTTATCCCAATTTTTCCTGGGATAAACAGAAGTAAAGTATCTCCTGGTTATTGGGTAAAATAACTAAAGGATTAGGTAGAACCAATCAAAGGTAAAAAATAAGTTGCCAAGCACCTAATTGCAGGTAATAATCTTCTTCATTTCAGTGTGCCATCCTCTTTTCGATTTGCTACATGGTTGTCCCTAGAAATTTTCAAACAGCTCTTGATGATGGCAATTGCGAACCTTCCATCTCCTTTTCTGCTCTATCTCAATGTCAGCATGTGCCATATTGTTTAAGTGAAAAACAGGACCTTCTTTGGTGGCATTTAGAGAAGAGCTAATGCGTTAATCTTGGACATACTCTATATCCAGGTGACACATTCAAGAAGACATGGTGAGCATGACTTCCCATGAAAACATCAGTGGCTGAGAACCTAGTGAGCAGGACGTGAGAGACACCCACATCCTAAACTAGCATTATTTCTTTAGGAATAGGTTAGTCAAACTGTTTCTTACTTTTAATTAACCAGTAAAGGAACTTAAATATATACATTTTCAATGCTTTTCCATGTTGTGAATGGCCTTTAGAATAAGAATGCCTGTTTTTCCTTTTTAAATAACTTCCAAAATCTAATCTACATGTAAATTTGTCTTTCAGTTGAAGATCTTAAGGGCCACTATTTAGCCAAAATGGCATTTTCATATGGGAAAATCTTGATATTCTTTCAGAAAGTTTGGTTTGGGTGTCATTAGTACTCTCAGAGAACAGTACTGTGGAAATTATAGCAGTGCTAAGTGAGCGTGACTATACATTCAGATCAATATGTGACGGTGATAGAAAATGCAGAGCATACCTAATCCAGCTAACTATGCCCCTGACAGATGCAGTGTGAGCACTGTGTCATTGGTGCCTTTCCTTTCTTTATTCGCATTATCCATCAGGACAGCCCATGAGGAAATGCCTGGAAACTGTGGAGCTCTCTGTAATAAGCCACAACACTAACGAGGCATAACAAATTTAGCAAGTATCGTGTATAATCTTGATCTCTCATTGACACTATTACCCATATAGATTACACATTGCCATTTGTTACCTGCTTAATGCAGATGAAACGAGAGGGTGTAGCTGAGTTACTTCTTTCAGAATTAAACATTTTAAAATAAATTGACATCCTCTGAGACAAAAACTCAGTAATTCTGCCCTCTGTTTTTGCTGCTGTAGCCTATCAGCAGGGTTGGCTGGCTGTTTTTACAGAAGGTCAGCCAGATTTTGTCTTTCTCACAGTTTCAGTTTCCTCCTGGGATTGGGGGCCTAATATATTTCTGTAACACGCCAACTGAACCCAAGATAAACAAGTGCCCAGAGAAACATGGCCCTAGTATATGCTTCTCTGCAGTTCAAAAATTTAGAAATCAGATGTCTGCAGTGATCCTTGTCTGTAGGAATTATTGAGCCTCAGCTGAGAGGAGATTTTGGTGAGGCCCTGTGTCAATGATGAGATGTCTGATATAAACTAATAATAATTTGTAAACAATCTATGCATAATACTATCTCATAGAAGATTTTTAAAAATGTAAATTCATTACTTTTCAGATGACCCCTTTTCAGATGACCTCCTTTTCAGAAAGAGCCAAAGGTTACTTCCATTTTACAGATAAATGCATTTTCTAGACAGAAAAGTCATTACAGGAAAAGAAGGGAAGTGTGTTTACTCTGATTTAGCTTTGAGATTTCCTGCAAGTGGGGAGACAATCATGAGTATGCATACGTACAAAATACATACAGAAAAGTCAAGAGATAAGAAAGATGTACAAGGTCTCTTGTTTCTCTTATTCTAACAAAATTTTTGGAATGAATTTTATGTTTATTTCTGCTAAGTTTTTCTCCACCGAGAAATCTGTGCTGGCTACAGTATTTCATGTAAATTCAGACTCAAGAATGACAAAATTATAACTCATATTTTCATTCCCTCCAAATCCTAAATTTTTAAAATAAAAAATAAATATTTTAGTTAATTGCAAGTTAAGTCTACTTGATCATATTAGATTAAACAAACTGAAAGGGGTTAGACTAGGATAAGGTACCAAAAAAAATAGTGTTCACATAAATTATAATTAAACATGTATGGAGTTTCCCATAAAGGGCAGTGGCCATACACCCAGCAAAAATAAATGCCTGTAACTCAGAACTTTTGCTACGTTTTCACTACCAAATACTGATGTGCTCCAGTGAAAATTCTCATTTAGGAGTTCTGGGTGTTCGGGGTGGAGTGAGAGGAAGGGAAGACAGGGCAGAGATTTACAAACATAATGTTGCCCACATCCCAGTTTTACTTGGTACTAGTCCCAATTTCATAGGTTGAAATTTTCATCTTCATTATGTTGCTGGGCCTATACTTTCTATGTAATTTTCCCTTCTTTTCTCTATTGCCTCTTTCTGTGTTTGTGTATTTCTCTTTAATATTGACAGCTGTTGTTTGCAGTGGTCTTTGGAATTACAAGTCTTATATTCTCCCAGGTTAATGGTGTAACGGAGAAAAGCAAGTCTGTAGAAAACTAGCATTTATAAATTTTCCTTAGCCTATGTGCAAGATTGTTAATAGATTAGTAGTATTGATCATTTTTCTGTGATCCTGTAATGTAAATTATTAAAGATTGAAACAGATAAATTGTTTTGTCAAGTACTGCATTATATAATATCTAAAATCAACTAACTGGAGAGTGACACGGAGGGCTGCCCTCAGGTTTCAGGGCAGAATGGTTAGAGTGGTTGGATTTTTAAGGTCAAAATTGTTCTTGAATGGTATCAATTCTAATTTAATTGCAAAAGCATGAAGAAAGAATGAAAACAAAAATTTTCTTTAGTGTTTTGAAATACATTGGTTGATAGAGTTACCTTTGTAGAAATGAAGATTCAATGGTGTGTAACTGCAGCTGCCTTTCAAGGAGCAGTATCACAGGTGCAAGACTTATTTTCCCGTCAATAAGGTGGCAAATAATTGTTGGGGGCCTACTATGTGCAAGGATCTGGAATAGTTACTCTAATTAATTCAGAGAATGAGATGAATTGCATGAGCATCTAGTGACAGAGGCTGGTGTAGGTAGAGATCTTAATAAGTTTGAAAAACAGAGTGAGTCTTAGCTAAAAACACATTTCATAGTCTGTTTTTCTTTTTCTCAGAATATAGCATTTTGTAATTATAGTGGTTTGTTAAGCACTTGAGTGTATGTTATGTGTGCGCTCCTAGGAAGAAAGCAGACTCAATTAATAGAGTAAACAAATATAAGTGGAAATTTTGAAAGCCTCAAACATTTAAATTAAGTCAAGCCTGACCTTTATTTAAGGTTTATCATCTACTTCCTAGTTGTTTTTATATGTCTATTAAGCAATGTTTCATTGAATATCTTATCACTTAGACATGTCGGATAGAATAATTTGCCTGCTAGCTATGAATGGACAAACTTGCAGATCTAATTGTTTGCTTTGGTATTAACAAAACATTATTGCATTCTGACTAAGAAATATGCTTACTCCATCAATTTGACTGTGAAATAAGCATTCACTCTCAAGACTTTAGACTTTACTTGGGTTTTTAAAAACTGAGCCAACAGAAATTCAGCTAAAGTTGTTTCAATAGACATGTTATTTAAAATTTTTATATTCCAAATGTTTATCAGAATCTTATTAAGTCTTCATTGTTTTTTAAATGGATGAATGTTACTTTTCATGAAACAAATAGGCATATGATTTAAAATGTAGCAGTCTACTATAATTGAACGTATTAATTTTTTTGAAATAAAAGTACTATTTTTAAAAAGAAACTAGACTGCTCTCTGAAAAAAAAAAGTCTTAACAATATATAACTAATGTATTCTTCTTTGAATTAGACATTAACAGAAGTAATAATAAAAATGTTATTTAGAAACAGGCAATTCTCAGGTTTCAGATTGAGTTCTATTGAAATCAATTTCACTTTAACTTTTTTGTGAACTATGTAAGTAGAATATTCTGAAGAATTATCTGAAAAACTACTAGAGAATTTACTTAAAAATAGATTTGAATTAGGCTGAAATCCAGAATTAAAACACACACACACACAACAGTTTGAACACATTGAAACCAGTTTCAGTTTACATTCTAAAAATGCATCATGATTTATTTCAGCTCAATTCCACAGGCAACCATTGAGTGCATACTACTGTATAGTAGTTTATAAATGGTTCATTTTAGAACTTTTAAAAATATTTTGCATTCCTTTGTCTTAATTAAGTAAAAGGCTGTATATTCACATCTTGGAATCCAAGAACAACACTGTTATTGTTATAAGTACTATTTCAATATATTTAATAGATTCATAATTCCCAATTTACTTATTTTAAATAGGACTTGGTGCAACAAAATTCTAGTACACTTATAAAATGTTGTCACTCTTTTGTGCTTTAGTGGAGAAAGCATTTGGCTTGGCATCAGAAATGCTGGAATCTTGACCAGATTCTATAATTCTGTGACTTCAGGTTGGGCCCTATAGCTGGTAAAGAGCTTGTTAGGCCCTGTGGGGCTGGAAGAGCAAGGTCCAAACGAGGAATGTTTTCACGCCTGAGTGCTCTATACTGTGCTGTTCTCTACTGGCTTCTTGTATGCTGGGCGATTCAAAGGTAATGAGGTACACCTGGCTAGGATGAGGGGTCTCTAGCACATCTTCAGATGACTCTAAGTACAGGAGTACTAGAGTCCTACGAATATGAAGCTGGGCTTGGAGGGTAAATTTCAGGTTCCAGAGGTCTGATGAGATTTCCACGCAGGCAGACCTATCATCCTCAAGGTGGCCTACTGCTGAGGATTGTCTGGAAGGAACCCAAATGTTATACCTTCCCCAGTCATTGGATGCTATTGCTGATCTCTCTGTGTATCATAACTGTGCTGACTTCTTTTTATAGTCGTTAAGGAGGAGAATCTTTTTAGATTCATCTCATTGTTTGTGTGTCTGTTTCTAATTTCTTCATCAGTCTGAAGTTTTTGTTATTGATGTTTGCCAAGACAGTAGTTCTACAATGACCCTTGAATATGCCTTTTACTTTTCATAGTCCATACATTTGGCCTCTTCCCCTTTATAAATATAATTGGAACTTGTGGTCTCTAGATTGCCTTTCAACTCTAATATTCTATTGCTCTCCAAGTGGAAAATCCATATTTGTAGAGAAATAAGTTGTATTCTCTATATCCTAACCCAGAGTTCATGCTGTATCTCTCTTGTGATGAAAAGTCCTAGGCTGCCATTGATTTCTAGAAATGTGTGGGTGTTTTATATTGTCCCTAAGTATCATGCTAGGATCTGGGAGCACCTTGGCCAGATAACAGACTCTAATATCTGGGCTGAACCTATGGGTTGACCTTTGCTTTCTCTCCCAGTATATATTACTAGATTGATGTTCATTCTGGAGGGAGTGCCCTTTCAAACTAGGAATGCCAATATTATAAAGTAGCAAATATATATATATTTAGTATAATAGGGTTTTGTGATCTGGTACACAGAAGACTCTTTTTGCTTTATTTGCCCTCTGTGTTTTTTCTCTAATCATGGAGAAAGAACGTGTTCTGAGGAAGAGCAAGAACTGTGTCAGCAGGGATAAAGTTGAATCAGGAGGACACACAGAATCAGCCTGGGCTTGGAAAAAAAATAGAAAATTGCTAGTATGTTAAATGAAGAAATTTAGTACATGATCTTGGTTATGTAGATGTTGTAACATTGGAGGAGCAAAACATGGAAGATGGAGTAATCTAGAAATTAGTAACCACTTTTAGATAGGGAAACACAAAGGAAGACATGAGGTTACCAAAACCTGGGAGTGTGGAAAAGGGGCTGATGCTTCTGGCACGGGGACCCTGATGAGGGGCTACTATGACAGGGCTGGGGAAATGGGAGAGAAGCATCAGGAACTGGAATGGTGGAAAAGACCAGGGATATAGCCACTTCCAGGGATCACCAGAAGAAAGAAAAACAAGAGAGGTAAAAAATAAGAACAATTGCTCCTCTTCTCACAACTGCTGATTTTCCATGAGTGGCTTCTATTAGTAAAACCTAGGAGACAGTGCACTAGCAAAGGAACCTGGAAATGCAGTTTTTGCATTTTTAGCTCCAGCATTACAAAGTTGTGTAAATTAAATGAGTGTATGCATGTAGAATGCTTACCACAAAATACCTAGTCCACAGATTGGATGTATCTCCAATGCAGGAATCAGTATGATGAAATATGTGTTTTCAATCAATTTTAGCTTCTTGTCCAGGTTGGATTTGTAGAGTTGCTTAAGGAAGACCTAGCAGAGCAAGGTCAGATTTCAGACAGTATCTTTGGAACTATCAGATATGCACCATATTGGTCCTCTCCACCTCCCTTACCTGAGGGCTTCAGGCCTTCAAAACTCTGCTTCTCATCTAAGAGGAGCAATGACTTCTGATTGGTCTGTTCCTTGTCAGTCATGTGTGGGATGGGAAACATCACATTAATGAATTTGCTCATTGGAGCAATCCCTCCACCTTTCATCTTTCTTCCCTTTCCTAACTTAAATCTTTGTGTACCTGTACATGTGTGTGAGCGTCTTCATTTCCAGCCACCACAGGACTCCTGAGTGTCTCCACATGACATTTAGAATGTCTTTGTCCTCATCGCACACACATTCACTAGGCACAAGAGATTTCAAGGCATAATTATGCAATGGTTTCTTAATATTTCATGAAGTCTATCCAGTACATGTGTATATTTAAACAACTTAAAATTAACACTCATCCTTTAATACAGAGCAAATAAATACAAGCAGTCAAGCACATCTGGAGGATGAGTGTTCCCTTGCATCATTTCATTCCTTTTCAGGGACAAGTCCATGTAGTTATAAATTCCCTCAGAAAACTGAATCCCTTTTTTATATTTTAACCAGGGGCAAAGATCAGAATTCCTACTAGAGGGAAAGAAGTTAAAGTAAACAAAACTAGTTCTAGAAAATACTGTGGCCAACATGATGAAACCCCGTCTCTACTGAAAATACAAAAATTAGCCGGGCGTGGTGGTGCGCATCTGTAATCCCAGCTATTCTGGAGGCTGAGGCAGGAAAATCGCTTGAACCCAGGAGGCAGAGGTTGCAGGGAGCCAAGATTGCGCCACTGCACTCCAGCCTGGGTAACAGAGTGAGACTGTCTCAAAAAAAAAAGAAAGAAAGAAAGAGAAAAGAAAACAAGAAAGAAAAAGAAAGAAAATATTGTGGCCACATCTAATTATTAGATATAATATCTAATAATTAGATATTATATTTTTCTAATGGTTGTTGAAGGAACTCAGGTTGGCTGTGCTTAGTTTCTCCATTTTATAAAGTCACCATTGTATTAGATTTTGAATGGGAAGGTGTAACCACTTAGTCTAAATAAAATTATCAGATCACTACTAATAATTTTATTCTTGAAAATATATTCATGGAAAGGAAATAGCTGTGCATCCTTGGTGTGAGAACCTCTCTAAAGTCTCATTTGCTTCACCTGCTCTGTCTGGAATCTGGCATTGCTGGCCAGTTCCTCACTGTCTCCCTGGCTGCAGTTGCCAGTAGACAAACACTTCCTGCCCGGCCATTAGACTCACTTTGGTGTTCTTCTCCATGGTGAGTCTGACTCAGCCTGACCTTGTAGATTGCTGGCCCCAGTTCACTTGACCTCAAGAACCTCCTTGCTCACTCCTGCCTTGCACGACTCCTTGGCTTCTAGACCCTCCACTTCCCCTGACTCACTTCTAGCTGCAAAATCCTTAGCGCCCGGCCAGGTTTCCAGGCACTGACCTCTGGCAGATCTGGATGTTTAACCAGCAGCCTGTCTGGCTCTGCCTTAAACTTCTACCTGACTCCAACAGATTTCTTCAAAAACATTTTAAGTTAGCGTTCAAGTGCTAAAGAATGGGACAAATGCAAGTCACCAGTGTCAATGGCTGGCTGGTTGCTTGGGGACAAAAGAACTCACAGGATAGCTTTGCCTGGTAACTTCATAACTTCACTGAGGTCCATGGACAGCCAATGAAACATATCATTTATCACGAGAAGTCACACTTATATTCTCATTTAAATCTGTAGTGCCATCCCGCATCTCTAGTTCCATTTTTCTCTGCATTTTCCTTATTTAGGTTAAGTACTTGTTTATCTCTTTTACTGGTCTTTTAAATAACGTGTTGTGGTATTTACTTACCTGTTTTTTTCTTATATATACTTATCTGTATATCAGTATATACTTATCTGTATATCAGTATATACTTATCTGTTATGATAATAAATTAATTTCATTAATTTTGTTGTTAATTTTATCTTCCTTTTTCTCAGTTATTTAGTAACTTCCTATTTCTCTTAGTTATTTAGAACATAGACTTTGTAACCAGACTGACTGCCCAGGCTATAAACTTGGCTCTGCTGATTACTAGGCATGTAATCTTGGATGAGTTGTTTAATCCCTCATGACTCAGTTTCCTCACCTATGAAACAGAAACAATGATAAACTTACCTCATCAAGTTGACACTCATGGCTACTTTGAAATTATAATAATTATTAGAACCCACCACCAGAAATTGTTAATGCCATCATTATAAAGCATGTATATTATGTTATTACAAATTTATTTTATACATATGCTGATAATCATAATTCAATTTTTTATAATTCTTTGTAATTTATTTTATGTATCTACATTTATTTTGAGATGAGCTTTGTAGGATTCACCAATCTGCCAGAAGTTTCCGTGGCACAAACAAAGTTAACAATTCCCTGCCTTACAGAATGGCAGAGCAGCAGGTTGAGAGGAACTTAGATTCTGGGATTATTCCTTAGAATGCCCTTCATTGTCTTCTCTCCTCTGGAGTATTACAAGAGAGAAATAAATTTCTCTCTTTGGGGCTATTGTACTTTGAGGTATAGCATCAAAACACGTACTCTAACACCCTAAGCCTCAAACTTTCATGCATGCAGATATCTTATTGCACTTTGAAAGTGAAAGCTGTTGGGGCTGTGTTTGATATTTTTGGGTTGCATTCCTCCCTGACCCCTCCACCTCTGACCGGTAGACATTATTCCACCACCTTCTAACATTCAGTGTTTCAGATGAGAAGTACAATGCCAGTGCAATGTTTCTTTCCTTTGTAAGTAATTTCTTTATTTTTTTCCAGAAGCTCGTAACAATTTTCTCGTAGTGTTCAGACTCTAAGACTTTTACAGTTGAATATATTTTATTATCTACTCCTCCTGGAATATAAAGAGCCTTGTCTGCAAACATGCTTTTCATGTCCTTTAGATAATTTTCTTTTATATGTTTATTAACTACTGATATGGTTTCACTCTGTGTCCCCATCCAAATCTCATCTTGTAGCTCCCATAATTCCCATGTGTTGTGGGAGGGACCCAGTGAGAGAGGATTGAATTGTGAGGGCAGAGCTTTCCCGTGCTGTTCTTGGGTTTGTGAATGGGTCTCATGAGATCCAATGGTTTTAAAAATAGGAGTTTTCCTGCACAAGCTCTCTCTCTCTTGCCTGCTGCCATGTGAGACGTGCCTTTCACCTCCCGCCATGATCGTGAGGCCTCCCCAGCGATGTGGAACTGTAAGTCCAATAAACCTCTTCCTTTTGTAAATTTCCCTGTCTCAGGTATGTCTTTATCAGCAGCATGAAAACGGACTAATACAACTATTGTCCTTTATCTTTTTTCTTTTAAAGAATTCAATCATTTTCATGTTAAGTTTCCTAAATGTATCTTGTATTTACCTTAGTTTTTTTTCTCAAATGGCTTTTAACTCTATTTTTACTTGTATTTGAGATATTTCTTGTACTTATTTGGGTCTCAAAACTGACCATCCTCTATTTCAGTTTATCTATAGACCATTTTCAGCTTGAATATCATTTTTCTTTTCCCTCTGGGAACTCTTCTTATTTTGTTTTTCCTGTACTTGACATCTTAATTCTCATTTCATACATCAACTATAATGTATATAGTTGAAAGAAATGGAAAGCATGCATGACAGAGGAATGATTTAGGCAGAAAGGAATTGTAAAAAAGGAAACAAATGAAAAGGCTAGGAATAAAAACAATATCAGAGGGGAAAAAATTCCTCTATGGGTAGATCAGCAGACTGGACACAGCAGAAAAAAGAATCAGTGGACTGGAAGTTAGCTTAATAGAAATTATCTAAACTGAAATACAAGGAAGCAAAAGAGTAAAGGGAAAAACAGCCCATAGCATTCAAAGTCTGTGGAAAAAAATTATATAGTTTAACTCGTATCTAATTGGAAAGCCAGAAATAGAAGAGAGGAAATGGGGCAGAAAAAATATGTGAAGAGATAATGACCAAAAATTTCCAAAATTAATGAAAGACAATAAGTCATAGATCTAAGAATCTCAGATAACCCAAAGCAGGAAAAATACCAAGGAACACACACACACACACATACACTTCCCAGTTAAATAGCTAAGATTTGAAGATAAAAAAAAAATCTTGAGGGTAACAAAGAAAGAAATGTTACTTGTATGAGTCAATCATAAAATTACAACTGAATTGTCTTCAACATGCAATAAAAGCCAGAAGACAATATAAACAGTGTGTTAAATGGCTGAAATACACACACACACAAACACACACGCAGCACCCCCACCATTACCACCACCACCAACAACAACAAATAACATGTCACCTAGAATTTTATTTTTTTTTATTTTATTTTTTTTTTTTTTTGAGACGGAGTCTCGCTCTGTCGCCCAGGCTGGAGTGCGTGGCGCGATCTCGGCTCGCTGCAAGCTCCGCCTCCCGGGTTCACGCCATTCTCCTGCCTCAGCCTCCCGAGTAGCTGGGACTACAGGCGCCCGCTACCACGCCCGGCTAATTTTTTGTATTTTTAGTAGAGACGGGGTTTCACCGTGTTAGCCAGGATGGTCTCGATCTCCTGACCTCGTGATCCGCCCGCCTCGGCCTCCCAAAGTGCTGGGATTACAGGTGTGAGCCACTGCGCCCGGCCTCTTTTTTTTTTTTTTTGGTGGAGTTTCGCTCTTGTTGCCCAGGCTGAAGTGCAACGGTGCGATCTTGGTTCGCTGCAACCTCCGCCTCCCGAGTTCAAGTGATCCTCCTGTCTCAGCCTTCTGAGCAGCTGGGATTACAGGCATGCACCACCACGCCTGGCTAACTAACTTTGTATTTTTAGTAGAGATGGGGTTTCTCCATCTCGGTCAGGCTGGTCTTGAACTTCTGACCTCAGGTGATCCCCCCAACTTGGCCTCCCAAAGTGCTGGGATTACAGGGGTGAGCCACCACACCTGGCTGCTAGAATTCTATTCTTTAAAGTACCCTTCAATATTAAAAAAGAAATAAATGCATTTCAGGCAGACAAAAACTGACAATTTATCCCCAGCAAACCTATACTATAATAAATTCATAAAGGAGTTTTATATCCAAAAAGGACATACTATCAGATAGAAACTTGATTCTAAAGAAAGGAATGGAGAAACCCAAACAAAAGTGATCAGCCAGTAAGCATAAAACATCTTTTTTTTTTTTTTTTTTTTTTTTTTTTTTTTGAGACGGAGTCTCACTCCGTCACCCAGGCTGGAGTACAATGGTGCAATCTAGGCTCACTGCAACCTCTGCCTCCCAGGTTCAAGTGATTCTCCTGCCTCAGCCTCCCGAGTAGCTGGGATTACAGGCGCCCGCCACCATGCCCGGCTAATTTTTGTGTTTTTAGTAGAGACAGGGTTTCACTAGGTTGGCCAGGCTGTTCTCGAACTCCTGACCTCAGGTGATCCACCTGCCTCGGCCTCCCAAAGTGCTGGGATTACAGGCATGAGCCACCGTGCCCGGCCAAAATATCTTTTAAAAAGTTACCCTTTCTTTTATACATAAACATAATTAAATCTCCTTTAAAATCTGTTGGTTATTTAAAGTAAAAATAATAAAATGTGAGCATGAGTTTTGCGGTAAACATAGAACTAAAATGACAAGAACAAAAAATGGGAGCACAGTAATATACATATGTGTATATTGTTATAATGTTCTCACTTTTTATGACACAAAATATTTTTTGAGTATAGAATGTGGTAAGTTGAAGATGTATATTGCAATAAATAAGCTGACAACTAAAAAATTAGCACAAAGAGACATAAATAGAAATCTATTGGAAGAGGTTACATGAATAATAAAATATATTTAATTCACCCCTAGCAAAAAAAAAAAAAAAAAAGACAGAGACAGAGAAAAAGGGAAAAAGAGAGCAGAGAAGACAAAGAAAAATGAAACATAAATACAATAAACTTGAAAAATGATATATTAATTACAGCAAATGTAAATGGACCAAACATTTAAAAGAAAAACATTGTCTGAATAAGAAAGCAAGTGAAATGCATATGCATCCAAAGACAAGGTTCCTGCATATATAAGGGGAACATTTTTAGGGAATTTAGGTGAAACTTCAACAATAATTGGAAACTTTAGCTAGCTCTCTCTGTAATAAAACAAGCAAATAGACAAAATTTAGAAAGACACAAAAGATTTAAACTACACTCTCACCCAAGTTGACCTGATTGATATTTATGGAACCATACACCCAACACAAGCAGAATACATATTTTTCTAAAGTGCAAATGAAATATTGGCTCAGATAGACTACATGCTGTGTCATAAAACAAGTCTTAATATATTTCAAAGGACTAAAATTATACAGAATATGTTTGTGAACCACATGATGCTAAACAAGAAACCAGTAGTTATAAGATTAGTATATTTTTTTGTATTTTAAGAAATGGGGTTCTTGCTCTGCTGTCCAGGCTGGAATGCAGTGGCATGATCATGGCTCACTGCAGCCTTGAATTCCTGGATGTGAGCAATTCTCCAACTTTAGCCTCTAGAGTAGCTAGGACTACAAATGTGCATAACTGAGCCCAGCTAATTTTTTTTTTCCCTGTAGAGACAGGGACTTAGCTTTGTTACTCAGGCTGGTCTTGAACTCCTGGCCTCAATTGATTCTCCTGCTTCAGTCTCTCAAAGCACTAAGATTATAGGCATGAGCCACTGCACTTGGTCAAGTAATACTTTTAATTAACCTATGAATCAAAGAAAAAATCTTAAGGGAAATTAGAAAAAAATTATAAACTCTAAAATACTGAAAACAAAAATATAAATATATGTGGCATGCAGAAGAAGCAATCATTAGAAGAAAATCTACATTAAAATTATATATTTTATTTAAATATTATTTACAAATAAATGTCATAGATATGTATTAGAAATTTGTGTTAGAAAAGAGGAAAAAGGTAAAACTAATGACCTTACTTTCACCTGAATAATTTAGAAAGCAAAGAACACATTAAACATAAGGTAAATATAAGAAAGAGAATAATAAAAAAGTGGAATTCAATGAAATTGAAGAGAAAAAACAATAGAGAATATAAACAAGGCAAGAATGTGATTCTTTGACAAAGTTAATCAAAATAATAAACCCTAGCAGGACTGATCAAGAAAACTAAGAAAATATCAGAAATAAAATATGGAATATTACCACAGATCCTAAAGATGTTGAAAGGATAATGATGAGACACTGTAAACAACTTAATGCCAAGAAGTGTTATTGTTTAGGAAAAATAGACAAATTCCTTGAAAGATATAAGTTACCAAAACTGACTAAGATAAAATAGAAAATCTAAATAGCATTTTATTACTTTAAAAAAATGAAATTTGTAATTAAATAATTTTCCACATATAAAATTTCAGGTCCATATGGTTTCCTTGGTTATTTTTATCAATGAAGAAGAAATTTTAGCGAATGAATCCAATCAAAATACACAAAGATAATGTATTACGATCAATTTGAGTTTTTCTCAGGAATCCAGGATTAATTCAACATCTGACAAACAGTACATTTAACCACGTTAGCAAATAAAAAAGAAAAAAATGATTATTCTAATAGAGACAGAAGCTAACATTTAACAATCTACTATATGCATAAAATTATCAGCAAATTGAGAATAGAAGATAAACTTTATTGTACTCAGAATGTTAAGAATACTCAATTAAATAACAAAAAAGGCAAACAAACCCAATACAACTTGGTAAAAGACTCAAAAAGATACCTGGGAAAAGAATATATGCAAATTGCTAATAAGTACATGAAAAAGTGCTCGATATATTTACTCATTAAGACAATGCAAATTAAATTAAGGTAACATGAGATACCTACCCATGTATCTACCAGAATGGCAACTTATTTAATCACAGAGTGAAAACACCAAATTTTGCAGAGGATGTAGAACAGCTGAAACTCTTATAAGTTGGTTGTGGAAATGTAAAATAATACCACCATTTAAAAAACTGTCAGTTTCTAAAAAAGTTAAATTCACATCTATCCTATGGTTCAGCAATTTTACTCCTATGTATAGATTCAAGGGAAATGAAAACATTTATCTACCATAAGCTTCATACAAAAAAAGTTCACATCAGTTTTATTTATCATAAACCCAAAACTAGAAACAATCTTGATTTCCTTCAATAGGATAATGGATAAATTCTTTTATGTATACAATAAGATACTCAGTAATAAAAAGAAATAATCTACTAATACATGCAACAACGTGGGTAAAACTCAAAAGTACTATGCTCAGTGATAGAAATCAAACACAAAATATGCATCCTGTATTACTGCACTTATATGAAATTCTGGAATAGATAAAACTAACCCATAGTGATAAAAATCACAATAATAGTTGCTTTGTCATAGGGAATTCATGCACAGGAGAACCAGAGAACTTTTGGGGGTTATAAAAATGTTTTTATATTGATATATGTCGTGTCTTTATCTGTTTTTTCTGCTGTAACAGAATACCTAAGATGGGGTGATCTATAATAAACAGAAATCTACTGGCTTATGTTTCTGGAAGCTGGGAAGTCCAAGATCAAGGGGCTGGAGTCTGATGAGCATCTTCTTGCTATATTATCTTGTGGTGAAAGGGCAAAGAGACAGGCAGAGAAGGAGAGAGAAAGAGAAAGAGGGAGAGAGAGAGATGGGGTCTGGACTTGGCTTTTTATAATGAATTCACTCCCTCAATAACAGCCTTAATCCATTTATGAGGGTGGAACCCTCATGGCTAATCACCTCTTGAAGCTCCCACCCCTTAGCATCATTGAACTGGGGATTAAGTTTTCAACACATCCTTTCAGGGTAGCACATTCAAACAACAGCATTCCACCCTGACCCCCCAAATTCATGTCCTTTTCACATTCAAAATACATTTATTGCATCCCAATAGCCCCAATTAACTTATTTTATCAGCAACTCAAAAGTCCAAAGTCCATAGTATCATCTAAATCAGATGTGGGTGAGACTCAAGGCACAATTCACTCTGAAGTAAATTCCCTTCCTCTGTGAGCATGTGAAATCAAAATGAGTTATTTACTTCCAAAATACAATTGTGGGACACGCGTCAGATCAATATTGCCATTCCAAAGTGAGAAATAGGAGGGAGAAAGGAGTAGCAGGCCCCAAGTAATTCCGTAACCAGCAGTGCAGACAACATTAAATCTTAAGACTTCGAAATAATATTTCACTCCATTACCACCTCCTGGACACACTGAGGGGACAGTTTGGCCCCTATGTCCCCAGATAGCCCCACCCTTATGGTGTTGTTGGGCTCAGCCCATGCAACAGCTCTCATGGGTTGGAATCTCAGGCCTGCAACCCTCCTAACCTGATTTTACACACTGGTACCTTTACAGTTTGGGGGTCTTGGAAGAGGGCCCATCTCTGGGGTTCCATTAAGCATTACCTTGTGGTAGTCCTTACCCCACAGGTCTGCTTGGCATTTCCCTAGTAGGGGCTCTCTGTTGTGCCTCTACCTGTGACAAGTCTCTGCCTGGGTCCCCAGGTTGTCAGCAACATCCTTTGAAATCTAGGTGGAGGAAGTCATGCTCCCACAACTCTTGCATTCTGTACACCTGCAGAATTAGCACCAAATTGATGCCATGGCTTGTACCTTCTGGAGGAGTAGTTGAGCTGTACCTGGGCCCTCTTGAGTCATGACTGGGCAGCTAAAGAGCACTGTACCAGAATGTGGCAACAGAGATTGTCAGTGGCCCTGGGTCGTGAGCCCCAAGCTTCTGAGGGTGCCCTAGACCTTTCTTTAGACATATTTCCTTCCCCATGCCTTAGCATTCTGGGACTGTGATGGTAAGGGTGGCATAGGTAATCTTTGAAGTGCCTTCAGGGTTATTCTTCCATTGTCCTGCCGAATAACCTCTGGCTTCCTTCTATGCATACTAATTTCCTTATCGAATGGTTGTGCCAATCCCTTGGTTTCCTCTTCTTAAAATGCTTCGTCATTCTCTACCATTCTTCCAGGCTGAAAATCCTTCAAATCCCTGAGTTCTGTTTCTCTTTTAATTATAAATTCCATCTTTAAATAATTTCTTCTCATGTTTTACTATATACAGTTAAAAGAAGCAATGTAGCACACTGGATGCTTTGCTGCTTAGATATTTCTTCCAAAAGATACCCCCTTAAATTATACCTTCCACAAAGCCCTTGGTCAAGAACACAGTTCAGCCAGGTTCTTTGCTACTTTATAAGAAGAATAGTCTTTCCTCCAGTTTTCAACACCTTGTTCCTCATTTCCATGGAAATTTTGTTAATTGCCTTTACCATCCATATTTCTACCATAATTCTGATCATGATAAATAATCTCTAAGAAGTTTCAGACTTTCCCTGCAGCTTTCCTTTTCTTCCAAGCCCTCACCAGAATTTCCCTTAATTCTCTATTCATAGTAATACAGTCTTTTTCCAGCCAACTCCTCCAAACTCTTCCAGTCTCTGGCCATTACCCAGTCCCAAAGCCATGTCCACATTTTTAAGTATTTTTTTTTATAGCTACACCCACTCTCCAGTACCAATTTTCTGTCTTAGTTTGTTTTGTGTTGCTGTAACAGAATACCACATACTGAGTACTTTATAATTAGTAAAGATTTGTTGGCTATGGTTCTGGAGGCTGGTAAGTCCAAGATCAAGGGACCGGTATCTAGTAAGGACGATCTTGCTATGTTATCCCATGGAGGAAGGACAAAGAGAAGGTAAGAGAGAGAGAAGAAGGTCAAACTCAGCCTTTTATATCAAAGTGGTAACAGTGTTCATTCATGAGGGTGAAGCCTTCATGACCTAATCACTTCTTAAAGGTCCCATCCCTTAGCATTACTGTACTAAGTTTCCAACACATGCTTTTTGGGGACACAGTCAAACCATAGCAGATGTTAGTATTCATTATATGTAATTTATGCATCAATTTAAAAATGACTATTAATTGCCTACTATGTGAAATGCACTGTTCTAAGTGCTGCTGGAGAAACACCATTAAAGACAGTAAAAGAGATCCTTGGTTTGGTAAAGGAAAACAACAAATAAAAATATAGCTACTGGACATTAATAAATACAATTACTGGCATATATAACTGGGATGATGAGTAGTATTTATTTTGATATAATGAGCACCTGGGAAATGTTGCCTGGTAAGGTAACAAGTGAGCTGAGTTCTGAAGAACGTCAAGGAGCAATCCATGGGATGTGCTGAATGAAGGACATTCTAGGCAGCGGCCCTAAAGTGCTTGGCTCATTTCAAAAACAGAAGAGAGGTTAATGTATCAGCAAAATATTGAGATAAAGAGAAAGTTGTATGGGCTTATGGAGATCTAGGTAGGTATCAGAGTCACCGGGCCTTTGGGGCCATAATAAATAGTGTAGATTTAATCAACATGGCCAGCACTTCTGTTTCTCATAGAATGGTAAGCACCAGATTTGCTTTCTTAAATTAAACAGCTATTCAACCAAGAAGCAAGTATGAAACAATAGGTTTCAACATTAGATAATATGCAATATAAGACTGCATTTCCTGGAAAAAAAGTAGAAAAAAAGGAGGTGAGCTGTATGATTTTCCAAGCTTATTGCCTAGAAGCAGTTTCCACTACAAGAAGCAGAAACTAAACAGACACTGTCAGTCTTCCCGAGAAGGAGACAGAAATTAGTTTGGGGAGACCAACTGGGTGGAGTATTTTTGGCACAGAGTATCACAAAGGAGATGGCTACACTAAGAGAAACCAGCATAGACTGGAAGAGAGAGACTTCCTCAAATCTTTGGTTGTGTGCTAATCTCTGTATAGCAAGGAAAAACTGTCTTAAATCAAGGAAAGAACTGCCAGAAGGGAATAGATCAGACAATTTATGCAGCTCACACAGGATGGGATGAATTTGTGCCAGGCTTAAAAGAACTCATAATGCACAGACAATATTATAGAGTCTTCTGAAGGACAGCCTCTTAGTTAAAGCACTTAAGTTAGTCCAAGATAAAGGCTGCTTTGGAATCACTTTAACAAAGCTTGAAAACAAACCTCAAAAGTATTAAACTTATTCCAAACAAATTAATTGAATACCATAAAAAATTTCAATCTCTATAAAGAACAACATTCAAACCCACCACCTAATAAATAAAATACAATGTCTGGCATCCAATAAAAATTGCTAGACAGGACAAGAGGCCAGAAATTATAAACTATTATCAGGCAGAAAAATCAATAAATAGAAACTCAGAAATGACACAGATAAAAGGATTTAGCAGAAAAAAACATTAAAACACTGATTATAAATATGCTAAATATACTCAAGATGGTAGAGAAAATAAATGAACATGATGGGGGTGGACATGTAAAATAGATTTAAAAACCAAATGGAATGTCTAGAATTAAAATAATGTATTTCAAATAAAAAATAGACCAGATGGAATTAACAGATTAGGCACCACAGAAGAAAATACCTGTGAACTTGTAAGCATAAGAATAAAAACTTGTCAAAATGAAGCACAGACAGACAAGTACTCAGTAAATGAAAAGAGAATAAGTGACATGTAGGACAGCATCAAACAGTGCAACGTAAGTATGGGAAAGAGAGACCCAGAATGTGAGGTGAAAAGGGGAGGACGGAGAGAAACAGAAAAGAAAAATCATATTTGAAATGTTTTCAAACTTGATAAAAACTAAATTTTAGATAAAGAAAATTAATAAAACCAAAGTAAAGAAAACCACACAAATACACATCATCATAACATTTCAGAAAACCAGGGATTGAGTAAAACACCTTAAAGCAGACAAAGAACATAATACATTCAAATGATGAAAGATAAAAATGACAGTAGTTTTTTCTGACAGCATCTATGCAAAATAAAGAAAATAAGGCAACATCTTTTTAAAGAAGTCAAAAGTCAGAAATAGCCAAAAGAAAGAAAAAATAGTCTACAATTCTATCTACACCCAGTAAAATAATCTTTATAATTTAAGAGTAAATAATCACTCATCTAGGGAAAAAGAGAAACTGAGATAATTTGAATTAGAGGTATTTTAAGGAAAGTTCTTCATGCAAAAGAAAATATTAGCAGATAGAAACTAGGGTTTCACAAAGAAATTCTAAGCACCATAATAGTAAATATGTAGGAAAATTGAACAGAATAATATTGAGTACTTAAAAAAGTTTTTAAAAAGATAATTTATTGTTTAAACCAAAACGAATAACAATGTGTGTGGCCCTGATAATGTATCTATCTATCTATAGAAATTAATGTAGGACAATCCCCTCCACTCCTGCTTTGCCACACACACACACACACACATACACACACACACACACACACACACACACACACACACACACAAGGGAGAAAATGAAAATACAAATGAAATGGTATAACATCTGAAAGGAGATTGTGACATATTAAAAATACATATTCTAAACCCTGCAGCAATAACTAAAAAGTAAGTAAACAAAGCATTTATTTAGTAAACCAATTATGGAGATAAAATGAAGTCAAAAAAGTACTCAAATATCAATAGAGGAAAAGGAAAATAAAGAACAGATAGTACAAATAGAAAACAACAAGATGACAAGTTTAAACCTAGAAACAATATTAATTAAATTACATTTTAACCATCTAAACACTCTACCAAAACAGCATAGATGATTAGATTGGATTTGAAAAAGAAAAAAAAAAAAAAGCAAGACCCAGCTATATGCTGTATACAAGAAACTGGTTTTAAATATCAAACCACAGATAGGCAAGAAGTAAAATAATAGAGAAAGATATACTATACTACCCCTAATAGAAAGAAATGTAGAGCAGCTATATTAATCACAAAGTAGGTTTCAGGACAAAGATTATGTCCAGAGTTAAGGAGGAACATTCCATTATGATAAAGAAGCCATTCATCAAGAGAACAAAATTATCCTAAATATTTACTCACCAAATAACAGAGCTGAAACATATAGAAGATAAAACTAACAGGATAAAAAGAAAAAATAAATCCAAAATAAGAGTTGGGCATTTCAACATGCTTTCTCAGTATTTGATAGAACAATTATACAGTATATCAGGAATGATAAGACAACTTGAGCAACACTTTAAAGCACTCTAAACTGATTTATAGTTATAGACCAATCCAATTCAACAGCAGCAAAATACACATTCTTTTCAAGTACTCATGGACTATTAATTAAAGTAGATAACATTGTGGGCAATGTAATATGCCCCGATAAATTTAAAGTATGTTCAGTGACCACCATAGAATTATACCAGAAATCAATAACAAAAAAAATCTGTACAATCCTCAAATACTTAGAAATTTTAAAAAAGCATTTTAAAGAACTCAAAGGTAAAATAACAAGTAAAATTAGAAATACTAATACTAAATGAAAATACGATCTCTCAAACTTCTAATATGTAGCATAGAAGTCATTTCATAACATTAAATGTTTATATTAAAAATAATTATATAAATTAGAAACAAGAAAGAAACAAATATAAAGTTATCAGAATTAAGGAAATAATATAGGCAACAACGGAAGTCAAAGAAATATAGAAAAGCAATAGAAAAAATTAAATAAGCCAGGTTTTTAAAAAGACCAATAACATGGATGAACCTCTAGCCATACTGATCAGGAAGAGAAGTGTAAAGGCATAAATTACCAGTTACAGAAATGACTGTGGGGACATAACTGGAAGACCTGCAGACATTGCAAGTAATAAGGAAATATAATGAATAATGTTGTACCACCAAGTTAGACCACCTAGGACAGACATCTTGAAAGATATCTGTCTTTCAAGAACACTCAAGAAGAATTAGATCACCTAAATAGTCCCACATCTATTGAATTTGTAATTATAAATTTCACAAATGTTTACAGGCTCAGATGGCTTTCCTAATGAATCCTACTAAATGTTTAAGGAAGTAATACCAGTTATATACAAACTCTTTCAGAAAATAGAAGAGCAGGGGTCATTTCCTAGTACATTTTATGATGCTAGGATTACCTCGATAAAATAACCAGGCAGAACAATCTCAAGAAAACCATAGAACAATAGCCCTTATTAACATAGACTCCAAAATTCATAACATAATTTTACCCAATTGAATGCAACAATATATATATTAAAGGATAATACAACATTATTGAATTGGGTTTAACTCAAGAATGGAAGGCTGATTTAACATCTGGAAATCACTGAATACAGCCCACCTATTAGCAAACTTTTAGTTTTTAACAATATGAAACAAGTCCCTCAATGGATGAAAAAAAATATATTAGACAAAACATTGTACTCAATCACATTAGAAATTCTCTGCATACTAGGAATAGAAGGAAATTTCCTTGACCTAATAAAGGTCATCTAAGAAAGCCAGCTATTGTTATATTTAATTAGGAAGATTGGATATGATCTCTTTGAAATTGAACAAAATGGCAAGAGAAAACATTTACCACCTGGAGAAGCTGGAAATGAGACAACAGCTTTATTTTTGAACCCAGCAAGTTGTGGCTCATTTGTGATATACTTAACAGTTTTGGGGGTGTTGTTCTTGGTTTTGGTTTTGCTTTTAGTTCATCTCTCTCCTGTTTCATTTTATTATGGGCAGCTAGAGAAGCTGGGAGGCAACTTTCACACTCTGGAAACCTCTTTAGCTAAATTATCTAACTCATTGGGTACATTTCTATTTTTTATATTACTGTAAGCAACAGTGCTGTTAAAAGTTTTGCTGCTATGTAGCAAGTATCTTTCCATCAGCATCCAATAATCAATCTCCTCACTTTCCTTTATTCCCTCACCAGCAGCCTCCTCAAGGCCCTTCTAGCATCTGCCTATGGTTTAGTCCCAAAGCCAATGCCCATGTTTCAGTTATTGTTACATTAGCACCCCCGTTTAAGGTATCCAAATCATTCTAGTTATCTACTGCTGTGTAATAAGTTATTCCAAATTTCATGGTGTAAAACAAGTTATTCATCATCATCATCATCATTGTGATTTTATGGTTTTAAGGGTTGACCGAACTAAGCTAGACAGATCTTACCAGGATCTCACATGTAACTGAAATCAGATGGTGGCTGAATCTGGAGTCATCTCAGAGACTTCTTCACTTATGTCTAGTTGTTGATGCTAGCTGTTAGCTGGGACCTCAGTGGGGACTGTAATCAAACAACCACAGCTGACCTCTCCATGCGACTTGGCCTTCACAGCACAGAGAGTAGTTTTCAAACACAAAAGCTCCAAGAGTGAGCCAGAAGGAATCTGTATCAACTTTTCTACCATAGCCTGGGAAATCGTGCAGTGTCACTCCTTTCTACATTCCATTCTTTAGAAGCAGGTCTCTTATGGCCACTTATATTCAAAGGGAGAGGAATTCGGCTCCACCTCTTGATAGAAGGAGTGTGAAAGAGTTTGAGGACATGTTTTAAATCAACCACTTTTCAGCATAAATTAGAAAGATACCAACAGAAAAACAACAGGAACCCAGAGATTGCACATATGCTCCTGCAAATTCCTGAGTACTCCACTGCATCTGTTGCTACAAATCTGGGATCCAGATTAGAACTGAGGACACCATTGCATTAGGGGGACACTGTAAGACTTCCTCTTGGCTCTATTTCCTATCCCTGTTCCACTTTAGGTCTGTGTACTATCTGTCTCGCTGCATCCTGCATCTCCCAACTCTGTGTCTGGGGCCTCTTAACAATTTTTCTACCCTCACAATCAAAAGGTACCTCTTGCTGTAGTTTCTGTGATTCCCTTGGTCCTTGGATAAGAGAAAGCAAAGCATCTCTAGTGCTAAGGATTTACGTCAAGTTTGCCTTCTTTCTTGCCCCTCTCTGATCCTGAATATTTATTTTCCTTGTTTCCACGTGTCTAGGCCCAGCTTCGTGCCTTGGCTACAAGAAACAGGTACTTGTCTTCTCTCTCATTTTTTCCCTGTGTTCCTTCCTGCCAGCTGCAATTGTTTTAAAGACGGAAGTGTCCATTTGATCCCTTTTCTTCACGCCTGGGACTCTATCTGCTACTGTCAACATGCCCTTTTCCTGTGCTCTGCCCACCTGCCAGGGAGCCAGGTACTGCTCACCTCTGGCCCTCCTATATGCACCACCTGCCCACCTGGACCTCCAGCTTCTACCTGTCGCCAAGTCCCCTGGACGGCAGGTTCTGCCATCTTTTTGGACTTCCCCAGCTGCTGGGACCTCCTCCAAGAGACTGTTGATACTCCAAGTCTGGCCCTCTCTCCCACTGTGTCTAGTTTCTAGTTCTGATGTGTCCCAAAGAGCATCTCACTTTCGCTCTAGCTGCCATTGCCTCTTCCTTTTCGCTCCTATGATCATGCCCCATTAGAAAAAAAAAATCATAGTGTTAGAATCAAACCGACTTTGCTGTTTCAGTTAGAAACTTGATGGTAATTAGCTCTATTTAGCCATTACATAATGTGTACATATATCAAAATATCATGTTGTAGGTTATAAATATATATATATTTGGTTGTCAATTAAAAAATAAATTAACTAATTAAAAAACTTATATGGCCTCAAACTCCCTCGCCTTCTCTATTGCTTCATTTCTAAGAAAACTGTCTGCTCAGACTTTCCTTGACTGGTTTCTGGCCTTTATTTCCTTTGTCTTTCTTTGGTTACCAAGACCTGCAAGCTCCACACACCTGGCCCAGACCCAGGGTTTCAAATCCTGGCTGCTCTCACAATTTAGTAGTGATCTGGTCCTCAATAATCAGACTTCATCTTGCACACTCAGCTTTCCAGCCCCTTTCTAACCAGTATCACTAGTTGCTGGCCACTTCTGTCTGGGTTTTCTTATTCTATCTGGAGATGATATGAGCAAGATAATTTACTTCTGTAGTATAAACTCTATTTATGCTATTTGTACATAATTTAGATTTGCAATGCATGAGACAATATAACATTTGCTAAATTTTCCTTGACCTCTACTCCACTTAATGGAAACTTGAGAATTTGATTCTAGATTATTATATGTTGTTTTTGTTTCCATAAGACTGCTCAAAGCTGGCATGAATTTTTGATGGGGAGAATAATATAGTTAGCATGTTTATAAATTAACAGTCAAGGAGGTGTACAAACCCGAAATTATTCCCATAGGAAGCAAGTTGCTGGCTCTGACATCGCTTCTCTTTCTTAGCTTGCCAGAAACAGATGTTTACAGTTCTCTCATTTGGGGAATATATCCAGAAGGATGAATATTACCCTTGAGAAGTACAATATACTGTACATGACTTCTTATAAGCAAAGAAGTAGTTTATTTAAGCTTAGAAAAAGTACATGCTGACAACCTGTGCAAAGAAAGGAAAGAATGCCATAAAGCAATCTAAAAGCTTAGCCAGGACTCAACTTCATGGAATTTTTCGAGGCCGGTTGAAAGGGGCAATTGAAATAGTGCTTAGAGTGCCGCAGATGGAATTAGACCTAAAAGACCAAAGTCCTTTCGACACAAAGCCAGTACTTTCTGAAAAGTGAAAAATATCAGTCATCCAGCTGTCTGTTTTGCCCACATTTCACAAAGGAATCCAGTTTTTTTTAACAAATAAAAAACTTTAATTAAGCTGTTTCACTTGAAACGTATTTACAAGGAGCTTCTCATATGCAAAACACTATAGACGCTATGTTTGCATATATGCATAAAAATGGTATATGACAGTTCCTATTTTCAAGGACTTCAAAATATAAATTGCTAGATTCTGAAACATAAGTCTGAAAAATAAGATGTCTGAAAATGAAATTAGTTTGGTTAATTTCTCTACTGCTGCCAGAAAATCTAGCCTACATTTTAATTGAAAGGCATTCTTAGAATAGATAGCTTTTTTTTTTTTCTTTTAAGGTAGCATTCCTGATTTTGCTGGGGGTTGGATATCTGACATGCAACTCACAGAAATGTGTCTGCATTGTTGAATGAATGGAGCCACGCACATATCGGGAAAGAAATGGAACAGCTCAGAGGTTCCAATAGGTAGGGAAAGAGTCGAAGCCACCAGAGCCCAGTGGTATGCAGCAGGCCGAGATGGGATGACTCCCTTTGAACAAAAATGTCATGCTGACCTGGCGGAGAAGATGCCAGGATGTAAACTCTGCAAGTGGTATCTGGCAGCTGCTATCAAAAGGACAGAGTCAATATACAATCAGAGTGACCTGAAACCGCCAATCACACACCACTGTCTTCAGGGACACGAAGCTCCAGCATTTTCAGTATGCAATACTGTCCTTCTCTGCTCATCAAACAAGAAATACTTGGGAATCCTGGTGTCAGTGGGTGTCTTCACATAACCAGTTCAGGCACACTGAGCTGCTGGCCTGTGTGGCTTTGATGCCTGTGGACAGAGGACTATCAAAATAGTCCTACCTAGCATTTGGACTTGACACTTGATGGTCATTAAGACATGTGTCATATTTGTTCCAAATATATAATACACTGAAAGTTCAAGACCCTCTTCTGACCAGAAGTTTTGACAACTTTATTGCTTTACAGTGAATTGGCTGAGTTAAGAATATGATCTGCCTAATATTTTCAGCTGCCAATGATTTAGTTCAGGGTCACCTCAGAGTCAATACTGTTGATCATGCTTGTCAAAATATCTGAGAGAAGAAAAGCCACATTTTATAAAATCATGAGTATGGTCTCACCCAGTAATTCTATATCTGTGACTGTATCGAGAAAGTTTGTGAAAACAGCATTTATGATAGCTAAAAGTGATATAAAATCTAAATGGTTATACAAACTAGGAGTGCTGTATTGAGGAAAGTTTTACAAAAATAAGAACTGTATTTTCAGAAAGAGATTTTCACCATATAATGTTGAACCATAAATGCAGATCACAAAGTTGTATTTATTCAACAAATATTTATTGAATGCCAGCCATGTCGTTGTTCCAGGTCAAGGAGTACTACCGGGGACGAAACCAAAACCCAAAAACCAAAAAGCTCTTCCGTTGTGGATATTACATTCCATGAGGAATATAATGTATTTTATAATGTTCTTTCAACTATATAAACAAACAAAATAAGCAAGCAGAGAAAAGAAACTGAAAGGAAATTGTAGTAGACGCTCCATCCGTATCCCTCAGATCTCTTCACCATTTCTGTGCACACCATCCCCAGTGTGCTTTCCCTCCCAAAGCCAGCACCTGTGTCTCTGTTGAAAGTCTTCTGCCAGGCTGGCTGCAGACCCTGCTTTGCCAGAAGTGCCTGGGAATGTAGGTGCCTCAGGGGTAGCTTTTAACCAATGACTGATGGAAACATGGTGTAAATATTCCATCTCCCTTGTCCAGACTGGGACATCGCTCTCTGTCCTGTGGATTGAGCCAACGTTACCCTCTGTACAACCTTGTTCGCTATCCTACCTTTGCTTCTGGGAAGTTAAACTAAGACTATTATATGACACTAGATGACACATTAATAATAAGCATAGCTTACATTTATGGAGGGCCTCTTATGTTTCAGATTTTAACATAAATTATCTCTCTTAATTTTCACAGCAACATTTTGAGGTAATTACTATTATTATCCTACTAGTATAGAAGAATATAAGACTGTGTGCATTTTCTTTTTCTCCCTTATGTTTCTATGTCCTTTCCAAATTTCTACCTTTATAAGCATAGGGCCCATGAACACTCACTTTCTGGAGTGCTGGGTTTAGTAGCTGCACCTGTGATACACTTTGGGTAGCTTTAGAGCATTACTACTCTTATATTTGAATGCAATTATCTGCCCATCAACAAATGGTAAGTTGATTACATCATCACCAAGGATGGCTATAAATCTCTGTTAATAAATTCCCTTGTGGAAGTGAACAAAAATGTAAGGGTTCAGCTGGATTTCTGCTATTGCCTCTGAAATTGGCTTTATTATCTGAGAGTTTTCATTCAGCCTAATTTAATCTTTCAAAGCCACTTTAGTTTAAAATATTATCTTTTTACGTATTCTTCTGATTTTTCTTCAAAATGTCCAAATTAATTTATTTAAGTTAATGATGAATCACTCTGGTCTTAATGTCACACTTGCATTAAGTGTTGTTAGAAAATAATTGCATTGTCATAACATGTTTACTTACCCAATCATCATTTGTCAAAGCTCATCACAGACCATTTTCTTAACCATAATCTCTACGGCTCTTTACCCCTTCCATAGGACCAAAAGGCAGAAAGGCCTACAAGTGAAATCGAACCACTCATGTGTTAATGAATATGGTTTATTTGTGATGATTTAAGAGCACAGTCATCTAGGAAAGTGATTCTCTACACATCTCACAGTAGAAGTGGTGGACTTGAGCCAGGGCAACACTCTTTTTGTTAGGGCCTAAATCTGTGTGGGTAGACATTCCTAACGTTCTATATTACTTGGATTTTGGTCTCATGGAAAAGAAACCAAATCTTAATAACTTGGGCAAAGCGAGCATTTAAAGAATGGTGAAATCTATGGAAATTTTAAACTGCCAAGCCAAAGGGATAGGAGGGATGTGTCTGGGCCTCAGGAATGCACCTTGGCCAGAAATAAAATCTACAAGAGGATCCTGCATTCCTAAAAATAGTCTTGACTTGGGTTATGGTATTTTCTTTTAACATATCTATATCTTTATTTTTAAACTGCATTTCTGACAAGCAGTATTTAGTTTAGTTTTGCTTTATTATCCATTAAGACAGCTTCTTCTTTTTAACCATTCTTCTTTTTACATGATTTATATTTAAAATAACATCAAATTGCCTGGTTTTAAAATCTACCATTCTGCTATTTATTTTCTAGTTTTCTACCTATTCTTTGTTGCTTTTTACATCCTTTCCTAGCCCCTCTCTTTTTACTTAATTATTTTTAGTGTTCCATTCTATCTTCTCCATGGTTTTGATTGCTATATCATTTTAGTTTATTTCCAGTGGTCTCTTCTGAGTTTATAATATGTATCTTTAACATCACAATCTATCTTTGAAGAATATTAATACTGTTTTACCGAAAAGCCTTGCTTTCATTTTTCTTCCCTCTCATCTTTTGTGCTATTGTGGTCATATAGTTGACATCTGTGAGTGTTACAAACCCTAAAACACATTATTATTATTGCTTTATGTAGTCAATTATCTTTGAAAGACATTTAAATTGAGAAAAATCTCTTTTATATTTACTCGTGTATTTATTAATTCTATTTCCCTGTACATATCTTTCTGTTGATTTAAATTTCCATCTGGTTTCATTTTCCTTCAGCATGAAGAATTTTCTTTAATATTTCTCTCAGTGCAGATCTACTGGCCATTGACTCTCTCAACTTTTTTTAAGTGAACAGCTATGTATTTTACTTTCATATAATTTGAGGTTGATGATTACCTTTTTCCTACACACGAAACTTCTCAGTCTATTGTCCTCTGGCCTGCATTGTTTTCAAGGTGTCATTCTTTTTTTTTGAGACGGAGTCTCCCTCTGTCGCCCATGCTGGAGTGCAGTGGCGCAATCTCAGCTCACTGCAATCTCCGCCTCCCGAGTTCACGCCATTCTCCTGCCTCAGCCTCCCGATTAGCTGGGACTGCAGGCGCCCGGCACCACACCCTGCTAATTTTGTTTTGTATTTTCAGTAGAGATGGGGTTTCACCGTGTTAGCCAGGATGGTCTCGATCTCCTGACCTCGTGATCCACCCGCCTCTGCCTCCCATAGTTCTGGGATTACAGGCGTGAGCCAGCGCACCCAGCTTTAAGGAGTCATTCTTATCTTCATTGCTTTGTATGCAATGTTGCCTTTTTTCCCCTCTGTCTTCTTTTATAATTTTCTCAATATCATTGGTTTACATCAATTTGATTCTGACATACCTTGAGGTGGTTTTCTTTGTTTATCCTGCTACATATTTGCTGGGTATCCAGAATCTGTTGCTTTATAGTTTTCATCAAAATTGGAAACTTTTCAGCGATTATTTTTTCAAATATGTTACAGCCTCTAACCACCCCTTTTAAAGATACGGTTACATAGTAACATATATATTAGGCTATCTACTGTTGTGTCAGGGTCACTGATTTCTGTTCATTTTGTGTGTGTGTGTGTGTGTGTGTGTGTGTGTGTGCATGCACCTACCCTTTCTCTGTTTCTCTATGCTTCAACAGGATAGTTTCTAATATATGTGTTCGAGTTCATTGTTCTTTTCTTCTGTAGTAGTCAATGCACTCTTAAGTCCATTCAGTGAATTTTTAATTCTCAATGTTGTATATTTAAACTAGAGAATTCCCATTTGGTAATTTTTATTGCTTTAATTTGGCCTCTCATTAATAGTTTTTTTTTAAATCCTTAGCATTTTTATAGCTGTTTTAAAATTCTTATCTCTTAATCCCATTGTGTCTCATCCCTGACATTTCCATGCCTGTTTCTGTTTATTTATTTATTTTAATCTAGGGTCACAGTTTCCTGCTTCCTCATGTGTCTAGAAATTTTAAATTTTTGTTTGGTGTCTAAATTTTTTTTTAAAGGCATTGGCATTTATTTTGGCAAACAAGTTATTTTTAGATCCACTTACGCATCTGAGGCTTAGGTGTAAGCTTTGCCAGGATGAGTCCAGAGTAGCCTTCACTCTAGAGATAGTTTATCCATGCAACGAAGGTGTGACATTCTGGTGCCTCTGTTCAAGGCCTTGGGTTTTCAACAAGATCTCATCACCTTGGCTTGTCAGAATACAGGCTGCCATTCTCTGCTTGGGATCCATCTCCTTTCACCATGGTCTTGGAGTTCTTCCAGGAAAAACTTGATCACCTTATTTGTTTTCTTACTCTCCAGGATCAGAATCTCATTCTGTCCTTTGTCTAATTTTGGCAAATGAATGTTTTCTAAATATTGTTTCATTTTCCAGTTGTATATGATGAGAGATTGTCTGGTGTCATCTATTCCAATGTGGCCTGAAGCACAAGTCCCACCGTAAGATATTTTAGCAAAGGAAAAACATGACTAAGTACAGTAACATTATTGGCAAAGATCACTATCTGAGACACTTAGACTGTAGATTCAAAGAGGTTAGAATAAAGAAGGAACATTAATTAAGAAATGTCATTAATCAAGAAAAGAGATGTGATCTAAGGCATCAAAAACAGAGAAAGGTTGAAAATCAGGAGATCAAAGTCAGCAATGCTTTAGGTAATTATTCATTGAATTCCTTTATTAATAAATATTATTTATTGCCTGCTACATAAAAAGCATTTACTTGTTTATTCAATCATCAATCACTTACTAACCTCTTATGTGCTAAGCATTGTGATACACATGAGAAATACTGTCTGCCCCACAATGCTCACTCTGGAGAGCAGTGCTATCACACAGAACGTTCTTCAGTGTCAGAAAGAGTAGCCACTATCCATAAGAGAATAGTATAACTGAGAAACTATGTTTTCGATTTTAATAAATTCAAATTCAAATTCAAATTCACATAAATGCTGAGTATTGCAAGTGGCAACCACACTGGACTTTGAGCAGTTCTAGGGGGATACTAACACATACAGAGACACATATTCACAAACACACACACGATTATAATTAATTCTATTACTACTAAATGCAGAGTTTCTTAGGTTCCTATCAGAATCCAACACAGAACATCTAATCCTTTTGAGATTAAGGAGGGGAGGAACATGAAGAAGTTGTTTGCATTTTAGTTGAGTTTTGAAAGAAAGTAATTTTTGCCATTACTGCAATAGCAAAACCCACAATTACTTGTGTACCAACCTGATAGTAAATATGCTATTAAGTGCCATAAAAATATATTTTCTTTGACAAGAATTTTTTGAAGACCTAGAAATGCTACGATTCAGAAATGCTAAGTCAGTTTCTGAATCCCAAGAAGCCTAACTCAAAAGTTATCTCATGGGTCAGAACTTTATCCTTCTTAAAATTTGAGTCCTTCTTTATATGACCAAACTACTCTCTGGGAGTCGGTCTGCAGGACTGGCATATGGGCCTATTAACACCATGTATCCTTGGCATAGACTTATAGGTAACATCTTATCAAGGACTGCAGCAGAGGTGATGTGTTGTAAGTAGAGAGTCAGATTAAATACACTTTTTTTCTTTTCTTTTTCTTTTTTTTCTTTTTTGAGACAAGGTCTCGCTCTGTTGCTTAGGCTGGAGTGCAGTGGTATGAACATGGTACACTGCAGCTTCAACCTCCTGGGATCAAGTGATCCTCCCACCTCGGCCTGCTGGCCTCCTGAGTACCTGGGACCACAGGTGTGTGCCAACATGTCTGAGAAATTTTTAAATTTTTTATGGAGATAAGATCTCACTATGTTGCCCAGGTGGGTCTTGAACTCCTGGGCTCAAGCAATCCTCCTGTCTTAGCCTCCCAAAGTGCTGGGATTCCAGGCATGAGCCATGGTGTCCAGCCTCAGATTAAAAACCCTTATTCGGCTGGCTGTGGTGGCGCATGCCTGGAATCCCAGCACTTTGGGAGGCTGAGGCAGGCAGATCACCTGAGGTCAGGAGTTCGAGACCAGCCTGACCATCACAGAGAAACCCCGTCTCTACTAAAAATACAAAAATAAGCTGGGTGTGGTGGCATGCACCTGTAATCCCAGCTACTTGGGAGGCTGAGGCATGAGAATCACTTGAACCTGGGAGGCAGAGGTTGCAGTGAGCCGAGATGGTGCCACTGCACTCCAGCCTGGGGTAGGGGATAGAGCAAGACTCTGTCTCAAAAAAAAAAAAAAAAAAAAAAAGCCCTTATTCCAAAGGTAGATTCTCCTTGTCTTTGACACTATTACTAGGTTACTTTCATTGGGATTGTAAAATAACTTTATATAGGTCATCTAGGAGAAGTGTATTTTCAGGGTGTTGTCTTAGAAGCTAAAAATAAAATTAGATTAGCGGTAATTAGTGAAGTGGGTGTAATTTCATACGTTTGGCTGTGATCATTTCCTAAAGTGGTTTTCTCTTGATTTGACTTTCCAGTGCATTGTATTCCCTTGTTGAAAGAAAATATGCATTGTGTACCCCCTACAAAGGCAATTTTAAGGGAAGTACAGTAAACATAAACTAATGTAATGATGGGCTACATAGAATGCTCTGTTTACATGAAAGAAACCACTAAAAATACTCTTCATGGTAACAATGTGAAAGTAGTAATATTGTAGTCCTAAACAATTCCAAGCTATTATTTTATTTTGCATGATGTTGTTGGCAGAATCTAGTCTCAATAATTACTTCTTTAAGAAGAGGGAAAAAAACAGTTTAATGCACTCCAATGCAGACTCTAAAAATATCAGAGAAACAAGTATACAAGGATCAGCCTATTAATAGCTTGAAACACTGTCAGCTGGTGGGATGGGACACACACATTTTTTTTTTTTATAGTGAGCCGAAGTCTAGATTTTACTTTGGAGATATATACTTTGAATCTGCAGCACACTTAAAGGTGAGAAAAGGCTGTTAATGATTAAAATCCCTTGTTTCACAACACCCTGCAGGAGACATTAATTCTTCCAAGAGATGTTACAAAAACTCTCGAAATTCTCAGATGCTGATTGATTCAATTATAATTAATTTGAGACATTAAATTAAGATGAGGCAATTTTACAAGATTGGTAAGAATTATACACAAACTAAATTATGATTTGCTATTACAATCACAAAAACCTATGAATCCTTGAACTAAGCATTAACACGAGTTTGTCTAAATGTAGTAGGAAATGACAGTTCAGCAAATACGGCACAATTCTGAGGAAGCCCCCTTCAGCGGCTCTAGAAAGTGGTTTAACTGGCATCTTTTATATTTCACTCAGACCCACAATACATTCAGGGAAAATATGTAATGAGAGACTATTTCCTTGACACTTTCATTGCAACATTGGAAAACTCCAAACCCCATAAATAGGACATTATGAGTGAGATGGTTAGTAGACATTTACTGATGTTTATGATGGTAACACAAATGACTTAATAGAAGGGTAGGTGAGACTCAGGTGTCTGCACCATAAACAGAGGTCAATTGACCATTTGTCCATGGATGAATTGGGAGAAAGATACTAAAGTGTGTAACAACTCAGCAAACCTCTATAAGTTATGTAGCATCTGCGAATTCCTTTGTTCACTTTCTGTAATTTCTTAAGAACATGTATTTTGTTTTTCTTTCTTAGTGAGATATAGCTTACGTAAAGTATATAAACCTTACTTGTGCAATTCAAAGAATTTTTTACATTTGTATATATCCATATGCCCACCATCCAAACTGAAACATAGAACATATTCAGAATCTATGCCAACTTCTAGGATTCCCAGTTGATAACACCATTATTCTGATATCTGGCACTGTAGATTTGTTTAATCTGCTTTGGAACTTTATGTAAATGAAACAATGCATGATATACTGTTCAGTGTTTTGAGTTTTTCACTCAACATAAATCCTAAGAGATTCATCTTGTTGGTGCATGGATTCACTAATTTTCACCATTGTACAGTATTACTTTGTATAAATATAGCATAATGTATTTACATGTTGTATTTTTAATGAACATTTGCGTTGTTGCCAGATTTTTGATATCCTTAGTAATGCTGCCATAAGCAATCTTCTGTGTATCTTTTGGTAAACATAAATGTTTATTTTTCTGGGATACATATGTAGGAGTGGAATTCTGGGATATAAAGTCACATATATTTAGTTTTAGTAGACTGTCAAATGGTTTTCCAAAGTAGCTATACCAACTTACACTGACACCAAGTAATGTATGAAGGTCCCAGTTGTTTCACATTCTCACCAGTACTTGGTATTGTCAGTTGTAATTTTTAAATTTTAGCCCTTCAGGTTGAGGCGCATTGGTATTGTACTAAAATTTTACTTTGCGTTTCTCTGCTAGCTAATAATGCTGAACATCTTTACATGTGCTCATTTTCCATTCGATATTTTCATTTGCAAAGTTTCTGTTCACATCTTTTGCTCAATTTTTAAAATGGACAAAACAACAACAAAAACACTGACCGTAAAAGAAAAGATTGATAACATACTTCTATTAAAATTATGAACTTTCTTCATTAAAGACAATGTTAAGAGTGTGAAAAGGTGAGTCAGATAAGATAAGAACTGTGTATATTTGAAATTTGATTAGGGTTAAACATGTTTTCACTTTCCATGGGTGATAAAGACAGGACTGTGTGTGCTACTTTCCCAGTGCTGCACGTGGTGCTTGGCATAGAGTATATGTTGAATGAATATCTGTGAATAAATGCATGGATGTGTGAGTAAATGAATAAAGGGGATGACCTTATTTAAAGGTATATAGAAGAACACCCTCTAATGCACTGTTTGCTTTTCCTAAGGTTAAGAGAAAGTTCAATCTTAGCGAGAACGGGACTCTGAATGTGACTTAATAGCAATGCGAGAGTTGGCCGAAATGAAAACCAGTCCCTAGAGCTAATGTACAAGTTCCAGTTGAGTGAAGTCTGTCTCCCCAATAATCTTTTATTGATGCCCTGGGTCACAATAGATATTCAACCTAAGATACTCTCGTGGCATTATGGCAGTGGGTACAGACTACCTGAGGGCTTCCTAGTCTACTGGAAAGAGAATAACGCTGAAGTCTAATACCTGGACACTGCTACAAATAGGCAACAAATAATTAACTTTCCAGTTTTGATTTCAGTTTCCCCAGTTGTAAAATAACAGGGATCATCTATGGGCTCTCTGGACCCTACTTGCTCTGACATTCTGTCCCTTGAGAGCTCAGGGAAAACAGCTTTTATGGGAGAAACAGTACTAGTCATCCCTGGAGGTCAAGATGACCTGAGCAATGTACTCTGCCCAAGTCCCAGAAGGCTCACATTCCCTTTATACTTGATCCAAAAAGGCAGTCTTTTAAGCTGTCCCAGCACCTAACTACTCTCTTCTGTAGGCTGAGATGAAAAAAACTCCAGACTTCTTTGGAAAGGGAGCCTAAACCCGAAACAACAATGCTCCTTGGATACAAGTAACATTTTCTTCTAGAAATAGAAAATGTCCTGTAGCTTAGTTATAATTTCTACAATCTGTTCTGCCAAATTTTTTTTTGGTTTGTAGAACTGCTATTCGGAGTTCTTTTGGCCAAAATAAAAATCTAACGTGTTTGTATTAGCCTGATAATTTTCATGGGATGCCCCATTTAAGAACTGATAAAAAGGTTATGATAGAAATCTTGTATCTTTTTATAAAGAAGCTAATTCTAATTATTCACTTATTGAAAAACAATCTATACACTACTTTCTATTTAAAAATATGTATTAAAATAATTCATCATGCCATAAACATATTTTCTTCGTTCTCACTTGAAAATAAATCTTTATTTTAAACAGCAGTTATCCTAGAAGATGTGATGTGGAATAGAACATGTAAATTAATTTGCCTCTAAAAAATTAGTTCCTCTGTTATCACTCACCAAATTTAGTAGTAGAAGAGATCCACTGGCCTGCATGATAAACAAATTTAGTTTCCCTGCTAGGAGACAGGGAAGATATATGAATGGCATTCCAGTAACCAACCAAAAGCAAGATAGTAACAGCCCGGCTTATGCAAAAAGCATTTGTGTATCTCACTTCAAATGTGACTAATAGCAATCGAAGTAGCTCCATCACGAGACGGAAGTAGAAGAATTGATGCCCAGTCCCTAAGATTTGTTTTGTTTTGTTTTGTTTTTAAAAGGCAGTCAAAAATTGTGTCATGCTCTGCTCACAGTCTTAAATAAAAAAGATCTTACGTTCTTGGGTGAGCTCCGTAGAAATGACGCCACACTCAAATAAGAGGGGACTTGAAAATATTTATGGAAAATAGAATTAAAAGATAAAAATAAAAAATATAAACTTTATTTCTTAACATAAGCTTCATCAAGGTCAAGACACTTTTGCAAGTTATAATTTAGTCCATCTCTAAAGAACTGAGGGTGCTAGGAATTTAACTATGCCAATGTAGTCTTTTCACTATAGTATTTACTGAAGAACAATTTATGCCTTTTAAAGATTTTTCAAAATTAGGAAACAAAAAATAGCCAGAGGGAGCTAAATCAGGACTGGAAGGTGGATGCCTAATAATTTCCCATAGAAACTCACAAAATTGCCCTTGTTTGATGGGAAGCACGAGCAGGCACCCTGTCATGGTGCAGAAGGACTCTGGTGAAGCTTTCCAGGGGCTTTACTGCTAAAACTTTGGTTAACTTTCTCAAAACATTCTCATAATAAGCAGATGTTACTGTTCTTTGGTCCGGCAGAACATCAATAGGTGACATGCCTTGAGCATCCCCAAAAACCTCTTGCCATGGACTTTGCTCTTGAATGGTTTGCCTTTGCTTTGACTGGACCATTTCCACCTCTTGGTAGCCATTGCTTTGATTCTGCTTTGTCTCCAGGATTGTACTGGTAAAGCCAAGTTTCATCTCCTGTTAAATCTTTGAAGAAATGCTTCAGGACATTGATCCCACTTGTTTGCAGTTTCTGTTGAAAGCCCTGCTCTTGTCTGCAGCTCATCTGGGTGCAACCATTTTGACACACATCCAGGGGAAAGTTGGCTCAACTTTACTTTTTCAGTTAGAATAGTGAATGCTGAGCCAACTGAGATGTCTATGGTGTTGACTATTATTTCTGCCATTAATCACCAGTCCTCTTCAATTAGGGCTTGGACAAGATTAATATTTTGCTTCCAAATTGATATACATGGTCTTCTGGTGTGGGCTTCATCTTCAACATCATCTGGTCCCTTCTTAAAATGAGTTATCCATTTGTAAACTGCTGTTTTCTTTGAAGTATTGTTCTGATAAGCTTTTTCTAAAGCATCAATGATTTCACCATTCTTCCACCCAAGTATCATCATAAATGTGATGTTTGTTCTTGCTTCAAGATAAATCATGTTGCTTTGATATGGAGCCTTTTCAAACTATGTCTTATCCTTTTTAGTGCCTGAAACTAGCTACTGTTTAGACATGTTATAACAAATTACTATGAGTTTATTTTTGTGCCAAAACATTTTGAGATTCACACAGTTTTTTCATAATACACCTTTTCCATGGATTCCTGAAGACCCCCTGATACACTTGCCTTAAAACATCATCTTTAAACCCAGATAATGTTAATAATGATAGACAACATTTGCCAAGAACTGAACCAAGTATTTTTTAAAACCTTACTTATTATTTTCAAACCATCCTACCATATAGGTCTGTATTATCCCCAGTTTATAGATGAAGATGCCAAGGCATGGAAGGTTAAGAAATTTACTCAACATCAACAAGGAATAAAGTCTAAATATGAACAGAGGTAGTCCAACTTTTAGCTATTTCATCTATGCTACATCTGAAGAGATCCTGATAGGCTCTCTGGTGCAACAAAAATGCCTGAAAACTCTTTGCTATATTGCAAATTGTGAGGTGGAGTCTAATTTTCCTCCTCTACAATCTAGGTGGGCCTTGTTAACTTTCTTTACCAATAGAATGTGGTGGAAATGCATTCAGGGACTTCTGAGGCCAGGTGATAGAAAGCCATGTAGTTTGTACCTGGGTCACTTGGAGCTCTCACTGTCTGGATTCTGTCTCCCAGAGCCTACTGCCACACTTTGAGAAGCCCAAATCACATGGAGTGGCCATCGGAAGGTACTCCTGCAACATCCCCAGCTCATCTACCAGATGATGGCTAGTGTGAGACATTTGAGTGAGCTACGTGAAACATCTATTAATAACTTAGCTGAGCCTTCAGATGCCTGCGGTCCTGGCTGTAACCACATGACATGCCCTCAAGCAAGAGACACCAAACTGAGCAGACAACTCAAGCAACCATGAGAGATAAAAATATCTGTTTGGTGCCACAAAGTATTAGGGTGGTTTATTACATAGCAAAAGATAAATGAAAGAGTCTTGTGTTTATAAATGAATTTTATGTTAAAAGAATATTTAAAAATTGACTGAAACTCAGAATACATCTCCCCATTGTAACAATGTTATGAATAGTTGTAAGGTTCCTAGACCAGTTCACAAAAGTCTATTTAGCTCACAATGTAGCTTAAATTGGCAATGAAAATAGTAACAAACAATATTGTTATTAATACAAGACTAGGAATTAAACTAAACAGATTAAAAATATGAGAAAAATTAGAAGCAGTTTGAAAACATTTTACATTAAATGTATGTATTTGAAGGGAAAAGAATTTAATTATAAGAGATAATTTCCTTTTGACAGGTATCTTTTAAGATGTCTATAAATTAATGGCATCTCCCTTCATTAGGCTGAATCTAACTACAAAATTTATGGTTTTTCTCAAACTCATATCAACCATAATTAGGGGTATAAAAGGGCTGTGTATTAAAAATAAGCAGAGAGATAAAAGAAAATGTTTTTATTGTTGCTTAATAACAATGAGAGACAAAAGGGAAGAATTGGAAGAAAGAGAATGCAGTGGGCATTTATAGTTTTTGTCACATACCTCTTACCAGGAAAGAACTACCCTGACTTTCCTTTGAGAATTATCTTTTCCTCCAATCTGAACTCCCATTATGTGGTTTTAGAGGGCATCACATTTACTTTCTGGGAGCCCCGAAGGGACCTCATAAATCAGCCTGTTCCCACCCATGACCAATAAAGGTGGCTGAGCCAAAGTTGGACCATTTCAGGCCAGTGAAAGGAGGCTGAGCATGAAAACCAAGCAGTGAGATTGTGAATTCTGCAGCTGTTGCAGCCATCATGTAATGGAGAAGGAGAGCCAAAGACAGAAAACAGCACAATGCAGAGAACAGAACCACATCAAGCTGAGATACAGAGAGAATCATGTCTGGCTGACAGTGAGATTCTGCCTCAAGTAGTATCTAAAAGGGTTCCCTACCACTGGACTCCCCATTATGTTAGCTCATAAATTCTATTTTGCTTTAAACCAGTTTAGGTTGAGTTGTTTGACACTTGCAGCTGAACATGTTCTGACTCATTGTATTCCTTATGGTAAATAATGCCAGCTACTTTAAGAGACAACTTTCCCAAATTCACTGGCTTTACGGTAAATGTTTGTTTTCTCATTCATATCTCAGTCTGATGCCAGTTGTTGGGAGGGCTCAGCTCCAGGTAGTCCTTAAAAGACTGGGCTTTTTTTTTTTTTTTTTTAATGTCTTGACCTCTTCCAGGTTCTTGTAGTTTCCTCCATGTAGGTAGTAGATGGATAAAGAAGATAAAGAAGATTTGACTGTGGAAAATTTTTATGGGCCAGGCCTGGGAGTGTTGCATTTCACTTTCTCTCATACTCAGAGATTAGAACTCAGTCCCATCAAACTGCAGGAACGTCTAGGAAATACAATCCAGTTACGTACCAGGAAATGAAAAAAGACAGATATTCATGGGCACTCACAGTACCTGCCACAGTCTAAACTCCCGGTCACAAAATATCTTTTAGCTCCCTTCTGCTCATACACTAACCACACTCATCCCTCTGTAAAAGGACACAGCCATGTCATTCTGTCTGGGGCCTCCTGGTGGTGCTGCCTTACCTCTGTCAAGCCTGAATACGACTTGGCTGCTTTGATTTGATTACCTGTGAATTAAAAAGACATGTAATCTAGCTTCTCTTTTTCCACACAAACCTTATTTATAAGATGGGAAGGGGGGCAAGAAAGCAACAATAAAAAGTCCTATTCAGGGAGTGAAAAAATGGAAAGCATTTTTAAATTCTACTGGGCACACATTAGAGAAATTTATTTGATTAGACCCTGATTCTGCTCTTTGAGAAGAACTTCCTTGTCAATTTCTTTCCCCTGGCCTCTGATTCACCTTCCCTGAAGTTGTTCCTTGTCTGTCATCCTCCATGGTCTCGTCTAAAGAGGGGATTGAGAAGCATCCTATTTGTGAGGATGTACCACCAGTCAGTATCTCACTGGAAAACAGATGGTATGCTCAAATTAGGATAATTTAAGGGGGATTTACTTATAACAGGACTATGTACAAGAGGGGTGGGAAGGGGAAGGGAAGCAACAAGGATAACCCATGCTTAGTAACTGTTGAGTTTTTGACATCCCTAGATCCTAGAGTATGAGAGAAGAGAGTGATTAGCAGAATCCAGAAAAAAAGAGTCTCTTGTAGAGAAGCTCATTCTGCAAGAAGTGTTGGCCCTTAGGAATGATGGACATCCAGCCTAAGACAGCCTTGCCAGTAGGGAACCAGGGGAACAAGCCACTTAACTTCTCTTGCTTTCTTCCAGTCTCTTGGTAGGAGTGATTACTCCTTGGTGGCTGCCGTTCTGTTTTCTTCCTCCTCTTGCTTCTCTCACAATATCTTGCTCTATGAGGGCATACGGGAAGCAGAAAAGAGGAATCTTATATGATTCCTCTTTTGGAGGAATCATGCATGATGGTGTGCGTGGCAATTCTACTTTTAATTCTGAAAAATATTATAGATTAATCTTAGAATAAAGAGATTGTCTAAATATAAAATGTAAAGAAACATGAATTAAAAAGGAAAAACAGATGTAGCATTCCAGAATTGACTATGTGATGAAAATATGGTGTGAAGTTAGGTGTTCAAATAGAGAAGCTGAGAGTTTACAGACAGGGCCTTCTTTGAGATACATTGATTTGACCAACTAATTGTTTTAATCATGCTTCTCTTTTGTTAGTTTCACATAGTTCATGTCACATCTAACCTCTCACAAAAAAGACACAGATTATGATTCATCTACTTCCAATTAGCATATTTATTTCTGCTAGCTGAAACACTTCTGACACCCTGTGAAAAGGAAATTCTTGAAAAATTTTTGCACATAGCAAGTCTGTCCACTTGGAAACACATTTGCGTACTTTATATTTTTATATGTTTTTCAGTTTAAAGTGCTTTACACATATAATTTCAATTAATCTTCCAACACTATAACATAGTTAGTGTTATTTCTATTTGCACTAAAATGAAAGTGAGGCTTGGAGTGGTTAAGTTACCAACCCAAGGTTTCAGGAAGGGGATTATGGCTCCAGGCCTTCCCCTGCACTTGTATCTCCTGATATCAAACTTTGCAGCACAAACTTGTCTCATTGTCCAGAATGCATGATGCCTCGTAACATCCAGAAATGTCTCCGGAATTGGGATATCAGCCTGCCCCAGACCACACTATTAGCATTAGATCTGCTCACATTTGCCAGTCTTAATTCTTACTTCTATGGAGGCTGCTAGACCTGCTTCTTGGGTCTCTCTGTCAGCAGGCAAAGAAACAAATCAATTGTCACTTCTTTAGTGCCATGCACATGGTACTCTTTCATTAACTGCCATTAAATTGAACTTAAAATTCCCACGGAAAAGTTAGCACAGGGCCACATTTTTACAAAGAGCATCTCTCTCTTTCTCTTGCTTATGTTTATCCTGATCATAGAATTCCTCAAAAAACTTTTTCACTCCCATCGTGTAAAGGATAGTCCACAATTTTTAGCTTTATATTCAGTACTCTGAAAAATCTCATTGAAACCTTTCTTTTCAACTTCAATTTTTACCACCTCTGGGAACATCTTATTTTCTACTCTGGCCAAATATCTTCCAACCATATCATAGAAAAGAAATCTAAGTCCATGATTCCAGAATTTTGCTTATTCCCATGCCTCCTGCAGGAATATCCTCCCCTCTGAACTCAACCAGAATGCCTCAGTTTCTCCAGGGACTAAGGACAGTTATTTTCTCTCCTTGTATCAGAGTTCAGCCTAGGAAGCAGAGACCATCCCAGATACTTTCAGCAGAAATGGATTCAATTCAGGGAAATAGTCAGAAGAGCTGGAAGATCAGGAGGTTGCCTCTCAGTTATGGATTGTAAGGTCACACCATTTTAGTTGCAGTCTAGCAGTGAGGAAGTTACTGCTATAGGAGCTTCTTGTCGTCACCAAGCTGGTGACTATGCGTTCAAACGCAAAGTAAAGACTATTTTGATCAAATCAGTGAATAAGTGCCATAATCTTTTGCAGATTTAATTGTGAACCAGTGAATTTGAGAGAACATCTAACTTCAATTTGATTCTTTATATTTAAAAATAGTTTACTAACAAAAGTAATGCATTCTAAGTGGAGAAAATACTCAAACAATACAAAAATTTATCCTTAAGGACCTCCCCAACTGAAGTCCACATCCCTGAGGTAACCATGGTGCATAACTGGCTTCCAGCTTTCAAACCTTATTATGGAAATGTACTACAAATACACACACACACACAACCCTGCCCCCAACACACACACACACACACACACACAGACAGTACTTCCGCCCCCAAACAGGATCATATTATAAACATGACATTGACAATTGTATTTTCCACTTCACTGCATATGACCTCTATTTCTTTCCGTGTATATTTTAAGGGCAGTGTAGTATTCCATTCTGTGTGGTGTTTTACATTCAGTTTCTCATTTTTGTATTATAATTCACAGTTTGCAAAGCATCTTCATATTCATCATGTCATGGCTGAAAGCTTTGGTCAAACGAATCTGTGCTCAATGCAATAAAAAAGAAGGACTCAACAATCACTTTTCACATTAGTCCTCTATATACATATGACCTAAGAACCCAGAGGGGACTTACTGGCGTGGTCTGGATTTGTTGGTATTTTAAAACATTTTTTTGAGTGACTCAATCAGCAAGAGAGCAAATGGAAATAAGGTTTCAATTTGTTTCTTCTTCTGCTGTGATCCCATTGAGTTCCTGAGCACCAGTGTTGAAGGGTAGATTGAATTAGGCAGCCTAAGTTTGACCAGAAGACTAAATTTCCCTTGGTGACTTCATCTGAGCTGTGACACTTTCCCCGATTTCATAGGGAACTCCTTGGAGACTGAGAGTGAGTTGAAAAGCTGGCTCAGTGTTTGCTGAGAGTAAATCTACTTTATGAGGCAGCTATATGGGGGAGGGGAATGTTATTTTAACACCTCTCCTACTCAGTGCTCTAGTGGAATGCTCAAGGTCCCAGCCTCTTTTTGTGCTACTTAAGCAGCAAATGATTTTTTACACTAGGAAGACTCAACTCCTTTAGAAAAGAATATTCTTTGTATTGCTATACCCTTTACTAGAGATTCTTAAGATCCTTCCGGATGCAAAATGCAGAGTTGTCTATTCAGTACCATTTGACCATCTCTCAGATACCCTGGTGTTTAGTTTCAAGCCATTCATCATGGCTTGAAATGCAACATAAGAGGAGGCAAAAGTCCTAAAAGGTCTTTGTCACACTTGAAAAACACACACAGAATACCTGAAGGGGCCCTCTCTATCTTCTGTCTTCTCTTGCTTTCTCTCATTGGCCCAATAGCAAGCAGTAGTGATACACAACTCTGACCCTCCCAAACCTCATGTCTTTCTCATATTGTCAGAGGCATTTAAACTAGAGCAACTCCATCTTGAATAGGGTCTGGGTGAAATGATGCTGACACCTACTGGGCTGCATTCTCAGGAGGTGAGGTATTCTTGGTGCCTAAGGGATGAGATAGGAGATTAGCACAAGACACAAGTCACAAAGAACCCACTGATAAAACAGGATGCAATAAAGAAGCCAGCCAAAACCCTCCAAATCCAACATGGTGATGAAAGCAACCTCTGGTCATCCTCACTGCTCATTATTTATTAATTATAATGCATTAGCATGCTAGAAGACACTTGCACCAGGGCCATGACAGTTTACAAACGCTATGTCCAGAAGTTACCCTATGAGGTCTGAAAAGGGGAAGAACCCTCAGTTCTGGGAATTACCCACCCCTTTCCCAGAAAACTCGTGAATAATCCACTCCTTATTTAACATATGATCAAGAAATAACCATAAAAATAGCCAACCAGTAGCCTTTGGGGCTGCTTTGCCTGTGGAGTAGCCGTTCTTTTATTCCTTTACTTTCTTAAAAACTTGCTTTTACTTTACTCTGTGGACTCGTCTTGAATTATTTCTCACATGAGATCCAAGAACCCCCTGTTGGGGTCTGTATTGGGACCCTTTTCTGGTAACAGCATTGAAAAATACAATCATGACTTCCCAATGGCCATCCAAAGTCTTGATTCATTGCAGTGTTAATTCAAAAATCTAAAGGCTGAGTCCAAAACCTCATCTGAGACTCTTCTCCTTCTACCTATGAATCTGCAAAATTAAAAACAAGTTAGTTATTTCTGAAATAAAATGGGGGTATAGCCATTGGGTAAACATTCTTATTCCTAGAGGGAGAAATCAGAAAAAAGAAAGGGGCTACAAGACCCATACAAGTTCAAAACCCAGCAGAGCATCCACTAAATCTTAAAGCTCTGAAATAATCTCCTTTGACTCAATGTCCCATACCCAGGGCACACTGCTGCAAGGGGTGGGCTCCCAAGGCCCTGGGCAGCTCTGCTCTTGTGGCTTTGCAGGTATCAGCCCCATGGCTGCTCCTGTGTGTTGGAGTTGAATGCCTGCAACTTTTCCAGGCACCAGGTAAAAGCTACAGGTGGATCTACCATTCCGGGGTCTGGAGGATGGTGGCACTATCTCACAGCTCCACTAGGCAGTGTCCCATTGGGAACTCTGTGTGGGGGCTCCAATTACACATTTCCCCTTGGCACTGCCTTAGTAGAAGTTCTCTGGGAGGACTCTGCCCTTGTAGCGGGCTATTGCCTGGGCACTCACGCTTTCTCATATAGCCTCTGAAATCTAAGCAGAAGCTACCAAGCATTCTTCACTCTCGAACTCTGCACACTCACAGGCTTAACACCACATGGAAATCACCAAGGCTATGGCTGGAGCCCTCTGGAGCAGTCGCCTGAGCTGTATCTTGTCTCCTTTGAGCTGAGGCTGGAGCTGAAGTGGCCAGGATGTGGGGAGTAGTGTGTGAGGCTGGGCAGGGCAGGGCAGCAGGGCCCTGGGCCTGGCCCACAAAACCATTTTTCCCTCCTAGGTCTCTGGGCTTGTGATGGGAGGGGCTGCAGTGAAGTTCTCTGAAATGCCTTTGAAGTCTTTTTCCAGGTGTATTGTATATTAGCACCTGGCTTCCTTTCAGTTATGCAAATATCTCTAGCAAATGGTTGCTCCATAGCCAGCTTGAATTCCTCTCCCAAAAAAAGCTTTATCTTTCTCTGCCACATGACCAGGGTGCAAATTGTCCAAACTTTTATGCTCTGCTTTCCTTTTAAATATAAATTCCAACATTAAGTCATTTCTTTGCTCCAGCATCTGAGGCTAGGTTGTTAGAAGCAGCCAGGCCACATCTTGAATGCTTTACTGCTTAGAAATTGATTCCACCAGATACCTTAAATCATCACTATGAAGTTCAACCTTCTGCAAATCCCTAGAGCAGGAACACAATGCAGCCAACTTCTTTTGCTAAGGCATAACAAGCGTGACCTTTGCTCTAGCTCCCAATAAATTCCTCATTTCTATTTGAGGCCCCATCAGTCTGGCCTTCACTCTCCTTATTTCTATCAGCATTTTGGTCACAACCACTTAACAAGTCTCTAAGAAGTTCCAAACTTTTCCTTGTGTTCTTGTCATCTTCTGAGCGCTCCAAACTCCTCCAACCTCTGCCTATTACTCAGTTCCAAAGGCACTTCCACATTTTCAGGTATCTTTATAGCAATGCCCCACTTCTCATTACCAATTTTCTGTATTATGCTGTTCCTGCATTGCACAGAACACCTGACAATGGGTAATTTGTAAGAAAAGAGATTTAATTACCTCACAGTTCTGTGGGCATTACAAGATGCATGGTGCTGGCATCTGCTCAGCTTCTGGGGAGGCCTCAGGAAGCTTACAATCACGATACAAGGTGAAGGGGGAACAGGCATGTCACATTAGAACAGGAGCCAGAAAAGGGGAGAGCAAGGTGCCATATACTTATTAACAGTCAGATCTTGTAAGAAGTCACTCACTATTGTGAGGATTAGTACCAAGAGGATGGTGCCAAACTGTTGAGAAATCACTCCGATAATTCAATCGCCTCCCACCGGGTTCCTCCTCCAATACTGGAGATTATAATTGAACATGAAATTTGGGTGGGAACAAATATACAAACTTTATCAACAATGGGGAAAGGGCTCCCTATTCAATAAATGGTCCTGGGATACCTGGCTAGCTATATGCAGAAGATTGAAACTGGAGTCCCTACCTTATATCATATACAAAAATCAACTCCAGGTAGATTAAAGACTTAAATGTAGCCAGGCATGGTGGCTCACACCTGTAATCCCAGCACTTTGGGAGGCCAAGGCAGGTGGATTACCTGAGGTCAGGAGTTCAAGACCAGCCTGGCTGACATAGAGAAACCCCGTCTCTACTAAAAATACAAAAAAAAATTAACCAGGCATGGTGGCAAGTGCCTATAATCCCAGCTACTCGGGAGGCTGGGTCAGGAGAATCACTTGAACTGAGGGGGCAGAGGTTGCAGCGAGCCGAGATTGCGCCATTCACTCCAGCCTGGGCAAAAGAGTGAAACTCCGTCTAAAAAAAAAGAAAAAAAAAAAAGACTTAAATGTAAAACCTAAAATTATAAAACTCTGGATGATAACCTAGGAAATACCATTCTGGACATAGCCATGGCAAAGATTTTATGATGAAGATGCCAAATGCAATTGCAACAAAAACAAACATTGATAAATGAGACCTAATTAAACTAAAGAGCTTCTGCACAGCAAAAGAAACTATCAACAGAGTAAACAGACAACCTATAGAATGGCAGAAAAATATTTGTGAGCTATGTATCCCACAAAGACCTGATATCCAGGATCTATAAGGAAATTAAACAAATTAAAAAGCAAGAACCAAACAACCCAATTAAAAAGTGGGCAAGGACATGAACAGACACTTTTCAAAAGAAAACATACATACTGCCAACAAGCAAATGAAAAAATGCTCAACATCACTAATCATTAGAGAAATGCAAATGAAAACCAAAATGAGATACCATCTCATACCAGTTAAGAGTGGCTATTGCTAAAAAGTCAGAAAATAACGATGCTTGTGAGGTTGTGGCGAAAAGGCAATGCTTGTACACTGCTTGTGGGAATAAAAATTAGTTCAGCTGTTGCGGAAAGAAGTTTGGTGATTTCTCAAAGAACTTAAAACAGAACTACCATTCCACTCAGCAATCTCATTATTTGGTGTATACCCAAAGGAATATAAATCATTCTGCCATAAAGACATATGCATGCATGGGTTCATTGCAGCACTATTCACAATAGCAAAGAACTGCAACCAACCTAAACGCCCCTCAATGGTAGACTGGATAAAGAGGATGTGGTACGTACACCGCATGGAATACTATGCAGCCATAAAAAAGAACAAGATCATGTCCTTTGCAGGGACATGGATGGAGCTGGAGGCCACTATCCTAAGGGAATTATCATGGTAACAGAAAACCAAATATTGCATATTCTCATTTATAAGTGGGAGCTAAACATTGAATACACGTGGACAAAAAGAAAGGAACAATAGACACGGGGGCCTACTTGAGGGTAGAGGGTTGGAGGAGCATTAGGATAAAAAAACTACCTAATGGGTACAATGCTTATTATCTGGGTGACAAAATAATCTGTACACCAAACCCCTGTGACACACAATTTACCTATATAACAAAACTGCATATGTACCCCTCAACCTAAAATAAAAGTTTAAAAAAAGGAGGAAGGCAGGAAATTTTGTGCGGTCAAAAATGCTCAGAGAACATTCTAGGCCTTTCACATGGGAAGAAGGGCCAGACAAAGGAAGTGAATGAACATCAAAAGAAGGGTGGAAGGAGAAGAATATGAACTGTGGTGGCAGCTTTGATGATGGCTTCACAATCCCCAAAGACTATCTGTGTGCGGGCGTGTTATATCCATGTTGGAAATGGCAGAATTGTGTGTGAAGCACTCTTTCTAGTAACATTGTAACATCTCAGGATGACAGGACTTGAATTGTTTCACTTTGACTAAATGTGCAGAAGAGAAGGCTGCCTGGAGACTATTGTATTACACACAGCAGTGAGGATGGCTTGTGCAGAAAGGTAGGAAGTGTGATAGATGAGAAAAGCACTAGTGGCATTTTGCCAGCTCGCGATAAGTATCTGGTACATCTGCGGCATCACCAAGAGGTCTCTGATTTAGCAAAAGCATCATAAAGATATTCGGTGTCATAAAAGTAACACTTTATTTAACCTTCCTGTACAAACTTTAGGAGCATTAATCTGTCACAGTAGGCTCTATCTTGTACATGTAAATGGATGAGACTCTGTAATCAAATCCTAAATGTGTATTTGTAGCAATACGGCTTTTCAGAAGAATGTATGATGGGAAGCAACAGACGGAGCAGGGGACAATTAAAGAGACAGCACCATGCTCCGCGAGACCTTTTACTCCCTGAATGGAGTTTCCCAGGACTGCACTGATTTCTGAATTTTCTTCTTTATTTACCAGCTAGCATAACTTTATTGGGACCCCACAAGGCCTCTCCTACTCTATCGCCTGCAATGGAGACTCATTTAGGCAGAGAGAAACCTTGCAAGGATGTGATTCAAGGAGCATTCTAATTTCCTTTCAATACCAGCTCCAATTATGGATTGCAGATCTGCGTTCAAAATAGTTTGAGTCTGAGAACGGTCCTAAAGAGAAAATGCTTTGTGATTCTTAGACTTGAAAAGGGCAGGCCGCGGCGTCAGGTCTTGGGATTTTTGTTCAGTGCTGTTCCCACCCAGATTGTCCCAGAGGGTCATTTGCAGATGTTGCCAGGCCCACTGGATATTTGGCAGTCTGTTTGGAGCTTATGATTTATTGAGACTTAAATTTCAGTGACTAGAAACAAATTCCTCTTGACCAAAACCAAAAATCTTAGATTGCTTTTGTATAACATATTCATTGTCAGGGGTTGGGGCAGAGGAGAAAGGAAAAGTTTTAGATTTGGCTTCAGATCAGAAGGAAAAGAATGCATTAAACGATATTGATGTGAATAATATCAGCACATTTTCTTTTTAAAAATCTTTGTAAGATTTGCATATGTATTTATTGTGCAAAGCATATGCATCTTGCCTGGAATATATTTCATTGTGTAGCATATGGTTCCTTTCAGCAAAGGATCTTAAATGACTTTAACAGAAAGAGCTCTTCCTTTCATTCACTCCCAGAGAGAAAGGTGCTATTTAAGAGGCAATAACTCTTTCCTAAGGGCTCCACTTAGGCCCTTAGTAACCAACTTGTAACTTGCACGCCCATCAGTTTTTCTCCCTTCACTCTCTCTTGGCAGAGCAGGCTAGACTTAACTGCCCTAGGCAACCCAGACCCTGCAAATTCATAATAGAAAGCAGAAGCATCTCTTACTCACAGTCCTAGAGGTGGGGCTCCTGAAGGGAAATCCAAAGGAATTAGAACCTGGGATAGCATTATCCAATAGAACTATAATGTGAACCCCAAATGGAAGCTGCATATGTAGCCTGGAATTTTCTAGTAGCCATATTTTTTAAAAAGCAGAAAGAAACAAGGAAAATTAATTTTAATAATACATTTTATGCAATCCACAATATTAATATAATTTTAACATGTAATCTGTAAAAATTATTGAGATATTTTACATGCTTTTTTGGTCTTCTAAATCCAGCATGTATTTTATTCCTATAGCACATCCTGCTATGGACTAGCTACATTTGACGTTCTCAGTGGCCACACATGACTAGTGGCTACTGTATTGCATAGCACAGTTCTATGGAGGATACTAAGAGTGAGCCAGAGAATTCTATCCGAATGAATATTATTTTACAGGACAAAAGGCAAATATCAGGGACTGCGATGATGATGATAGCTGACAGTTACTATTTATGTTACTTTTTTTTTTCAATTTACTACTTCTATTACACTTACCTTTGTGGGTTATTTATTTTACATGCATTTATTCAATTCTCAAAAAACACTAAAAGTAGGCAATGTTATTATTTCCTTTTAAAAATGGAGAAGCTGAGGCACAGACATAGATACTGAAAGAGTGTGGAAGAACCTTGCAGATGACAGCGAGGGGCAGCAGGTGGCGGCGACAGGTGAACAGGGGGACTATCTAAACTCATGTGAGCAGCGGATGGTTCTGTGTTTTCATGTGTGCATGGTGTTGAGTTGGTTGGAAAGTTGGGTCCATTGCATTAGCTCTGCTCTACTACATGGCCCCTGAGCCATTGTGAAATTAATGCATTTCCCTAGGCAACTAACCTTCAGCCAAAAAGGTAAGTTGGAAGAGAAACTGAAGATAAAAAGTTTTGAGAACAAGTTTCTACAAACGAAAACTATATTTGGAGGTAACATCCTCCATCCTTAGTCTGGAGTATAAACATTCTGTGACAATCTGTGTCAAGGCTACTGGTGGGCAACTTTCCCCCACAAACCTTTGATATGCATTATGGCTCCTGGGTTTGTGCCCTTAACAACACTACATTGGTACCGCTCAATCAGTGATATTATAACAATATATGTGCTCATCTTCAGGCTGCTCTAGTCTAGGAAAATAAAGATTACCCAAAATGAGTACGGCAAAGACCTCAAGTGGCCCCATGCAGAGGGTAGATAGAATTTATGCCATCTAATTTTAACACAATGCGACAGAAGTATATCTAAGACCCATAGCAGTAGAGAAGAGGAAGACTGGGAGAAAGCTGGGGTGGGAGAGGAGCTGTGCTGGGGAACAAACAAGGCAGGGGTTAACAAGGAGCAGTAATCCCAAGGAAATTGTGAAGTTCTCCCTGAGGCAAAGTGGGAGAGGTGGCCCAGAGATGTTGTCCTCCTTACTCATCTTATAAATTGTGCTGACAGCACACCAGCACTTTTTAACTGAGCAACACAAACACACATCCAGTCAAAAACTGAGTCATTTGGCATTCACAACATGTTTATGTGCCAAAACATGCCTGACCAGCATTACTCTTTTGCACACCAAAATATAATGTATATTCGCTCTAAGAAGCAATAAAGAGCGGTAAAGTTTTTTTTTTCTTCTTCTCCTTCTCCTTCTCTTTCTTCTTTCAATGGCAGCACTCTGGCTCCTCACCCAACACTCTGTGCAATTTATATGTGGGAAAGATTGGAAAGGTCATGTGACATCAGTCTGGCCCACACGTTGCAAGGGGAATCTGCTGGCAAATTGCAGACTGTTGATCCTGCAAAACTAATTGAGATGGGAACACTCTCCTGTGAGAAGATGTCCTTTTGTTTTTACAATGCCATTTAGGGGTATGACACGAATATCCCAAAGTACACATTTAGGAAAGTGAATTTGAAATTCAATAGAGAAGAAGAGGGAGAAACAGGTAGAGGAAAGGGAAAGACAGCATGCCATTTCTCGAGATGTGACTCTTAGCACCTTTTTTCCCTTCCCAGGAAGTACTGAGTATTGATAACAATTGTGAAGACTGTGAGGTCTTTCAGTATTTTGGAGAATATTTCACAAAGCAAATTTTAGTCATGTAAAATGGGTAAACAGGGTATGAAATGTATTAACACATTTGGCGAATTCTGCAAATATATTTTTACACAATTAGCTTAATTATTTAGATACATATTAAACCTTGCTTGCCTCGAGCAATTTAACATGGAATATAATTTCACATATTATCACAAGAAAAACACATTTATAGAAAATCTGTGTCTCTCCTTTCCTGATCACACTTCCACTTATCATTATTTGAGATATAAATAGATAGTTTACATTTCAGGGATGATGAACACTGTAGATTTCCAGAGAAACTGTCTCCTAACCCAGTGAACAAGCGGCCCCCTGAATTTTGGTCTGTTCATTTGTTGCACTGAAATAGACCTTGTTACCACTCCATCAGTGATATAACAATATCCAAAACAGGGTATCATATCTCATTCAGAAATGAAAAGATTTGTTTTAATTTATTTTGGAGGGATGTTAAAGTGAAGAGCAGACAGAACTAATTCAAAAAAGAATTGCAAAGGAGGCGGGGATAATTGTAGTTCTGCATATGTGCGTGATTTTAAGGCAGTAGTCATTACTTCTACTTTGAAAATCCTGCTCCATAGCCATTGTTTATTGTCATTGCATTCATATTTTCAATGAACTGTGTGTAGTAGAACTTCCTGAAGGTGCAAATTATTTTCGGAAGTCCCTTGTTTCAGTCATCTTCCCAACAGAAAAAAAAAAGAGAGTATTAATGATAGAAATACTTGATGTGTGCATGGTGATTAAAAGATTTTTAAAGAGCTTCCACATACATTATTTTATTATGAAACAGCTTGATGATCTAGGCAGTGTTTAGTATTGGCAATTTGCATTTGGAAAAACTCCATTTTACAAAGGGAGAAAATAAATCATAGAAATAACTTGCCATAGTCACTTCAACTGTGACCACACAGACAGAAGTATTTTTATCTAATATGTTTTTGGCATTTTACTATATGACAAGCAATAGCATTTTGAAGCAAAGGGGAATACACACACACACACACACACACACACACACACACACATCTTCCAAAAATTATCTTTAAAATTCCCAGTTATGTAGATTTGATCTCCAAAGCAATCACTTTTTTTTCCATATTATGTAATTTAAGAGCTTCTGGGGGTGGTAAAACAAGGAAGTTCTCTGAGGATAGGGATGGCCAAAGGGAACAGCAGCATGGTGGCCTCCCAAGCTGAGGCCACTGTGAATCTAAACAGCAGCCTGGTAGCCTTAAAAGGTTTCATTTGGGGGTAGAAGCCAATCGCACAGGTAGAAAGACCCCTTGACTCCATTTGTGTTACTTTTCATTTAGAACCAAACTAAATGGGATGAGAACAATGTCTCTGCAGTGACTCTGGGTATGCAGCTAGCAATGACTCAAGGAGTCAAAGCAGGACTCTGTTAGATAATAGAGAATCTGAAAGAGGCTTGGAGCCGTCAGGATGAAGAAATTTACCTCACAGACTTGTTCTCAGCCCAGGTTGGCGTTCATGTCAGTTTAAATCCTTTTTCACTCAATAGCTGAGCCTTGAGAAGGGGCTTTAGCTGCCAATCTGACTGAGAGTTGACATCTCAATTAGAAAAGCTTCTGTTCGGTGATGATCCAGGAGTGGAGGAAAGAGGAAGCCAACGACCTTCAGACACCCAGAAAAGGCGAGCCCAGTGCTCCAGGGAGGACGAATCATTGCAGCCAACCCTTAACATTCTCGTTTCTAATGCACTCATTTCCTACAAACCTGAGAACCCATGACTTGAGGTCTTTGTAAAATTGTTAAAGCCCAATTTTAAGTCTTGCTTATTTGGAGGAAAAAGTTCCTTAGTCAGTAAATGAGCCTTGCTGACAACCCAGGAGCCACCTTTCACTATGGTTTAGTTTCTCTCTCCTCCTCACCCAGGGATAGTATCTCAGAGGAAGAATTAGAAAAAAAAAAAATCTCTCTTTGTGAAAAATGACACGTGTGTGTGTGTGTGTGTGTGTGTGTGTGTGTGTGTGTTGGGGGTGGGTGGGGGCGTGGAGGTAGAGCCTGTAATGCTCTAGATATTCTATTTGCTCTCTTGCAGTTAGGTGGGGTCATGTGACTGATCCAGTGGAATGTGTGTGTAGAAATATGTCACTTCTGGCTGCAGCATGAAAAGCTTCAGGTGGGATTCTCAGTTCCCTTCCCCTGCAATGGCAGCTGAGGAAGGCCTGTGTTTCAGAGGTACATCTACAGGATGGTTAAACCTCCGTCAGGCTGGTTCCCTGAATGACCACGTGGAGCTGAGCCTCTTACTAACTCACACTGAATATGTCCCATAAGGGGGAATAAGTCTATGCAGTGTTAAATCGCTATGATTTTAACACTGTTACCTCAGCGTACCCTTGACTTTCTTAGCTAACACAACAGGAGAGCTAAAACGTCAGTAAGATTCTTAAAGCAATTAAATTTTGTAATGAAGACCCATTTTTATTAGGAGCCTATAAAAATACATCTATAGTAGCGGATTTGAGGTTTGGCCTTTTCTGTTGCTGCTCCTGATGTAAAGTACTCAGCAATGAAGAGACAAGCTGAAATGATATGTTCATTAGCAGTGCCTTCTGGGAGACTCACAACATCTGATTGGTTGCCAAGTTTGGTATTTTAATTACTCAACATATCAGAAATCTGTCCCTTCTTTCCAATTCTACTAGCATTGGGTTAAAGTCACCTTGCCTTGTTGAGGCAGTGGCACTCACTCTGGCTACCCTCTAATCCACGGGCCTCATTTCAGCCCAAGTTCTCTTCACTCATCTCTCAGAACTCATTCAAAAGTTCCCATTGCACTCCAAATACAGTGCAAAATACTGAATATGGTCCCAAAGGCCCTATGTAATCAGATGATAGGAATGAGAGGCAGGAAGATCGTCCCATTTAACCTACCCCAAGGTCCCAAATGGACTCGTAGGGCAAATTTGTCTGCAGTTTAGCTGGCTGTTGGAGGACTTAACTCTAGGTTCAAAACAGAATGTTTGGCAAAGAGCTATTTGGTATCTACCAATACCTATTTCCAAAACCGAGGATGGGGGAAGTAGGAGGAGATAAAGACATGGTTGTGACAAAATGGATTAGCATTAATTTAGGTCTCATGCCTCCAAAAACTTTAGCCATTTTCTCAAAGTAATTTTCCAACAACTCATTTGGATCTTGTAACTTCCGTCTTTTAAGACTGTCTGCTAGTCCTTCTGTATCATTTGAGGCTTTGCGTGACGTAGCCCAGGCATTCCTCTTGTTCCCCTAAATGCACCACGGTCGTTCACAACTTCAAGCCTTTATATGTGCATTTGGGGTATGGGGAACTAGAAGACTACTTCTCCCTATTTATTTTCTACTACCTTCATCACTTCCAAGGCCCAACTCCAATGTTACCTTCTTGTGAACATTTCCCTAACTCCCAGAGTTAATCGAGCTCTCACGGTAACCAGTTACTAGTTCAGCACCAGAATTGACCATGTTGTGTTATCATTGACAGCATTATCCCTTTGTCATATCATTATCATCATGTGTTACATCATATCATATTATATCATTTTATGTTTCTCTTTTCCTAGACTGTAAGCTGCATGAAGATAGAAACTCCATATTGTCTAGCTCAGTATCTTTCTCTCTTCCTCAAACCCACAGATCAGTTCTAACATTGAATACACATCATAAACTCTCAGAAGAAAATGCTCCTTCACCTACCTTCCTTTTGGAGATTGTTAGAAGAGAAAGTATAACCTATTGATATATATATATTTTTTTCCTTTTTCTTTTAACTGTTATCCTGAATGATTACAACACAAAGCATATTAATAGACGTCACTTACAAATGACTTATTCCTAGAAAAAAATAATCTGATTACTTCACTCAAGGTGCTGTTTCTGGGGTTCTCCAAGATCCTTGAATGCCAGGAAGAGTCCAAGGACAAAGTGCTGCTGGGTACCAATCTGAGCAATAAAAATGGTGCATCTGCCATCTAGTGGTCATCACGTGTAAATGCACCTGGACTTGAGCAAAAGAAGTCTCAAGGGACATCCCATAGTGAACAGAAAGTAAAACTAATACCTGTAAAACTAATGCTAATAAAAGTAATAAATACCTGTGAACATGGATGGGCCTCCTACTGTGTTCTAGACACTGTGTTAAGGGTTTGATACGGACTATATTATTTCATATTCAAGACAATCATGTGAAGTACACCCTATCTTTATACCCATTTTAGAGATAAAAAGTTTGAGGCACTGGAAAGTTAAGGCTTCTGATCCAGCTAGCCTGACATCAGAACCCACATCCTTAAAAACTGAATTATAATATGTGGTGGTCAACTGAGCTGAACTCTTCAAGAACATCAATTTCTGTGTTAAAAGATGTAGTAATTATTAAAATGTGTTTACAATTTTAGAGTTGGAAAAATATGTTCACAATGTCTTATACCTTTACAACAGCTCCATTATCAGTATCCTTATGTTACAGATGGAGGAACTCTCTTAAGATAAATGAAATAATTGTTTAAAGTCTCCAAGCCAGTAATTGATAGATCAAGTGGATTCAAACTTGAGTTTTAATCTAAACTCCATATTGTATCTGCTACATTACTTTTCACATATAGTGATTGAAAAATATTACAAAATGTTTTCATAAGCTTTTTTTATTTAAATACATTTTTATTATTCAAGTGTTCGGTGCTCCAGTCTCCTGAAGGCTAAGTAAATCTGGGGCTTGAAGAAGAGCCGGGGACTAGCAAAGCACAAACAGCACTGAGTCACAAATTCTCTTATCTCCCCTCTGCTGTGCTAAGCCCCCTATCTGCCAGAACACTCCATCTCACCACAAATCGAACAACCAGCACCAGATTCCAGACCCAAAGAGCAGCCTCTCGCTCTCTCAGCTTGGCTCACTTATCCAGTTTAAAATATGATGTTTTAGTTTTCTTGAGAACCACCAAATCACTGATTACCACTTCTTCCCAATGTTCCAATCCTCTTTGAAAATCTACTTACACAATGGTATGGTCAGTCAGTGAAGAAGCTGAGTAGCTCCTGTGCCTATTGATGCTCAGATCAGGACACTATGTCACTTTAGAACACAAATCTCAGCTTCTAGTTATAGGATCTGTTCTTTCCCTTCATTGAAATGCTTTCTCTGTTCATTTTGGCCACACTTCACTTTCCCATCCATTGTCTTTTCAATACATCTTATTCCTTCTTTAAAATATTTATTAAGATCCAATTATGGAGTCCCTAACCTCAGGAAGGTTGCAATCTAGTAGAATGATATATAAAAATGAAATTAATAGACAATGCCAGGTGCATTGACACTCACCTATAACCCCAGCTACTCAAGAGACTGAGGCAGGAAGATCGCTTGAGCTGAAGTGCTCAAGACCAGCCTGAGGAACATAACGAAATCCCCATCTCTAAAAATTAATTAATTAATAGACAAGATAATTATAGATTGTGCTAAGTCACAAGAAGGAAATAAACAGCTGATGTGATGAAGAGTTAATAGTGCAGGGAAGAACCTGTATTTCTGGGCATTTGAGCTGAAACCTGAATGCATAAAGAGGAAGGGAAGTAGGGTGAAGCACAACAAGTGGGATTGGCTCCTTGAGCCCAGCTCAGATTTACTTTGTAGTCCATGAGAACACATCCTTACAAAGATTTACACATCCCTGACCCTTGGGTTTTGTGCATCATGCTTCCATGTAAGCTCCTTAAACCCCTATTTTCTAAGTTCTTCCTATTTACTCCTCTCTTGACAGCCTCAGTGTGGTGGGGATAGATTAAGAGGAAAGCAGCAGGCAGATTTTTGTGGTGAGAGAAAGGAAACAGAAAGGGGGCAAAAATATCTGAAAAAACGATTGTGGATAGACAATGGATATGAATATAGATGGCTCAGGGCAGATATGAGTTCTATGATCACAATAATGGGAAGTAAAATGCTCCAGAGAATAAGAATTTTGAATGATAAAAAACTTGCTGTTCTCTTAGCACATGGGTGACTTTAAATTACTTGCATTTTGTGACATCAGATGAGAATTAAACTTTTAAATATTTTGTTGCCCACAGATATCATCCTTCATCACAGCAGTGACAAGTGTGTGGGTTGTTCTTTGGTGAGGTGCATAGAGTCTCAATTATCATCCCTTGATAGAGAATGGATTATGTGGAGAAGGATTCAAAGTGTCTCTGTAAAATAATTGTCTTAGTCAGTAATTTTGCGCTCTGTGTGTTTTCCAGTTTCTTTCTAATCCCGCTCAAGAGATACAAACAAACATTTTTAAAAGACCAAAATATACTCATTTTTCTTTATTCTTCTTAGGCTAGCAGAGTCAGAAAATCCTTCACAGAAGAGACAAGCTAGATTATATTCAACCTCACGCACCATCAACACAGTTGTCAGCCATGTAGCATGTTCATTACAGTGACGGTAGAAGAAGCAAAGTGAACACAGCTGGATCTTCAGATCCCAGGTCGAGTCTGCAGGGCTGGCTGTTAGAAACATCATCTTTTCATTTATACACTGAGAAAATTTGATCTGGAAGTCATTGAGGGAGAATATGGAAGCCCCATGATGTCACTCTTATTGAGTGACTTTTCTATTTCTGAGCTTTGGTTCAACACAACTGGCAATATAAGCAAAATGATTATTAAAATAATATTTATAGACATACAATTACATAAGTTGGGAATTTTATAGCAGATATATTTCTTTCAGATAATTTATACTTCTGACACTTTTTTCAAAATAATTAATTCCACACTTAAAAAATGTTATATATTCTTTCCTCTTCATTACCACCAAAAAAACCTCAATGTTTTTCTTTTATGGAAAACCACTGTAGCTAAGCAAAACTCATCATGAAATAAATGAAATTATTACTTATAATAACAGCAGTAAAAACAATTACTTTAGTTGTTTGTCTTTTATGGATCTTTGGTTAAGGATTGAATTTTATTGTGTTTGTTTTTAAATGCCATATTTAGAATTATTTTGTTTGAGATCTTAAACAAGTGGACCTTTGTTTCTGTTCCAGAAGTTATTGAAAAGCAAGCCAAAGTATTCCATATGCTTCTTTTTTACTTAACTACTTAATTAAACCATTCTACTGAAAAAAAAGATGATCGTTTCATTCATTCTTTACTAGCTACTGAATTAATTGATTCTCTTCATAGAGGACATGAAGTTGAGGTTTTGAGGCTAGTTTTCTGGAAAAAGAATAAATATAATATCTGCATATATGTGTCTTTCCCTCTTTCTCACATCATTCTCTTCCTTCCATAATAGAAAGTTACAGGGAGCTGGCACTGACCTGGTAACATCACAAAACACACTTTTTATATTCTGGAAAACTAGATCAAAGTAAGAGTGTCTTTGGATTGCTTCTTGGATTCTGTAAATCTTTCAAGACTCCATTTGATGAAGTCGCCTTTTCGTCTCATCTAATTCCCAGTTTTATACAATGGAAACATTCTTCAATCAATAGATTCTAAAACACCCTTGCTCACTTCTCATACAACAGGCCAACTCACTGAATCTTTCACCTTGAGCTGCTATATCCAATTCAGCCATTTCATTAAAAGACAAAATTTCTTGAGCATATTTCTAATCTCCTGACCCACTCTATTATTTTTTTCTTCATTGAGTTTCTGTATTTGTGCAAGTCATTATGAACCTTAATTAGGACATTAAAATCCTCCACAATGATTCTCTTTTTGTCACTGGAATAGAAGAGCTATCTCTTGCCACTTCCCCCACACTGTCCTTTAAAATACTTAAAGGCACAAAATCGCATGCTCAGCTTATGCAATGTTCTTTATCTTTGCTGAATCATTATATAAGGGGCCAAATCTTCATATACTGTAAACTGTAAAACAGCTACAATATTTGGTAGGTCTACTTGCGTCAGTTGTCTATTTTAGAAGTTTGAAATGAAGATGCTTTAAAATACTCAGCCATGCATTGCCAAAAAATTAAGAAAACAGACTCAGAGAAGAAATGTACTGCATCTGACAAGATAAGATATGTGTCCCTTTTGATTTCCATCAGGTCTAGCCAGCCAGTCTGTCTGTCCATGTGTTTTTTACTGCCTGAGGCCAGCCAGTTACTTACCCTAGGAGTGCTTGGCACTCTCTCTCTCTCTTTCTTTCTCTCTGTCTCTTAAATCTCTGTCCCTCAGCAAGTCAACAAAACTCATGCTCAGAGTTTTTGGAATCTGTCTCCCAAGTCATCACCGAATGGTCCAGATGATGCTGCTATCCAGAAATTCAGGAGAATTAATGTTTCATGTGTGAACTCTGACCTATGGGTCAGGAGCTGGGGAGCTGGGTAGTGATTCTCTGTTGTTTATCCAGTTTGTGAACTGCCCTGAGGCTTTGACATATAGTCTGTCCAGAGAAGTATCATGTGTGCTGCTGAGCAGACGTTCCCGCTAAGTAATCTTCTGGGTCTCTGAGTTTCATCTAGAAGTGGAGGCTGAGCATAATGCACCACATCACATTGCTTCCCATTCTTTCTGCATCCTTGCCTCGGTCTCACCCTTGCTTCCTTGGATTTGTGGCTCCCAATAAGGCATCAGCACTTAACCCTTGACTCAGGCTCTGCTTTTTAGGGAGCCTAGGCAAAAGCAAATCCAACACAAGCAAGAGACTTATTTATCTTTGTCAAGTTGAGAGTCTGTAAAAATTACTGAGAAATCTCCAATGGCACACTTACCTTGTATTTATGAGTTTCAGAGTTTGAATGAATACTCCCATTGATAGGTGAGGGTCCTAACGTAAATTATCTAGTGCCTGATTGTATTTAATATTCACATTTGGAATGTTATGAGATCTTTGCTTTTGTTTATAGTTTTAACCATACCTTGTATGAACATGATCACGAGAAGAAACAGAAAAGCCCAAAAGAAGGGACATATTCTAAAATGTAACCAAATACACTCTTCAGAAATATTAGGCCAAGGAAGATAAAGAAAGGCTGAGGGGCCATTTCTAATTTAAGAATGCTGAAAAGAGATGAAATCTAAATGCAATGCATGCTCCTTGATTGGATCCCGGAGCAGGGGAAACACTATGAAGGATAACGTTGGAACCACCAGTTAAATTTCAGTGTGAACTGTGGATTCTATAGTATAGTTGTATTAATGTTCAGTGATACACAAAGATTGGGTAGAACAGGCCTCAGGAAAGTCAAAGGATTGAAGAAAGAACAGACTGTGTTGATGTTTATTACCTAGGCTAACATCAATGGCTATAGCAAACACAAAATTTTCAGTGGTTTACAAAATAAGTTTATTTCTTTCTCATGAAACAACCCATGTAACTGCTTTTGACCGATGGGCAGCTTTCCTCCCTATGGTGATTCATAATGGTATTTTGAGGCCTGCGATACTTCTACATTCCGGTAGTGATTACATGCATGAATTTAGGGTGGACTGTCTATTATTCAAACCTTGGCTCCAACTTTTTAGTTCCATGACCTTTGGCAAGTTACTTCACCTTTTTAAGCTACAATGTTCCCATCTATAAATGCAAAAAATGCTGGCCTTGCAGAGTTTTAAATTTTTTTTTAAATGGTAATAGAGTTCTGATCTTGGTACTTCTCTAAGTACAAGTGATGCAAATAGTAGGCAAACCCTCACTGAATCCCAGTAATACTAATAGAGTTCTGATCTTGCTATTTCACTAAGTACAAGTGATGCAAATATTAGGTAAACCCTCACTGAATCCCAGCACTGAACCCCAGTACTGAATCCCAGTACCACTACTTATTCACCCAGGGATTCTTAATCCTTCTCACCAGTCAAAATTAAACGATGGCTCTTAACACTAAATGGCTTAATATATAAAGTGATTAGCTCAGTGAGTGCAACATAGAAAACATTTAACAAGTGTTTGTGTAAGTTTTCTCTTTCTGCTTTAACAAATTACCATAGATTTAGTGACTGAAAATGAAGTGAATTTATTCTCTCACAGTTCCAGGGGTCAAAAGTCCAAGGTCAATCTCACTGGGCTAAGGTCAGAATATCAGCAGCTGATTCCTTCTGGAGGTTTAGGGGAAAATCTGTTTCCTTGCCTTTTCCAGGTTCTAAAGGCAGCCTGCATTCCTTGGCTTGTGGTCCCTTCTTCCCTCTTCAAAGTCATCAGCATACTTCTCTCATCTCTGACCTCTGCTTCTGTTGTCTCATCTTCTCTCGCTAACTGTTACTTTCTTGCCTCCATCTTATAAGGAATATTGTGATTGAATTAGGCCCATCCATAGAATGCAGGGTAACTTCCCTGTCTCAGATTCTTTAATCACAGGTGCAAAGTCACTTTTGCCATGTAAGGTTACATATTCAAAGGTTCTGGGGATTAGGATGTAGATATCCTTGAGGTCCATTATTCAGTCTACCATACTGTTAGCAGTACTATTCGTATAATCAGAAGTGATTCCAAATTAAAAGAGAATAATACATACATGTGACTAGGACAATCTCTAGTACTCAGTAAGAACTCGATAGGGCTTAGATTCTTCATCTCTTAAAAAAAATTTATAACCTCTGGTGCTCAAAGTGACCATCTTGGCTCCCCTAGATAAAATAAGAAGAATCAAAATAACTATTATCCAGAAACTTTAATTCAAAAGAATTAAAAAAGCAAATAAAGATAGCTGGCGTATCTGTGTTGGTATAAAAATTCTGAAGATAATTGAGATTTTAAAAAATGTTGGTTGGTTATTTTTTGAGAAATCCGCATTTCTTGCCTTAGTCTATTTTGTGGCGAAGACCTAGCTCAAGTCTCCTTTCTGTTTTCTTATAGTGTAGATAGGACTATTACCTTCATTGTTTTTTTCTGATGTGCAATGAGCCTGCTACAAGATGTTAGAAGACCATGAGCCTTACAGGCCCTAAACAGAGCTCACCCTTGCGCTTGCACAGCAGGACTAGACATTTTTAGAAACTTCCATGAACAGGGAAGGATCTGCACTTAAAGAATAATAATTTTTTAAAGAGCCAAATCGCTCAGCTGAACCTGCAGATGATCTGACTTTTAGTTACTTTCAGGTATATTTTATGACATTAGAAACAAGAGAACATGTGTTATCTGGCCTGGGGGGAAAGCAGCACCCCTAAATTCTAATAGTTTCTTTTACCAATCCAAAGGAAATCTCTTAAGACTTTAAAAGGTTGGGTTAACAACACTGAAAATATTTTTATTTTTCACACTCCTCTGCTTTTCTTGGTTCCATCTGGGACCAGAAGCCAGCACGTTGAAATACCAGGAGAAAGGCAGTCCTCAAACATTTCCAGCCTGACGAGAGGCAGGAAATAGCAGAAAGCTCAGAAGGGCAGCTTTTCTTTTCTGCCTACAAGATTTCCAGGCTAATTTAATATGTTAAGTTTGCATAGGTATTACTGGATGTGACTTGGGAATACCCAGGTTTTGAAACCTATTAGGGGTTTTGTGTCACAAAAATGAATTATTTATCTTTATTGTCATTGTGTTATTAATGTTTAATGTCAACGCACTATTTTAATTTAAGTAACAACTTTTATGTGGGAATTCTGACATCTTCAGATAACATGACTATGGCAATTATTTGCTCTCAAAAGGTCTCATTAAGAGATCAGTGTTGAGATGGAAAGTTATGATTTTGCTTAAAAAGCAAACATGATGTTGGTTTCAGTTCACTGACAAACGGAGCTAAGTCTTTATTTAGTTATATGAATAAATGCAAGAAAAAGTAGGAGGAGTACCGATTGTTTTAAAAAAACCAAAATGATTTAGCAAAGAATGTAAAAAATATCTCAATATTTTCCGCACATAAGTAAACTCACCAGCTCCAAGTTCTCCAAATATGGCTCCAGCATGCTTTGGAGGAGCGAGAGCCAACTCTCATGAGTCAACAAAATAAAAATACCTTCAGGGAATGATTTAATAGCTACTTCCCATTCCTGGTTGTAATAGAATAGGCCTAATCTATTTATTTTTTTAATCTGCAAGACATTGTAAAACTGGGACTTTGTTTGATGCTTGAACCTTTTCACACACTCACATCGAGAAATGTGAGAGACTCCAGGGAAGAGAATAATCTGCAGCAGCAGCTCTTGGTCATAAGGGATTTCAAGATCATGGAGATCAATAAGACTGAGCTCTCACACTTTTCCAAAACAGTCCCAGAAGCACAATGGATTTAATCCATACTAAGCATGCATTGATGTGAAATTTGTTTGCACTAGGTTTTTTAGATCATTAACATGCTGAAGACGGGGCCTGTGTCTGTAACGTGTCCTACGTAGCACCTCCGGTAGGTTCTAGTCACCATACAGCATTTGTGGGGAAGCCAGTCCTAGGTACCAGAAACTGGGGCCTGTTAGATTAGAATAATGACTCCCTAGCTATTTTTGATGAAATAAATGATTTACATGTTTCATCATCAAAAATGTATTGACTTTTGACAATATGCCGTGGACTATACCATGCTATAGATACTCGGTGATCTCTGTCTTTATGGAGCTTACGGTATCCTGACAGAATACAGACAATAAGTGGGTTAATGGACAAAAATGAAATCACAAATTTATAGAAATGCTGAAAAAGAAAGGAATAGGATGGAAACTAAGAGGAAGAATCAGGAAAATCCAATTGCTTTTCAATGTGCAATCTGAATCCACTCAAAGAACAGAGGACCAGCGCTCCAAAAAAGCATGTGCTATAGCCATAGTGTGTGAACAGCCAGATCTGCCTTCAGTCCATTGACAAGAGGAACAGCAAGAATGTTGTTCTAGCAATCCCTAGGTATTTTATTGCAATCTATCCACCTGACAAAGGGCCGATACCCAGAATCTACAAGGAACTGAAACAAAGTTACAAGAAAAAAACAAACAACCCCATCAAAAAGTGGGCAAAGGCTATGAACAGACATTTCTCAAAAGTAGACATTTATGCAGCCAACAAACATATGAAAAAAAGCTCATCATCACTGATCATTAGAGAAATGGAAATCAAAACCACAAGGAGATACCATCTCATGCCAGTTAGAATGGCGATCATTAAAAAGTCAGGAAGCAACAGATGCTGGAGAGGATGTGGAGAAATAGGAACGCTTTTGCACTGTTGGTGGGAGTGTAAATTAGTTCAACCATTGTGGAAGACAGTGTGGCGATTCCTCAAGGATCTAGAACCAGAAACGGCATTTGACACAGCAATTCCATTACTTATAACCGAGAGGATTACAAATCATTCTGCTCTAAAGACACATGCACACATATGTTTATTGCAGTACCATTTACAATAGCAAAGACTTGGAACCAACCCAAATGCCCATCAATGATAGACTGGATAAAGAAAATGTGGCACCTATACACCATGGAATACTATGCAGCCATAAAAAGGAATGAGTTCATGTCCTTTGCAGGGACATGGATGAAGCTAGAAACCATCATTCTCAGCAAACTAACATAGGAACAGATAACCAAACATGGCATCTTCTCACTCATAATTGTGCGTTGAACAATGAGAACACATGGACACAGGGAGGGGCCTGTTGGGGGGTGGGGGGCTAGGGGAGGGATAGCATTAGGAGAAATATCTAATGTAGATGATGGGTTGATGGGTGCAGCAAACCACCACCATGGCACGTGTATACCTATGTAACAAACCTGCACATTCTGCACATGTATCACAGAACTTAAAATATAATAAATAAATAAATAAAAGAAAAATGTGTTATCCATCTTCTGACCTGAACCTCTTTGGCTTCTCCAAGGACAACTGTGGGGCCTCTTACCTCAGCCTTGCTATGACTCATTCTCTTCCTCATCTCTCCCACCAGCACCCGGGCCTTGGGGAAAAGACAAGCTAAGTGTTCCAACTAGCACTAGATACCTTCCCCACTGTCCCAACCATATGGCCTCCCAAGTCCATGCTTGTGGGGTGCTATGTTTTCTCATCATTTCTAAGTCTTCTCATAATTTCAAAAGGCATAGGTGCCCTTTGCAAGTTGTAGGAGTCATGAAGTTTCCATGCCCAGCACCCCCTTGTTCACCCGGAGTGCATGTTCTCAATTCATTTACCTTCTCATTGAAATTGCATTGGTAACCAGGGCGAAAACAAGGCCAAACTCAGGCAGGACAGTGGTGAAGAAGTTGATGAGGGAGGCTCAAGGAACATTGGGACTATGCCCCAAAGCTGCGAGTATATGGGGTTCACAGGTAAGATGAAGAGAACAAAAGATGAAATTGTGATAAGGATGAGCTTGGGTTTTCAGCCAAATGAGGGAATGAAATTAGATTTTTGAACTTCTACCTCTCTTGCCAATGCATTATTTTTTGTAAACTTGCTTCAGTTACCTAGGCTAGGATTTCTAGGATAGAAGTGCTGAAAAGAAACACTTACTTAAAACTGTTATGGGAAAACACTTCATACAACTCTGGAATTTAATTTTTAATAATATTAAAGCAATAATTAAAAATAACATTAGTGATCAACTTTGAATTTTTACTTGCCATCCTCATTTTAGGGCCAAATTTTACTTGTAAGGCAATAAATTGAATTAGGATTAATATGCAATATTAGGGAACCACCTGCCTTGTTCAGACATGGGAAATAAGCAATTACAACTTAATTGTAACGCGTGTTTAAAAAGTTGGCACCAAAGAAGGAAGGAGAAAAATCTTTAAGAAATCACCCTTGTTCAATCTTCTGATCTCAGTTAAGTTCTTTTTTTTATTGACCACACCCCAAAAGTACTAAAGTGTTTCTCAAAAGAGGGTAGCCAAGCTAGTTAGTGACCTCACCCATCCACAAGAGTTGGCTGAATTCTTTCCCTTGTATATGGTTCCTTTGTGAAAAATATTTATAGTTATGCCTTCTAAGGCTTAGAAATAACCAGCTATTTCTGCCTTTATGCAGAATTCTTGTAAATATTTATATGCTTTAATGTCTCAGTTTTAGGTCCTGAATGATTGATATGAGGGCCTTATCAGTACAAAAGATTTGTATTTTTTAGATGGTTGTTCATTTTCTAACTATGGGAAAAGGATACACAGTCTTATTCTTCATGTACATCATTCCTAGAATCCCCTGAAAGAAAAGAGTTTAATCTGATGATCTTCTAGTTCCATTATATTTGCTTGTTTGTTTGTTTGTTTTTGCCATTGAGGGTTTTTATATTTAGCTTTGTTTTGTAGGCAGGTAGTTATTAAGGCTGTGTCAATAATGGCAAAGCAATCACTCTCTATTTAACTAGCTTGTCCACTCAAAGCTGGAGTTACCAAGATAAATAACGCATAGACCCTTCCCTTAACACACTTATGACTAGTGGGAAGGGAGGCGATGAAGCTCAGATTCTGTGAGTGAAATGGAGGGTAACAGAGAAAGTTTCCCAGACTGCATGGTCCTTGGCCAGAGTTCCAATGGATGAATAGGGATTTAACAGGCAGAACCAAAAAAGAGGGAAGGTCTTTCCAAGGGGAACAAATAGCATCATAAAGGCATGGAGGAATAAAAGAACATGGCAGGTTTAAGCAAATGAAAGAGTAGAGTGGAAATGAAGGATGGAGTCTGTATGGGGAAATAGCTAGAGATAAGTGGGCAGGTCATGGCATTTGCATGACTCGGCTAAGAAGCTTGGGGATTTCTTTGAAGCCACTGAAGAGTCATAAAAGGACTTCAGGTGGAAGAACAATATGGTCAGAGTTCTATGTTAGGAGGATGTTCTGGTGGCAATGTGGAGGAGGGATTGGAGCAGGTCAATAAGACACCGACATTTTTCAGGCACATATTGAGCTAGGCTGGAGGGAAGTGTTTCAGGCTGGAGCCAAGGCCAGGACACCGGGAACGGAGAGAAAAAGTGCTTTGGGATCTGTGGGATCTGGTGACTGGCTGGATGTGGAATAGAGGGAGTCAGAGGAACCCAAGGTGCCTCCCAGAAGATAGGGAGTGGCCTTGGATGTAGAAGAGCATGGAGCAATTTTTCACGGGTGCGATCTGTGTTATGGCCAAAGAAGGTAATCAGAGGAAAATGCCCAAACTCCTCCTTGCCAGTTTACAGTAATCACCAAAAGGCAGTGTGGGCTGGCTGGGGTACAGGCACTTGCCTTAGTGTATTTTGTGTGTGCAGGGTAAGGATTGACAACACAGACTCAGGATCCAGATTGTCTGAATTCACATTCTACATTTGCCACTTGCTGACTATATGACTTTGGGCAAGTTACTTGACCCATCCATACCTCAGTTTCCTCCTCCACAAAGTGAGATGATAATAACACCAACTTCCTAATGTGGTGGTAAGGACTGAATAATTTAAATATTTCACTTAGATGAGTGATTGGCAGGAAGACAATTTTTCATTGAACATGATTATTATTATTGTTATCACGTGTATTAGCTAATTTAAACCTCAAAAAACCTATAGACATAGGTACTGTTATCTCTATTTTTCAAAGAAGGAAATTGGGGCACAAAGAAATGGTAGCACTAGGAGATCAAACCAAGCAGCCAGACTCAGGTGCTTTTACTGTTAACTTCTTCACCATAGTTCTCTGTATACTGTTTTGGGAGTCAAGCTCAAGGACATGCACTAACTACAAGGTAGAAGCAGGGAAAGTTATGAGTGGTGGGGGAAGGAAGAAGAGGCAGGGAGAGGTGTTAGTGGTAGGCGAAGGAGGTAGAGGCGGGGAGAGGTATGAGTGGTAGGGGAAGGAGGAAGAGGCAGGGAGAAGTGGGAGTGGTAGGGGAAGGAGGTCCCAGCACTTGGCATTTTAATCAAAGCGATGCCTGAGCTTGACACACTGCTGGAAGCGCTGCCACCATAACCAGCATGTCACCTTGCTGATTTCATGACAGGCACTCATTCCTTCTCAGGCAGGAGACAAATATCACCAGTGCTCCTATCTTCAACCATTTGGCTGATTCCTACTTTCCCACACCTTTTTCTACCACTGCCCAGACAAAAGAAATGCCCATCAGACCACGGCTATAAATGAGCTTAATATGTCCCACTTTCAGTGCTGTTTTCTCTGTCTACATAAATAAAATCCTTTGCTAAATTTGGAGTTTTCAAACTATTTTTATGGAAAAAGGCAGTTTAGTGTAACGGTTAAAAATGTTTAGCTTGGGTATCAGAAAGATCTGTTTGGCTTTGCTAACAACTAGTCAAATTTAGCAAATAAGTGTCAGACACTCAGTTAAATTTGATTTTTCAAATAAATAATGGGTACTTTTTTTTTAGTATATCAATATACTGTCAGTCCACATCCTTAGATTCAACCAACCATGGATTAAAAACATTAGGAAAAAAATTAAAAATTATAAAATATGAATACAACAATAAAAAAGACAAACAAAAAGACAGTGTAGCAACTATTTACATTGCATTTTCATTGGATTTGGTATTACAGTAACCTAGAGATTACATAAAGTATACAGGAGGATGTGCATAGGTTATATGCAAATACTATGCCCTTTTATATCAGGGACTTAAGCATCCCTGGATTTTGATATCTGCAGGGCTCCTGGAACCAATCCCCACAGATATGAAGAGATGACTATATTTAGTATATTTCCTGGGACAGACTTTCCTAAAAAAATTATCCATTGTTTATCTGGAATTCAAATTTAACTGGGCATTTTGCAATTTATCTGGAAACCTTATAAGGAATTTAATTTTTTGGTGCCTCCATTTTCTCACCTATAACATATAAGGCTAAGAAAAGATAAAATAATAACTATGATTGAGATTTGCTGTAAAAATTAAATGAGATAATGTGTGTTAAGTGCATAGGAAATGCTCAATATGTATTCATTGTTGTTATTTTTATACTGTACAGGGATTATGATAAGCTGGTAAAGTATGAGGTAATCTTTCAGCACTGATGCTTTCAACAACATTTTTAAAAGCTTTACCATTGGAAACGAGGTACGTTCCATCCCATATATCTTCATGCATCTGAAAAAATAGAAATATAAATACAACTTGATTTTTCTATCTGCTTTTCTTTAGGAGAAACTGGGTAAATAGCTCTTATTTCCCAACATAATTTTCATATTTTCTCCTAACTCTTTTGCCCATAAGCTACCTGCCAAGCTAACTTTATAACGAAGAAGAGGTTCCAGGCACTGAGGCCTTTATCATTAAAGATAAAGTGGAAGCAACATGAGGTAGTGCTCATTAATCTTTCCTTATTTCCTTGGGAAGAATTTGGCAAAAACAGATTCTACAAACTCAGCCAGCCATCTTTGAAGGCTATTTGCCCTGGGCCAATTATATATTACACGATAAGCATACCCAATAATTAACTAATGAACTGGTTTATTTGGGAAACGATCAGAAGTGTCAGGGATTGAAGAACATTTAGATTGCCTCTATGAGTTATGCTGAAGCAACATCTGCTTGTTTTTTCTTCAATCAACGTGCACCCTGTAGGGTCCCAAATTCAAAAATGATTACATTTCATGTCATTTATGTGCCTTACAGTTTGACAAATTTAACTTGTAAGAATAAGTGATTCCATGTTCAATTTACGTTGATCCCATTTTCATCCAAACATCCAAAGAGAGAGAACCATTATAGATTGATAAAAGCTGCTGATTGATCTATTGATTTCCAGACCTTAAATCTCCTAGGGAAGTCTTTGTAAAGTTCGTGTTCATAAAATTCTTGTTCTGCCACAAAAGCTTCCAGTGGATTGTGTTTCTCAACTACAAGGAAAATCATCAGGGACAAACCCAGAAAATGTTTCTTTAGTATACACTAGGCAGGAGGGCCTTCCAAATTCAGTCTCAATCTGGTTTCTTCAAAGGTTTATTTTTATTTCATTTTTGAAAACTTTTAATTTGAAGAGGGGGGAAAAAGCCCTTTAAAGCATAACAACCCGCAGTGATGTAAGTGCCTTTCTGTCTCATATATAATCATGTCTGTTTGGACGTGCTGGGTGTCATGTCCAGGGCTATGGTGCCACATTGAGAACAATATTGAACTAAATAGTTTTGACAGAACAGCCAGACCTTTTCTTGGGGCTCCTGCTATATTGCATATCTGCTTCTTTGTACACAACAGGGTGGGCGACTGATGGAAAGCAGAGAGTTCAATTGTGGTTAGAGTCTGCAAAAGAACCATCAATGGAAACTCTTTACTGATTTGCACTATCGCCTGGGAGACAGAGTACAGATGACTGTATTTTCCAGGTTATCAGCTATAGGAAAAAGCAAAATCAGTTTTCTGAAATATGTACTCTGCTACAATAAATGTTGTGAGTTCTATGCATGCAGATAAATGTCAGCCTACGTGGGTAGGCTGAAAGAACTTTGTTAACCTCAGCTCCTCTTTTCCATTGCTTTATGGAGAGTAGTTTATGGGTATTGGGTTGCGTGAGTGAACTCAAGGTGGGTTTGTCTCTAGGCAGAGAGTTGTGCATATTTATTGGCAAGGACTTTGTCTTTCTGATTGTATGATTTACTGGGATAATTTATTGAGATTTTAACTCAATAATATTAAGCGTTAGTGCCACCCTCCCAGACCCCTGCTTCCATCCCAGAGGGTAGCTCAGCTTGTAATTCTGCGTGTCCCACGGTAGACCTGAGAGGCTTTGCTGTTTTCAGAGGTGAGTTGACCAAAATAATGGAGGGACACAGAGAATGGAAAGGTAAAATCTACCAAAACTGGTTGATATTTTCCAGAAGGAAAAAAAAAAAAAGAGGATGCATTCTAGGGCCTTCATGAGTGATGGAAAGATCTGTATCAGGCTCCCAAGCAGAACTGAGACAGATACACATTTGATGGTTCGGTAGGTGGATGCTGACAGGACCTCTCTCTGAGAACAGTGTTCACTGAGCTTCAGTGAAGGATCACGGTGCCTGTGCTTGGCACAAAGGGAATGGGAATTGAGAACTGCTATCTCCTATGTATACCTAGTCTCCAAGGCTTTGCCTGGCTTCTCTGGTCTGGGTTGTTACTGCTCCTTCTATTTAACCTGTGTTCCTTTCTGCCTTTGGAATTTGGGACCATATTCTCTTCCAGGTAGGCTTTTCAGCTCCTGTCAGTACACTCTTTCAGGAACAACTAGGTACTGTACAAATTTCTCAAGCAAGGTAACTGGTCCTTTACTATTTATATGCCTTTTTAAAACTGCAAAAGGGTTTTAACAATTATTACTCCTCTTTTCTCTCTATTTAAATAGAACGTTTGACATAGAAGGAACCGCCAAGCTTACCTTGTATTGGCCATGCGAGTTCACTCAATGACCACATGTGCTTACTGAATTACTACAACAGGCTGAAGACTGAATCCCATTCCACTGATAGTAGCATTTATCTTTCTCCAAAGGTTATTCTGATTTTGTCACCTTTCTCAGGACTCATTGTCACTAGAAAAATTGGAATCTCTCTATTCTGTGTTTCAGGTCTTCCTAACATCCATAGTGGCTAAAAACTTCTAATTTGGAGGTTGCAAGTTGGCAGATCATGGCTAAGTTCAGTCAGTAGCTATTTTTTATCTGGCATGGTTGTTATTGAAATTTGAATAGCATTTAAATTTTTTTAAACCAGAAGATTTTTAATAAAAATCTTGATTTTTCTTTTGGAGAAAAAAATCAGATAATGTGGCATCATTAGGCACACATGCCCACTGGATCCATCTTCCAGAGCTGGATGATGAACGTGACCTGAGCTGAACGTACTACACATCTTTCCGCTCCCTTGCCTCCCTGCCCAGGTCTACTTCTCTTTTTAGCATTTGTTGCATGGCCCTTGTAGGCATACTTGTTTACAATCTCCTTAAACTAAACCAAAACAAATGGGTAAATTGGAATCAGGGGTAAAGTTCAAGGGCAGCAAAAAATCAAACTTTCAAGCAAAGACCATGACAAGTTTAGATACTAGTTGGAGCTAAAAAACATGCATCATAATCTAAGCAGAAGAAGATGCAGCAATGGATAAATATACTAGTCTATTGCTAGGACATCAAATTGCCCTAAAATGTACTGACTAAAATTGACAACAATCAGTTTTTATCTCCCAATGTCTATGGGTCAAGAATATGAGAGTGGCTTGGCTGCTCAGTTCTGGCTTGGGGTGTCTCCTGAGGTTGCAGTCAGATGGTAGCAGGGGATGGCATCCTCTCATAGGGTCTGGAGCACAAGGAGATTCAATTCCCTGAGATGAGACAGTCAGGGCTCCTGGAACGTGAATCTCTGGCTCTATGCCATCTCTCCACATGGTCTCCCCAGCAGGGCCATCAGAAGCCATGTATCCTAAGGGAGAGACACAAACGGAAGAAGTTACTGTTGCCCTACCTTACGGGTTGGAGCAGACAGAAGCCCCCACTCAGATTTGGAGGGAACATGGCCCCCACCTCTTGGTGGGAGGGGCAGCAGTCACACTGTAAATAGAGCCTGTAGGACGAGAGTTGTATGCTAGCATGTCCGTCTTCGGAAAATGCAGTTTGCCACAAACAGAAATGAGAGATAGGGTCAGGAACTAAGAAATTCTGAATGATGTAAAAGCAAATAAAAATTTTGGTTTCCTGAGAAGAACAAGAATAGAAGATAATGTCTGGAGACTGGAATATCTGCTTGCATGTGTTGGCTTTGTTGTCCACTTGACCATAGCCCAAAGGTTAACTTGGGCATACTCAGGCCACTTAGCATCACCAGGTTCTGAAACTTTCACCTGCCCACCCTGGACAGTTTCATTTGCTATTACCTAGTTTTCCACTTCAACTAAACAAGTGGCCTTACTGTCTCTTGTGCATAGCTGGTCTTGAAGGTTCTGCCTGGCTCCTCTGATCTGGGCTGCTCTTGCTCCTTTTATTCCATCTATGCTCCTTTCTGCCTTCAGACTTTGGGACACATCGTCCTTTAGGCAGCCTTTTCAGCTTCTGTTGGAACGCTCCTTTAGGGACCACCACATACTGTACAGACTTCTTAAGCACAGTAACAGGCCTTTTCCTATTTATATGCCTTTTTTAAACTGTGAAAAGGTTTTAACAATTATTATTCCTCTTGCCTCTCTATTTAAATAGAGTTTCTGATACAGAAGGAACCTCTATTTTCTCCTTTTGAGTGGGGAAACAGAAGCCAAGATAGGTAAGGAGCCTGTCCAGGCTTCCATAGCTAGAAGCTGGAGGAGAGGGTCACAGCCTGCACCTCCTGACTTGTGGTTTGGAGCTCTTTCTGTTCCCTAGGGGTCAACATGGGTGAGTAGCCTAAAGGCCTGTACAAGGCTGGTCAATAAACAAGAAGCACTGTGTATTTGGCTGGCACACAGTGTTTTGTTTTGTTTTGTTTTTAAGTAAGTAGGGCACACACTTGACAGTTATCTGCAGACTCCACTAATCTACCACCAAATCCCTTCTCATATTTCACTACCTGTGTGGCCTCTGAAGGCATTTGAAGGCATCCCCCCTCCCCATCCCCTTTACATCTTCCTAAAGGGAATAATTTTACTCAATAGAAATAGATGGCTCTTGTTGATCCTCTACATGCTCTGTACAAACTTTTATATGTACTAACATATTTATATGTACTAACAACTTATATGTACTAACTCACTTAATACTCACAACATCTCTACTTTTATCCCCATTCTAAAGATGAGTAAACCGAGACACAGAGTGGTTAAGTAATTTGTCTACATTCTAACATGTGGTAAAGACTGAGAGCTGGAATTTGATTCCAAGCACCTTTACAACAGAGCTCATAATGTCAACCACTCTGCTGAAGAAAGTCTAGATAGACAAAATGCGGTAATAATAAATTTGGGTGGATCTAATTTGCTAGAGTAGTCATTATATTTTCAAATTTATAAAATCTATCTATAGGTTTATATTTGAAAGAGCAGGATAGTAGAGCATTCATGTCCTAATGTAGCTCATTTTCAACATGAAATATTGTCCATGTGTCGTGAAAGGTGAATTTCACTACTTTAAAAATGCCAGCCATCTGGGTCTGATATTTCATGCTAAAACTCAAAACTTTAAGCATTTTTAACCAAGTCACCATCTTAATCTTTATTTTAGTCTCCAAATGTTTTTGTGGCGAGTGTAAAGATGAATGGAATTCAAAAGTGGCCATTAAGACTACTACTGCATGATGGAAACTACAGCCTACTATATAAATCTAAATCCCTCCATAAATTTAAGAAAAGATTTACTGTTCAAAAATAAAAATATAAATCATTCTCATTTTCTAAATCATTGCTGCTGATGATCGTACCCAGCATGGTGAGAGATCACTATATTATTCTGGATGTAGTACTATGTTTAAATTTACCAAGGAGTCTCAACTGCCCACGGGATTTACTACTTCATGTACTTGCCAAGATAGAAGGTATTTCTGCATAATTCCTGCAGCTGAACATTATTGATGCTCTAAATGCATGGAACATTTAATATGTGTAGCACGTCCAGCAAGATCAGTTATTGAAATGAATTATAATTTTTATACCGAACCATTGAAGGCCCAATTAGAAAATTGATCACTTTTGAGGAAACTGTCTCCTTAATCTTTCTTATTTACAGTACAGGATTCAGCAGCAGGAGAAATTCACAGTAGGGTCAGATTGTGGTGGGTCTTGAAAGCCAGACTAAAAGCATTTGAACCCTTACAGATAACAGGGATCATTTAAGGCGTTTTGAACAAAGTGAGTGAAGTGATCAAAGAAATGTTTGGGGAAGGTTAATCTGGCAGTGATGTGTAGAATGTTCTCCATCATGTGGTGACAAGAAAATGGACGTGTGGACAGAAAACTGTGAATTAACTCATGTCAGCGTCTGAAGAACATACCAAGTTTAGCAGTTACCAATCCAGACTAGCCCCAGGTCCATGCTCTGATCACCTTTGAGTCATAAGCTTTGGAACTCCAAGCCGTTACTGACTGATGGAATTTGTAGACTTCTTTGGAGGCCTGGGGAGAAAGAAGGGGAAGGAAACCATGATATGGTCAGAGGCACACCTGTGGGTTACAGGAATTGGCATGAAGGAGGACTAGTGAGGCAGTGTAAGTCTGACTTCATTGATGACCTTTTTTCTGGATCCTTGGACTATTCTCATTTCCTGTTTCCCTGAGTTGCTCTAATTTTTTCTAGTTTCAACCCTTTTTCTGTACCCTCTGCGGCAGATGCCCAGCCCTCTGGGAAGTTTTGATAGCTTTATACACTGGTACAGCCTGGGCAGGTGTCTATTCTACCTATTGCTGACTGTGTAGGCAGGCATTTCTCAAAATAATCCACTACTTATATCTCAAGACATAAGATAAGCCATTTTCCGCAATGTCATAATGCACAATAGTGGACAAATCACTAATTCAAAACATTTTCCTAGCAAGTTTGGATAATAATATTTCCTTATTATTTGCTGTAATATTAATTATTATTACTATTCTTATTATTTGAGTAATAATTTTCTATTGTTTCAGAAAATTCAATAGAACATGGAAATGATTCCACATTAAAAATTCCATGATTTTGGCCGGGGGTGGTCACTCACGCCTGTAATCCCAGCACTTTGGGAGGCTGAGATGGGACGATCTCAAGGTCAGGAGATCGAGACCAGCCTGGCTAACACGGTGAAACCCCGTCTCTACTAAAAAATACAAAAAATTAGCCATGCGTGGTGGTGGATGCCTGTAATCCCAGCTACTCGAGAGGCTGAGGCAGGAGAATGCCATGAACCCGGGAGGTGGAGCTTGCAGTGAGCCGAGATCATGCTACTGCACTCCAGCCTGGGTGACAGAGCGAGACTCCGTCTCAAAAAAAAAAAAAAAAAAAAAAAAAAATCCATGATTTTATTCCTTATTGTATAGCATGGAGATGTTTCTGTCTATCTGTCTAAAATCAGGGGTGAGGAAGCTTTTTTTTTTTTTTTTTTTTTTGTAGAGATAAGAGGTCTCACTATGTTGACCTGGCTGCTTTCCAACTCCTGGCCTCAAGTGATCCTCCGGCCTCAACCTCCCAAAGGGCTGGGCTTCTAGGCATGAACCACTGAGCCTAGCCTGGGGTGAGAAAACTTTTGGCCTCAGGACAGTCCCACCTTGAGATTTCGACTGTACCCCAGCTCTGCATGGCCTACATACAGACTTGAATAACCTGGCTACAAAATAAACAGGCTGGGCAGCTGAGATCTCAGACTAACATGTCTCTCTCTCTCTCTCTCTTCACTTTGCTTTCTCTGAACTTCCCCTCCTTGTTTACTCATTTAACAAATGAATTGTTAAATAACATTGAGCATCTATGGTATACCAGGTATTGCACCATGTGTTTGGAACACAGCAGTGAAAAAGGCAGCAAAATCCCTGCCTTATTGAGCTCGTAATCCAGAGGGGGTGGCAGATATTGAACAGATAAACAGCTGGATACAGAATTAGAAATTATGACAAGTGCCTTGAAAGATAACAAAGGGGATGGGTAAGAGAGATATCCAAGGTATACCTACTTGAGATCAATTGGTCAGAGAAAACCTCTCTGAAGAAGTAGGTTTACACTGGAACCCCCAAAATTAATGAAAACTAGTTGGGTAAGAGGTTGAGGGGGAAAGACTTTACTGACAGAGGGAATAGAAGGTGCAAAGAACCTGAGGAGGGAAAGAGATGCTGCTAAGTGCAAATAACTCAGTGACTGGCTCTCTCTCTCACCCTTCATTATTTCTATTTTCCCTTATTACCTAAATATTACATTTTTTCTATCTAGTTTCTTTGTTACTGATATTTCCCCATAAATTAAGGATTGTATAAAACACAAACATTTTTAGGGAACTGGGGTCAGATCCAACTTGTGTTTGCTATTTAGAAGCTAGGCAACACTTCTTGGAGGTCATCTGTATGATATAGGGCCAATGAAGGAGAGGGTAATCCTGTGATTGCAAGTTTATTTCAGAACCTCACAGGAAAAGAACCCATTCATTCATGAACACAGAGATCTACTGATACATTTGATGAACAGAGAGTCTCCATAGAAGCCGTGTTGCAAAGAGATCAATGGAAACAAAAGGAGAGAGAGATGAACTGGACACTGAAATGCAGAACCTGAATACTAGAGACAATTGTTGTTTATGTAAAGTATTAATCTCTATGAGAAATTGCTTTAAATCAGTGTCTGCAATGCCTCATTGCCCTGGGAATACAGAGTCCGTTTCAGAAATTGCTAGTTTCCTACCCTCTCTGTCTGCCTTTGTATAAAACCCCAATTTTGCTTGGAGTGGTCTTGTACAAGACTAAATTTCCCAGCTTCTTTTGCAGCTGGATGTGACAATGTGACTAAATTCTGGCCAAATGGAAATGTTACACAAACTTTCCTGAATAATCCTTCAGGAAATTGACTTAGCCAGGGAGCCTGTCTCTTTTGCCCTTTCCTCAGCTTCTTTCTTGCTGCCTGGAATGTAGCTATGATAGCTGGAGTTCTAGCAGTTATGTTAGGTCATGAGGTGACTTTGGAATAAAAATTCCATGTCAAGAAAGTGGAATAGAAGGAAGAAGCTTTGAGCCAGATAATAAAACCTCTATAGTACACCTTTGCTACCTATTTTGAGATTTCTTTTATATGAACAAAAAATATACTTCCATGTTACAGAAGATAATGTGTGATGTGGTTTGTTTTATGCATGAAGCATAGTTTCTAAAATGTGCAGCCAAACGTAACTTGACTCAAAAATCGTATGTTTGTTTCAGTTACCTATGTGAACAACCATAATTTATTATTATTGTTGTTATTGTTATTTATTTATTTATTTTTCTGAGACTGAGTCTTGCTCTATCACCCAGGCTGGAGTGCAATACCGTGATCTCAGCTCATTGCAACCACCGCCTCCCGGGTTCAAGTGATTCCCGTGCCTCAGCCTCTTGAGTAGCTGGGACTACAGGCACGTGTCACCACGCCCGGCTGATTTTTGTATTTTTAGTAGAGACGGTGTTTCACCGTGTTAGCCAAGATGGTCTCTATCTCCTGACTTCGTGAGCCGCCTGCCTCGGCCTCCCAAAGTGCTGGGATTACAGGTGTGAGCCACAGCGCAAGGACCATAATTTATTACTTTTCATGATTCCTTGGATCAGGAATTTGGGCAAGACACAGCTGGATAGTTCTTTGGCTTCACAGATGGCGGCTGGAGTCATTGTGTAGATGCATGTATCTGAGAGCTTGGCTAGGGTTGAGACATCCGTGATGGCCTTTAGATCTCAGAAAACTCTGCCCACGTGAACTCTAAGCATTTACTAGTTTTTGCTGAACTTCCTTCCAGTATGTTCACTGAGTCCCAAGAAGAAGCAAAAGAGAGCTGCTAAGTTTCTTAAGCCTGTGTTCGGAAGTCCCAGAACATCAATTTTATCACGTTCTATTGGTCAAAACACATCACAAGTCCAGAGCATATTCAAGAGGAGGAAAATACAGTTCATCTCTGTTATGAGCAGCTTGCATGAACAAGAATGGCAGTAATAATTGGTGACCATATTTGGGGACTCTTTACCAAATCAGTTAAAAGAACACTATGGCACCGGCCATTTGAGCCCCTCTGCTCCCAAACCACCCCCTGAAAGCTGGATAGAAAATGGAAAACCTATCAGGAGAACACTATGAGTTTGGTAATAACAAAGCTACAAGATATTACAGAGAGAGAAAGGAGGTCACTACCACCAACAGTGTGGTCCAGGATGTTTGCTGGTGACATCATTGTGGAACAAGAGACAGCAGTGGATGATGAAAACAGCTAGACGAAAATATTCCAGAGTTGCAGAGATTGGTTTGATTTATATATGAGAGCATTCTCCTCTCTTTCTCTTACTCACATTTTGGACCTCAGCACAGACTCTTGAAGAGACTTAAGGGTTTCCTTCCTCTATTTGAAAGATGATCAGGGACACCTAGTGATATAAGCTGTTAAGGTGACCTTCCTAAGTTGCACCAGCTGCTAATGTCCAAGGGACATTTACATTGCATAAAAATTTACTATTTGCATATTCTTACTTCTTAATTTAAAAGAAAATTTATTTATGTATTTTTATATGTATACCTATACATATGAAAATTCTGAAAGAATATATAAAAAATTTTAATGGTTACTATAACTGGGTTATGAAATTAATGAATGAATTTGTCTTCTCTGCTTATTATCAATAAATTTTATATTATTCTATAATGAACATGTATTATTTGCATAATTTTAAAGTTTATTTTTACTAAAATATAAAATTATCTCATATTTCTTTTAAGGAAAAATATAAAGTTACTTTTCGCTTACAAGTGGCCTTTAATTGATCATTTTTGCAGCAAATTTGTAGTCATCCTTGCTAGAAAGTGTCCTGGCTTGCTTCAGATCTGCTTAGTATAATCGTAATAATATTCCTGCTCAGAGATTCACAGTCCCGTAATATACATCCTAGGTGTTTCAATGCCAAAGATTAAAGAAATTTCAAAGGCACAACCAGAAGGTTGAATTATTGAAATGCTAATGAAGACATGTCCTCAGAGAAAATCGCAGGGAGTCTTCACAGTTTTTAAGGCTTCATCTGAAAGACCTTTGCAGAATAAACATGGTGTTCAATTTATGTTTCTCAAAAGGTCTACTGGAATTTGAACTGCTCCTCCCAGAGAGTAGAGTATTTTAAAAGCAGAAGTTCGAGCATTAACCAGTATAATTTCCATTTGGCATCTACATGATCCATATGTCCAAAATAAGAATTTTTATTTAATTCCAAAACAAATTAATTCACTTAATTAGTCTGTAGGTGTATAGGCTGTTGAACGGAGTGGGTTGGCTCTGGGCAGAAGGAATAATATACTGCTAGGAAATGTTGCAACATATTTACACAAAATGTCGGCATTTCTATGTTTGAAAAGATGGTGCTTTTAAAAGATATCACCTCCCAAGGAAGTTAAGTCTTTGTATGCTTACTATCAATCTCTTAAATGTCTCTGTGGCAAAGGTGATTATAATCATCTCCTCTGTTATAAAAGCCTGTGGACAACAACCAGACATAAATAGCCCAAATGACCGTAAAGTTACCTCTAGATATATTTCTAATATTACATATATATGTATAGGTATATGAGTTTATATGTGTTTGTGTGTGTGTGTCTACAGACAGATGGAAGGAAGTATGGATAGATGAATAGATTAGGTAGATAGGTTGATAGATATAGATATATACATACATACATAGATAAATAGATATTACAGATAAATAGATATAGATATTCTATATACAGTATGCATAAATGTACACAGGCTTTTAAGAAACACATTCATCAGGCAAAAAAATACCACCCATAACTTTAATTAAAATGTCTCCCTATAGATTAAAAATAATGCAGATTTTTCATGTTCTGTTATCAGTTTGACCTCTAAAATTGCTTGAATGCCATGGTGTAACAATCAGAGAAAAATTCAACCTTTTGTGTGACTTTGTGTCACTCCTGGAACACCAGAGAAGAGAGATCAAATACTTTGACCCTCATGACTGATAGTTTTCAAGTATAATTAAATGATTTTCTAAAAAACATCGTCCTGATTAGAAATGTGAACATGGCAGCGTAATTCACATGTAGCATGCTTGGGCATTTACATATTGTCACACACCCATGACTATACTGTAGGCTACAATAAATTCTACAGTGGTAATTTCTTGAAACACTAGAAGGGGAAAATGTGAGAAATAATAATGAAATGAGAATCCTATTAGCCACCAAAAGGAAAATAAGAGCTAGTATAAATGCAACGCATAGCACTTCTAATAGTTTGCCGTATTTTTGGCTATCTTAATGACCATGCTACATAAAATTGGTGTATGGCCTATCATTTATGTGGTTGAACCCATTTTTTCCTCAAACTTTTAGACCAAAGAGCATCCCAAAGTTAGAACTTAAATGACATTGGGTTATTGACAAGATTTTCTCACCCAGCACAAACTCAGAAAACCCATTCCTGGTCTTGCTGAATGAGTAGGTTCCATGATTTTGTTCTTAGTTCTGTTACGGTTACATTACTGTGATAAACAAGTAGCTATTAGAGGAAACTGACAACACAGTATGCACAAAAACTCTGTTGGTAAGATTCTTTAATCTAAATTTATAGATCCAATATATGTTTCCAGGACAACTAAAGTTTAATGGCAGGGTGACCATGGACATAATAACAACTAAGTTCTGACAGCTTGATATTTTGAGTTTTAAGGCATTATATTTCAGAGAAGACAAATATTGTTATTTCAGCATATGGAGAACATGAAACAATAAGATTCCAAGCCTTATCCAAAGTCTCATGCAAATCTAACACGTGGGCAATTTCTCCAGTTCCCCACTTATTGATTCTTTCATTCACCCATTAAGAAAAACATATATTGAGCTCTGAGCTAGGCAGGCAGGAACTACAGTGAACCAAGTGAAGGGTACAATGATATAGAAAACAAAGTCTCTACACTACAGCTTTCCACAACTAGTGCAAGCAACCATGCAGTAAGTACTGTGATGTGTGTGTGTGTATGTGTGTGTGCACGTTTGGACAGCCAGAGGAAGGAACAACCTAAATTTGCCTGAAAGAGCTTGGAATGGCCTGAGTAGTGGCATTTGAAATGAGATTTATGATGAGTAGGAGTTCACCAAAGAAAGGTAAAAGAAGGGCATTATAGGTGGAGAAACAGCAGAAACATGAAAGTTTGAAAGAAAATAGAATGAGGAGAACAATTAGCAAACGGTGCCTAGGGATAAAGGTAAATAACATAGAATTAGAAATGAACTACTTAAATGTTTTTGGACCCAATTGGTATAGAGTAATTTAAAAGTTGATAGCAAGATGTAATTTGATGCTTCATTATAAAGACTACTGCACATCACAGAGCTTTTCACTCCTTGTAAGGTGGGTAGATGGGCTATAGATAGATATGCTGAGATGTTAATCTCCTCACCCCTCCTTGGGTCAGCCAGGAAAGCCTGGGTTGTCACCTCTGCTGAACTTCAGGTCCATCATCTCTGGTCAAAGACAGTCTCTTTCATTTTCCAAGGTACATTATAAAAATATCATCATTTTCTATACCTGTCATGAGGTGGAATGGGTTGTGAATCATTGGCATACCAAGCTACGGAGTACATATTCTAAGCAATAGGGAACCCCCTGAAAAATATTAAACAGGAACGTGGTGGCAGGAGTTCTTGGAGACTGAAAGCTGACCTCAGAGCCTACTGGAGTAGCCCATAAAAAAGAGAGTGTCAATCTCAACTACCTCTCAAAGGAGTCACTCTTGAGTTCCCTTCATGGCATTCTATTGAACAGAACTCACGTGTGGCAAGGCTTAGCTTAGAGACACAGAGACCCTGGAATGTCAGAGGAGGACTGATTTTTGTAAAGAGGCCTCTGGCCAGAATGGAAGAGAATATTTAGGTCTAACAATCAGGCACTGGTTCCCAAAATTACTACTTTGAGCAAAGAAGGTGAAACTAAGTCTCTTCCTACCTTTTCAGGTTACAGCACATTTCAAAACATAAGCTTCCTAAGGACTAAGAGCCCCACAGGCATATGGTTCAGCCTGTGATCCAATTAATTGTCCATGAGAAGAAACAGTTTTGACGGAGACTAGAATGTAAACTCCATGACAGTAAGAAGTTGGTGTGTCTGGTGCACTGGTCCTCATTGCCTAGACTAGCTCCTGATGCTTTTAGGCACTAAATAGATGTTTGTTGAATGAGGGAGTGACCCTATAATGTTGGTTGTTGACATGCAAATATCCTCTGGCTAAATTCCTGGGAAATGTGTTTGTTTTTCTACAGAAAGGACTATAACTCAAAATATAGGCAACCTGGAATATGTATGGCAATTTTTATTTTCTATACCTACACATATACATACATTTGCATCTATGTATATATAGAGAGGGAGACAGACACAGATGGAGAGAGATTGATTTAATTTACTTAGGCTCAATACTACTTATTGAGATGAATGATAGAACTCTATCCTACTTCAGCATTGCTCAGCACTGATGGCAGAGGCTGCATCTGAAGATGAGGCTGGGAATGAAAACGGCAGCTAAGGAGTGGCTAAAGGACTGGCAGAAATGATGAGATCCAGGAGATACAGAATCAGCAGGGCCTTTGGCATCAGCCAAGCCACACAACACATTTTCAAGGTACATTGTAAGCTATTGGCATCCTCAAGTTAGGAGAGGCCTTGGGGAAGGGGAGGAAAGTAGGAATCCAGGAATAACAATGCAATAATGGGTGAGGACTCAGAAAATTGTAATTATCCTCATACTCATGGTACTCTCTGAGACTGCTGGCATGGTTTAGGGAAACAAGGGTTATACATGCATTCACAGTGATTTGAATCTGCTATACTCCAGCTGTACCAACACAGAGCCAGTGAAATGGACCACAGTATGGAAAATATAGTGTGTGATTTACTTCTGTCAACTTGTAAAGCTGAGACAGATTTCTGCAGCTGCATTGGACAAGCTGCGATCCATTGAGCTCATTAAGATGTCAATGACCAATCACAGGGACTGTGTTTTTCAGCAACCCACTTGGGAAGTATCCCCCTTCTCGCTGTGGGCCCATAAAACGTGGGGGTTTCTAGATGAGGTGCACAACTCTATCCACAATCCTGAAGTGTAGAACCTTCTGAAGTCCGTTAAAACAAATTTTTTTGAACAAATTTGGTGATTGAACAGATGTATGTCCACTCCCAATTTTTATCTCACTTATTGCGAATAGCCATACGTTTTGCTGCTCAAATTTAATGGTGGGGTGCTGCCCCAGGAAATGCTGGAAGTATTGCATAGTGTATGGGAAATGCTCCAAATTGCCTTTCTAAAACCCTAAACCTTTTGAGTTCTGAAGCCCATCTGGCCTTTGGAGCTTTAGATAAGGGATTGTGTACCTGTGTTTTATTTTTCTCCCATAGAGACAGTCTTGTTTTGCGTTTAGAAGCATTTTGTAGTAATTATTCTTTCTATTAACCCTCTCTAAACAGAGAGTTGTGTTTCCACTTTTAAACTCACTTGTAATCGCACATTTCCATGCCAATTCAAAATAAAAAAAATAAGTTATTGTAGATAATACCAAGTGGTTAATATATGCTAGACCCCTGTGCTAAAACCTTTAGAATTGTTTTCTCTTAGTGACAATGTAACAGGGCCTAGGCCCTGGCATCCTAGTAGAACTACCATGAATACATCCTTACATTCTTCTTGGTTCCTCGCTGACCACAGTCACTGAATCTTCTCTGGACCTCTGCCTTAGTATTGCTGACTAGCTCCAACAGCTTCTACAGAGGGTCCAACCTGACTCTATGGCATTCCTGAGCCTCTCACAGCACCTTGTCCTTTCCCTTCATAGCATTTATCACATTCACAATTGTATTTTATTGCTCTGTTTAATGCCATTCTCCCCACACCCTTGCCCCATATTAAATCCCCACAGGTGTGGGCTGTATCTAGTTTAGTCACCATGGTGTCTGGTGTATAATAACTGGTTTCAGTTGATTATTGCCACATAATAACACACCACCCCCAAATGTAGTGGCTTAAAATATATTGTTTTCACCATTCTGTGGGTTGCTGGGCAGCTCCTCTTCTGCCTTCACTTGATTTCACTTATTCAGCCAGATGGTCGTCTGGGCGGGGAAATCCAAGATGGTCTCACTTACATGTCTGGCAGTCAGTGTTGGATGCTGCCTAGGTTGGCTTCCTTTCGTGAAGGTTTCAAGAGAGCAACAGAGGAAGTGTCAGGGCCTCTTGTGGCCCAGGATTAAAAACTCATGCCCTGTCCCTTCTACCACATTCTACTGGTCAAATAAGTCACAATGCCAGTCAAGATTGAAAGGGATATAGACATATATCCTGTCTTTGGATGAAAGGAGAAGCCAAAGGGCATGCATATTGGGATGGGTGGAATTTGTGGCTATCAAACCACAAATTTACCACACTCCATTTTCTGGCCACAAATTAATCATTTTTGCACATGGAAAGTACGCTTACTCCTATCACAATAATTGCAAAAGTTTTATCCCAGGTATTGCATCAGGCTGGAAATCCACAAGTTTGAGCTTCCCCTCTGGTCCAGATACAAAGGAGGTTTCTCTGTGGAGCTCCTTGGCTTTCATGATCCAGAGTTCTGTGAACCAAAACTACAAGGCTTTTACCCTCTTTTATTCAAATATCTAAGATGAAATGGTGAGACAAAGAAAAAATAACCACAATGAATAATCCTCTTTTTTAAAAAGAGAAAGGACTGGGAGCACATAGCAATCAATGGTCTGAAGCAATTGTGAAATCCAAACAGGTACATGTCCAGGGACAGGGAATGTTCCCTGATTAGGGCCTATTTCTTATCTCTTGGAGTGGCTCTCTAATTAATTTTGTTTTTTGGATTTTGGGTCCACACTCTGGATGGTTTGCTTAGCCTCCGAGAGATCCTTCTTTTTCTGTAAGAAAGAAATAGCCCATGACTGCATCTAAGTAGTTTTCTCAACTCACTTTTTGTCTGTAGGAAATTGATGGCATGGAGTCTTCTTGAACTGTCTCTGTCCCTTTTAATCCAAATCAATATAGTTCCTTTAAAATTCCTTATGGGATTTCTATGGATCAGATTAAATTCTACTCTGTTAGATGACAGCCAGGCTTACTATTCTTGTCAAGGTAGGCCTCTCTCTAATTTGGATGATGGGCCTATTTGAGTGATGGGTCTGGATTCATAGACAATCATTTGTTTAGATGAGAGGTCTACTAAATACTCTATAAGAAATCATTCTGGGTTATTTTGTTAGGGCCTAACAGCCACATCCTTCTATTTGATCTTACCATTGAGGCCACATTTTATTGACTGTCTTCTGGAATTAAATTTTTACCTATATTAAAATTTTCTTTGATAATCTTTTTCAATCCAGCTCATCCTGGGTTTTCTATATTTTCTCTAAATTCTGCTTGCAAATTGAAAAGTTGCTTTTTTAATTAATCTCTCTTCCCACATAATATGGTTTTGGTATGTCCCCGCCCAAATCTCATCTTCAATTGTAGTTTCCATAATCCCCACGTGTTATGGGGGAGGGACCAGGTGGAGATAATTGAATGATGGGGGCAGCTTCCCCCATCCTGTTCTCATGATACTGACTTCGTTCTCACAAGATCTGATGGTTTTATAAGGGATTTTCCCCTTCACTGGTCATTCATTCTCCTTCCTGCTGCCATGTGAAGAAGGATGTGTTTGCTTCCCCTTCCACCACGATTGTAAGTTTCCTGAGGCCTCATGTGTCAATTAAACCTCTTTCCTTTATAAATTATTCAGTCTCAGGTATGTCTTTATTAGCAGCATCAGAATGGACAAATACAGCACACTTTATTATACACAGCTATACAAAGTTGATTCACATTTGTTGCATGCATCCTGGAAATCTCCCAGCCAGATCCGTGAGTTTAAGAAAAGTTTCTACTTTCCAGGTTGCAGCAGGCAACATTTTGCTGATTCTTTGGCCACTATATAACAAGGGTGGCCCTTTCTCCACCCTCCAATAGAAATTTCCTTATTAACTTCCCAGTATCTACTAATCATTGTTTCACTGCCTCTTTAGCTACCAATCACTCCCATCACCAAAGCCAACAGTATATGTTTTAGATTTTTATTATGACAGCACCTGACCTCTATGCACCAATTTCTGTTTTAGTTAACAATTTCAATGTAACAAACCACCCACCAACCCAGTGGCTTAAAAAACAATGATTTCTTATTTCCTGTACAGTTCTTCAGGCAGGCTGGGATATTCATCTGCTGGTTTCATATGCTGGAGGGTCGTCTAGCCGAGAGGTTCAACATGGCTTTATTCACATATCTGACCACTGATATTGCCTGTTGGCTGGGGAATCTTCATTCTCCTTTATGTAGCTTCTCATCCTCAGTAGGCCAGACTGGCTTTCTTTAATGATGATCTCAGGGCATCATTATAAGACTGCAAAGACAGAATCTCCAAGACATCTTGAGTCCCAGGCTCTGGAACTTGTAAAATGTCACTTACGCCATATTCTGTTGGTGAAAGAGAGTCACAACATCGGTCCCTATTCAAGGGAGTGAAGGAACATATCTAATTCTGGATGGGAGGAACAGCAAAGTCACAATGCAAAAGGATATCCTTACTGGAATGGAAGGAATTTGTAATCATTAAAGAACCTACCAGAGTAAATATCTATCAGATGCGTTCATGTTTGATTTTTATCTGGGATTTGAACTTGACCTTAGTCTTCGACCTCTACTGCTTGACTCTGGCTGTAACTCCATGGTAGTGTATTAGTGATCTACTCTGATATCAAACTCAAAATATGAGATTTCCCAATGACCGTTTATTCTCTAATTTCCCCACTTGCTCAAACCTTGTCAACAATGCAGCCTTGAATGTCCCACTTTTGTTGGTCTCTATGTCATACCCTAGTCCAATCTGATGAAGAGATAGTCCTGGTTTTGAGTCTTGGATTTACCATTAAGTCATCGTGTGACCTTGAACAGGTTATTTAAATTATTTTAAATATTTGCCTTATGATATTTGTAGGACTAAATAGTATAATGTATTAAAGTTAGTAGGTTAATGAATGTCAGGTTTCTTCTTTCTTCTGTGTCACTAGATAGTAAAGGATATCCAATACAAGATTAAACTATTGATTTGTGGGCAATGGCTGGCCTTTGAAAGTATGTAAACTAGGAATTTATAATAATATAAGGGGTCAGGGTATTAAATTCTCAGCAACATGTGACTTCTACATTATAGTATGTTTTTCTACATTCTTCTATGTTTTATATATATAGTTTCTGGTATTGTAAAGTATATTAATATAGCCCCCATACAGTGATGGACTATCCAATTAACCTTTAAAGATATGTTTTGGACACCAGTAAATTAGGGCATTGAACAAAAACTAAAAATTTTGATATTTGATTTTCAAAAAAGACATTGAAATAGTCACTAAATGAAAATTCAAAACTTTATCAGAATTTACTACATATATTTCTTTTTAATTTTATGTTGTTTTTACTTTTAAATATATGACACAGAAGGTATTATTGTCTTCTTGATGCTTTGTGCCTCTGATCCAGCCTTTCTCTCATGTACCACATAAAATTGGAGGCTCAGAATAGTGATGCTAAAAATGAAATGGAGACTAAATATAAAACACATTTCATAATAGGAATAAATGATGGGTCTCGGTGGCTGGTATATTATAAAGATTAATGGCAAGGGAAAAGTTGAAGATCTCACTACAACCATCATTCAGCTTCATGTCACCCAAATCACACACGATAGGTCAAATAAATTAAATAGCTTGAACCATATTTACATACACTATTTTACAATGTATTGAATGTTGAGCTCTCTCTCCTCTGAATTCTTCATATTTTAGCATGAAGTCTTTTATAAACTATATATATAAACTTTTATATTCTATTTCATCATCTGATATTTGAAGGAAATTCCAAATAAATTTTTTTTAAATACTGCTGTGAATGATGCAATTGTCCCAATCTGCCACATTTCCCCACTTCACTAATAGCCTCTATCACCTTCTGCCACCAACCCTCCATGAGGCCAGAAAAGACTGAGTTACAGCGGGCGGGGATTGAGTGTTACAAGATCAGGATTAGGAGGAGCCTGGCAGATGGAGGTGGCAATAGCAGTGTCAGGAAGCAATGAAGGCAAAGACCTGGGAAAACAACAAAATCTGGAGCAAGCACATATAAACATTGAGTCCTGAGAATTGCAGTAGGGATGACGCTGGGATCACAGAGTTGGGAGTTTGCAGGCAGGTAGAAGCATGATCAAAGTAAAACAGGTTTAAGAAGCGAGGTTGGCCCAGGTAATTTTTGGTTCATATATGTAGTTCCCTTTTATAGCAGAGGGGTAGAGCATGGTGGGTCAGACCTTCAAAACACTCCAGGTGAACCCAGAATAGAAATTCAGTAGATACATTTTTTCTCCTACCATGCTTAACGTTGTATGGCTCTAGGCTTTGAGGACATAATAAAATTTCTGTGTTACCCTTTAAGATGCTTTTACCTTAGTAAGACTCCGGGGTCAGCCCTGACCTCACAGGAAAATTAAATGTCTTTGTGGTTACTTATTTGACACTTTAGACGTATGTCCGTAAAGGCAGTGGGAAGAAGCTAGTTCCTTAGACAGTCATGACTCAAGTGAACTTAACTATATGGCAGAAGTAAGACTCAAGTTTTAAGATCTGCAATGAAGCCCTCTAGCAAATTCTATAAAATGAAAAATAATCAACTATAAGCCAGGTGCCTCTAGAATGGTATGGATAAGACATTCGGTTTGGCTTTCTATAAGGTACTTTATCCGAGTGAAATACACCAGCTTGGTCTTCCAGTTTGAGCTGAATATATTCTGTCAAACAATGGCGTCCTCACCTAAGAGTAATATCATCAAAGTGGTGTTTTTCTTTTACACATTTTTGAGGCCAGGAACCCTTTCGACGGTGTTTTTAATGCCCCAGAACTCCAAAACCTATGGGATCTGGAGCTAATGGAGCAGATACAAATGAAACATGTCCTCTGTGACCATACTTTTCTTTCAAAAACCCTAGAGATTTGAAACATGGTTTGAAAACCAGTGGACTAAGACAATGAATCCCTTCTTTTCTCTTGAGATGTAGGTTTAGCTCCAGTGTAGGGATCCAAGGGAGATAGTGTCAACTGGCCTTTCAATGTTTACTGCAAGTTTTCTGTTTTTCCAAAGGCAGATGAGTTTACTGAAAAGGCATGAAGTGACAATGTCTAAACACCACCAAGGTGCTTAATCTTCTGGGCCCTCCTCTGGTAAATTATATGCTATTGAAATTAAAGTGCTATGAGAGCTGAAACATGCATAAATACACACGTTTTTCCCAGGAGTGACAAACTTCTATGTTATCTGTCTTTTTTAAAAAAACACCTGATCATTATTTCATTCTTCTTCAGATAGTGCATTTATGAATGTATCTTTTGGGATGCAGGTGGTATTCTGAGTCATCTAAAAAATAATTCATGTAGCACAGACAAATTTTTTCTCTGGCATGAAGCTCAGCCTTGGATTCCAACAGTAATTCAACAGTAATAATCCAGCATAAGAGTTTTTAAGTGGGCCACAGAAACCTCCTCTTAGTAATTGCTACTCTTCCTCTTCTATGCCTTGAATAGGAGAGCATGAGAAGGACCCACACTTTGCAATTTGAGGCAATGAATGTGTATATCCTATTTAACTCTGAATCTAAAACACTATTATACATTGTTTTCCTAGGGCTTCATATCCAGATAGATTAGCACTTTTTAATTGATCTTATGAAACTCAACAAAAGCTATTATGCTTGTTTAAAAAAAAAAGAAAAAGAAAATCCTCTAGTGAACATGTAATAGTGAATTCTAGAAAGCCAGATAATTTCTTTGCTTAATAATAGTTTTCTTTCCTCTTGGCTGCAGATTCTCATAACTAGCACCATGCCAAACATTCGAAGATTGGATTATGGCCTGTCGTACTTGATTATTTTTGTCAGCATGCTGACCCGGGTGCCCTTTTCTTGTGTTGTTCCTTCTGTTTCCATTTTTCATGTCATCCAGCTTTTCATCTTGTCAATCAGCTTTTGACTTCCTGATTAAAGTGTCTGTCACAGGAGCAGCCTGGTCTCCAGTCAGTTGTTTAATTTGTTCCTCATGGCATCCAATTGAGTTATTCATCTGGCCCAGCTGTTCACAAGTGCTTCCAGCATCACTTTTTCATGTGTTTGGGTTTAACCTCTATATCTATGTACAACAGTGTGAATTGTTCCATTCATACTGTTGACTGTGGATTGCTTCACCTTCCTAATGCCTTGATGCTACCAGGCTGGCTGCTACACTGTGGCCAAACGGACAGAGAAGCAATATTTCAATCTGATGTTATGGTAACAAGTACAACTAAACAGACTAGTTTTCAAGAATTATAGCAGGCCCTCTTTTTAACAATTAGGACGATGTAATGGAAACTCTAGACTGTTCAGATTTAGATCCACCCAAAAATAATGTTGATGGTGCTTGGCAGAGGAAAGAAAACATTCATCTGCCAACATTGCGGATATCGCCATGAATGCTCCAGGATCTATTTGTTGCATTAGGTGACATGAGATACTCTCTTGGCCTGAATTGATGCAGATATCCAACTGGAAAAATGAAATTAAGTAAATCTGCTGAGTTTGCAATGCTAAAACTTGTCTTCCAGTGGTTAGATGATTTATATTATGCAACATTCAAGAAGCCACATAATGCAACAGGAAACTGGAGGAAAAGAAAACTAGAGTACATTTCCCCACTCTTCCCTTTTAGCCACTCAAACCTAATCAATTCAAAATTCCAGTAGATTGTTTATGAGTGAGCCATTCCTTCCTGCTATTCCTATCATGTTTCTCCTTTACCTCCTACAAACTTGAAATGGTAATTCCATTACAGCAGTCATGAAAATAGCCAGAGACCAAGTGCCTAGGACTCAAAAGAATGTAGAATGATGAGTCTAATGAAAATCAGACAGCAAACTGAACACAACTTCACAACCTACCTCCCATTTTGGTTTGATTTCGTGGGAATGTTTGTTAAGAATCCAGTTGCTCCTCAAAGAATATGCATTCATTTCCTTAGGTTATTAATGAAAGATATATTAAAGCAATGTAGAAATCCTGAAGAGAGGAAAAACGTTTGTAGCCTATCTGGGGAAGGCTATTATTGTCAATTAAGCAGAAAAAAGTAAAATAATTTTGCTGATTATTGGTTTTTACTATTTTTAACTTTCTCTGCAAAGTATGATACATATACTAATTCATATTACTAACAATAATACTGAAACTTATTTATAGAAGTTTAATATATTTCACTTTTTAATTAGAAAAACTTTAAATTTTTACTTCAACTGGTAAAAATAATAAAATATTTGGTGGTCATAAATCATGAAGAATAATGTAGCTTAAAGTCTGTATTCCTGGTTTTGTTCTGGTCAATAGGCCTCCCAGTGTAGGTTTTCCATGAGGCATTTCTGAGGAGAATAGTTTTTTCAATTTCTTCCTTGTGAGGTTTTGCTTGTTACCTTGGGTGGATTCACTTTTCCAATTTTTACCAAATTCACATCTTTGAAGGAATATCCCCCATGAGTCTTTCCATTATTATCCTCAGTGAGGTGAATACAGTGAATCTGTACTCAATCTTCATTCCATACTGCTCCTTGTGTGCCTTTCTGTGCTGCAGAAGCTATGAAGTTAAAAACCACTTTTGCTTGACTCCTTTGCAGCTAGGACTCCAGATATGCTTTGGGTTTATCACATCAGCTATACTTGTGAAAGATTTGGAAACTGAAATTGAGGCAAAAGTCACTATTTTACCATTTCTGTTTACCACGTTGGCAAGCACAGTCCTGGAAATACTGAGTTTTGCTGTAGTAGTGCTAGCAGATATTCCTGATGTCCTAAGGCAAGGTGAGGGACAATTACTACATGCTGAGAAAGCATGATTATGAAGCCAACAGGTGTGGATGCAATGCCCTGACCTGAATCATACCTAAAAAGTGTGCCTCTGGAGTGTACAGTCAAGGTGGTGGATTCCTGGTTCCCTGTTTCTGATTGTGGCTCCCTGGGGAGCCAGTTCTATGTTACTGATCTGTGAGTTGTTCCTGGGTTCTAACACGGAGCCTGCTCTTCTAGTTAGTCTACTGGTTTGCAAACTCCTAATTCCCAGTATTAAATCCCCTTCTTATTTAAGTGATTTTTAAACTGAAAATACATCCTGATTGATGCCATTTCTTTCCACATTTTCTGAAATCCCTTGCGTTATGATCAGTGGCATAGTGCAAAGAGTAGATGCTTTGGAGTCATATAATTATTAGATACATGACCTAGGATATATTTATGAACTTATATGAGTCTCAGTTCTCTATTTTTACAAAATGAGTAATAATACTTCAATGCTCAGTTGATAACAAGGATAACATAAGATATGCCAAGTGCCTGGAACACTGATTTAAACACTCAACAAATGTCAGCATCCTTGTTTAAATTTGAAAGTTTCTGACATAGTATTTCCCACTAAGCTAATCAAGGATTGCATACAGTGAAGAAGACAAAAGCTATGGGACAATATTGTTATTGTTTTAAAAGCACATTCCTGTGTCAATCTGCAGCCAATGAACCAATGACTTGTGATAACCTGTACTGTGTTTTACACAGGGAACTGAAACCACTGAGATTTCAGGTTGCTATACTCAACTTTTTGGAAAATCAAATAAAATACATTTTTATATGTATTCTTTGGGAGTAAAGAGTACCAGGTGTTACATACGTACATGCTTAACACCATGAAAAAAAGAAGAGATGATCTTCAACCTGAGAAAGAGAAAGATAAAGATTATAGTAGAATTTGAACCCTACCTCCTTACCCAAACTTAGGGACATTTTTCAGTTAGTAACTCAATAAGACTGCACTCCTAATCTTTTGGACAAAATAATTGGATTTTCAGTTGTCATTTCCCTTCAGAAGGAATCTATCCTAGCTGCATGATGCGCTAAGTATTCCAGAACCTTCCTCAATCTTTCTAAATAGATATATGAGGAAAAATACATAGACACACACACACACACACACAAACTCACACATACAAACACAAAGAAATACCTGGATGTTAGAAGTAAAAATGAATCTAAAATCCAGCAAGTGCCTGTGTTAGAAGATACTGTTGTGTGGCTCACGCCTGTAATCCCAGCACTTTGGGAGGCCGAGTCAGGCTGATCACCTGAGGTCAGGAGCTCGAGACCAGCCTGGCCAATATGGTGAAACCCTGTCTCTACTAAAAATCCAAAAAAAAAAAAAAAAAAAGATACTGTTGTGACCTGGAGTTTAATACCTAGAGGATTAACTTTAAAACTCAGTAAATGTCATGAAAAGAGATGGCACTTTGGGCATATTTGAGTAGGAAGGTAGAAATGAGAATCTTATAAGCCCAAAAAATCAAGGGTTTCATCTTAGTGACAATAGATACTGGAAATGCATACCCATTGGCCCAGGGAAATGGCAAGGAACCTTGCCTCTGTATAGGAATATGAGCCAAAAAAAAAAAAAATACTACTACCATGAAAAATTGATAAGAGGAGCCATGAGCAAATGGAGCTTGATTCTGCGCAATTTGGAGGGGCATGGAAACCCCTTCAAACCAGGAAGTATGCGGAAAAAAATCAGTCCCAGACATCTTGTGTAAATAAATGCAAATTCAAAACTCCTTTGGAGAAACTCTCTCTCCCTATCTCTCTCGCTCTCCTTTTCTCTCTGTCTCTCTGTCTCTCTCTCTCTCTCTCTCTCTCTCTCTCTCTCTCACACACACACACACACAAAATCCTTATTTCTGATGACCTCACAATCAAATATTTTTAAGAATATACACAGGAACAATCCTGCATCAGCAAGATTAAATAAACATAATCCCCAAATTTAAGATTACAAAAAAATCTGAAAAATATATAAAAGTAAATATGTTTAAAGTGATAACAAAAGGAATAAAACCATAAAGCAAGAATAAAACACTATCAAAAAGCAAATTAAAAAGCAGCAATGACACTAAGAAATAATATATTTATAGTTTTGAAATTTAAAACTCAATGGACAGGTTAAAAAGCAGATCAGTTACAAGCCAAAAAATTATTAAAATAGAAAGATAAGATAAACAGGCACCAAATATAATTTCTGCGACAGATTAGAGATAATGGTAGCAGAACACTTTCAGAAAAAATGTTGAGACCTTTTCTAAATGACATATATCTTCAGATTCAACAATCATGACGATTGAAGAGAAGAACAATGGTAATTCCCATCTCTACAAGATGCTGGAATGCTCTGCCCGTATTCCCCTGATCTCCCACTCCCATATTAGCTCCAGGTGTGACTTCATTCCCAAATCCAGCACCTGCAACTTTCTGGCAGAGTGCCATCCTCAGGTTGTGGGAGCCTAAATACCTTTGTTCATGAAGAATCAGAGTACCTGGAAATTCACATTCTATTCCTTTAAGGGCAGCCTTTAACTTATTGCTGATGGTTCAGCATATAGGAATAGGATATCCACCATGCACCCTGATTGAGACAGCTCTGAAGTATGACCAAAACTGATTCCAGTGGGAAAAATTTCCTGAGTTAATGAGACTAAGTTATCCTGTCTGGAACTTTGCTAGAAGTCACAGTGTTGCTTGGCGTCTATCCACTTCTTGTCTTGTTATTTTATTTCCCTATTGATTTTTCCTGGGATCACTCCTTTAAAAAAAGACAGAATACTACTACACAAATCCATACCCCTATATCTGCTTCTGGGAAACCCAATCTAAATACAGTCTAGACACATTGTAATAAAAATGCAAAACTTTAAAGACAAAGATAACATCATCGTGAACAATTATATTTTTCAAATTATCTACACAGAAACAAGTAGACTAAGAGCAGACTTTTTCCAAAAAAAATCCAAACAAAGGAATAATATCCACAAATAACAAAATCTCCAGCCTAGAGTTTAATACCCAGCTAAACTAAGAGTAGGGGTAAAATACAACTATTTCCCTAAGAAAAAGAATGATAGGGTATGTAAATAACAATTAATTATAGAAAGAAATGCTAACTACATTTTTAATGAAAAATTGGTAAACAAGAAAAGAGAAGAATCTAAGAAACAATACATAGCAAAAAATATAGGAAGCATGTAGGTCAAGTTAAATATAATTAACCACATATAATTAATAATAATTATTAATTGAACACATACAAAAAGATATAAAACTAAACTTCTATAGAAAATTATAATCTAAGATTCTAGGAATGGAGTTGGAGTGGGTATAATGTGCGATGATTGTGATGCACTTAAAACATTCTAAGATTCTGGTATTGATTAGGAGAAGGAGAAAGCTATTGATTAGCCTTAGACTCTCTAGGTCAAGTGTAGAAATTAAAATTCAAAAACTGCTGTGGGAATAGAAAAAGAATGGATATTTAACATATAAATCAATACAGAAGAAAGGGTAATAAAATAAAATCTGATCAATTCAATGTAAAGCAAGAAGAGAATTCAATAAAATAGCAAGGAAAATCATAGAAAATAGAAAAAGTAAATACAGTTGTAAAACTGTATTTAGGTGTGTTAGAAATAATAATAAAGGTAATTATTGGTGGATTAACCAATCCAGGCAAAATAAAAGAGGGTCCCCAGAAAGTCAGGTGTTTTAAAAACCTAACTGATTTTTTTTTTACTGAGTCACACCTAAATCATAATACAGCAAGGCTGAAAGAAAGAACAGAAATAATCACAAGTAAGTAATATTTAAAAAGCCTAGAATAGTCACAACATTTGTATAAAACAAAACATATTTTGAAAAATAATTACTGATAATTAAGAAGATTACTTCCTAATTATCAAGGAAAGATTTCCTAGGACTACATAATCCTAAATTTCTATAATCCTTACAAAGAAATGTCAAAATATGTAATGTAATGATATCAAAAATCACAGGGAAAATTAACAAGTCACATAGTGTTCAAATTTAACAGACCTCTCTCATTAATAAATCAAGAAGATAAAAAAGTACTAAGAATATTAAATACACCAATTAACAGTTTTAGTCTAAAGAACACGTATAGAATCCTATTACAAAATTAGAGAATATAACTTAAAATATACTTAAAGTTAGAGACTATTCTTTGTTTTTAAGTATACACGGAGCTATATGAAAATTGGATGCAAAGATACAGAAACCAAATCACTCCATGAAGTAACAAAATTGGTAAAATATAGACTTCATTCTTTTAATGTAATTAAGATAAATTGAGATGTATTCTAAAAAATAACCTTTCAAGGAAGAAAAAGATTATAATGGAATATCATACACAATCATATATCAACAAATTAGGTAGCTTAAATGAGATGGACAAATTCTTAGAAAGACATGAACTATTGAAATTGACTCATGGAGAAATTAAATATATGAAAAGTACTATAACAAATGAAGAGAGTAGGTGGGGTAGCCGTAGTGGCTCATGCCTGTAATCCCAGCACTTTGGAAAGCTGAGGCCGGCGGATCACTTGAAACCAGGAGTTCGAGCCTGGCCAACATGGTGAAACCCTGTCTCTATAAAAATACAAAAATTAGCTGAGCTTGGTGGTGCACCTGTAATCCCAGTGAGTCAGGCGAATCACTGGAACCCCGGAGGCAGAGGTTGCAGTGAGCCGAGATGGTACCACTGCACTCCAGCCTAGGCGACAGAATGAGGCTCTGTCTCAAACAAAAAACAAAACAAGTTAAGGGATTAGAGATTTAAATAATAAACAAAATTCCCTCAAAGAAAAGCCCAAGAATAGCTTTGCTGGTGAATTCTAAAAACACTCAAAGAAAAATTAACACTGATACTTCACAAACTCTTAGAAAAATAGAAGAGAAGCGATCACTTTCCACCTTATTCTATGAGGCCAGTATTTACGTGTTACAGAAACCAGAAAAAAACTACCTACAAAAAGAAAACTTTAGACCAATATCTTTTAAAATTATAGATTAAAAAAATCCTAAACAAAATACTATCAAACTGAATCCAGCAACATATAAAAAGAATTATATAACATCACCAAGTGGGATTTATCACAGGAATGAAAGGTTAGTTGAACATACAAAAATCTGTCTGAATACTGTGGTGTCATAATAACAGAATAAAGGACAAAAAACCCACATGATTGTCTCAATAATCATGCTTTTAGTTGCATAAAAGCAATTGAAAAGATCCAATATCCTTTCATGATAAAAACAAACAAACAAACAACAAAAAAACTAGGGGTAGAATGGAACCTCCGCAACATAAATGCTCCTCAACAAAGCACTTATGAAAAACCTACAATTAATAAAAATTAATGATGAAAGGATAAAAGCATTCTAAGATCAGGAATTAAGACAATGTTATCCACTTGTGTCACTCCTCTTTACTATCATGCTGGGGATTAAGCCAGAGCAATTAGGTAAGAAAAGGAAGTAAAATGTGTCCAGATTAGAAAGGAAGTTAAACTATCTCTGTTTGCAGATGACACAATCTTGTATATAGAAAATTCTAAAAGTTCAATAAAAATATGAGAACTAATAGTCAAGTTTAGCAAGGTTGCAAGATACAAAATCAATATGCATACATCAATTTTATTTCTATACACTAGCAATTAGCAAGCTGAAAATGAAACTTTAAAAATTCTATTGCATAAAAAAAAAATTCTATTGCATTAGTGCCATGGTTTGGATATGATCTGTTTGGCCTCACCAACTCTCATGTTGAAATTTGATCCCTAATGTTGGAGATGGGCCTGGGTGTTTCAGGATGTTTGGGTCACGGGGGCAGACTGCTCACTAATAGCTTGGTGCCATTCTCACAGAAATGAGTTCTCACTTCTAGTTCTGCCCAGAAGAACTGGTTATTGAAAAGAACCTGGCACCTGCTCCACTTCTCTCTCTCTTACTTTGTTTCTTGCCATGTTATCTCTGTACATTCTGATTTCCCTTTACCTTCCACCAGGAGTGGAAGCAGTCTGGGGCCCTCATCAGGAGCTGCCATGCTTTTTGCACAGCCTGCAGAACCATGAGCCCTGAGCCAAAGAAACCTCTTTTTTTTCCTTCAATACATTATCCAGCCTCAGGTATTCCTTTATAGCAACACAAGTGGACTAAGACAATTAACATCAAAAAGAATAAGATACTTAGAAATAAATTTTTAAAAGAAGTATAAGCCTTTACACTAAAAAAAATTGTTGAAAGAAATAAAAGAAGACAAGTAAGTCGAAAGACATTCTATTTTAATGGATTGAGAAACTAAATTTTTTTAAGATGGTAATATGCTTCAAAATGATCAACTGATTCAAAACATTCACTATTAGCATTCTAGTTGCTTTTTTTGCAGAACTTGACATGGTGAACCTAAAATTTATATTAACATGCAAGAGAATCAGAATAACCAAAATAGTCTTGAAGAAGAATACAGTTAGAAAGCTCACACTTCCTGATTTCAAAGTTATTACAAAGCTGCAATAATCAAGACAATGTGGTACTGGCATTAGAATAGACATTTAAACTAATGGAAATGGACAGAGTCTAGAAAGAAACCCTTGCATATATGGTCAACTGAATTTGACAAGGGTGTTGAAACTAATCAATGGGGGAAAGGATTTTTTTTTTTTTTTTTTGAGACAGAGTCTTGCTCTGTTGCCAGGCTGGAGTGCAGTGGCACGATCTCGGCTCACTGCAACCTCTGCCTCCTGGGTTCAAGCAATTCCCCTGCCTCGGCCTCCTGAGCAGCTGGGACTACAGGCATGCACCACCACACCAGGCTAATTTCTTTGTATTTTTAGTAGAGACAGGGTTTCACCATGTTGGCCAGGATGGTCTCAACCTCATGACCTTGTGATCTGCCCACTTTGGCCTCCAAAAGTGCTAGGATTATAGGCATGAGTCATCACGCCCAACCAATTTTTTTTTTAACAAAGAGATATTTATATGCAAAAGAATGAAATTGAACTCCTACCTCACACCACATACAAAAATTAACAAAAGATGGATCAAACACCTCAATGTAAGAACTAAACTATAAAACTCATAGAAAAGCACATAGTTAAAAATCTTCTTGACCTTGTATTTGGCAATGGTTTCTTAAATATGACACCTGAAGCACAAATACCCAAAAAGGAAAAAAAATAGGTAAGTTGGACTTTATCAAAATCAACAAATGTTGTGCTTCAAAAGACAACATTAAGAAAATAAAAAAGACAACCATGGAATGAAAGAAACTCATTATCTGATGAGACAGATTAAGATAATGTAAAGAAATAAAAAAAAATTAAAATCTGAGAAATTTGAATAAATATTTTTCAGAAAAAGATATATAAATGGCCGATAAGCACACAAAAAGACACACAACATCATTTGTCATTAGGAAAACTAAAACTGTGATGAAATACCACTTCATACTCACTGGAGTGGCTGTAATTTTTAAAATAGACAATAAAAAGTGTTAGCAAGTGTATTAGTCCATTTTCATACTGCCATGAAGAAATATCTCAGACTGGGTAATTTATACAGAAAAAGAAGTTTAATGGACTCACAGTTCTACATGGCTGGGGAGGCCTCACAGTCATGGTGGAAGGCAAAGGAGGAGTAAAGACATGTCTTACATGACGGCAGGCAAGACAGCATGTGCAGGGGAATTGCCCTTTGTAAAACCATTGGATCTCATTAGACTTATTCACTATCATGAGAACAGCACAGGAAAAACCGCCCTCATGATTCAATTACTTTTCACCAGGTCCTTCCCATGACACGTGGGGATTATGGGAGCTACAATTCAAGATGAGATTTGGGTGGGGACACAACCAAACCATATGAGCAAGCATGTGGAGAAACTGCAAACTTCATACATTGCTGGCAAGAATGTATAATATTGAGTCACTTTGGAAAATAATTTGACAGGTCTTCAAAAAGATGAACATGGAATTACCATATGACAGCAATTCCATTCAATGCCCAAGAGATTGGAGACATATTTTCACACAAGAACATATATATAAATGTTTAGAGCAGCATTATATATACAGCCCCAAAGTGGAAATAACACAGATGCCTATCAACTGATGAATAAATAAATGCTGTATATCCCTACAATGGAATATTATTCAGCCATAAAAAGGAATGACATACTGATACATGCTACACTGTGGATGAACCTTGTGAACATTGTGCAAAGTGAAAGTTGCTAGACACAAAATGCCATATAATGTATGATTTCACTTATATAAAATTAAAGATAAGCAATTCTATAGAAATGGAAAGTTAGTGGTTTCCTGGGACTAGGGGGAGGGAAAAATGTAAAATGACTGTTAATGGGTACACAGTTTATTTTTAGAGTGATAAAATTTTTCTGGAATTAAATATTGGTGAGTTGCACAACCTCATGAATATACTAAAAATCACTGAATAGTACATTTTGAAAGAGTGAATTTTATGATATGTTTATATCTTAATTTAAAAATTGTAAAAATGAGAAAACTATATATTATTCAAAAATTTAAAATAATTTATGGATCAAATTAAAATAATCATGGAAATTTAAATATGCTTAGAATTAAGCAACAATGTTTTCACTTAAAGAATACAGCTTAACTGTATTTATAAAAAAAATATAGCCTTCAAGGAAAATATTAGAAGAGACTGAAAATTAATGAGCTAAGCATTCAACTAGACAGGCTGCAAGCCCAAAGAAAGGAAAAAGGAAACAAATAGTGAGGATGGAAAAAAAGAAGTAGAAATCAAAGAAACAAAAGTAAAACAAATAAAACAACAAAAAATAAAATCCAAATGCTGCTTTTGGGGGAATAATTAATAAAATAAGAACTCTTTTCCCAAAACTGATTTAAAAAAGAAATACTTGGGAGGCTGAGGCAAGAGAATCTCTTGAACCCAGGAGGTGGAGGTTGCAGTGAGCCAAGATTGCGCTATTTCACTTCAGCCTGGGCAACAAGAGCGAAACTCCATCTCAAAAAAAAAAAAAAAAAGAAAGAAAGAAAGAAAGGAAGAAAGAAAAAGAAAATACACATATTAGTCCCGAGAAAAGAAATATTTTAAAAAGATTGAAAAATTCCCAATATTTTAAAAAATAATAAGAGCATACGATGAATGTCTTTATGGAATAAGTTTATAAAAACATTAAATAAATTGAAAATTGCATAGAAAATTATAATTTATAATAATTGACTCAAAAAATTAATAGAAACCTTGGGTAACCCTATAACTAGAAAAAAATGAATAAAGGTATTTTTGTTTGTTTTTAAAATCTACTTACAGAAGCAGATACAAAATTAAATTGTTATATCATAGCCATGAACACAGTAACTGGTACCAGGCTTTCTCACCTAATAAACAACTAGAAAACAACCTTTCTCATTGACTGGGCAATGGTCATTTCAGGATTGTATTCATGAAAGAAGTGAAACAAAGTTAGTTCAGCCTAGAGATGGTCTACACTAGACGTGACTAGCATCATGTTATCAATACAGTAGCCTAGCATGATACTCTCTGTAATGTCAAGATGTTGAAGTCCCTGAGGATTATATTGTGAAAAGGTGATACAGTTAATACAGCGCTTGGTCAAAACTACAAATATGCTCTGTTTTCTTTCCTAGAAGAAAACAAACTATTTTTTATCCGCTTTTGTGGTGAGCATTAGAAATCACCCATTCAGTTTGTTTGTATCCTCTTTTATTTCATTGAGCAGTGGTTTGTAGTTCTCCTTGAAGAGGTCTTTCACGTCCCTTGTAAGTTGCATTCCTAGGTATTTTATTCTCTTTGAAGCAATTGTGAATGGGAGTTCACTCATGATTTGGCTCTCTGTTTGTCTGTTATTGGTGTATAAGAATGCTTGTGATTTTTGCACATTGATTTTGTATCCTGAGACTTTGCTGAAGTTGCCTATCAGCTTAAGGAGATATTGGGCTGAGACGATGGGGTTTTCTAGATATACAATCATGTCATCTGCAAACAGGGATAATTTGACTTCCTCTTTTCCTAATTGAAAACCCTTTATTTCCTTCTCCTGCCTGATTGCCCTGGCCAGAACTTCCAACAATATGTTGAACATTCTATGCTCATGGGTAGGAAGAATCAATATCATGAAAATGGCCATACTGCCCAAGGTAATTTATACATTCAATGCCATCCCCATCAAGCTACCAATGACTTTCTTTACAGAATTGGAAAAAACTACTTTAAAGTTCATATGGAACCAAAAAAGAGCCCGCATTGCCAAGTCAATCCTAAGCCAAAAGAACAAAGCTGGAGGCATCATGCTACCTGACTTCAAACTATACTACAAGGCTATAGTAACCAAAACAGTGTGGTACTGGTACCAAAACAGAGATATAGACCAATGGAACAGAACAGAGCCCTCAGAAATAATGCCGCATATCTGCAACCATCTGATCTTTGACAAACCTGACAAAAACAAGAAATGAGGCAAGGATTCTGTATTTAATAAATGGCACTGGGAAAACTGGCTAGCCATATGTAGAAAGCTGAAACTGGATCCCTTCCTTACACCTTACACAAAAATTAATTCAAGATGGATTAAAGACTTAAATGTTAGACCTGAAACCATAAAAACCCTAGAAGAAAACCTAGGTAATACCATTCGGGACATAGGCATGGGCAAGGACTTCATGTCTAAAACACCAAAAGCAATGGTAACAAAAGCCAGAATTGACAAATGGGATCTAATTAAACTAAAGAGCTTCTGCACACCAAAAGAAATTACCATCAGAGTGAACAGGCAACCTACAGAATGGGAGAAAATTTTTGCAATCTACTCATCTGACAAAGGGCTAATATCCAGAATCTACAATGAACTCAAATTGACAAGAAAAAAAACAACCCCATCAAAAAGTGGGCAAAACTTATGAACAGACAATTCTCAAAAGACGACATTTATGCAGTCAAAAGACACATAAAAAATGCTGATCATCACTGGCCATCAGAGAAATGCAAATCAAAACCACAATGAGATACCATCTCACACCAGTTAGAATGGCAATCATTAAAAAGTCAGGAAACAACAGGTGCTGGGGAGGATGTGGAGAAATAGGAACATTTTTACACTGTTGATGGGACTGTAAACTAGTTCAACCATTGTGGAAGTCAGTGTGGCGATTCCTCAGGGATCTAGAACTAGAAATACCATTTGACCCAGCCATCTCATTACTGGATATATACCCAAAGGATTACAAATCATGCTGCTATAAAGACACATGCACACGTATGTTTATTGGGGCACTATTCACAATAGCAAAGACTTGGAACCAAGCCACATGTCCAACAATGATAGACTGGATTAAGAAAATGTGGCACATATACACCATGGAATACTATGCAGCCATAAAAAAATGATGAGTTCATGTTCTTTGTAGGGACATGGATGAAGCTGGAAACCATCATTCTCAGCAAACTATCACAAGGACAGAAAAACAAACACCCCATGTTCTCACTCATAGGTGGGAATTGAACAATGAGAACACATGGACACAGGAAGGGGAACATCACACACCAGGGCCTGTTGTGGGGGTGGGGGGAAGGGGGAGGGATAGCATTAGGAGATATAGCTAATGTTAAATGATGAGTTAATGGATGCAGCACAGCAACATGGCACATGTAAACATATGTAACTAACCTGCACTTTGTGCACGTGTACCCTAAAACTTAAAGTATAATAATAAAAAAAAAAGAAATTACCCATTCAGGGGACAGGGGTGGTAGCTCATGCCTGTAATCCTAGCACTTTGGGAGCCAAGGCAGGCAGATAACTTTAGGTCAGGAGTTCGAGACCAGCCTGGCCAATATGGTGAAACCCCATCTCTACTAAAAATACAAAAACTAGCCAGGTGTGGTGGCGGGCGCCTTGTAGTCCCAGCTACTCAGGAGGCTGTGGCAGGAGAATTGCTTGCACTCAGGAGGTGGAGGTTGCAGTGAGCCAAGATCACACTACTTCTCTCCAGCCTGGACAACAGAGTGAGACTCTGTCTCAAAAAAAAAAAAAAAAAAATTACCCATTCACCAGATCAGTCGCTGCACACAAAGCTGCAGAGGCTGAAGAGATCTACTTAGGAAAGATACAACCTTAGTCCAGCAGCTAGAATTGTAGCTACATTTGACTAAGTTTATGATAGTACATTTTCATGTACAATGATTTATAAGATTTTTGCCAGAGCCATACTGGTGGATTAAATAAGGAAATGATAGGCACCACCACTACTACATCCTTTGTCTTTTAAGGTGGCATTAAACTCTGACATTCCACCCAGGATGTCATATTGCTTCTAATTTATCATCTTGGCGAAGGTGAGTGGGGCCATCTGTGAGCTTCCACTTGGCCTTCCTCATAAGCACCACGCGCTAACCAACTGCACCACTGGAGCCACTCCACTTGGCTTTTCCTACCATAATAGCTGTTATTCCATAAGCCAAGGAATGATGTTAGGGTTCTGCTGGAAAGATATAGGGTGTGAACATATTGTGCTCTCGGAGACTGGGGAAATGATCATAGGATGGGACCATGGACCCAATGGAGCAGCATGAGGTACACTCAGGCCAGATTCTACTTATCACTCAGTTTCTGTATCTACCCTATTAATCAGCAACACCAGGGTGCCATTTTGGGCTCCATGGTATCAGTGTTAGGTCATACAATGTGTGAGAAATCATAATTTTCCATTGTGGTGGCTGATAGCTGTCATCCCAGATGCCTTTTAATTTTTACTTTTTGGCTTATATATATTAAGCCATTCCCTCATTGTGTGACCCTCTATCTTGCCCCCAGGAACAAAATAGTGTGTTAGCCATTGCCACAAATCCCAGAGGGCCTAAGCAACTTGGCTACCTTTTTGGCTTTCCTACTTGTTATGATAATTATGGCCATTTGCCTCTAAAAGTTAAGTGCCACCACCTGGCCTCAGCAGCCACAGACTGTCTCATCCCCTGAGTGGAGTGGAGCGAAGTGGAGTTCTAGAGCAGCATCTGCTGTTATTAACTCTAGCCTACAGAGGACAGTCACACCTGAGATTGTCAACAATATTTGTGTCACATTCACTAGCACAGCAAGGATCCTCAGGCTCCTCCTGGGGAACATCCTACTGGGAGTCCTTTAAGAATTGTTGGAATACATCTCAGAAGTGTCCTACCAAACAGTAAATAAGTTTGGTGTATTTTCTACAATTCCCATCTTCCATTAGTTACAAAATAATGGAAAGTAGGGCCTGGAAGAGATATTTGTATACCACGTTCATAGCAGCATTACTGACATTATCTAAAACATGAAAGCAACCCAGTGTCCATTAAAGAATAAATGGATGACAGCATTGGAATATTACAATGGAATATTATTAGACAAAGTAATACAATGGAATATTGCTCAGCCTTAAAAAGAAGAAAATTCTGCAATATATTACATATATGAATCTTGAGAACATTATGCTAAGTGAAATAAGCCAGTCACAAAAAAGATAAATACTGTATGATTCCACTTATGTGAGATACTAAGAGTAATCAAAAATCATAGAGACAAAAAGTAGAATAATGGTTTCCAGGGTTGGGGTGGCGGGGAAATGGGAAGTTAGTGTTTAATGGATGTAGAGTTTTTTTTACAAGGTGGAAAAAGTCATGGAGATGGCTGGTGGTGATGGTTGCACATTGAATTGTACAATTAAAAGTGGTTAAGATAGTAAATTTTATATTATGTGTATTCTACCAAACATAAAAGAAAGGAAAACAATACATATGCTTGAATCCAACCCAAGGAAAATCAGCTTCAGTAGCTCTGGGGCAGATTCCTAGAATTTTTTTAAAAGTTCATTGAGTGATTTCAATTCATATTCAGTTTTGGGAACCACTAACTTAATATACATTTCTTTATCTAAGAAATGTAAGCTATATCCTAGTTTTTGGTTCTGTGAGCAGAAGTTAAGCCATTCACTTTTAAACATTTTTACTAAGTTATAACATAATGACATGTCTTTATTTTTGAAGCAATGAAGAAATATTTTGGATTTTCTGTGAAATCATTGTTGAATACACTGTCAATTGTGTTATTCATTATCATTTATAAACTATATCTTATAAGAAATTACATTCAGGCCAGGCATGGTAGCTCATGCCTGTAATCCCAGCACTTTGGGAGGCTGAGGCAGGTGGATTACCTGAGGACAGGAGTTCAAGACCAGCCTAGCCAACATGGCAAAACCCTGTCTCAACTAAAAATACTAACATTAGCCGGGTGTGATGTCGGGTGCCTGCAATTCCAACTACTTGGGAGGCTGAGGCAGGAGAATTGCTTGAACCCAGGAGATGGAGGTTGCAGTGAGATGAGATTGTGCTATTGCACTCCAGCCCGGACAACACTGTGAGACCCTGTCTCAAAAAAAAAAAGAAAAAAGAAAAAAAAATTACATTCATACTTTAGTGCCAAGAAAAAAATCTGTCCTTCTGAATAACAGGTATCTTTCCTTTTGTCAGTTTATATTTATTATGTAAGTAATTATGCATACATGTTTGCTTCAGGAAAAAACTCAGAATGAAATTTAATACTTCTGTTTTTTAAAAATTCATTATTCTTATTTTAATAGCTTTAACATACATGTATCTTTTAACAAAAGCCACCTCAAATATTTTATAAAACCAAATTTGATGTGAATAAATGATTATGATGATGATGATGGCAGCTGCCATTTTGAGGGCTTTTACAATGTGACTGTATAAACTTAATAATTTTTAAAAATTTAATACTCAGCTCAACCTCATAAGGCAGAAATTATTGTTGTTTTACAGAAAGTAAGTTAATTAACAATATAGCTTTTCTTCACTGATGAAGAAAATGATAAATATCAAAAAAGGGAGAACTTACAAATGTAGACAATACATTTCTTCCCTCTGAGTCCATCTAGCAACTTCTACTAGTTCATAGTGTATGGTATTTTTATGGTTCCAGTTCTCAACTGTACACTTTTTAAACACAGGAGATAAGCAATGCATCAAAGATTTCCTCTAGTTTAGGGAGGTGGTCTAAGTCTTAAAATTAAAGGACATTTTTAGAGGTCCCTTCTACTTGTTCAGTTCTACTTGTTGATGCATCCATGTCATAAAACCATATGTCTTGAGGAACAAATTTATTCTAGGATGTGCCAGAATAGAACTGAAGCAGGCCTGAAGGACTGGATCTGGACATCTTGGGTAGTGGTACCCTTCTGATTTTCTGATTTTCCCATATGTATAGGACGTATTCAACAATTTTCTGGGACTGTTTGTAGTTACTTCTGCTTCGTGATGAGACAGGCATATAAGCAGAGCTTTCAGAACATTCAGGAGGGCTAGGAGGTTATAAAAATTCTTGGCAGATCAGCAAACAAGATTTTTGCAAAGAGCTTGAAAGTATCTTCTCCTCTTCAAATGGTATCATTGGCAGCTGAGCACTTCTGGAGGAATCTGAGGGCCACAGAATTTTGCCTGATTGGCCTGGAGTCAGATCTGGATCCTTGTACTGGGCAACCATCTATGGGAGGAAGTTGTGTTACCCTACCTACTTTATTTTATTTATTTATTTATTTTTGCCATTGTAAACCATTTTATTAAAATATTAATCCTGCTGTTCCTGCAATTCCTAAAACAAATTAAACAAAATAATTAGCCTGAAAAAATTTTTTAACATTCTCAGTAAAACTACTTGAAATAAGTCATAAAATTATGAGGCATTTTCCTGTCCTTATTTAAAAAATCTTCCTAGAGAAAATGGCAAGTAGCTCTGGCATCTAATATATATATTTTTTTATATATGTATAATTTTTTTTAATTTTATTATTATACTTTAAGTTTTAGGGTACATGTGTACAACGTGCAGGTTTGTTACATATGTATACATGTTCCATGTTGGTGTGCTGCACCCATTAACTCATCATTTGGCATTAGGTATATCTCCTAATGCTATCCCTCCCCCCTCCCCCCACCCCACAACAGTACCCGGTGTGTGATATTCCCCTTCCTGTGTGCATGTGTTCTCATTGTTCAATTCCCACCTATGAGTGAGAACATGCGGTGTTTGGTTTTTTGTCCTTGCAATAGTTTGCTGAGAAAGATGGTTTCCAGTTTCATCCATGTCCCTACAAAGGACATGAACTCATTATTTTTTATGGCTGCATAGTATTCCATGGTGTATATGTGCCACATTTTCTTAATCCAGTCTATCATTGTTGGACATTTAGGTTGGTTCCAAGTCTCTGCTATTGTGAATAGTGCTGCTATAAACATACGTGTGCATGTGTCTTTATAGCAGCATGATTTATAATCCTTTGGGTATATATCCAGTAATGGGATGGCTGGGTCAAATGGTATTTCTAGTTCTAGATCCCTGAGGAATCGCCACACTGACTTCCACAATGGTTGAACTAGTTTACAGTCCCACCAACAGTGTAAAAGTGTTCCTATTTCTCCACATCCTCTCCAGCACCTGTTGTTTCCTGACTTTTTAATGATTGCCATTCTAACTGGTGTGAGATGATATCTCATTGTGGTTTTGATTTGCATTTCTCTGATGGCCAGTGATGATGTGCATTTTTTCATGTGTTTTTTGGCTGCATAAATGTCTTCTTTTGAGAAGTGTCTGTTCATATCCTTTGCCCACTTTTTGATGGGGTTGTTTGTTTTTTTCTTGTCAATTTGTTTGAGTTCATTGTAGATTCTGGATATTAGCCCTTTGTCAGATGAGTAGATTGCAAACATTTTCTCCCATTCTGTAGGTTCCCTGTTCACTCTGATGGTAATTTCTTTTGCTATGCAGAAGCTCTTTAGTTTAATTAGATCCCATTTGTCAATTTTGGCTTCTGTTGCCATTGCTTTTGGTGTTTTAGACATGAAGTCCTTGCCCATGCCTATGTCCTCAATGGTATTGCCTAAGTTTTCTTCTAGGGTTTATAAGGTTTTAGGTCTAACATTTAAGTCTTTAATCCATCTTGAATTAATTTTTCTATGAGGTGTAAGGAAGGGATCCAGTTTCAGCTTTCTACATATGGCTAGCCCGTTTTCCCAGAACCATTTATTAAATAGGGAATCCTTTCCCCATTTCTTGTTTTTGTCAGGTTTGTCAAAGATCAGATAGTTGTAGATATGTGGCATTATTTCTGAGAACTCTGTTCTGTTCCATTGGTCCGTATCTCTGTTTTGGTACCAGTACCATGCTGTTTTGGTTACTGTAGCCTTGTAGCATAGTTTGAAGTCAGGTAGCATGATGCCTCCAGCTTTGTTCTTTTGGCTTAGGATTGACTTGGTGATGCGGGCTCTTTTTTGGTTCCATATGAACTTTGAAGTAGTTTTTTCCAATTCTGTGAAGAAAGTCATTGGTAGCTTGATGGAGATGGCATTGAATCTATAAATTACCTTGGGCAGTATGGCCATTTTCATGATATTGATTCTTCCTATTCATGAGCATGGAATATTCTTTCATTTCTTTGTATCCTCTTTTATTTCATTGAGCAGTGGTTTGTAGATCTCCTTGAAGAGGTCCTTCACATCCCTTGTAAGTTGGATTCCTAGGTATTTTATTCTCTTTGAAGCAATTGTGAATGGGAGTTCACTCATGATTTGGCTCTCTGTTTGTCTGTTATTGGTGTATAAGAATGTTTGTGATTTTTGTACATTGATTTTTGTATCCTGAGACTTTGCTGAAGTTGCTTATCAGCTTGAGGAGATTTTGGGCTGAAACGATGGGGTTTTCTAGATATACAATCATGTCATCTGCAAACAGGAACAATTTGACTTCCTCTTTTCCTAATTGAATACCCTTTATTTCCTTCTCCTGCCTAATTGCCCTGGCCAGAACTTCCAACACTCTGTTGAATAGGAGTGGTGAGAGAGGGCATCCCTGTCTTGTGCCAGTTTTCAAAGGGAATGCTTCCAGTTTTTGCCCATTCAGTATGATATTGGCTGTGGGTTTGTCATAGCTAGCTCTTATTATTTTGAGATACGTCCCATCAATACCTAATTTATTGAGAGTTTTTAGCATGAAGGACTGTTGAATTTTGTCAAAGGCCTTTTCTGCATCTATTGAGATAATCATGTGGTTTTTGTCTTTGGTTCTGTTTATATGTTGGATTACATTTATTGATATGCGTATGTTGAACCAGCCTTGCATCCCAGGGATGAAGCCCACTTGATCGTGGTGGATAAGCTATTTGATGTGCTGCTGGATTCAGTTTGCCAGTATTTTATTGAGGATTTTTGCATCGATGTTCATCAAGGATATTGGTCTAAAATTCTCTTTTTTGGTTGTGTCTCTGCCAGGCTTTGGTGTCAGGATGATGCTGGCCTCATAAAATGAGTTAGGGAGGATTCCCTCTTTTTCTATTGATTGGAATAGTTTCAGAAGGAATGGTAGCAGCTCCTCCTTGTACCTGTGGTAGAATTCAGCTGTGAATCCATCTGGTCTTGGACTTTTTTTGGTTGGTAAGCTATTGAGTATTGCCTCAATTTCAGAGCCAGTTACTGGTCTATTCAGAGATTCAACTTTTTCCTGGTTTAGTCTTGGGAAGATGTATGTGTTGAGGAATTTATCCATTTCTTCTAGATTTTCTAGTTTATTTGCATAGAGGTGTTTATAGTATTCTCTGATGGTAGTTTGTATTTCTGTGGGATCGGTGGTTATATCCCCTTTATCGTTTTTTATTGCGTCTATTTGATTCTTCTCTGTTCTTCTTTATTAGTCTTGCTAGCAGTCTATCAATTTTGTTATCTTTTCAGAAAACCAGCTCCTGGATTCATTAATTTTTTGAAGGGTTTTTTGTGTATCTATTTCCTTCAGTTCTGCTCTGATTTTAATTATTTCTTGCCTTCTGCTAGCTTTTGAATGTGTTTGCTCTTGCTTTTCTAGCTTTTTTAATTGTGATGTTAGGGTGTCAATTTTGGATCTTTCCTGCTTTCTCTTGTGGGCATTTAGTGCTATAAATTTCCCTCTACACACTGCTTTGAATGTGTCCCAGAGATTCTGGTATGTTGTGTCTTTGTTCTCGTTGGTTTCAAAGAACATCTTTATTTCTGCCTTCATTTCGTTATGTACCCAGTAATCATTCAGGAGCAGGTTGTTCAGTTTCCATGTAGTTGAGCGGTTTTGAGTGAGTTTCTTAATCCTGAGTTCTAGTTTGATTGCACTGTGGTCTGAGAGACAGTTTGTTATAATTTCTATTCTTTTACATTTGCTGAGGAGTGCTTTACTTCCAACTATGTGGTCAATTTTGGAGCAGTGTGGTGTGGTGCTGAAAATAATGTATATTCTGTTGATTTGGGGTGGAGAGTTCTGTAGATGTCTATTAGGTCCACTTGGTGCAGAGCTGAGTTCTATTCCTGGGTATCCTTGTTAACTTTCTGTCTCGTTGATCTGTCTAATGTTGACAGTGGGGTGTTAAAGTCTCCCATTATTATTCTGTGGGAGTCTAAGTCTCTTTGTAGGTCTCTCAGGACTTGCTTTATGAATCTGGGTGCTCCTGTATTGGGTGCATATATATTTAGGATAGTTAGCTCTTCTTGTTGAATTGATCCCTTTACCATTATGTAATGGCCTTCTTTGTCTCTTTTGATCTTTGTTGATTTAAAGTCTGCTTTATCAGAGACTAGGATTGCAACCCCTGCCTTTTTTTTTGTTTGTTTTCCATTTGCTTGGTAGATCTTCCTCCATCATTTTATTTTGAGCCTATCTGTGTCTCTGCATGTGAGATGGGTTTCCTGAATACAGCACACTGATGGGTCTTGACTCTTTATCCAATTTGCCAGTCTGTGTCTTTTAATTGGAGCATTTAGCCCATTTACATTTAAAGTTAATATTGTTATATGTGAATTTGATCCTGCCATTATGATGTTAGCTGGTTATTTTGCTCATTAGTTGATGCAGTTTCTTCCTAGCCTTGAAGGTCTTTACAATTTGGCATGTTTTTGCAGTGGCTGGTACCGGTTGTACCTTTCCATGTTTAGTGCTTCCTTCAGGAGCTTTTTTAGGGCAGGCTAGGTGGTGACAAAATCTCTCAGCATTTGCTTGTCTGTAAAGTATTTTATTTCTCCTTCACTTATGAAGCTTAGTTTGGCTGGATATGGGATTCTGGATTGAAAATTCTTTTCTTTAAGAATGTTGAATATTGGTCCCCACTCTCTTCTGGCTTGTAGAGTTTCTGCCGAGAGATCAGCTCTTCGTCTGATGGGCTTCCCTTTGTGGGTAACCCGACCTTTCTCTCTGGCTGCCCTTAACATTTTTTCCTTCATTTCCACTTTGGTGAATCTGACAATTATGTGTCTTGGAGTTGCTCTTCTCGAGGAGTATCTTTGTGGCGGTCTCTGTATTTCCTGAATTTGAATGTTGGCCTGCCTTGCTAGATTGGGGATGTTCTCCTGGATAATATCCTGCAGAGTGTTTTCCAACTTGGTTCCATTCTCCCCATCACTTTCAGGTACACCAATTAGACATAGATTTGGTCTTTTCACATAGTCCCATATTTCTTGAAGGCTTTGTTTATTTCTTTTTATTCTTTTTTCTCTAAACTTCTCTTCTCACGTGATTTCATTCATTTCATCTTCCATCGCTGATATCCTTTCTTCCAGTTGATCGCATTGGCTACTGAGGCTTCTGCATTCGTCACGTAGCTCTCATGCCTTGGTCTTCAGCTCCATCAGGTCCTTTAAGGACTTCTCTGCATTGGTTATTCTAGTTATCCATTCATCTTATTTTTTTTCAAAGCTTTTAACTTCTTTGCCATTGGTTTGAATTTCCTCCTGTAGCTTGGAGTAGTTTGATCATCTGAAGCCTTCTTCTCTCAACTCGTCAAAGTCATTCTCCGTCCAGCTTTGTTCTGTTGCTGGTGAGGAGCTGCATTTCTTTGGAGGAGGAGAGGCGCTCTGATTTTTAGAGTTTCCAGTTTTTCTGCTCTGCTTTTTTCCCATCTTTGTGGTTTTATCTACCTTTGATCTTTGATGATGGTGATGTACAGATGGGTTTTTGGTGTGGATGTCCTTTCTGTTTGTTAGTTTTCCTTCTAACAGACAGGACCCTCAGCTGCAGGTCTGTTGGAGTTTGCTAGAGGTCCACTCCAGACCCTGTTTGCCCCGGTATCAGCAGCGGTGGCTGCAGAACAGCGGATCTTGGTGAACTGCAGATGCTGCTGCCTGATCTTTCCTCTGGAAGTTTTGTCTCAGAGGAGTAGCCAGCCATGTGAGGTGTCAGTCTGCCCCTACTGGGGGGGTGCCTCCCAGTTAGGCTACTCAGGGGTTAGGGACCCACTTGAGGAGGCAGTCTGCCCGTTCTCAGATCTAAAGCTGCATGCTGGGAGAACCACTACTCTCTTCAAAGCTGTCAGAGAGGGACATTTAAGTCTGCAGAGGTGACTGCTGTCTTTTTGTTTGTCTGTGCCCTGCCCCCAGAGGTGGCGCCTACAGAGGCAGGCAGGCCTCCTTGAGCTGTGGTGGGCTCCGCCCAGTTCGAGCTTCTCTGCCACTTTGTTTACCTAATCAAATAACTACCTCGGCAATGCCGGGCGCCCCTCCCCCAGCCTCGCTGCCACCTTGCAGTTTCATCTTGGACTACTGTGCTAGCAATGAGCGAGACTCCGTGGGCGGAGGACCCTCTGAGCCAGGTGCGGATTATAATCTCCTGGTGTGCCGTTTTTTAAGCCCATTGGAAAAGCGCAGTATTAGGGTGGGAGTGACCCGATTTTCCAGGTGCCATCTGTCACCGCTTTCTTTGACTAGGAACAGGAATTCCCTGACCCCTTGTGCTTCCCCGGTGAGGCGATGCCTCGCCCTCCTTCGGCTCGCACACAGTGGACTGCACCCACTGTCCTGCAACTACTGTCTGGCACTCCCCAGTGAGATGAACCTGGTAACTCAGTTGGAAATGCAGAAATCATCCATCTTCTGTGTCGCTCACGCTGGGAGCTGTAGACTGGAGCTGTTCCTATTCGGCCATCTTGGTTCCTCCCTCTACCCTACCTATTTTAAAGCAAGTCTACCCTTTGCCTTGTCCATCAGTGCCTTTACCTCCATCACATCACCATGATGGTTTGACAACCATTCAAAGGGCTACCAAGAAATCAGACGTAAACTCTCTCACTACAGAACTTACTCATCTGAGAGTGTTTGTGAGGAGTCTTAACAGCAAATGAACGGTTGTAAACAACTTTTTGACCATGTTATGAAATGTGACATGGAAGACAGAAATCACTCCTTGTCTCCTCTTTTTCTTCTTTCAGGATGGATCAGAACAGTGCAACTGAACCAAAGTTGCTCCTCGGCTTTCTTATCATATTCTCAGCAGCAAGACTCCATGTGCCCCCTTTCTTTCACTTATTCACACCATTACCAAATATTTATTGAGTACCTACTGTGTGTCAAACTGCCAGCTCATCTTCACACACTCCATGTGCTGTCAGGCTCATACGCTCTGCTCATGTTGTCACCCTTTTTCTGAAATGCGCTTCCTACACCCTTCTTTCTCCATTGGGTTCTTTCTCATCCTTTAATGCCATCTAAAAGTATTCCTTGCTCAAGGCTTCCCAAACCCCTCTAGGCAGTTGGGTTTCCCATTCCTTGTGCTAGAAGAGATCACTTCACAATCTTAGTACAAACCTTATCACACATGTTCTCATTAGACTGTGAGTTCCAGGAAAAAAGGGTAGTGACTTCTTTGTGCCATTCATTGAACTTGGTAGAACTTTATGAGTATATAGCCCCATATATTTTTTCAAGGATAAGTCAATATATGAATGAGAGCTAGGTGATATTTTTCATGCATTGGAGTTTTACATGGAACTTTAGACAATTCACTGAATTACCTTTTTAGCTTCAGGCTCCTTTGTACAATTAATTAATCATACTTAATTCCTCTCTTTTTCCATAACATGTCGTAATGCTTTAAAATTTTAAGTACAGAACCCTAGAAGTGTGTTACTGTTGCTGTTCGATTCATTGCCACCTTGCAATTGACTTTGTGGCCTTAGTGGAAATGAATATTAGATTCACTAATTTGGATAACAAGGGACAGTAACAATAGAGTCTATGTACTGTGCATCATGTTTATTATGTGCTGAACTTCCTCACTGCCTTCTAATTAAGCAAGAACTGTTTTTGGTGAAATTACAGGACAACAAGACAAACTGAAGGAATTGCAGAAGTGAGAGATGAGAAAATAGTGACATCCTGACAAACTGATTTTGAGGTTAGGAAGAGACATAGGGTGATATCTGGGAAGGAATAGGGCCAGACTCAGCATGGTAAGAAGCCAATGGGGGACACAAGAATAAGGATGTTCATGGCAGCACCACGTGTAATAACAAAAAGAATATGGGGAAGATACATTGGCATATTCAATAACATAATGTATGGAAGAAAACTACAATGTACTATTATAGAACTATGTGTATCGACATGAATATATTTCACAACATAATATTGAATTTAAAAATCAGACACAGCATGAGATTATTTATTTACAAAAATAAAACTCACAAAGTAGTGCTAGGAGTTGGAAAAGAGAGGGGACAACTGGGATTGAGAAAGGGAATAAAGTGTATTTGTTTTACAATTTTTATATATTTTGTTTTTTAAGGTATAAATCAGAGAAAACATTAGAAAATATTAACAATGTGTTAACTCTGAGATGTGGTAACTGTACAATTGGTTTTGTACAATCAGTTTTGTTTTTTAATATTCTGCATTTTTAAAGCAAAAAATTTAATAATCCCCAAAAGTCAATGGAAAGAACCCATTTGAAAGAGTGAGACATTGAATTGACAGAAGTGAGAAAGACAAAATGCAGGTTTCTCAAAAGCAGGAAAGAAATGGGATGCAGGCAGCAAAAGAAACTATCATCAGAGTGAACAGGCAACCTACAGAATGGGAGAAAATTTTTGCAGTCTATCCATCTGACAAGGTCTGATATCCAGAATCTACAAGGAACTTAAACAAATTTACAAGAAAAAAAAAAACAACCCTATCAAAAAGCGGGTGAAGGACATGAACAGACACTTCTCAAAAGAAGACTTTTATGTGGCCAATAAACATATGAACAAAAGCTTACCATCATCACTGGTCATTAGATAAATGGAAATCAAAACCAAAATGAGATATCATCTCACGCCAGTTAGGATGGCAATCATTAAAAAGTCTGGAAACAACAGATGCTGGCATGGATGTGGAGAAATAGGAAGGCTTTTACACTGTTGGTAGGAATGTAAATTAGTTCAACCATTGTGGAAGACTGTGTGGTGATTCCTCAAGGATCTAGAACCAGAAATACTATTTGACCCAGCAATCCCATTACTGGGTATATACCCAAAGGATTATAAATCATTCTACTATAAAGACACATGAACACATATGTTTATTGCAACACTATTCACAAGAGCAACGACTTGGAAACAACCCAAATGCCCATCAGTGATAGACTGGATAAAGAAAATGTGGCACCTATACACCATGGAATACTATGCAGCCATAAAAAAGGATGAGTTCATGTCCTTTGCAGGGACATGGATGAAGCTGGAAACCATCATTCTCAGCAAAGTAATACAGGAACAGAAAACCAAACACCGCATATTCTCACTCTGAACAATGAGAACACATGGACACAGGGAGGGGAACATCACACACCAGGGCCTGTTAGGGGTTGGGGGAAAGGGGAAGGAGAGCCTTAGGACAAATGCCTAATGCATGTGGGGCTTAAAACCTAGATGATAGGTGCAGCAAACCACCATGGCACATGTATACCTATGTAACAAACCTACACGTTCAGCACATGTATCCCAGAATTTAAAGTAAAATTTAAATAAAAATGGGATGCAGGAAGAATAGTGAAATTATGAACCTTAAAAGAAGATTAGGAACAGATGAGGCAGACTTGGTAAAATCTAAATTGATTTTAGAAAGATGAGGACCTTCCCACCTGGAAATAAGTGGCAGGAAATAAGGGAAATAAAGTTGAGAAATACAGATAATGTTTTTAAAAATAATTTGAAGGAGTAAGTGTGAGTTCAACTAAAGAAATATTGCAAGACTGCCAAGCAATGGAGTTTCCTTTTTGGTGAACCTGAATTTCTGGTGAAACTTGTCTGTCCTATTGTGTGAATTTTTCTAGCAGTTTCCAGCTGCCAGGGTACAGGTCCAGAGAAAGGAGGTTCATCTTTTCTAAGGAGTTTCTAGATGCAACAAAAACACAGAGGGGCAAGTAAATCCACATCTTAGGGTATATTGTTACTTCATGATGTATAAGGGAATCTAACCTGCATAAGAACAAAATTAATAAAAGAAGAACTTATTACTTAGAAGAAAGCAGAAGATACATGAGGCTGATGATCTCATCGAAGTCATAGAGAAATGATGATTGCAATAACTGAAGTAATGGTTTAAATTAGTAATTTGAGAAGTAGAACAGTTATAAATGATGACATGAGTTAGCAATTGGGGCCAAAGGGGGAGATAGCTAAAGTATGGTGGAAAAGAAGGTCATTGAGGTGAGAACTTCAAGGATTTGAAGAGGCTATTGGGTAAGAAGCAACATTAACGCAAATATCTTACTTTTTAAATACATACTTTTTTTTTTTAAATAGAGATGAGCGTCTCGCTATGTTGACCAGCCTGGGCTCAAACTCCTGGTCTCAAGTGATCTTCCCATCTCTGCCTCCCAAAGTCCTGGGATTACAGGTGTGAGCCACCACACCGGGACCATTCATGCACATATCTAAACCATCCCCCTTGAAGACAGGATTTGGTTTCTCTTTCACTGTAGAAATTATAGCTCTTTCCTTTCTCTACTTCTAATTAATCTGTCACTGTTGACATATTATCTGTGTTTCTTATTGTTTTTAAAGAGGAACTGTTTGGTTCAGTCAGTCATCATCCAGTTTGAGGTTCCCTGTTGTGAGCCTTAGAACCATCATGGCCTAGGTGACAGGCTAGTCTACAGAGGTTGTCTTTAAGTTATCTCTTGTCTAGTATGTCAGATAAGATTATAAAGACCATGAAGACTTGTGCAAACTCTTCAGAAAAAAGTTGTGTGTGCAACGAATGTGATAAGCATTGTCGGGGCAGACCTGGGGAGGATTATATCACATGCCATTTCTCCCTATACATTCATGTGTATATACTTTAATTCATCCAAGCAAAATTCAATGAAAATAACTTTTAACTTCTTCCCAAGGTACTCACCAATACCTGTCCACTGGAAAACCCAAAGGGGAAGGAGAACAAGCAGAGGGCACTTTGAGCCAGCAGGGCTTAGGAATTGCCAGTCAGCAATTACACAAAGCAAGAACATGCTCCTTTCAAAGGTGTCCAGGATGCAGGAACTGTGGGAGCATTAAGGAGTAGAGGGGTAGGGCCTGGTAGAACAAGGACAGCTATGTGCAGCTGGCCAGAGCTATGGTTAGATGCCCAGTGGCACTTATTCTGGGTATTAGGCACTTACCTATATGCATGACTGATTTGACTAATATAAAAAGCTCTGCCTTATTTTTGCACCTTAAAGGCCATGAAAAAAGAGGCAAAATAAATCCAAAATAAATGAATAAAATCAATATTTTTTGCTGGAAAATATGAGTGAACTATACAGTAAAGCCTCACAATGTTTCCATCTGCTAGGTAAATGAATCAAGAATAGTTTTACATTCATAATTACAGAGGGAAAGTGTGAAAGACCCTTATTCCTTTTTTCCCTTCTCTTAAAAAATGGTGAATAGGGCCTTTAATACTCAATCTTAAATGAATGTTGTATATTTTGGCCTGGTGTCAAAATGTTAACAGAACTTGTACTATGGTCTTCTAAGGGGAAAAAACAAATAGTTTAACACTGAGGTATTTTGAAGCAGGTGCTCTGGACAATTAGAGAACTTTGTGGCTTTTGAAGGCACCCTTCCAAGAACTAGAAATCTGAAAAATGAATACCACACTGTCACTTTGATAAAATATTTGGTTTTTGGTTCTATTGGGGAAAGAAACCAGAGCTCAAAGAACACAGAAAAAAGTAATGCTTGGTAAGGTGTAATGTGTGAGACACTTCTTGAAAGCTGCCAATAGCCCCTGAAAAAATAGTACACACTCCTCAGTTATGTAGATTAAACAAGAAAACACCAGTAGTTTAGCCACTTGTCAAGTTTCAACTTAACTTATTATCATCATGATATGAATAGGAATGTATAAAATTCTCAGTTTGGGGTAGATGACGCTATGGTTAAAACTGGAATTTTGTAATATAAAGCAAGGGGGAAACAGGTATAAGATAACAAGTGGCAAATGACACAGGATTAAAGAAAAATGAGAAAAGAAGGGGAGAATAAATGAAAATCAAATTGAAGAGGGAGGAACTAGAAAAACTGTAGGACAAAGTGTAAATGAAAGAAAATAGAGCCGGGCGCGGCGGCTCACGCCTGTAATCCCAGCACTTTGGAAGGCCAAGGCGTGCGGATCACGAGGTCAGGAGCTCGAGACCATCCTGGCTAACACAGTGAAACCCCGTCTCTACTAAAAATACAAAAAATTAGCCGGGCGTGGTGGTGGGCGCCTGTAGTCCCAGCTACTCAGGAGGCTGAGGCAGGAGAATGGCGCGAACCCGGGAGGCGGAGCTTGCAGTGAGCCAAGATCGCGCCGCTGCACTCCAGCCTGGGCGACAGAGCGTGACTCCGTCTCAAAAAAAAAAAAAAAAAAAGAAAGAAAGAAAATAGAAGAATCACTTGGATTGCTTAACAAAATCCACGTTCTAGACCTAGATATTCTCAACAGAAGGTGGCCTATTATTGGCAATAAATAGTGTTTTCAAGTATTCCTGAGATGTTAGGGGACTCACTGCTTTAAACATCAATCAGTTTTATTATCCCTAAATTGAAACAATAACTTCTCCTCTGCATATTGTGCATGATTAGTAAGGCACTGCATTAGTCTGCCAAAAAGATACTGCCCAAGACTGGGTAATTTATAAAAGAAAGAAGTTGAATTGACTCACAGTTCTGCATGGCTGGGGAGGCCTAAGGAAACTTACAATCATGGTGGAAGGCAAATATCTTCTTCACAAAGCAGCAGGAAAGAAATAGGAGAGCAGGGGAAACTGCCACTTATAAAACCATCAGATCTCATGAGAACTCACTCACTGTCATGAGGACAGCATGAGGGAAACCCGCCCCCATGATCCAATCACCTCCCAGTGGTGGAAGGGGAAGCAGGCATGTCTTACGTGGCAGCAGGTAAGAGAGAGACAGAAAGAGAGAATGAGAGCATGAAAGTGCAGGGGAGAGGCCAGACACTTATCCAACAACCAGATCCCGTGAGAACTTCCTCACTATCATGAGAATAGCATGGGGGAAACCACGCCCATGATCCAATCACCTCTCACCAGGTCCCTCTCTGGACACTGGACATGTAGGCATTACAGTGTGAGATGAGATTTGGGTGGGGACACAGAGCCAAACCATATCAGTCTTTCATGAGGAAATGATTGTTAAAGCACCACACAGATATAAAGTGTATATTTTTTATGAAGCACAGAATTCTGTGAAGGGAAGCACCAAGTAAACAATGCACGGTGCACTCCGGGGAAAGCTCTGAGCTGTGATTCATTCTCAGAATGAGGGAAATAATGACCTCAGCCTATGCACACTTCCTTATGAATTTAGAAGATGACACGGTTATACTAGTAATTCATACAACCGAAATACCTTACTGTAGCCTAAGAAATTCTTGGCCCTATGGGTACATAGATTATCCTAAACTGGATAGATAATTATACAAATATCTGTATCCATGGCAGTATAGATAAAGCTTTTAAAATAGGTCACTGAACTCATTGAACTTTCAATAACTAGTATAACCAGAGTAGAATTGTTAAAAAAATTGGATTGGAAATTTCAGTGTTTATGCTCTTGACTCAAAATCGGGGGGCAGATAATAAATTCATTGCTAAAATTCATTTGGAAGTTACAGTTTAAATATATTTTCCCAGCCATATGCACTTTACTATTTTTTATTACTTTCGAATTCTTGTGAAGCTTTCTCGAGCGATTTCATTTGGTATCTTATTCCCTGTTTCAATTAAGCATTTGCATATTTATCTTCATTATCATATAATTATATTATATAACATTTATAAGTTTAACTTTTCTCTATGAAACTCAAAGCAGTTAATGAGTTTTGTATCATTTATCTTCCTCCCACAACATTGAATTAAGAAATCAGAAAGCATCATAGCTTCCATTTTACTGATCAGTGGTCAGCTTACTTCTTTCTCAAATCCTAATCTGGGCTCTATGATACCCAAGCTCTTATTTTCCAGGACCAGTGGTTCTTAACCCTGACCTCACTTAATCACCTGGTGAGCTTTTGGAAAGTAGCTCACAAGCCACGGCCTTTGTCCAACCTTAGACCAATTGAATCAGGACCTGTGAAGGTGAGGGCTGAACATCAGTAAGCTTTTTAAGTTCCTTATGTGAGCCTAGAGAACAGTCAAGGTTCAGAACTGTTGCTCTAAAGCAGTGCCTTTAAAACTTTAATATGGTTTGCAATCCTAAGAGGATATTGTAAAAATGCTGATTCTTATCCAGTAGGTCTGGGTGGCCCCTGAGTTTCTGCACTTCCAGCACACTCCCAGGTGATGCTAATGCATCAGAACACAGAAAATTATTTGAGTGACATTTTTCTCAATTCTTGTGACAACTAGGACCACTCTCAATGCATGGGAAAGAAGTTTACGCATCACATACAATGGACTTCTTAGGATATTAGGGCCAAAATTCTTACAAAATCAGAGTTGAGAAAAGCTGCTTTCTATTTGTGGATACAAATGGAATTTTACAGATTATTCAGCACCTTTCATATTTTGACAGCACATCTTGGTCATTTTTACCTTTATAACTTCCAGTAATTAACTTGCTAAGCTGGAATTTTCCAGACTCACAGGGCATCAATACTTCATCCACTTCCATACTTGCAGCCCCTCATTTACCCAAATACTGTTCACTTCTCAGATCCCTGAAATACAGCCTCTGTCCCATGACTTCACTGAAATCATCCCCTCCAAGATCAGCAACAACCTTTCTGACTAAATAAAATAAACCCTTTTAGCTTCATCATTTTATTTGGCTTCCTTTTCATACTATGAACTACCTCATATTTGAAAGCCCTTCTTCCTTTCTTAGTTTCTGTGCTGCAGAAATCCATTCCTATCTCTCAGATCACTCTTTCTTTCTCTGGCATTTATTCCTCTTTCTTTCTCCCACTGTCTACCTCTTAAATATTGGCAATCTTTTGGGGTTTTACTGTTGTCTTCTCACTTGACTCACTGTTCCTAAGGTGTCTTGCCTAATCTCATGGTCTTCTTCAATGTGCTAGTGACTTTCAAGTCCGTGTCTCCAACCTGGAGTAATTTCTAGACCCAATTTCGGTTGTTTGCTACATCTGTTGGCTTGAATATCAAATTCTTCATTACCCAATTTCAACTCATATCAACATCCCCAACTCTCTTCCTTGGATTCTCTATAGGTAACATTGTAAGCCCTAAAAATAAAAAATAACTGAGAAACAAGAGAGAGGTAGTGACATAAATGTCACTAAAGTCAAGTCCTAGCAGGAAGATAATACCTCATGAATTTCTCAAAGACCAGATTCTGCCCTTACAGGTTCAGAAGCCTTATTTTATAGGAACTGCCTCACCATAACCAACATCATCAAACCCATACATCAAATCTGTAAGCCAAATTATTTTAATAAATTGCAGATCTCATATTCCCCTCAATATGACCAGGACAGGCTCTTTCCCTATAGAAATACCTACATGAAAAGTCACATTATAGTTAAATGTTTGCCCAATAAGCATGGAATCAGTGCAAGGGAGTTGAATAATTTAAATATATAATAGAATCAGGCTAAGACTCAGTACTTCATTTATGAAGTACTTTAGGAAGTTATACATTATAATTCTTAAAGTTTGTCATACAATAACCCCTCACCCAGGAAGCTGCTCAGACCGGCCTTGGTGACACTTCTTTTCTTGCTTTTCAGCATTGGTCAACACCCCTCCACCTCCACCTCCACACAAACTGCCTACTAACTGGCACAGTGATCGATGTGTTCTTGTTTTCAATCTGTATTTAAATGCCAGCTGCAGTAACTTGCTTATCCCTCACATTTTCTCACTAGGATGGCTGCTATAGTATCTATCTGGCCCCTCAATGTCACTGATCATTAAAGAAATGCAAATCAAAGGCACAATGAGATGCCATCTCACACCAGTAAGAATGGCTATTATCAAAAAGTTAAAAAGTGACCAATGCTGGCAAGGTTGTGGACAAAAGGGAACACTTATACACTGTTGGTGGAAGTGTAAATTAGTGCAACCATTGTGGAAAGCAGTATGGCTATTCCTCAAAGAGCTAAAAGCAGAGAGCTACCATTCAACACAGCAATCTCATTACTGGGGAAATACCCAGAGGAATAGAAAGCTTTCTACCATAAAGATATATGCACATCAATGTTGATTGCAGCACTATTCACAATAGCAAAGACATGGAGTCAGCCTTAAAGCCCATCAGTGACAGACTGGATAAAGAAAATGTAGTACATGTACACCATAGAATACTATGCAGCCATAAAAAAAGAAAAGGATCATGTCTTTTGTGGGAACATGGATAGAGCTGGAGGCTACTATCCTTAGCAAACTAATTCAGGAACAGAACACCAAATACAGCATGTTCTCACTTTTAAGTGGGAGCCAAATGATAAGAGCTTAGGAACACAAAGAAAGAAACAACAGACACTGGGGTCTACTTGTTGGGGGGATGGTAGGAGAAGGGAGAAGTACAGAAAAGTATATTCATAAGAATGCTTAAGTCACCAAGAATGATCAGCCAGGAGCCAACACAGTCAATAAGTGAAGTCCAGTGACATTCCTCTCCCCTCTAACAGCCACACTCTCACGCTCTCTCTTGCCTCTCTAACTTTGAATGCATCTTTCCCTCTGTGGATATCCTTTTACTCCCTACTTCCCTTGGGTGACTCCTGATCACACTCCAGGACTCAGCTTATTGGTTAGCTCCTCGGGGAAATCTGGAAAGTATGGCAGCCTCCTGCCATGAGTTAGGTGTACTTCTAATGCACTGTCTTCATATCTACTGTAAACATATTTCTTTGCATTTAGAAACTTTTTCTTTGCATTTAGGAACTTTTTAATGATTTCTTACTTATGCATCCCTCTCATTTATGTGTTGATTTTGTAGCCTCCATGAATGCACCCACCACATGTCTAATTTGCCTTTGCATACGTAGCAGCTAATGTAGCTGGCATATAATTGCTGACATAGGTTTTCCACTCCCCGAGGTGGCCTCAGTTGTCCTTGGAAGTTATTACAGGAAGAGCAGTCAAGGCAGCAGCCTACCCCAGTTTAGAACCACCAATAAGAAGATAAATGTCATCAGCCACCCCTGGAGCATGTCCATGCAATGGCAATAACTGATTTGATAGTGACCAAGCCAACCAGAGACACAACAGGCTTGCGTCTTCTTTCTTTGTTAATGCCCTAATGCTGGTTGTTTTTCCTCCAAGTGTTTGTAAATAATATTATATTCTTGTATTTGAATCTATGCAAGAGCTAAATGTACTTCTCATTATCTATCTCTAATGTCAGTTTGTATGAGCTTTTCTTCATTCTCCTTAAACATATAAGGAGACTACTTTTCAACAGAGATCTATGTTACTCTGTATATACCTAAGACTACTTTTATATTTTATTTTACTCTCCATAAATAATCAACATTAATACATATTGATTCCTGAAGCGATTATAATTTTGAAGAATTCATGCTCCTTGAGTGGTTGAGTAGTAGATGGACACTCAACCTAAGCAAACAAAAACATGCCAATAAACATGTACTCCCAGATCAATGACCCAATCTCATCAGTAAGATTCACTTGTCATTTTTCTTTCTCCTTCTGCTAGATATAAACTCATTGGAGACAGGATTCCATCTTATGTTTTTGGCACACTTACCTCCAAATATAGTGCCTCTTAGAGTGTACTCTCAATGTTAGTTGAATGAATAGATCAGTGAATAAATTACAGTGAGAAACAGCCTCTCTGATACAGCTCCCATATGCAATATTGAGGGACACCATCTATAAATTTATGGTAATTAACAAATACTCTCACATATCTGCCATGTTCATATTCTAAAGTTTAGACCAATGGACATTTTTGTAAAATAAGAACCCTCACTCAAAGGTAAAAATATTACCACTTAGAAATCTCAAAGAAATTTTTTTCTCTGTATATCAGTACAGAAATATGAGACTATTATATGACAGTCATTAGATACAAATAATTTACAAGGAAATGATTTTAAAAACCCAATTTCAAATAAAATTATAAGCAATATCTATTCAGAGCTTTTAAGAATACGCCTCTATCTATCTCTCTTTTGCACTCCTTGTGTTGACAAGGCACACAATGTGGTTGGATCATGTAGATTAATAACCAATGCAAGTGCTGACCCATGTTTCTTTGGTTAAAATATAGATAAGTTGTTGGAGAGAATTTCAAAAAACAAGAGTTTTGAAAATGTTCACTTAAACATAATATCTCACATTTTTCTAGGCTCTAGTTATATTTTTTTACAACACTATCTTAAATGGATTGTATTGACTTATGTGGCTGTTAAATAAATGTCACATATCTTCATTTTAGGCATAACTATTTTAAAGGATGAGTGATGTACAGATATACTCTAAGACAGAGTGTTGAGAAGTTGATTCTTTGGAATGAAAGTTGTACACAGTCATTTAAGTTCTGAAAATTCCCTGTTGAATTTTCTTTTCAGATCATTTTAATAATACTTTATATCATGATCAAATAAAAAGTTATCTCTAATATGTTTAAATCCCTAATGTATTACTCTGTTCTCATGCTGCTAATATAGATATACCCAAGACTGGCTTGTTTATAAATAAAACTGGTTTAGTAGACTAGACTCACTGTTCCACATGGCTGGGGAGGCCTCACAATCATAGTGGAAGGCAAAGAAGAAGCAAAGGCATGTCTTAAATGGCAGCAGGCAAGAGAGCTTGTACAGGGGAATCCCCATTTATAAAGCCATCAGCTCTCCTGAGACTTACTCACTATCACGAGACCAGCACAGGACAGACCCATTCCCCATGATGTAATTACCTCCCACCAGGTCCCTCCCATGACATGTGGGAATTATGGGAGCTACAATTCAAGATGAGATTCTGCTGGGAATACAGCCAAACCATATCATCTAATTTATTCTAGCACTCAATTTCATTATTGGATTTGAACATTTTAAGGAAAGGATTTAAAAAATTCTGAAAAGATCTCAATACTGCTTCCACAATTAAGGCCTACACCACCCTAACCAAAATTATTGAACTATCTTCTTCACTACAGCCAATTCTTTACCCATTTTCTTCTTCCTGATACATTTACTGAGAAAAAAAGTGACAATAGCCATTAATTATTTTATTTAACAAATATTTGTTTTTTATATGCCAAACACAGTTCTAGACCCTGGTGATACAACAAATAAGAAAAACAAAAATGGTTAAAATTACTGCTCACATGGAGTTCATGTTTTAATAGAAATATTTAGAAAGAAAAATAAGCCAATATAAATACAGTATCAGTAATAAAAGTGCCAAGAGGAAAATAAGGCAGTATAAGAAAATAGAAAATGATGGCGATGGCCTCTCTGAGGGAGTGAAATTTGATTACATACCTCAATAAATTAAAGAAACAAGGTATGTGAATATCTGGGAAGAGTGTTTCAGCAAAGGGAACCACACTACAAAGGTTTAAGGCAGGAACATGTTTGATATCTTCCAGGAAGAGCCAGAAATTCAATGAGGCTAGAGAAGTCTGAGCAGGGGAAAAGTGGTAAGCAGCAGGTCAGAGACAGCCAGAGGACAGATAAGGAATGGCCCCAAGGGCCACTGTGGTAGGACTTTGAATTTTACCCCAAGTGTGAGAGGAACCCCTTGGACGATAGACTAGAGGAGTGACACTACATGATTTTGGTTTAAAAAGGCTTACTCTGGCTGCTGCGTGAAGATTGGACCATTGGGGGTTGAAGGGAGAAAAGCAGAGACACTAGTTGGAAGGCCACTGCAGTAGTCCATGTGAGAACAATTGCACCTTGATGAAGGTAGGTTTGTTAGTTTTCAGAGAAATGAAACCAATAGGCTAGAGAGATTAGATAGATAGATAGATAGATAGATAGATAGATAGATAGATAGATAGATAAAGAGGGCATTAATTATGGGAATTGGCTCATGCAATTATGGAGGCTGAGAAGTCCCACAAAATACCACTTGCAAACTGGAGAATTAGAATACCAGTGTTATAATTCATTCTGAATCTGAGAGCCTGAGAACCAGTGAGCTGATGGTATAAGTCCTAGAGTCCAAAAGCCAGAGAAACTGGAATTCTAATGTCCTAGGTCAGGAGAAGATAGATGTCCCAGCTCATGAAAAGAGTGAATTTGCACTTTCTTAACCTCTTAGTTCTATGCAAGCCCTCAGAATTGGATGATACCCACCTACATTGGTGAGGGAAGCTCTCCTTTCCTCAGTCCACTGATTAAAATGCTAATTGCTTCCAGAAACACCCACACAGACATACCCAGAAATAGTGTTTTACCAGGCATTTGGATATCTCTTAATCTAGTCAAGTCAATACCTAAAATCATGCATCTCAGTGGGAGAAACATAAGTGGTTAGAGGTGATCTAATCTCCACGTGTATTCTCAAAATTTCCAATAGATTGGATATGGTGTATGAATGAGAGGGGTGAAAGATAACTTTGCCTAGGCAATTGATGGTTCTTTTTACTGAGGAGGGAAGCACTGGTGTACGAGCAGGTTTCCAGGTGAGAATAGAGCAGGACAATTTGAAGACTTATCAGCTGATATAAAACTGATGAGTGACATCATGTCACTGATTCAAAAAGCACTATGAACCTTAAGCAAGACATGTACAAAGAAAATCACTTTTGAGTCCATCACAGCAGAAAGAAAAACCTTAAAATTAGGTGAAATGGGTAAAAAAGATTATCTTCAAAAGAACAATATTTAAACTGACTGCTGTCTTTTCAATAAAAACAATTAAAGCCAAAAGGCCATGTAATAGTTTCTCCAAAATCCAGCAAAAATATCTTTGCCATCCTAAAATTTTATACCGAGCAAAAATATTATTTGGGAATAAAGGTAAAATAAATATATTTCCAAGTAAAACAAACCTAACAGAATTTGGCACCAGAAGAACCACACTGTAGAATATCTTCAGAGAAAAAGAAAATGATCCCAGAAGAAAGTCTGAAGATGAAAATAAAAAGAACCTAGAAATCAACAAAAAAAGTAAAGCTAAATAAAATGGATATTAACTGTAAAATAAACAATAATAATGTCCTAGGCAGTTTAATGTACATAGAATTTTTTTTAAGTGACAATGTCATTAAAGTCAGAAAGATAATAATTAAGGTATTTTTAATTTTTGAGTGATCTGGGAAAAGGTTAATAGTATCAAACAACAATATATTTTAATAAGAAAAAGATGCACCTTATAATGGGGTAACCATAAAAATATAGTACAAGAATACATAGCTTCCAACCTAAATGAGGAGGGAGGAATGGAATCATAAAAATGTATAATCATTCCAAATATAGGCAAGCAAGAAAAATGAAAGAAGAAAAATATGAAAGAGTTGGACAATCAGAAAGCAAAAATATAAATATTTAAATGAAATATAAATGAACTAAATACTCCAAATAAAAAGCAAAGATCTCAGACAATTTTTGAAAATACAGCTTGAAAGATAGACTTCCAAAATGTAAGTATACAGGTAGAAGCAGAAAGAAAACGAATACTCCTGTAACTATTAACGAAATTGAATCCACAGTGTGAAACTGATCATAAGAAAAATTCCAGACCTAATGAAATCACCTGTGATTCTGCTAAATGTTTAAGGAAGGAGTAATGTCAAATGTACCCAAACTCTTTCAGTGAACAGAAAAACTGAGAATACTTCCGATTTGTTTTATGAGGCCAATATAAATTTGATATCAGAAATCTAATTAGTATATTATTAGAAAGGAAAATTGCAGTCAATTTCACTCATGAACATAAATGAAGCAATACTAAACAAATACTACCAAACAAATATAATAATGGGTAAAGAGAAAAACAAAACTGGACAAAGAGTTTATTCTAGGAAGGAAAATTTCATTTAACATTAAAATTCAATATTTCACCGTATTAACAAAATAGAGGAGCTACAAAATGCATTCATGGGAAAGCGCTTGCAAAATAAGAGGAAAAACATCTTTCTTAACTTGACAGAAATATCTACAAATGTTTAGAGCAAATGTTACACTTGATATTTGCTGAAAACCTTCCGTCTGAGATTGGAAAATTCAGCATGGTTGACATTTTGAAAACTCTCCCTCTGAAATTAGGAAAAAGACAAGGATATGTCCTTATTACCTTTTTTTTATGCCATGCAGTAAGACATGAAAAAAATAACTTTAATAGAAGAAAAAATATTTTATTTTTTTCAGGTGTGATGACTGAATATATACAAAATTCAAATAAATCTACAGATAATTATTTAGAAACAGAAGGTTAGCTTAATAAGGTTGCTGAACTGAAGGTAGTCAGCAAATGACATTTTAAAGATACCATTTACAATAAAGTCCACAAAATAAAATATCTAGGAATAAATCTAAAAGATGTGTAAAACTCTCAAGGCATAATTTCACAAAATATTGTTGAAAGAAATTAAAGAAAACATACATGTTCACTGACTAGAAGATTCAATTGATTATAAATTTGATACAGTCCCATTAAAAATCTCAAGAAGTTCGACTCTGCATGCTGTGTGTGTGTGTGTGTGTGTGTGTGTGATTTGACAAGTTGATTCTCACATGTATGTAAATTGAAAAAGAATAGAGATTAAACACTATTGAAAAAGAAAAACATAATGGGAAAACTTCCCCTACTAGATGTCAATTTAAAGCTAGAGTAATTAAGACAATGTGGTATTTGTGCAAGAATAGATGGATCAATAGAACAGATTAGAAATCTATGCATATATTTACTATTAATTTATGAAAAAAGTACAGGCAGAGCAGTGAGAGGAAGATAAAAAGTGTGACTGGGACAATACGATTGCCAAATAGACAAAAAACAATGCTGAACATCAATTCCTGCACACGTTATCTGCAAAAATCAAATCCAAGTAGATTATAGGTCTAAATATGAAAGGAAATTAATAAAGTTTCTTGAAGGCAATCTAAAAAAGGATTTGTATTCCTTTACTGTTGTAAAATAATTTTTAAACAGGATGCACAAAATATTACTAACCATAAAGGAAAAGATTGTTAACTGAGATTATAGTAAGAGTAGAACTTTTGTTCACAAAAAGACACCAATACCAAGAGATAAATAAAACCACAAAATGGGAAAAGGTATTTATAACACATAACTTACAAGCTTAGGTCTAGAATATATGAAGAATGTACACAGATTGATCAGACAAAAAATACAGTGGAAAAATTGGCAAGAGGTTTGAACAGTGTTTTACAAAAGAAGATATGAAAATGACCATAACCTTTTCTCTTTAGAGCTATTACAAAATATTTGAGAGGTTTGCCAAAAAAAAAAAAAAAAATTGCAGGAAAAGGAGTAAAGCTTCATCATTCTTATTTTAATAAAAGAATAATAAATACTTGGCCCTTTCATCTTTGTTTTAGAAAAGGAATAAATAATTATTACATCCTTTACCTTCCAAGTTTTTCCCTCCACCTCACCATTTACCCTTTTACAGTTCTGCTTTCTGAGTTTTTAAAAAGTGTTTGAGTACTTTCTTGAGACTTGACACACATTTTATCCCTTATGTTGAGCTATTGCTCTTAGTTCACTGTAATTACCAAAATGCATAACTACAGCCAAAGTTTTTCAGAGTTAATTTTCTTCAACCTCTTTTTCTTGGGCTTCCTAGAAAAGATGGAAAAAGTGAGAGGAAGGTGAGAGCTTGTGGATAAGCCTAATTCTTATTCTGTCCTAGTGATGTCTGAGCTGTTAATCTTGTCTTTTCTTTTAATCTAGGTAATGATAATGGGTTCTTTTTCAATATTGTTTGAGCTTCATTAACATGTATGTTGTCTGCTGTAATTTCTTTTTCATTCAAGCAGTACTTTGAAGCTAACTTTATAAGGCTCTCTCCTGCTCCAGGCCAAACTTTGACTTCCCTTTTTATTCGCAGATTTTTTTTTTTCTCCATTTGTCCCCTGCGCTTTGTTTTATATCTCATTGCAGCTCCTGGTTCTTTCATTTGCTGCTCTAGCACTATTTCTTCCTAATCACCCATATTTTGGGTTTCATGTTTGACCTTTCAATATCCCATTGTCAATTCATGCTTATGAAAACTTTGTAGTGGATTTTAACAACTGTAATCCTCAATTACATATTTATTCACTTAATATTTTTGAGTGCATATCTTGTGGCTGGTACTGTCCTACGACCATCTTGCTCATCATCTGCATTGCCCAGTGCCCCTACCACACCAGAATAAAGGATTTGGGGATGTGGGCACTGGTATCACCTTCACTGGGTACCTGGCACCCAAGCTGAACCCGTTTTACCCCCTCCACACCATCCCCCAAAGCTGCTTTCATACCCACAAATGCCCGCATTGTCCCACATTCTCTAAAAATAGAACAGCAAAGTTTGGGGATCTCTCTAGAACTTATTCCATAGTACATCCTGCTGTGATCTAGTTTCTGCATCCCTCTTGCTAAAAGGCTGAGAGCATGAGGTTTTCACATATCATTCAGCCAATCATCTGCCTTTAAGTTTTCTAGATAAAGCTTGCTTTGTGCTTGCATCATATACGAAGGGTGTTTGCCCTCACCTACAACTCCACAACATGGAACATAACAACAACAACAAGAAAAAACACCTGCCTGTCTTCGTGGAACCTCAGTGAGTTAGAGATATTATGCAAGTTGAGATCAAATTTATTTTAGGTTCTCAAATATTATTTTTATTTTTAATTTTTGCCTAATAAACTGGTCCAGAAACTTTTAGTTCATTGACATTCTTGGTCCCCTTAACAACTTGACTGTTCCATGGCCATAAATGGCATCTCCTGCCAAGTCATCCACCTGTGCACCTATAGGTTAAGAAAGTAAATAGATAGCAAGTTAAGAAAGTAATGGATTAGTTCCCATTCACAAAACCATTGAAGTATAAAATATCCTCAGCTGATAGTGTCAGTACCATTATCTCCTTACATAGGAAGCAGAAGCTAGTATTTGCCTCACTAAGATTTCCTTTTTGCTTTCCTACCTAATTTAAAGGAATTATAAATGAGAAGAGGCAAAAGGGGTTCTGAAACTTCAATAGAGAGAAACTGATAAATTTATATTTATTATCAGGCTACTGTTTTCAAGTATAACCTACAAATTAAAATCATAAACATAGAATGGATGTGATTAAAGATAAGTAAACATCTCTGGAGGAAGTAAGGTATTGATTCAATCATGTATTTATTCATTGATCATTTCTTAGACACAAATTTCAGAGAGGATCACATGTATAAGGCAAAGTCGAAGGACTTGGGATAGGGCAGAGTGAAGAAGTGGTGCTGGGGAGTAATGTAAAGGTCAATGCGACATGTTACTTGTTCTCAGAGAGGTCATGGGTTAAGCTGAAGTGCAGAGAGGCAGCATATTATTCATATTATAATATGATAAATGCTATAATAGAACATGTAGTACATGTTTCCACCTCTAGGACACTCCTTTTGGGTGTGGCCCCTCTCAGGTAAACAGGAAAACATAGTAACAATAAACATCAGTATAGATTATAAGTTCATAAAGTAAGATGTTGACTGCAACACCATAAGCATAGCTTTGGGTGGTAAGTGTTAGAGACATTTGCCATAAAGCCCATGACTAGACAAGTAAGTCTCTGCCAGCCTACTCCCATTATGGTTGGCCCTATTCTCATCATGGAACAACCTGCAACCACAAAACAGTACTGGTCCTTCTCTCAGTTTCTTGTATGCACAGTCTGAACTATTAGCACTGGAAGATTCCCCATCTGGTAAGTGGTTGGTCTTGCCTATCCAGGTGTAGGAGCAGAAAAACTCCACCTCCATCCTCTTAGGGTCCTGGAATTAAATTGACATTGTAACAGATTAACAGGAGAAAAGCATAGTACAAGTCTTATGTGGCACAGAAGCCCTCATAAGGAAATGAAGACACAAAGAAGCAGTTAAGGTCAGTTACTTATACACTCAACTGGATGAATAATAGCTGTGAAGAAGCAACTAAATTATGTGGGGAGGCTTAAAAGATAAGAGTTATTTCTAACAAGATCTGCACAGAATTCTCTTGGTTTCGTCTTCTTGTCCTTGAGGATAAGGATGCTGCATCTTTCTGGTATAGAGAGGGTGTCTTTCACATGGCAATTCTATCTTCTGCTTTTAAGAAACATCACAAGGGTCAAAGTGATCTTTTTGCACGTGCTATGTTTCGAGTGTCTGTAACTTAAACAGTCAATATGCCAGAACAGCATATTTTAACCCCTTAACAGGCATGAAAGATATTATGTTAGATTTATTCATGTCTATCTAATACCCTTTCTCTACTGTCAAAGTTAAAATCTCCTAAAGATTGTGTTTACAAGTCTACAGAGTCAACAGGAGGAATGTGGAGAATTCCAGCTCTGCTAACAGTATTTCAATGGTGAAAAATAATCTGTTAAACATTCTAAGAGAATACAGAATGCGGGTTCTTGAGGGCATGGCTCTAATCACAGGTAAATACATAAAGGATGTTAGAAAAAGATTATTTATCATAAAAGGTACTGTCCAAAGGAACATAAGAGAGAGCGAGAAAAGTCTACCTCACAAGACGTACAGAGGCAGAATTACCTGGAAGCTAATGAAACAACTTTATGAACTCTCTCTTACATGGAACCCTCCAGGAACTTGAGAAGGGCCCTGGCAATGTGTCTCCTTCATCAAATTTAAAACGTGCCAAATTATGATGTTTTAGCAGCAATTGTTTAAGACTGCTGTGTTTTTCTTTTACAACTGCATCCTTCATACATTTTCTCCATCTTTTGAGTGGCTCCGGAGTGGTTTCAGAAATTTGGGGGATCTGCCTAATGAGATGTTGAGCTAGAGATAGTGGATTAGGTTTGTAAGGTTCACGAGCACTTCTGTGCATATCTAAGTCACTACTAGCCATCCCAGTATTGGAATAGTTCAAGAATACTGCTGGGAGTGTTGCTCACCCAATATTGTGGGCAAATGTATTGCAGAACACGTATGCAGGGTTCATTCCCTTAATCTCATTGGAGAAAACAATACCTCGATACTGCTTGAAGATTTTGACCACTTTGATATTTTAGCAGTTCTGGTTTCTTTGGGTTCTTCTTACATTGAGCTGCTTCTAAACACACATACCAATTTGAGGTTTTAAATGCTTATATTCTTAAGTGTAAAGATGTGGTCTACCCTGATAAAGATGTTTAAGCTATGAGACGATGGGTAAAATGCCATTTTAGAGGCTCTAAAATATATTGAGAAGACTTGAAAAAGAACACCAAATACAAAATAGTGTGTAATGTTTATTTTAAAAGTTCATGAAGCTTGAATACAACATTTTAACTGTAATACTAAAAAGGAGTTTGTAATATTTCCATCAAATAAGTGAGAAATTACAGACTCCTAATCAGCGTACATGTGAAATATACCTTCTTTCTCTTGAACTGAGAGACAATTCAGGTAAAATAATTAATGGCATATGAAGTAAAATGATAAATATAAGTAATAAAATCAATAGAAATTATTCTAATATAAAAAAGTAAATGTTAAGACAAAATTTTTAAAATCATTTCAAGGGCAATAACTCCTTAAGAGAAAGACAAATTTTGAACAGAAGTAATGGGTAGATTCTTGAATGTTTGCTAGTCCAGTTAATGAAGTGGTATGAATTACATAAACATATTTTAAAATATGGAAATTTTTTGTTGCTTTGATATGAAGTGCCAGCATCGATAGATTTATCGTAAAAATTATAATATGTCTAATAAACAAATTATCAAAAACAAACTGATAAATGAATGCCTTCAATTCAGAGTATCTGAAATTAGTTACTACTTGAGAAACCCTGAACTGCCCTGAAGATTTGAGGCTAACTTGTGAAAGAAACTTGGTAGAAGTTTTGACAAATAGGACCTCAGTCTTTAAAATATATTAGATAACACCAAATACTGGTTGTGAAGCCAAAAGGAATTTTTCTAATCTTTAAATAAAACAAACACAAACTCAAGTTCAATCAATAATCGTAAAGATTATCTTTTTTCTCTATATAATAATATTACAAAAATACCATGATATAAAATGCTATTAAAGAGTATATAGCACAAAAATAAGAAACAAAGTATTATACAGGTATATTAGGCAGTTAATATATTTTTTTGTGTGTTGGTGATGTTTGAGGTATTGCCAGCTCTTAAAACTTGTGATTTTTTTCTAAATGTGTTTTTCATTCAAAATAAATATGCATTATTTTAGCAAATTTTATATGTGTAATTATGTATTCTACTTGTTAAAGAAGGCCCTGTCCCTCCAAATGACATAAGCTTCAAGCTTTGCCAAACCTTGCTCTGCCCCTGATGTGGTATGCATTTAATATAAGCTGAAACTCAGTTCCATTTCTAAGCCTGGCAAACAGTAGTCGTTATAAGAGAGGAAACATGTCACTTTGTAAATGAGGTGACCCTGAGTTAAATCCTAAAAGATAAAACAGAACTTCCTAGTTTTGGTGGTTCTCAAACTTAAGTGTGCATTGAGATCACCTAGAGGGCTTTGTATAATAGAGTGCTGGACCCCGCCCGCAGAGTTTCTGATTCTGTAGGTTTGGAGTGAGGCCCAGGAATTTTCTAACAGGTTTCTAACAGGCTCCCGGGTAATGGCTATACTGTTGATCTGGGAACCATGCTTTGAGAACCACAGCCACAGTCATTTGTCTGAGCTTCTCCTATCTGAGCCAGCCCCTCCACTTAGGTATTTGGGCCCACGGTCTCCCACTCACTGGAGGCTCCAAGAAGTCTCCCCACTCTCACAGCACCAGTTCCTGTATCTTTCCTGGATAATTTCCACTGGTTTATAGTCATCCCAAGATGAAATCTAACAAGCATTTGTCAGTTCTCATGTCACATGGCCTACAAGCAAAGCCTTTGACATCCTTCATTTCTCTCTCTTTCTAGAAACTTTTGGCTCCTACAATACCACAAGCCCTTAGTTTTACTCCTAACTGAATGGTCACTCACTGTCTTCTTTGCTAGTTTCCTCCTCCTTCTGATCCCTAAAGTATGGAGTGTCCTAGGACTCCATTCTTAAATCTCTTCTCTATGTGCTCTTTCTTCATTGGTGAGGCAATTCAATAATTTAGATGCCATCTTTTTCAAACTCCCAAATTAATACCCCCAGCCCACAATTCATCTGATATTTAAAGGTGTATATACAAATACTCACTTAATATCTCCATTATCAAAGTTAAAACATCACAAACTGAACTCCTTCCCTCTAAGTATTTTTCACCTGCTCTCTTTTTCATATCAAGAGGCAACTCCATCCTTCCATGTGTATAGGTTAAAAAAAATGCAGGGTGCTCTTCTTTCATACCTTACACTTCTGCAAAACACATCCAGAATCCAACTACTTCCACCTCCCTGGCCATGAGCCCAGTCCAAGCCACCTTTGCCTCTCTCCTGGAGTACTGCAGGAGCCTCCTGCCTGGTCTCTGCTGTTCTTAACAAAGCAATCAAAGTGATCTTTCAAAAAAAAAAAAAAATGTATATTTGACCATGTTATTTTCCTGCTCAAAACCCATCAATGTTTTTCAATTTCACTCAGCATAAAAGCCAAATTACTTTGATTTTAAGGCCCCATACAATAGCCCCTCACACCTCCAGCCTCATAATACATTACTTCTCTCACATCATCTTCTACTGATTTTTTCCTCCCTCATTTGCTTGTAGCCCCTCCTGCCTGCCTGCTGTTCCCTCTGCCTGTATTGCTCTTCCCACACGGCCCACTCCCCCATTTCCTTCATGTTATTCCTCAAATGTCCTCTCAACATTGAAACCTTACCTGCCTATCCAATTTAAATTTGCAAGCCACTTTCCCAGCATGTTCTGTCTGCTTACCTTGCTTTATTTTCTTCCCAGTATGCATAACATGCTAATACACTCAATAATTTACTTACTTACTGTATTACCTCTCTCCTCTTACTAAAATACCAGCTCCCTTGCTGCAGGGATTTTTATCTGTTTGTTCAGTGATGCATCTTTACGTACAGAAACGATAACAGTGCCAGAGACATAGAGGGACATAAACATCAATGATATCTGTGGAATGAGTGAATGATCAGACAATTCTAGATATGGAAAACAGCATATTACCTTAGAATATATGTTATAAAGCATAGTATATTAAGTGCATAGGAAGAAGCTCAATATCACTAAGGCATACTGAATGTGATGCTGAAATTAGAGGAAGCCAGAAGTCAGGAGCCATGTAAATCTGGAGGTACCAAGGGGGAATAAACAGAGCATACAGGAATTTGTGGATGGATATAGAGAGTGTCACTGGATCTCCATGGGGAGCTGGCCCCATAGTATATGGCTGGATCGACCACAGAGGAAGGTGTAGGGCTTGGTGCATGTCATGGAGCAGAGTTAAACAAAAGAGGCTGTAAACACATGCAAGGACAAAGTCCTGAGTGTGGGCCAGTAAGACTCAAGGGCCTGCTGCCTGGATAGCTTCAAATCACCAACTGTTGCAGATTATCCCTTCATTAGAAATCAATACAACAGCTCCAGCCTCCAGTGTCCATACTGTGAGGAACCCGGCATCCTCTCAGTTGCTCCATAAACACTCAGGAGGCTGGAGTTCAGTCATGGTGCCCATTACCGATGTTTTAATTCTTGTCTGGCATCCCTGCCCCTGTCCTCTTCTCCGTGTAACTCAATTTTGCCTTCATTTTCTCAAAGGATAGCTCACCAAAGGCTGGTGAACCAAGGCAGGTATTTACTGAAAGTTTAGACCTAGCAGATGGGATTAGTGTATAGAACAAAGAGACAACTTAAAATTAAATGTAAGACACTACTCTTTTTTTTTTTTTTTTTTTTTTTTTTGAGACGGAGTCTGGCTCTGTCACCCAGGCTGGAGTGCAGTGGCGGGATCTCGGCTCACTGCAAGCTCCGCCTCCCGGGTTCACGCCATTCTCCTGCCTCAGCCTCCCAAGTAGCTGGGACTACAGGCGCCCGCCACTACGCCCGGCTAATTTTTTGTATTTTTAGTAGAGACGGGGTTTCACCGTTTTAGCCGGGATGGTCTCGATCTCCTGACCTCGTGATCCGCCCGCCTCGGCCTCCCAAAGTGCTGGGATTACAGGCGTGAGCCACCGTGCCCGGCCAAGACACTACTCTTTTAGTTTTTTCAAGCCATCTCCAGCCATAGAAAATTGCCTGGTGATTGTACACAACATACATGTAAACATATATAACACACACACACACACACACACACACACACACACACACACATATATATATATATTAGTTATTAAGTTAATTCTGGCTGAAGGGAGAATGGATTTTAGGGAAATGAGACTGAAGGCAGGCGTACTATTTTGGATAAGCATCGCAAAGGCAAAAGCCTATGGGACCAGGAAGGTAATATAGATGAATGAAGGAGACCAGAAAGGGACTGAGGCAAAAAAGAGAGCACACATGCTTCATGTAACGGAAGCAGCCACCAAGTCAATAATAGCGTCAAAGGCTATCATGGTCGGCACTTGCTCCTAGAGTTAGGCAGCACAAAGCATTCTCTACCTTATTTGGATAACTACTTCCAGCTGATTGTTGCCATGGGAAAATACAGGTCCAACGTTTCCAGATCCTCCAATTTTTCAGTGTTTTAGGACAGCTGAGTATTGGCCATTTTATTGAACTCTCCTATTTTTAAACAAAGGCAACAAATTCCATTTTTGCTAAGCTCTCAACATTAGTTCTCAAACAAAATATTTCTTCCAGCTGGATTTGACCTTCTGGCCATTGGTTTGCTATCCCTTAGCTGGGACCTACATGCAGCTATCCAGGTGACAGATGATGGTGGCTAGACATGAGCTGTGATGGTGGGAATAGAGCACAGGGACATGGTGACCTACTAAGGAAGCCACAGCAGCTCCTGAATTCCCACAAGGAGCTGGGGCACCCCAAAGAAGACTCCAATTCTTAATATAACACTGGGAAAGGAGGTGTAATAGTGAACACTGTGGCAGGAAGCAATGCTGCCGTGGCTGAAACTTTCATTGGCCACCAAGCACTACTATTAAGCAGGGGTGCTCATAATATGCCCATGTGTTTTCCTACCATCCAAGGGTACGAGTGCACTAACGCACAACCAAAGAAATGCCAGTCTGTATAGCTCATTTCTCACAGTGGCCATGGTGGATCCAGCACCTTCTAGACACTCAGCTCCAATTTATTCTCATTCTATATTCACCAGGCAAGCAATTTTATTATCTGAATTTGGTTTCCCAAGAAGATTTTGATATGAAAAACTTGTGCTAATCAACTCACAAGGGGACTTCAAGATCACAATTCACATTTGATGAACTGTCATTCTGATTTATTTGTCATCTTATTTTAAATTTAACATGAGAAAGTGAAAGAAATTGAGTTCCTCTTTATGCAAGTCTAGTAGTCAATAGTACGGACTCTGTGTTCACACTGCCTGGATTACAATACCAGCTTTTCGATTCACTAGCTGAGTGACCTCAGGCAAATTTCATAACTTCTCTTTGCCTTAATTTCCTTATGTGTATAAGGTAAAATAATAGTACTTACCACATGGAAATCTTAGGAGAAAATGAATCAACATACGTAAAGTGTCTAGAATAGCACCTAGCATAGTATCACTATAAAATGTTAGCTATTCTGATGATTATCCTTGATTCAACCATAATATACTTATTAAAGACCCAGATTCTAGAGTCAGACTGGCTGAAGTTGTGTTATAGCTTTGTAGATAATTAACTTTGGGCAAGGAATATAGCCTTCTTATGTCTCAGTTGCCTCTGCTATAAAATAGATTTAACCATTGCAGCTACCTCCTAGGGTTGTTTATATTTAGAGCTTCTAAATATATATTCTATATTCCATAGAATATTCTACATTCCATAAATTCCACATATATTTAGAAGCTGTAAGAATAGTGATGGGTCCACAGTGAGTACTAGCTACTGTCTTGTTTCACACACATTTGTTGAATATGTACAAATTACTATTAATACAAAATGGATTAAATGTAACTTCTGTTTTTAAGAAGGATAATAAATAGTGTGACATAAGTGTTTTAATTTGAAAGGCCAGGCAGGGTGGCTCACTCTTGTAATCCCAGCACTTTGGGAGGTTGAAGCAGAGGAATCGCTTGAGGTCAGGAGTGTAAGACCAACCTGGGCAAAATAGCATCTCTATGGGAAAAAAAAAGAAAAAGAAAGAAGAAGAAAGAAAAGAAAGGAAGGAAGGAAGGAAGGACTGGGTGAAAGTACTGCCTAGGGTATAAACATTATGAAGTTTTAGTGTTGAAATTTATTTTAATAGCCCCTCAGAGTGGTCCTAAAATGGACCAAAAAAAAAAAAAGAAGCTGAACAGTTCAATGAATAAATTGCCAATCTTGTATTTTTAGTCATTTAATAAAGTGAATCATACCAACTTATAGCAGTGAAAATCTACAACTAATGCAGCTACAAATGCTGAGATTAAAGCAAGTCTATTCTAAATACCTTTTGTAACTGTCTATCTGGAAAATTAAGGAGTTGCCCTGAAGAGGACTCAGCTCTAACCAGAATTCTTAGTGAGTTCCTTAATGTGTGGACATGGTGATTTCTTCACCTATAAAGTGGAGTTGATGAAACTTATATGCCCTACATGCTGCAAAGGATTGTTGCAAGGGGCAAAAAAGATAATGAGTATATAAGTACAGTTTAAACATTGGAAGCATTGTATGTGATAAGGCATTATCATTATATATAAGAGCACATCATCCTTCAGGAAATCATCCCTGAAAATCAAAATTTCCTGAGCTGTGGGCCCATTGATTGCCTAAGATGGCTTATTATTATATTATTCTTATATTTGAGTTAACTCTGAAAAACAGATCATGGAGAGTAAGTTCTGCTATCTAAAGGATCATGTTAAACCTTTTTAGGTTGGGCCTTTTTGTGACAACACCTCAAAGTAATAAATTTTCCCCAAATTGGTTTTCTGTAGACCTGGCTAATTTTTTCTCTGTAAATTGTATTGAAGTAACATTAAAATGTCTTCCAAAACCAGATTATATATATGCATACACACACAAACACACACATATACAGTAATACTCATCAAATTCAGTAGGATGAGACATTATTTATCAGGACTTTCACAAAAGCCCCTCTTGATCTGTGTTCCTGTTGAATTTTGTCCATTAATATCACATTGATCCAAGACTTTTATCCAATACACCTATATATATGTTTCCTCTATTTTTATAAAGTTTGAATATTAAATCTCCCACAACTAGACAATGTCTCCAGAACATCCTCTTTTTGTACAATTAACTATTATCCTTATTTTTCCCGCTTTCAATTTTAATAGATTATTTCATACCATATTTGTTTTACATTTTACCAATAATATCAAGCTGACTACTGAACAGCTGACATAATCTATTTGGTAAAGTTAGAATAGATTTGTCTGGCTTTTTAATATGATTTCCACAATATGGATATATTGCTATAATAATTTTTTACATACTGATATGGATGTTTAATAGAATTGACAATAATATACTATGAAAGGAAAATGTTCAATGTTATTATTAAATGGTTAGGCAGTTTTACCTATATACCACAATTTTTTTTGCTTCATAAAATCTGGTTTTTATTTTTATACCACTAATTTGTAGAAAGACAATATTCACTCTGATATCATTCTTTTTCCATGATAAAGGTGCTACAGTTTTTTAAAGTGTAGTGATATGCAAAGTATGAGAAATACATATTATAAATGTGGTATTAACAACTAAATACTTTAAAACTATTTGTAAGCACTTTAATAAAACTATACTTTATTAAATGTCTAATACCTTCCTACATTATTTTAGATACTGTTAATTCCTTCAGCAACCCTACAAAGTAAATATGGTAATTCCAATTTTGCATGTAACTCATTGATACTCTAAGCTACATTGTTATTAATATCACTGTTTATAGATGAGGAAACTAAGGATTCATGAAGATTAGTTATTTTCCCAAGGCAGTGTGGTCAGCCCAGGGTAGCTCTGGATTCAAAGGACTCCTAGTCATTCATGCTCTGAGTAGGGGTATTACAATTTTATTACTCAATTAGCAACCACTTATTATGAACTTATGGCATCTAGAATCCCTGGTGCCCCAGGTTTATTTCCAGAAAAAGAAAATTGCATTCTTTGAATTCTTGGAAAACCCACTTACATTGTAACAAACTTATACTTCTATAGGAATATGTGCACACACACACACAAACACATGCACACACACACACACACATTCCCCTTCTAACTTCTTAAATCTGCAACACGTAAGAAAGCTCAACTCCATCTAGTGCTTTGTAGCCAAAGCAAAGTTTGAATGATCTTCCCAGATTTTTGATATTAGCCCTGATCTATGTGCCCACATCATTCCATTACCAGAAAAATCTCTGTCACAGATGTGGCTACAGGAAAGATGAGGTTATGATGCTAATTGGAATACAGATGTTCAGTGGATAAAAAGTCTGCTGATGTGAACTGGATGCAGATAAAGAAAAGTCTAACTGTGCCTCACTCTACTAATTAGCTCCTCAAAGACCATTGGAGGTAAGATGAAGAAGCCTACTCAGCTATTTGTCTACGTTGGCTAATAAGAAGCATTTGTAAAAGGTTAATAGAAAGGTTAATAGAGAGGTTAGTGAAGGTCTTTCATCATCAATTCAGAATAAAGTCCATAATATTAACTTTTTCTCAGGTTTTTTTAGACTTTCTATTATAGGTACACATATAATATAGATAAAAAATCACAACTTGATGGTAAAATATTATTTTAGAAACTAACATTAAGTTCCCACATTATCTGTAGCTATTCTAATTGTCATGACATTAAATATTTAAATGCCATTGAAATAATAAATTTTCTTCTTTTTAAATTGTGGCTTTTTAATTGAAAGAAAAATGTACAAAGACATTAGGATATTTTATCAATGGCTATCCAACTTCATTGGAAGTTTAGAGCCTTAGTTCTTATTTCTAACTTTCCTCAGCTCTGGAAGGTGTAGATTTTCTTGGCAACAGTTGCTGTGTAAAATATTCTGAGATAGAATTTTTTATCATAATTAATAATAGATGAAAATTTCTGAGTTTTTGATGTTCTAAACTCTATGCTGTTTGATTTATGTTGTCTTTATAGTTGTTTTTCTAGTAATTCTCAGTCTCTTCCTGTTGATATAAGGGTTAGTCATCTTTTTCTTCTAGATGGATCTGATAAATTTGTGCTTTTTTTCCATATCTTTATGTGTTACTTCTGTATATATTTTAATAACACAACCAATTCTACCACAGTGAGACTGAACTATAAGTTTGCTAAGTTTCAAATGGAATTTTTAGCATGTCAATAGAGAACCACCAAAGCATTCTTACTTGTACGCATCCTTGTAATATAAACACTATAGTGAGGCATCACGACTTTCAAGATCTAGTTCCAAAACAGACACCCATTCTTGTGACAATTACCAAAACTAATCTACAAACCTCGTTAATTGTAAAGGGTTTAGCACAAGTGCTTGCACAATATTATCACTACATTATCCTTTTTATCTATTTAATTCTTGGTTGTTATTCGGGACCATTAAAAATAAAAATAACAAGTTTAGATAAAGTTTCAATTCATACAATGCGGATAGGAATTTATAAAAAGCTTTTTCATCCAGAGCAGTCAGAGAGAATGTGATCCCTTAAATGTCCTGTTGTTGTTGTTGTTTTCTGTAGTGTTTCTCTCTTTCTGGAAATATAGGCTCTCTAAAAGTCAGCAACAATATAGGATTTTACATGTACTCCCTTCCCTTTGTCTTCTCTCTTGCTGATGTCTGCAATCTGCCAATTTGCACCTCGGCAATGAGATAACCTTATTGTTTTGATGTCCAATTATCAATTTGCACCTATAAAGACATGCAATGTGTGTCACATTTATTGTCGCGCTTCTGTGCATTTCTGTGGAGATGGATAACTCTCTGATTAGAGCATATGGAATTGCAGTTAAGGCAGAGTTTAGGTTTTTTTCAGCCATCTACGTCTCAACTTATTAACACTGCAAATTTTGTTAAATACTTTGATAAAAACGATCATGAGTCATAGTTGAGTATACTTATTCTTATGAAACCTAGCATGACTGACTACCTTTATTTTCATCATTATAACCTAATAAATAGCCACTTATTTTTCTTCTGATAACCTCAAGCAATAACATTCTTTTGTAAATTTGGCCTTGTAAAAACTATGCTTGGGTGGTCTATGATTACTGCTATGTAGTCAGGCAATTCTCAGTTAGTAATTCTTTTTCAGGGATTAGAAATATGTTCAGTGAGAAAATAGGTTCTTTGTAAATCACTGCATTTCTGCATTTTTTTTAGGAAATAAAAAATTATGCCCACTTTAAATTGACTTATTTCCATTCTCAAAATGTGATCAGCATTTTCCTAGAAACCTGAATTGGCAAGTATTCACTACAGTTCCTGATACGCAACTGCGCTTCTTTGAAATTGTTGCCTGCCCTACCAACAGTTATTTTCACATTAGTATTTTGGGTTTGAGTGCCTTTCAGGGAATGCTCTGTCAGTCTTGAAAATCAACATAGTTACATAGATCAAGCCCATAAAGAGGTAAAATGCAATGTTTCCATTCTTCCTCATTGAAAGAGAATGGGACCTTAAGTAGTAGATGAGGGCAGAAAACTCTGAGTAAACTGCAATTAATTTTAAGGAAAGCAGAGGCCCAACTTTGAAAAACAACATAAGCCTTTTCAAAAAATATATGTCAAGATCTCCCTATGAGGAAGTAAATTGTGAATTGTGTGTGTATGTGTGTGTGGGTGTGAGTGTGTGCTTAAATTTACCAGGAAAAAAAGTAAACCCGATAAAGTGCAAAATACAGGCCAGTATCTTGAGTCTGAGCAAATAATTGACAGTTTATCTAAGATTTACTGCGAAGCCAATATAAATCAGTAAATGCTAATATTAAGAAACATAGTTCCCTGATATGGTTCAACTGTCAAATTATTGCATTTGAGCTTTAATTTTTCATTTATTAAATATATTTTTATACATTTATCCTGTACTTGTACCCTATCCCTTAGCCATCAGGAGCTTTTAAAAAGAGAATAATATGAAAGTTTGCAAATAAAAATACTTAAATATTTTGTAAATGCTCATCCTGAAGGCCCTCTAGGTACGATTGGAGATTAATTTATTGAAAAATGTAAGAGGACATAGTAAAGATTAGAAACTTTATCAGACTGTGAAAGGGGCATGAGCTTTGTGTGAGGATGTGTCCCAGGGCACCACTAACAGCATGATCCCGATGACTCTTTCCCACCCTGAGGCTCTAAACTGGGGCTGAACCTGAATGGCGAGTTCTCATTCTCAAGTTCTGCTATTTTGTGGGATCACAGCATACACAGAGGAAACGCGATCTGGTTAGTGACCAAAAGTATGCATCAAAATACCATTTCAGCAAGTTGATTACTCATCTTTCCAGGAGAGCCCTCCTTCAGTTTCTCAAACCTCATCTCTTTAGATTTCCCATCACCTTGGTCAAGACCAAAGAAGAGTTCAATCATCCTAAGCCCCTGTGCTTTTACTCACACCTTCCCCAAAACCAGTATAGGGTTCATTCCTCTTTAAGAAACCAGCTATAATTTCACCAACCCCAGGAAGCATGTGTACTAGGGTATTAAATGCAACTCTTTTGCTTCTGAAGATTTCAGCAGAGGCTTCAAAGACCACTGTAACAGCCTGTGTTCTCATAAAGCAGAACAGCAGGCTGAGGACTTATGTGATGTCTCTTTATTAGGGAGCTGGAGTGAGGAACAAGGGCGGTGAAGCAGGGAAGGAGAAAGCGAGGATGCAAGATTGACCACTGCTGAATCCAACTGCTTGCTTCATCTTTGAGGATCATCTAAGAAGCTGTACAAGCTGCACCTTGGGATAGTCTGTCCTCAAGGGAAAGATGAAGAATAGGAAAGAAATTTATCCACCAGTTCCCATCTCCCACTGGTCAAAATTTTGTCACATGGGGCAAGAAATCCCCTGTACTTCTGGGTGGTATGTGCATGAGTTTTGATGAGCTCAACACATGGTTTCTCACAGCTCCATGTCAATAAGGAAGGACCAGCACTTGGTGTGAGTCTGAGCTTAGGCAATGGGAGCCTGCTCCTGCATGAAGTCCCTCAGAATCCGTGCGAGGCTAAGAGGATCTGAAGTTGTATATAAGAGGTGTGTGTTACAATTGAGAATATAACACTAGGACCCAAATAGTCCTACATTCTAAACCAAGGTGCTAGACCACATACATAGGACATACTAAGGGATTGTTAAATTATTTCTGCTGAAACTTGCCCACTACCTGTCTTCAAATTAGACAGAGGAATGTGAAAAATTCACTGGGAGAGGTAAAATACTTGGGAGTAAGAAATTCCTTGGAGAATTGTTCAATGTGCAATTATTCAGTCCACCCTACCCCACTCTCCCATCATGGGGAAGAGGAGAGGTTACATCCCTTCACCTCAAGCTTAGTAAGATGTGATGAATAGAATATGAAGAAGTTGGGGAGTGGCTCTAACTTATCCCAGAGTATTCTGAAGACATGAGGCTGTGACTGAAGCTGTCCCTCCTCGTGGCTGTTCCAAGAAAGGGAGAGTTTCATGAAGAGTTGGCTGCTTCTCCACCTAAGGTAAGGCAAGAAAGTTCATCTCCCATGGGCTGAATGCAGACTCTATGGAAGAAGATCAGACTGTGCTGTCTTCAAAGAGACTCATCCTAGAAGTCTCTCTGAATGAGACGAGTGACTCCAGCCTAGAGTGGTTCTGAGAAACTAGCAAGCAGAAGGGAAAAAAATCATAAGCCACCATCAAAGAGGAGAGGTCTAAGAGAGATCCAGTTAAAGAGACTGGGCTAGCTCATATGCCTTCGCCACGGCCAGTGAGACGTTTCCTCACCTCTAACACTGCTTCCAACCTTGGATGGGATCAAACAGCAGGGGATAGGAGATATATATATATATATGTATACATATGTGTATATATACATGTATATATATACACATATGTATATGGATATATAAATACATGTATGTATACACATATATACATAACGATACTTAAATATTTTGTAAATGCTCGTCCTGAAGGCCCTCTAGGTATGATTGGAGATTAATTTATTGAAAAATGTATATACTTGTATATATACATATACACATATATATACATACATATATATATGTATATATGTATACAGAGAGAGAAAGAAGAAAAAGAGAGCAGAGAGGAAAGAAGGAAAGAAAAGGAGAAACAAGGAGAAAGGAAAAGAGAGGAGAGGAGAGGAAAGGAAGAAAAAGAAGAAAGAAGGAAAGAAAGAGGAAGGAAGGAGAAAGAAAAAAGAGAAAGAGAAAGAAAGGAAAAAAGGAAAGAAAAAGAAGAAAGAAAAAGAAAGAAAGAAGAAAGAAGAAGGGAGGGAGGGAAGGAGAGGGAGAGAGGGAGGGAGGGAGAGAGGGAAGGAGGGAGAGGGAGGGAGAAACTTTGCCTCCTACTGTAGTCTGTCAGAGAAGAAGCTTTCAGTTGGATAAAAGACAAAAGACTTAAGACTTTTCCGGATGGAAATTCTTAATTACTGCAATAAGTCCTCATGACTACAAGGGACGAGAAAAATCTATGGAGCTGCCCAAGATTTCGACAAACAGTGGGAAAAATAACAAGTCCAGAACACAGGATTTGAAAGAGCAGAGAATCACACACACATGCGCGCGCGCACACACACACACACACTTTTTTCCTACACTTGCTCTCTACACAATCAAGCTTCTTCAGTAACATGTTTAAATCACATGCAACCCATTTGGTCGTTCTATCCAGGGCTATGGGCTTTCTTGCTCTATTCCCCTTCTTTTACTCTGAATCTGCTTTGTTGCTCTGCATTTCACCTCCATTTCATCTTTAAACTAGATTGCACACTTCCTAGAGGCTCTCGTACCTCGCTTCCCATAGCATCTTCCCAAACCGTAGTGTCATATTCTCCTCAGTACTGTGGCGGGGCACTTGCTGATATGAGTGTCTCACCATTTATTTTCTTTCATTTATCTGTTTTCTCATCACCTACCTGCCCCCAGTGTCAAAGCCCAGAGATTCTTCATGTTACACTTTGTTAATAGTTTCTGAGAATTGCATAGGATCAAAGAAAGAAACTCACTGATTATTTTTCTACTTAAAAATGGTGGCTGAAATGGCTAACGAGCATACTTTATATTATGAAGTAATCATCCAATACAGCTAACAGCTAACGTTTATTGAGAAATGCTCATGTTCTAGGAATCACACTAAATGCTGTACATGTACTATCTCATTTAATTCTGAGAGCAAACCTTTGTAGTGGATATTATTAATAATTTCATCCAATTTCAATGATGAGACTCAAAGAGCTTTGGAGACTTGTCAAATATCAGAGAAATAACAGAGATGTAAATCTGAGTCCAGAGCCTGAGATCTTAACCACTAGGGTCTACTGGTTTCTTAGTGACCATAAATTTTAGAGCATGGAACTTGGTAAAAACAGGAATGATGTATGCTTTCCACTGTGTATCAGAGGTCTACCCTGGGACGCAGTAAAACTAAAAGTTTCTTGACACTGTGGTCCAGATCTTACCAACCCATATGAGAAATTTAGCCTAATGTTGAGAAAAATCTTCCAGGCATGAAGGAGAGCTTGATGTCAGTTGTATGACCAAAAACAACCCTCTTGGCCCTGTCCATCCAAGCTCTACTGGGGATTTCATTTATTTTATAGTATGTGTGCTTACCATATTTAAACCATTTGTGAAGTAGGTGTGTGGAAAGACTTCTTATTCTCATTTAATCAATCAATGAGGAAACAGAAACAAAAATATTAACAGCCACAGCAAAGGGCACAGCCTCAGGTTCCAAATTTCTGAGTTTCTCATGTTTGGCCTTTTTGAATATTGAGCAAGAAATTGCCACTTCTCTATGTGACCTAATTGTATAAAAACATATGCAAAAATTAAATGGTTCTCTAATTTAGCTAAGCATAAAAGATACCCCATGACCTGTAGAATACTATAAAAGGCTTCCTTAAACACATTATTCAATTAATTCAGGATATACGCATGAGGCCTCCACAACAAGTGAGACATTGTAAATTGGATATTGAGGGAAGGTAAACACAGGACAGAAGAAAATCACTCAGAGTAAGACTTTGGAGGATGCTCTGGCTTATTTATTTATTTATTTATTATTTATTTATTTATTTATTTATTTATTTCAGATTGACCCAGCCTACTCCTCACCCAGCATCACTATGCTTAGAAATGTGTAGTTTATTTACATATACTTCTATGTTAGGAAATGTATAAAGCAATGCAGAAGCAAACTGTCCCTGCCTTCAGGAGCTTTCAACGTAGGGTAATTTATATGGCATATGCCTCCTGTCTCTTCCATTTAACATAAATATTTAAAACAGTTGAATTGGATAAATTATTTTGTGTACTTGTTACTCATTTATATTTTGCTAATACCTTTCTGTAAAACAACCTTAATCCAAACCGCTATTATTGAGTATAGCATATAGAATGCTGTCCAAAATTTATGTTCTAAGCATAAATGTATGTTGCTTGATTTAAATATTTGTATTGTCTCCTAAGCTAATTTTTTAAATATTAAAATATGTGTTACTTTGAGGAAAAACTTGTATGCATTACCTAAAAATATCATTGAACCAAGACCTAAATAATTTGACTATAGTAATACCATTTTTCTAAAGATGATTTTCTTTAGTATCTAAACCTATAAATGTCCTTGCTCTATTAGCTCTCTTTTAAGAGAAACTGGCAGAAGTTGAAATTTTAGTGCATGAGAAAAATTTAAATATGCATTTCTGATAATTGCTCATATTTTAAATTTAATACATGGAGTAGTTAGAAACACAAAAATTGGTCAATTAAAAAAGTGAATGCTCTTTGAAGTTCCTTTGTAAAAAAGATAGCCAATATTTCTGAAGAATTTAACCTGAAGTTATCTTCATTAAAGGCCAAAGACTTATTCATAATACTTAGTATTCTTGTTTCCTCTTTATCTTTAAAAAAATATCCTGGAGAAAGGAAGCATGTCGGGACCACGGAAAAGGACAGAAAACTTGGCAGAGAAGGAACACACAGCTCACTGGCACAGCTCTGAGGAGCATGTGGGCCACAGAGAGAGAGGTCACTTAAGAGAGTTGCGTCATATATAAAGACAGCATGAAAGAAAGCTGACAGGGATAGAGGGGAGACCAAGCAAGCTTTAAAAAATATTTAGTGTCTTTTTCTGTTTGAAATAGGGTGTGCCAAAGTCAAGAATTCTTAATTTCATTGTAATCAGGTTATATGCTACAGAGAGCTCATCGGAATTGGGGAATAAATTTAGCAAACAAGAATCAGCATAAAATGGATAAGCTTTGCCATATGCAGCAATAACTCATCTAGAAATTTCAATCCTGAATTGCTGATAAGAGCAGGGGATTCCCCATTTCTAACTGTTAAGGTTCCAAGATGTCATCTATAACCTGTCAAGATGACCCTGTCGGCAAGACAGGATAGACTTCTGGCAGGACAGTTACAGGTCCTGGGACGCTGGCCTCAGTGGTGGTAGAGTGATGACCATCCTCCGGGTTTCACTTGCAATGACCTTTTCTGCTTCAACAACAGACAGGTGGATATTTTGGTCAATCTCTTTGGTATCTAACCAAATTGCAATCGACATGTACAAGCAATTCGGCTATAGCAAATACAGAACAGTCATAGAGTATGTCTGGGTCAACAACAGAGAGCCCGATGGAGACGCTTACAATGTGAGGAAAGCGACTTCCAGAGACACTGACAAGAAATCCATTGCCTCATCCTGTGCGCCCTGAAGACGTTGAATAACCGTGGGCAGTGTTCTAGGCAGATGCTTCAGGTATTTTATAGGCCATATTATTTTCATTGGATTGTCTTAGAATTTTATTAGGAGAAAAGTAATCATTTAGGTACTAAAGACTTCAAGAAAATATAGGTTATAAACTTATTTAAAATCTCATTATTTCCAATCAGCAATATTATACCTACTAAAACTGTTCACTGTAATAAAATTCAATCCAAAAAGGGTGTAGGTCAGAAGGAAGCATTCCACTATCATGGTTTTTCATATTCACTACATGCTAAGGAAAAAAACACTTGCTCCTATCTCTTCCTAAATTCTGTGCCTGAAAACCACGGCATACATATTTTTTAAAATTTTGTATTGAACTGTTAACTGGAGCTTTAAAAGCGTATATGCAATGCATAAATCTAAGACGTATAATAAAATACATTAGCTCCAAAAAAAGACATGACTAAAATGTTAAAGTAAAGAAAGCCACAATCTGCATAACGATGATATAACATCTTTGGCATGAATGAACACTGCTTTGGATGACAAATAAAATGGATAATTTTGTATTAAGAATTTTCCCTCTTTTTTTAGGGAAGAATGTGCTCATGACATTTACTTGATCAATCCTGGTTCTTTAAGCAGAAATATTTTAGAAGTGAGAAAAACAACTTCATATAGACTTCTATCCTCACGGCGGCAATGACAGTTCGCCTGTTCTAGTCACCAATGAGCTCAATCTTGCCAAATCAATTATATGTCCTAACCTTACTTGGACTATCAGCAGCATTCAACTTCCTCCCCCTTGAGGCATGCTCTTTCCTAAGATACTATGACACTCCACTCTAGTTTTTTTTCCACCTCACTGGCTGTTTCATTTCATTTTCCTTTGCTGACTACTGCTCAACTTCTAAATGCCAGGATTCCCTGTGACTTGATACTTTGTCTTTTTTTTTTTCTATATCTACGTATTCTTTCTATGTGTTCTCACTCAGATCCATGGTTTTAAACATATCTATTTTCAGATGACACTCAATATTACATTTTTATGCTGAATTAAAGGTGTATATATCCAACTGTCTGACATTTCCACTTAGATTGGTAATATGTATTTCAAAGTTAACACAGCTGATAACAAACTTTTCATGTCCCAATCTGCTCCATCTCAGCAAAAAGAATCCTCATTCATCAAGGTGGTCAAGTAATAAACTAAAGCATGTCCTTGATTTTTCTCTCTGTGTTACACAGATACAGTCTGTTAGTTTAATTCCAAAGCACATCTTAGTCTGTCCACTTCTCTCAACTCAAACAATGCCACAGTCTGACACCACGTGGACTACTGAATTGGCCTCCATAATTAATCCCTACTTCCCCTCTGCCTCCCTTCATTTCTTTGAGATATTTCAAATGTAAACCAGATAACATCTCTTCTCTGCTGAACTCTTTACTGCCTTCCTATTGTAGTCAGAATGAAAACCCAGGACTAACCTTGGCATCCAGGACCCTGGTCCCAGTGAAATTCCAAGACTTTATTTTGACTTACTCTCCCTCTCCCTCACCAGAGGTGGCCTTTCCTGCTTTCAAACATGCTTAGCTGTTGCCTGATTTCTGGATTGTGCACTAGCTGTCCTCTCTCCCAGTAGCTCTATGTCTTCAGATGTTCACATGTTCAATTTCCTTATATCATTTAGCTCTCCTCTCCAATCTACTTCCTCCAAGAGGCCTTTCCTGACAACCCAGTCTGAAGTGGTCTTTTCCCCATCTGAGTCTCTCTTATCACATTATGTTCTGTTGTCTGCTCAACATTTATCATAATCTGAAATCATCTTGTTCATTTATTTAATTGCTTATTTTCCATCTCCCTCTCTATGTCATAAGCTCCAGAAAAGTAAGGTCCTTTTGTTTTTTGGGTTTTTTTTTGTTTTCTGTTTTTTTGAGATGGAGTCTCACTCTGTTACCCAGACTGGAGAGCAGTGGCATGATCTTGGCTCACTGCAACCTTTGCTCTCCGTGTTCAAGCGATTCTCTTGCCTCAGCCTCCCAAGTAGCTGGGATTACAGGCACCCACTACCATGCCCAGATAACTTTTGTATTTTTAGTAGAGATGGGGTTTCACCATGTTGGCCAGGATGGTTTAGAACTCCTGACCTCAGGCAGAGTAAGGTCCTTTTCCATCTTGTACACAGTTGTATCTCTCCTGGAAGAAAATCTGACATAGTATAAAATATATCTAATTAGTTACTTAACAAATTATCTAGAATCACATATGTATATACATAACTATATATTATATGTAAGTATATTGTAAGCATATATTTATATATTATAGCAAATAATATATAAATATACTTTTAATGTGTGTGTATATATATATATACACACATATACACACACACACACACACACACATATATATATATATATATATATATATATATACACACACACACACACGCACATACATATAGAATCTACTATACTGGATGGGCACAATGGCTCACACCTGTAATCCCAGCACTTTGGGAGGCCAAAAGAGGGAGGATTGCTTGAGGCCAGGAGTCTGAGACCAGCCTGGGGAACATACTGAGACCCCATCTCTACAACAATTTTTTTAAATTTTAAATTAAATTTGTTTAAATTGTTTTTAAAATTAAAAAAAAATTTATCCTCACACAACCTTCCAGGAAGTGTTATGAAGAAAATGTTATTAAGTTTACATATATATCAAGTTTAAAGAGGAGAACACCAAAATCAGAGCAATTAGAGGTTTTGAAGTTTGCTTGTGAATGTATGTTGAGATTTAAACTCTCATTTTCAAAAAAGATTATTCTACAATGTCCTCTTAGAAAATTAAGCAAAATCTAGACTTTTTTTTGTTTTGGTTTAATACTAGCTTAGGGAAAGTTAATCTGGGTGGCATATCCCTTCAGTCTCGTAATCTCTAGGTGGTCAAATAACTGTGCATTTCTGGGCCTGCTACATCGCGTCTAGACTCTAGATGCATCCTAACCCCTCTTCAAAACTGGCATTCCTAGAGGCCTGATCGCCACAGTCAGCCAGGCTCTCACAAGTAATGTTCTCAAAATTTCATTGGCTTTATCTCTAGTTGCCTCTCTGTAGCCCAGAAATCATGACAAATCTGGAACAATGAAGATCAGCCTGAGCATGTGAGAGATCCTCTAAACCCCCAAGAAAAAGACATCAATACAAGAAAGTTTAACTCTTTAGCAACAGAAAACAGCAATATGTCATATCAGTGGTCCTTTAAGCAATGGTAATGATCAGAGACAGATACCTTCATTCCAGGGCTGCTTTACCTTTAGACAGTGTCAAAATAATTTAGAGGTGGGAGGAGATCATCAGGAAGGGACCCTATCCTGTTACAATGCCTAGTACAGATTACTTGAGAGTGTAGGTTCTGAAAAATTGCTGGGAAACATAGGTGGTATTTATATTTTAAAGCCCTTGAAGTAAATAACTTTTTATTTTATGTATCTTTTACAATATCTAATAGAGTGCCATGTTTACATGGAATCCCTAATTTGTGTTTTAAAAAGACAAGGAAGTTGAGCATGGTGGTTCATGCCTATAATCCCAGCACTTTGAGAGGCTGAGGCAGGAGGATTGCTTGAGGTCAGGAGTTTGAGACCAGCCTGGGGAACATAATGAGACCCCAACTCTACAAGAAAATTTAAAAATTAAAGTGTGGTGGCACATGTCTGTAGTCCCAGCTACTCAAGAGGCTGAGGTAGGAGGATCACTTGAGCCTAGAAGGTTGAGGCTGAAGTGAGCCATGATCCTAAGCACTGCACTCCAGCCTAGGCGACAGAGCAAAACTCCTTCAAAAAAAAAAAAAAGTGAGTACAAAATGGATTTGTTGTCATAACTGATATAGAATCTCATTTTTAACTTTAATTACTGGACCAAATAAAATTATTGGCTAGAATAAAAGGGGTTAGAGAGGAAAAGAGAATGGAGAATCGCATGGCCAAAAATGTACAATGCAAGGTTCAGGCAAAGAGCAATGGAAGTCAGTGGTAATTTTTAAAAAAATATTGTAATGACAAAAACTCAAGATTTTTTATTGTTTAAATATTTTTAGAGACAGGGTCTAGCTCTGTCACCTAGGCTGAGTGCAGCAGCATGATCATAGCTCACTGCAGCCTCCAACTCCAGTGCTCATGCAATCCTCTGGCCTCAGCCTCCTGAGTAGGTAGGACTACAGGTGTGCACTACCATGGCCTGGCTAATTTTATTTTATTTTATTTTTTGTAGAGACAGGGTCTTGCTGTATTGCCCAGGCTGGTCTTGAACTCCTGGCCACAGAGATCCTCCCTCTTTGGCCTCCCAAAGTGCTGGGATTACAGGCATGAGCCACTGTGTCCAGCCAAAAGTGTTTTCAAAAGTGAATCAATAAGCTTCATTCTCGGATTCTCATAGCCAGAGCATGCACATATATTACTTTCAAATAGTAACAGAAGCTTTGGTGAGCAAGTGAAGTTTTTCAGTGTTTAGTTATGGATTTGCAAGCACTCTGTTATTAGGCTGATAAAGCATTTCCCATAAAAATGACAACACAATTATGTACAGTTAGACAAAACTTACTTTTGCTTAGAACTTAATGATATAATGAATACCAATAGTAATAAATATATTATGTACCATTAAAAACAATGAATCATAAGTACTTTAAAAATAAAACCTTGATATACACACAAAGATATTTACATGGTATAATTCACTTTTATATTAATTTTTATTTTTACCAAGGACAATTCAATGAGCTCAACACTGACACAGAAATGCAGGTAAATCCTATTTTTACTCTATTGTTAATTTATTCCAGTGATTAAGTCATGCCTTTTGCTTAAGTAAAGCACTGAATTAGCTCTTTTAGGCCACTAAAAGATGAAATAGAGAACTGAGGCAGAGTCTCTAAATAATACCTGATGAGTGAGTGATTACTAAATACTATTAACTCTTAACTCTTATCAGCAGAATGTGATCCCAATTCACCAGAAAAATCAGATGCAGTGTATTCTTGAGAAAAGCACAATCCAGTCGTATCTCGATTTCCAAGGAAATTGACACAGTAGCCCTATCTTTCTTTAGTATTGATATCAGAATCTTGGGGTCAGGATTAATTGAGATGGAATCTTAATGTTTTGTTATGTGATAATGCTATGCAAAATACAGAACAGAGAACTTTGACAAGACCCCCTTGATGAATGAATTACTGTCTCATTGGTTTTAAATATTTGTATGAAAAACATAAGATCCATGAGCTGAAGGAGCTGGGGAGGATAAAGTCATAATCAAAACAAATTGTGTACTGCAATTCGAGTCCCATTCCTCTAAGTTCCAGTGGCTAGGAAAACAGACCAGGGAGGAGAGTATCTCATCAATCAGACGATGGGACTTGTGCAGTGCCCTTCATGTAGGCTGATCACAAGACGTTTAACTTTAAGACAACTCACTTTCCTGACTACAACAGAAGGGAGGCAGAATAAAACAAATTAGTTGAAGACTCAAAAACGCCAAGGGCCCTATTAAGTGTAAAAAGCTAATAGGGTATGTGCTTATATCCACAAGTGTGTGCATGTGTCTCAGAGAGCAGAAGTGTAAAAAGAAATTAGCAGCTCAAGCTGCTTTAGCAAGACCATACAGAGTTTTCTTGATTCATAAAACCTGACTTACGAGCAAATCTCCCACAAAACTAAGCAGCTTTAAAAGAGTTCAGATGGAAAGACAACATGGTTGCTTAGATGCAGACAATACCTTTTTTTTACATCATCAAAGCAATTCATGTTATGTTTTGATGCTATATTAATGGAATACTGAAAAACCAGAAGTAAAACAAACCTTCCATGTATAAGTATTTTGTGCATTTGGAGAACAGATGAGTTAGAAGGGGAAGTGCATTTTAGTAGCAAGATCGAATGAAAACTTGGTGACTATATGCAATTCTATCTTCTCCATTATCTTCTCCTTATTAGTACTTCATTAGTCTAGTCTCCTTTTTTTTCTTTAAAAGAATACACTGTAATAAAAGGCATCCCATGATTCCATGGATATGTAATTGAAATCACTAATAGCAGCAGTTGCTGAAACTATATCTAAAAGCTAGGCTTCAATGTTAGTGTTCCATGTTAGTGTCATCAAAACATAACCCTCTGGAAGCCCTGTTATGAAAGAAAAAGGGCTAGGTCCTTTGACAGATGTGTTTCTCTTCTGTTAAATAAATAAAATACATATATAAAAAATAAAAACACATTACATTTTTCATTACAAATAATGTTTTGAAATTCTACTTTTTATAGAGTGAGAAGTCACAAAGTGAGAGGTATTTGGGGATCTGTTTTAATTAATAAGAGAAAGGGAAGGTTGTAACCTAGAAGGCTAAGATTATAGGCCAATGTGACAAATAAATGGTCAGTAAGAATTTATCAGTGATTTTTATGCCTCCACCATTATGGAAATGCCACTATCATCATTCCACACCCAAGCCTCTGGCCAAGATTAACCAGTCGAAAAATAAAATAAAATAAAATCTATGGTGAGAAGGATGCAGGCCTGAGAGGCTTCCTCAGAATTCTCAGGCCATTTTCCTACCCCCATATTGTATACTATAGACTCTCACAGTGATCATCTGTGACAAGAAAGTTCCATTTCATCATTTAAGGAAGTAGCTTATGTCTTAATAACTGTCTTGGTTGTTTATACAAACTGCCAGCAATTGTGAAGATGCACCATTGCACTATCACAGATTGTTGAAGCCCACAGCTATGCAAATTGTTCTTAATAGTCATAATAATGTTTAAGATTTATAAGGCATTTAAATTAGGTAGGCACCACTACATTCTCCATTTTGCAGACAAGGAGCCAAAAACTAAGAGGTTAAATTACATTCTAAGGTCATAACTTTTATAGTGAGTGAGCTGCAATTTGAACTCACATACATTTTATTCTAAAATTCCTCTTTTTAACTGCTCTTCCAAGTTTGAGTAATTGAATTATTTATTAAATTGAGCATAACTTACCACGTGACAATTAAAACAATGTAAAGACAAACATGAAGAAGAGACTCAATTTTTAAAACTCTCATTTATTTTGCTATGAGGCTGTCTGCTTCTCTAGGTTTAACCCATTGTAAATCAGCTTCATGTCAGAAACCTTCCAGCAGCTTGTTCTCAACTCTCAAAAGCAGATGCCTCCTTGACAATAATCTGATCCCTGAAATCTTGTTAACTGAACAAGAAGAAAAGCATGATTTTTATCTACCTGGCTTTCTCTCCTTGTTAATGATGCCCATGCCTTTCCTCCCATCTCCCTGCAAGAGGCACTCAGCTATCCATGAGGAACATGGGGGAAAGAAAAAGCAGGGCACCAACTCTTGACTGTGATGTTCGTCCTTCCACTATATCTGCCCAATTGCAGAAGATTTTTCCCCTACTCTTTAGAAATGAAGTAAAGGAATCTGCTTCCCTCTGCAATCACCTGTATACATGACATACTCATTATATTGTTTTAGAGGTGCCTTAGGTTACCATTTGAAGGCATTGTTTTAAAGAAATAAGGTTAAAACTTTGAACTGAAATTCAACATGTTTTTAACCAGTTTTGTATCTGTAAACTTAAACTTTTCTCCTGAAGGTCATTCAATAAAACTTCTTTAAAACACACACACACAAAAACTATACATTTGTAATAGCCTGAATATTTGGAGCTGCTGAAGGTTATCATCAGCTCCTCTCCAAATAACTACCATGAAGGTGAGTTTCAAGATGTGAAATTTGCATGTGAAACATGCGAGTCACAACAATATACATGTAGGCCACCATGGCTCTTTTGGAACATAGTTTTTTGTTGGCATCTCCCAAAAGTAAAAATTTTAGATGCAGAAGATCCTTGCCTGTGGAGATTTGCCATTCATGATTCTGAGTATTCATGAGTATTCCCAAAGGCCTCATAATATGTAATCATTTGTGCTTTCTGTTGAGGCAGCATTTCAGTCAGGGTAAGCTGTTTTGCCTAACTCATAACTGAGTCCTGCCAACCTCCCAGCTTCAGCGTCCCGTCATGCTGGTCATATTCTCTACTAATTCCTGGGAACCATTACTGCAATTAAAGTAACATCCAAAGCTCTTAAATGGCTTACAAGTCACTATATGATCTGCCCCTTTCCACCCCACCCAAATTTCTGGCCTCATTTCAAACTACCCTTCTCTCTTATTTCTCTGCAGTAACACTGGTCTCCTTACTAAACAAACACAGAAAGTGCATCCCAAGGCAGGGCCTTTGCCCTGATTAGTTCCTTTGCGTGGAATACTCTTTCTTCCTCCTGGTGTCTACCTGCTTGGTGCACTCCCTCAGTTCTAGTGGGTGTCTCTCTTGATATGTTATCAGAGAAGCCTCTTTTTGACCTATTCCATCAATGATCAGCCCCTACACCGGAGCTTCTTTACTCCCTACCTTGCTGCATTGTCCTTTGTGGTATTTATCACTCTCTAAAACCTCTCTTCACTTGCTTATTGTCTCTTTGAACCCTCCATTCCCATACCACACTGTTCTTCCTGCTTCCTGCTTCTTGGTCTGCTGGGGCATCCTCATTTCTGACCCTTACCAAGTATCCTTGCAAAGCTGGCCTCTGAGCCTCAAGGAGCCCCAGGATATCCTTGTAGTAAATTCCTTTCTTCTTAAGTTAGTCATAGTCTAACCACAATCAATCAGCATATGCTAAGAATCTTAAACTGACATACCAGATCTCTGTTTTCTTGTCCCTAAAATAAAAGGGGATTGTTTGTTTACATTTCAAAGACCCTTTTGCCACAAGAGAATCTTTTCAAAATTGAGCTTTCTGATTCTTAGGAGAAAACTACAATCCCTTTGGAAGGTGAATTGAAGTCATTTTCTACTTACAATTACATCTCATGATTTAAAAAAAAAATAATAGTGGTTATGATACCAAAAGAAAATAGCAAATGAGTCAATTATTACCTGACATTGAAGTCCTGCTAAAAGGACAGTCTGAAAATGACGGTCCCCTCCGTGCAGGCTGCAGTAGGGGCACCTGGCACCTGGCAATCCCACCTGCACTACGGCAACCCCATCTCAGTGAGTTACTGTGAGGGATGTGCAGTCCCACGTGTTATGGTGCTGCACCCCCAACTCCACCCTGAACTGTTAAGGCTACTTTTGATAATCTTCTCCAGCTGCCTCAAGGCAGGAACATCAAAAGGGCACATCAAAGCTCCCAGTCACAGTGGAGAGGAGCCCTGAGAACTGGTGGCGCTTTTTTCTTCAGGCTTCACAACAAATACAAGTCTTCAGGCCTTCCCCCAAGGAGAAGAGAGTAATTTTTTAAAATTCTAGGCTGCCTGCCCTGAGGGAGGAGAGAGACACCATCAATGCAGGTAGGGATAAAGCCAGTCACCTCTTCCAATCAGATTATTTCTGAGAGTTGGAGGGCTGTACTAAGAAAAAAAAAAAACAAAAAAACCACAGACACACACACACACACACACACACAAAGTTTGATCTGTGCTTCACTGGTGTGTGTGTTTTAAAATGCAAATAGCAAAAGCTGAAAACGATGAAGTGAGCACGTGCTGTCTCACTGACATGCAAGACAGGCAATTAATGAAACTCTGGGCCACAGTATCAGCTGCCTGCTGACTTCTGCAATTGAATTAAAACTATCATAAGAATAATACAAGGACTTGCCCTTGTCCTTCTTGTCTATGTGTTTATTTAATTTTCTGTCCAACTGACTCTCAAATAAATTGGAAACAGCTGCCATTTTTTGATTCAGTAGCTCCATTACCCCCTTGTGACATCATTCTGGGCACGAACACCAACAATAGGTCATTATGTAGCAATTACTTTATTGATTTATGGAAGTTTTTAAGCTCCATCAGGAATATGCACATTCAAGGGGAAAAAAAGACCATTTCTGTGCTCTTGGTAAGGAGAAAACTGAACTGCGGCGGCTGGAATACCGTTGCTCAGATGGGACCTTCCGCACAAAGGAAAATATGGGGATAATTCTTGTTTTGCTGATTTTCTTTAAGTAAAAGAGAAATGGGGAAAGACTATAAAGTTTAAAAGTTATAGTACCCATAATTGAATGAAGTAAGTAACTAAGTAAATAGATGACTCAAGTCCTGCTGTTATGTAATAAGAGGACTTCAGTGGTATAATAGATGTTACTTAAAACAAATTAACAGTGTTCAAACTCCCAGGATGAAAGAACTTTCTGAGCTTATGGGTAACATTTTAGAAATATTGCTGCATAAAAACATTCTTTCTTTCTCAATTTAAATGGCTATTATAAGACTTCACATTTAAGGTAAATGCCTGTCCGCATCAATCTCTGGATCACACTTTTAACTGCTCGTCAGTTCCTGATCAGGCTGTTTACCTGGACCCCTACATACAAATAAGCAACACTTTCCTCTCTTGTAAACAGCTGATTTCATTTTGGGAAATTTGATCTAGTATTTAAAAAATAAAACTCCTGTTTATAATGTGCCCCCTGGGTAGTAAGTGAACTTAGAAGGATTCTAACCTGAGGAGGTGGGCAGCAGTCTGTCTACATTTTGAGGAAAATGGTTTGCTTTCCTCAAATTCTTCCGGCAATTCTTTCAACTTTCACATTTAGGAAGAGTGACTTACTATATTTGCTTGAAATCTTTGTTTGAGGTTTGTTGGCTCCTACTGCAGGTCAAGAGTTTAATATCCTGGGCCAGGCACGGTGGCTCACGCCTGTAATCCCAGCACTTTGGGAGGCCAAGGTGGTTGGATCACAAGGTCAGGAGTTCAAGACCAGACTGGCCAAGATGGTGAAACCCTGTCTTTAATAAAAATACAAAAATTAGCCAGGAGTGGTGGTGGGCGCCTGTAAACCCAGCAACTCGGGAGGCTGAGGCAGAGAATTGCTTGAACCCAGGAGGCAGAGGTTACAGTGAGCCAAGATCGCGCCACTGCACTGCAGCCTGGGTGACAAAAGTGAGACTCCGTCTCAAAAAAAAAAAAAAAAAAAGAATTTAATATTCTGGCTTTTCTGTCAGTTGCCTGGTAGGGGAACCATCCTCAGCCCAACATCTGACTTGGTTCCTGAAAGGAAGGACGACTGTGGAAGAGACAGACCCATGGAAACACATGGTTGCTGTAGCTCATTCTCGATCAGCAGCCCCAGAGCAGGCAAGGATGCTACCACTGGCACATGATGAGCATGAACTTCTGCAGATTCTTCTAGCTCTGATCAGATCCTAAAAGGGACATTTTAGAAAATAAAAGTAGAAGTTGATTCTGCTTAGGAAATCCATCTTCTTAGCTCATAGCTAAGACAAATTTTAGGAGTCCTGATCATTTGCAAGTCTTGAAACTTATATTCGAAAGATAACAAAAAGGGCCTTGGGGAGACAGTCTCCCTTCTATTCTGATTCTGCAAACACTGAGGGTCTTCCAGGTGGAGAGTACAACCTGCGGAAAAGGGTATCTAGTAAATGCTGAAACTGGGTCCTGCCCCAAGGAAGATACTTTGGGAAAAGTAATAGAAAGCAAAGGCATGGCTCCTGACTTCTGGGGGCTTACCGTGCAGCTGAACCCTTCGATGGCAGTTTTAAAACAACAAAGGAGACTCTAGGTAATATGAAAAAAAAATTTGTACTTTACATGAGGGGACCTAGGTTAAAATCACAATGATGCTATTAATAAGATAAGATGTGAGACCTTGGCTAAGTCACAACTTTCCTGGGACTCTATTTCTCTCAGTTGTGAACCGAAGAAAGTGGGCTGGATAATATTCAGATTCCTTTCAGTCCTCACAAATCCCATAATCATCCTGATGAATTATATATCACACAATTTCTTGCCTGAGTTCATATGCCATAACTTATTACTACATTCCATCTAATACTTGAAAAGAGTAAATGAGTCATTGTTGGTTTATAATTCCAAAGAAAAAGAATAGTTGACCTTGTTGCTTATGCTCAACACCTTTCACACATCTGAATGTACCAATTCTTGCATTTCATCACCAGATAGGCCAAATCCATTAACTCTATAGCAGGAAAATATTTGCCATCATGGTAAAAAGCACATGTTATCACAAAGCTTTGTGTATTAAAATATCATTTTTGAACCACCAAATTTTGCTTCCTTGATAAATGGTCTTCAGAGTAACACTTATAAACTGTAAGTATTAGGAGGATATAAAGGGAACATTTTATTTGAGATGATACAATTATTGACATCTTTTTGAAAGAGGTAAATATGAAGCCAGATCTTGAAGAAAGTTATATATACGGCAGCAGGATGACAGAGAAAAAGGGAAGACATTCCATGGTTCTAGAAGAGCAATGACAAAGAGTACATACAGTGAGGAAGACTGCATTTTGTGAGGTGGAATGGATAACTCCATTGGAGATAAATGAAGTTGTATGTACGTGATGTTTAATAAATGCAAGTTGAGATACCATTAGGATAGATAAAAGGCATCTACTTACTCCTTAAGGGAAATAGTTGATTCAAGTAATGTTTAAAGAAGTCTGTTTTGTTAGTTGTGTGGTGAGTAGCCTAAAGAATATAGAAATTAGAAACAAATAATATAACCAAGAGCTACTTAACATAGTCAAGGAATGAAGTGATACAGCATCAGACTAGGATAATGACTACAGAAATGGAAAAAAGTGGTTGAAATCCAAAAAACCCAGCAAGAAAGAATTAATGACTTATGAGAACTGATTTGATACGGGAAGCCAAATAAGAAAAAAAAAGAAGTAGGAAAAAATTAACTACCAGATTAATGTCCCAGAGAATTAACCGGACAGTTGAGTCATTGGAAATGGAATATAGAAGGAAAAAGTTTATTTCATTAAATTCAGAGCATAAGTGTCCCACTGAAAGTATAACTAAATGAAAACATCTAGCTAATAACTAGCTATAGAAGACTGGTGAAAGGTCAGGGTTTGTGCATCATTCTTTCATTCAGTAAATATTTATTAAATATTTATCAGATGCTTTTTATGAGCCAGGCACTGTGCTTGATGCCAGGAATAATGGATAACTGGCATAATCCCTGCACTCCAGAAATTTTGTCTAGTTGAGAGACAGAAAATTACCTAGCTACTTATAACATCTTATAATCAGAATATAGCATCTTGTAACCAGAACTATAAGATATATAATCAACAATATTCAATATGAGCCAGGAGGAGATGCCCATAGTCCAGATGACTATGTGATGTGGAAAAGAAATTTGCGATACTGCCTGGAAGGAAATTCCTTACTTGACTTAAAGGACAAGTCAGAAGGAAAATAATATAGAGAGTATAACGTATGCATAGCTATTAGCTGGATAAATAAAAAATATTTATAAGAAAACAAGGGAGTACATTATTATCACTTCAATTAAAAATTGTACTAGATATTCTATCCTGTGAAATAAGGAATGTAAAAGAAATAAAGTACATAAAGATTGTAAAATAAAAGTAAAGCTATCATTCACAGGGAATACAATTCTGTGTAGCATAAACTAAAAGACTACATACAAAATATTAAAACTACTAAGTCAATGTAGCAAGTTTACTACATTAAAAGTCAAGGCACATAATTAATTATGTTTATATACTTGTAGCAAAAATTGGAAAATAAAAATTCTTAAAACAGTATTGTTTAAAATTGCAAAAAAAGTCAACTATGTAAGAATAAATGTAATAAAAGTTGTGCAAGCCATTTACATTGAAAGCTATAAAACAATGCTGAGATAAATTCAAGACCCAAATAATGAAGAATATACCATGTTCATGGATTAGAGGAATCAATATTTTAAATATGACAATTCTTTTCAAATTGATCTACAGATTGAATGTAATCACAATCAAAATTCCAGTGAGATTTTGCAGAAATTGCTAAGCTGATTCTACGATTTACATGGAAAATGACAGTAGTCTTGAAGAAGAAGAATAAATCTTGCTCTACGAGATCACAAGACTTCTATGTATCTAAAGTAATTAGGACACTGTACAACACTAGAACACTGGAACAAAATAGAAAGCCAGGGAACAGACCCACACATATGCAATCAACTGATATATGGCAAAGGTGTCACTGCAATTCAGTGGGAAAAAGACGGTCTTTTCAATAAATAATGTTGTGTCAACTTACCTACATTTAAAAGGATGAACTTTAAATGATTTTTCATACCATACACCAAAATTAATTTCAGATTCATCATAGATCTAAATTTCAAATGAAAACAGAAGTTCTACAGGAAAACATAAGAGATAATCTTTATAAACTTATGCTTAAGATTTCTTAAATGGGGCATTAGAACACAAGTCATATATGAAAAGATGAAAAAGGTTCATGTTACTAAAATTAAAAATTTCTATATATTCAACAAAGAACTCATATCTAAAATATATAAAGAACTTCAATTTTTTAAAAAAGCTAGACAAACCATTTTTTAAATGTAGAAAGACTTAAATAGCTACTTCAGAAAAAAGGATATCCAAATGGCCTACAAACATATGCAATATGCTCAACATTGTTATTCCTTAGGGAAGTACACATTAAACTAAAATTAGACATCACTATATGCCCCCTAAAAAGACTACAATAAAGACTGATATTGTCAAATATTGGAAAGTAAGTGGAACTTTCATACCTTGTCAGTGAAAGATGAAATTGGTATATCCACTGGAAATATTTTTGGCAATATCTACTAAAGCTAAACATTTTCATACCCTATGACTCAGAAATTCCATTCCTAAGTATGTGCCCAGCTGAAATTATTACTTATATCACCAGAAGGCAAGAATGTTCATAACAGCCTTATTCATAAGAGCAAGAAACTGGAAGTAATCTACAGATTCGTCAACAATCGATTGGAAATGTCCATCAACAATAGAATGGATAAATAGATGGTGCTATGTTCATACAATGAAATAATATTTAGCAAGTGAATAAAAATAAACTACTGGTACACACAGGAAAATCAATAAATTTCAAAGACATAATTTTGAGCAAGAGAAGCCAGACATACTGCATGATTCCATTTATAGGAAGTTCAAAAATAAGCATAACTCGTCTTTTCAACAAGTTGTGCTAGAACAATTGGGTATCCATATGCAAAAAAGAAAACACAGAAGAAATTCTTTGTGACCCTAGAATAGGCAAAGGTTTTTTTAGACATGACACCAAAAGCACAATCAATGAAAGAAAAAATTGATAAATTGGACTTTACCAAATTACAAACTTCTGCTCTTCAAAAGGCATTGTTAACAGAATACAAGAGAAGCCACCGACTGGAAGAAAATTTTTGCAAATCCTGTATCTGATGATTTATATTCAGAATACCTGAAGAACCCTCAAAAGTCAATAATAAGAAAATTTCTAAAAATGAGTGAAGAATTTGAACAGATATTTCACTAAAGAAGATATATGGATAGCAAATAAGCACATAAAAAGATGCTAACATTGTTAGTCATAAGAAAAAAACAATCCAAGTAAAACCAGAAGAAAACCCATCTATTAAAATAGCAAAAATTTTAAAAAATCAAATACAATAAGCATTGACAAAGATGTGGAGAAATAGAAATTTTCATATACTGCTAATAGAAATGGAATAGTACAACCACTTTGAAAAAGTTTGGCAGATTCAGAAGGAATGGTACCAGCTCCTTCTTGTACCTCTCGTAGAATTTGGCTGTTAATCTGTCTGGTCCTGGACTTTTTTTGGTTGGTAAGCTATTAATTATTGCCTCAATTTCAGAGCCTGTTATTGGTCTATTCAGAGATTCAACTTCTTCCTGGTTTAGTCTTGGGAGGGTGTATGTGTCGAGGAATTTATCCATCTCTTCTAGATTTTCTAGTTTATTTGGGTAGAGGCGTTTATAGTATTCTCTGATGGTAGTTTGTATTTCTGTGGGATCGGTGGTGATACCCCCTTTATCATTTTTTTTTGTGACTAGTTGATTCTTCCCTCTTTTCTTCTTTATTAGTCTTGCTAGCAGTCTATCAATTTTGTTGATCTTTTCAAAAAACCAGCTCCTGGATTCATTGATTTTTTGAAGGGTTTTTTGTGTCTCTATCTCCTTCAGTTCTGCTCTGATCTTAGTTATTTCTTGCCTTCTGCTAGCTTTTGAATGTCTTTGCTCTTGCTTCTCTAGTTCTTTTAATTGTGATGTAAGGGTGTCCATTTTAGATCTTTCCTGCTTTCTCTTGTGGGCATTTAGTGCCATAAATTTCCCTCTACACACTGCTTTAAATGTGTCCCAGAGATTCTGGTATGTTGTGTCTTTGTTCTCGTTGGTTTCAAAGAACATCTTTATTTCTGCCTTCATTTCGTTATATACCTAGGAGTTAGGGAGGATTCCCTCTTTTTCTATTGATTGTAATACTTTCAGAGGAGCACTCAGATTCATAAAGCAAGTCCTTATGAATCCTTAGAGACCTACGAAGAGACTTAGACTCCCACACAATAATAATGGGAGACTTTAATACCCAACTGTCAACATTAGAGAGATCAGTGAGACAGGTTGTTCAGTTTCCATGTAGTTGAGCGGTTTTGAGTGAGTTTCTTAATCCTGAGTTCTAGTTTGATTGCACTGTGGTCTGAGAGATAGTTTGTTATAATTTCTGTTCTTTTACGTTTGCTGAGGAGTGCTTTACTTCCAACTATGTGGTTAATTTTGGAATAGGTGTGGTGTGGTGCTGAGAAGAATGTATAATCTCTTGATTCGGGGTGGAGAGGTCCATAGATGTCTACTAGGTCTGCTTGGTGCAGAGCTGAATTCAATTCCTGGATATTGTTGTTAACTTTCTGTCTCATTGATCTCTCTAATGTTGACAGTGGGGTGTTAAAGTCTCCCATTATTATTGTGTGGGAGTCTAAGTCTCTTTGTATGTCTCTAAGGATTCATAAGGACTTGCTTTATGAATCTGAGTGCTCCTCTGAAGCTATTCCAATCAATAGAAAAAGAGGGAATCCTCCCTAACTCATTTGATGAGGCCAGCATCATCCTGATACAAAAGCCTGGCAGAGACACAACAAAAAAAGAGAATTTTAGACCAATATCCCTGGATCGATGCAAAAATCCTCAATAAAATACTGGCAAACAGAATCCAGCAGCACATCAAAAAGCTTATCCACCATGATCAAGTGGGCTTCATCCCTGGGATGCAAGGCTGGTTCAACATACACAAATCAATAAACGTAATCCAGCATATAAACAGAACCAAAGACAAAAACCACATAATTATCTCAATAGATGCCGAAAAGGCCTTTGACAAAATTCAACAGCACTTCATGCTAAAAACTCTCAATAAATTAGGTATCGATGGGACATATCTCAAAATAATAAGAGCTATTTATGACAAACCCACAGCCAATATCATACTGAATGGGCAAAAACTGGAAGCATTCCCTTTGAAAACTGGCACAAGACAGGGATGCCCTCTCTCACCACTCCTATTCAACATAGTGTTGGAAGTTCTGGCCAGGGCAATCAGGCAGGAGAAGGAAATAAAGCATATTCAATTAGGAAAAGAGGAAGTCAAATTGTCCCTGTTTGCAGATGACATGATTGTATATCTAGAAAACCCCATCATCTCAGCCCAAAATCTTCTTAAGCTGATAAGTAACTTCAGCAAAGTCTCAGGGTACAAAATCAATGTGCAAAAATCATAAGCATTCTTATACACCAATAACAGACAAACAGAGAGCTACGTCATGAGTGAACTCCCATTCACAATTGCTTCAAAGAGAATAAAATACCTAGGAATCCAACTTACAAAGGATGTGAAGGACCTTTTCAAGGAGAACTACAAAACACTGCTCAACGAAATAAAAGAGGACACAAACAAATGGAAGAACATTCCATGCTCATGGATAGGAAAAATCAATATCATGAAAATGGCCATACTGCCCCAGGTAATTTATAGATTCAATGCCATCCTCATCAAGCTACCAATGACTTTCTTCACAGAATTGGAAAAAACTACTTTAAAGTTCATATGAGACCAAAAAAAGAGCCTGCATTGCCAAGTCAATTCTAAGCCAAAAGAACAAAGCTGGAGGCATCACGCTACCTGACTTCAAACTATACTACAAGGCTACAGTAACAAAAACAGCGTGGTACTGGTACCAAAACAGAGATATAGACCAATGGAACAGAACAGAGCCCTCAGAAATAATACCACACATCTACAACTATCTGATCTTTGACAAACCTGACAAAAATGAGAAATGGGGAAAGAATTCCCTATTTAACAAATGGTGCTGGGAAAACTGGCTTGCCATATGTAGAAAGCTGAAACTGGATCCCTTCCTTACACCTCATACAAAAATTAAGTCAAGATGGATTAAAGACTTAAATGTTAGACCTAAAACCATAAAAACCCTAGAAGAAAACCTAGGCAATACCATTCAGGACATAGGCATGTGCAAGGACTTCATGTCTAAAACACCAAAAGCAATGGCAACAAAAGCCAAAATTGACAAATGGGATCTAATTAAACTAAAGGGCTTCTGCACAGCAAAAGAAACTACCATCAGAGTGAACAGGCAACCTACAGAATGAGAGAAAATTTTTACAATCTACCCATCTGACAAAGGGCTAATATCCAGAATCTACAAAGAACTCAAACAAATTTACAAGAAAAAAAACAAACCCATTAACAAGTGGGCAAAGGATATGAACAGACACTTCTCAAAAGAAGACGTTTATGCAGCCAACAGACGCATGAAAAAATGCTCATCATCACTGGCCATCAGAGAAATGCAAATCAAAACCACAATGAGCTATCATCTCACACCAGTTAGAATGGCTATCATTAAAAAGTCAGAAAACAACAGGTGCTGGAAAGGATGTGGAGAAATAGGAACACTTTTACACTGTTGGTGGGACTGTAAACTAGTTCATCCATTGTGGAAGACAGTGTGGCAATTCCCTAGGGATCTAGAACTAGAAATACCATTTGACCCAGCCATCCCATTACTGGGTACATACCCAAAGGAATATAAATCATGCTGCTATAAAAACACATGCACTCGTATGTTTATTGCAGCACTACTCACAATAGCAAAGACTTGGAACCAACCCAAATGTCCAACAATGATAGACTGGATTAAGAAAATGTGGCACATATACACCATGGAATACTATGCAGCCATAAAAAAGGATGAGTTCATGTCCTTTGTAGGGACATGGATGAAGCTGGAAACCATCATTCTCAGCAAACTATCTCAAGGACAAAAAACCAAACACTGCATGTTCTCACTCACAGGTGGGAATTGAACAATGAGAACACTTGGACAGAGGAAGGGGAATATCACACACCAGGGCCTGTTGTGGGGTGGGGGGGAGGATGGAGGGATAGCATTAGGAGATATACCTAATGTAAATGATGAGTTAATGGGTGCAGCACACCAACATGGCACATGTATACATATGTAACAAACCTGCACATTGTGCACATGTACCCTAGAACTTAAAGTATAATTATAAAAAAAAAAAAAGAAAAAGTTTGGCAGATTATATAAAAAGTTAAACGTAGTATATACTCAAGCCATTCTTCTCTTAGATATTTACCATGAGTAATAAAAGTATATGTTATGTTCACTGCAGCTTCATTTGCAATAGCCCAACACTGGAATCAACTCCAATATAAATGGGTGAATGGGTTAAAAAAAATTGTGGTATATCCATACAGTGGAAGCCTACTCAGCAATAAAAGGAATAAAGTAGAGATACATACTGTATAATAGATGGATCACAAGATAATTTTATGAATGGAGAAATCAAGTAAAATAAAAGACAAACTGTATGATTCTATTTATATAAAATTCAGCAAAGTGCAAACAATGGCTGGTAGGGTGCATAGTCTGTAAGTATGTGCCCCAGAGTAAAGAAGCTTGGGAGGGAGGAATTATAAAGAGGCCTGTGGGAACTTTTGGGAGTGATGGATATGCTCATTATTGTGATTGTGTTGATGTTTTCACAAGTGTATATATGTCAAAACATCAAACTGTATACTTTGAAACATTTATTAGTTACCAATAATGTCTTTTAAAAGCAATTAATTTTTTTTAAAATAGGCCAAATTAATACTCAGGGTAATACAGTCATGTGTCACTTAGTGATCGGGATACATAAGGAATGTGTCCTTAGGCAATTTTTTTCATTATGCAAATATCATAGTGGACTAATACAAACCTAGATGGTATAACCCACAACACACCTAGGCTGTATGGAGTAGCTTACTGCTCCTAGGCTACAAACCTGTACAGCATGTTACTGCACTGAATACTGTAGGCAATTGGAAGAAAAGTCACTAGGCAATAGGAATTTTTCAAGTCCATTATAATCTACTGAGACCACTGTTGTATATGTAATTTGTTGTTGACCAAAACATTGCACATGATTATATTTTCTCAGAAGAGAGCCTTCTGATGTAATAGAAAGTCTTCCATAGTTTGATGGGTTGTCTACAAACACACAGACACACACAAATTAAGCTCTATACTTCAGATTTTTGCATTTTGCTGTATTTAGGTTGCATTTTACTCTATTAAAACCTTTTTTTTAAAGTAATTAAAAGAACTAAAACAGTGAATATGGAGGAGAGAGCCTAGAACCATGACTAACTGTCAGGAGACATAAACAAAGAAAAGAAGAAATTGACAGAGTAGGATATACAAAAAGATGCAAAAACAAATTTTTTAAAAAACAGGAGGAGCAAACCTGGGGAGCAACAGTTGGATTTTACTCCAGCAACGTAAATGAACCCATCATGACCACATGAAAAAGCTGGCACTGTTGTCTATACTCCAGTCATAAGATTACTCCAGGATACATTTTGTTAACTTTTCTTTCACTCTGCATTGCCATGCTTTATTATTTTTTTTAAAATCCCTTCTCCTTTTCTAACTAACTCTTCTGGATTAAACACTAAACTTGTTTTCTTTGGGTTTGGTCCTGTTGCATGGAGTCTATCTCCCCTGCACAGGATTCTGGTCTTTATCTTGCGTGTTCATGCAGTAATACCTATAGAAAGGGTGATCTCTTCCACACAGCTTACCATATTTCTATAAGACACTCCTCAGATGGGATTGGTGTGATCTCTTACCTGCCACTTACTGACCATTGTGTGGGATAGCAGGAGTAACAGGTGAAGGGAAAAGGGAGCAAGAAAGGACAGTACATTAAAAATAAGAAGCAGCTAAAATAGCTGTGAATAAAGGAGTAAGAACATTTGACAACCGGTCATTAGATTTGCCTCAGGGCCTTGGAATAATCTAGAAGAAACCAGGAGCACAAAAGGATAGATTACAAAATATTATGGTAAAATAGGATGATAAGCACAAATATTCAATGCAATTATGTAAGAAACTCATACATTTTGGAAATATTTATAGAGAAAGCAGAATTAGGTGAAGGATTTTTATTTAAACATGTAAAGGTCATGAATAGGAAGAAGAGAATATTTGAGAAGGAGTTAGTATAATTTTTCCTCTAGGTTTCCAGGAAATAAATTAGGAAAAGAAGGGGGTTTATGCCTCATTTCAACCCCACCCAATTTAACTCCCAGCATAAAACTAAGAGAAACAATTTTTGTGTCTTCCAGCTTTGTTTTCACTGTACAAACCTATGGGTGTGTGTGTGTGTGTGTGTGTGTGTGTGTGTGTGTGTGTGTGTGTGTGTTGGAAGGTGTCCAGATAAGCTTTGTTGCCATGAAACTTGAGAAAGAAAGGAGGTGATATGGGCTAGAGATAGCCACGTTGAGGGTGAACAATCTCAAAGCTGCTAGAGAGCAAGTCAATGTTCTGAATATTGAGTACAAAGCAGGTAACAGGGATTTTGTGGTTCAAAGCAATTGACCTCTTAGTTAATACAGAAGAAACCAAGAGCTCAAGGCACATAGTACTGGAAGTTTAGATGCTCACTGAGAGAGGAATCCCCAAAGTGAGCAATATTGTAGCACCTCGATACTCTGCACTCTGACTTCTTTTAAACTTTGTGTTGAGTGGGTCATGCTGAGCCCACAGGTGCATGGGAGGCAATGGCTGCCAAAGGGAGAATAAAGAATCATGGAAAGTTGTTACATTATTTCATATATTTCATTCTTGGTTACCTTCCAATCAAAATTATCAGCTCTTCAAAGATGGATAAAATGATATAATATGATTGAAGGCTTTAAAATTACAAGGTTAAAAAGTCATCACACATTTTAATTGGAGCAGATGTGAAATGCCCTTTTCTAAAGGTAAAAAATTCATATATAAACATCACTCTGATGCCCAAGTCAAAAAGACAACCTAAGATTCCAATCCAAGAATTCTGATTAAGGTTATATATATATATATATATATATATATATATATATATATATACACACACACACACACACACACACACACACACACATATACACACACCTATATGATATCTATAACACATATATATGTGTATATATGTATATCAAGCATGCTGGTGAATCTAGTAATTCCTATACCATAAATTCAAGGCAAGAAGAAAGAAGCTGCAGGAGAGCAAAGAAGACAAGGAAAAGCTATATATTCTAGTTGAGATGGTCTTCAAGGATTCTCTACACCCCAGAAAAAATCTGAATCCCAGTATTTACTCCTTTGTGTAGTCCCCCTCTCCTTGAACCCAGGTTGGCCCTGTGACTCATTTTTGACCAATACAATATGGCAAAAGTAAGCTTCTAATACTGTATTACAAGTCAAGTCTTGTTGATTTGGCTTGAGTCCCCTAAAACTCTAACCTTTGAGATGCTTTCTTTCAGAATCCAGCCACCAAGCCATGTGCATAGTCTGTATGTATGTGCCCCAGTCAACAACTTCATCTAATCTCTCAGATGAAAGCCAGTATCAACTGCAATCCACTTGAATGAACCAGCTCAGAAATTCCAGTCCAATCTTAACTCCCACATAACATCAACATCTAATGTCATGTGGAACACAAGAACTGCCCAGTTGAGTCTAGTTAACGTACAGAATTGTGAGACATAATAAAATCGTTGTTTAAGCCACTAAGGTTTGAAAAATGGTTAATGAAAATGAAAATGATTGCAAGAATAAACAATCAAAATGACTTATCAATTTCTTAATGTGATGATGTACTAGTTAAATATTACTGTGTAACAAATCACCACAAAACTTAGTGATTTTAAAAAGTAAGTTATCAAACTTTTTCTTAAAGGGACAGATAGTAAATATTTTAGACTCTGTGGACCATAAAGTCTCTGTCCCAACTAATCAACTCTGCCATTGTAGGGTGAAAGCAGCCATAGACAATACATAGACAAATGGGTATGGCTGTGTTCCAATAAAACTTTATTTACAAAAACTGGCAGCTGGCTTATGGGCTCATAGTTTGTCAACCTCTCTTTAAAAAAATAAGCATATTATTGCTCACAATTCTATAGGTCAGATGGGTGGTTCTGCTGATTTGAGCCAGTGTTAACTGATCTCAGCTTGGTTCATTCATGCATCTGCCATTAGCTGGCAGGTTAACAGGGGGCTGGCTGGTCTATGATGGCCTCACTTACATCTGGTGTTTTGCTGGCTGCCAGCTGGAGCTATAGGGGTGACTGGGCCACATGTCTCTTATCATTCATCAGGCTAGCCCAGGCTTATTCACATAGTGGTGGCAGAGTTCCAAGAGAATGAGTAAAAGCACACAGACCTTTTGAGGGCTAGACTCAGAATTGGCACATTTTCACTTCTATCCTGTTCTGTGGACCGAGGTATGAGTAAGTCATAAGATCAACCCAAATTCAAGTAATGGGGAAACAGACTCAACCCCTTGATGGAGGAGCTATAAAGTCATCATGCAAAGGGCACGGATATAGGAAGGTGTGAAGAATTGTGGAACTTTGTGCAAATCTTGAGCCTATTAGTATGTGAGTTGAAGAGCTAGCATTCTAAATGGGAGTTGTTCCATTTCATTTTATAAGTAAAGACAAGGAAGCCCAGGTAAAGGAATTGACTCACCCAAGTCATTGTTGTTAGGTCAGCTCTGGAGACGGAAGAATAACTCGCTAATTGTGTCAGGAGGTTGTGGTTTCCTGATTCCTTAGAATGTCCATACGGGAACTTCAGGGTTTCCTAGCACAACTGTAAGAAGTTTCTCTTCTACACACAACCCTTCTCAGATGCTCTCCATACCACAGTCTTCAATTACAGTAAAGAAATATGATGATTAATATTGAGTGTCAACATTATTGGATTGAAGGATGCAAAGTATTGTTCCTGGTTGTGTACCTGTGAGGGTGTTTCCAAAGGAGATTAACATTTGAGTCAGTGGACTGGGAGAGGCAGATCCACTGTCAGTCTGGGTGGGCACCATCTATCTGATCAGCTGGGAGTGCAGCTAGAATAAAGCAGGCAGGAAACAGCGGAAAAGCAGACTTGCTGAGTCTTCTGGCCTCCATCTTTCTCCCCTACTGGATGCTTCCTGTCCTGGAACATCAGACTCCAAGTTCCTCAGCTTTTGGACTCTTGGACTTACACCAGTGCTGTGCAAGGGGCTCTGAAGCCTTCGGCCACAGACTGAAGGCTGTACTGTCAGCTTCCCCCTACTTTTGAGGTTTTGGGACTCAGACTGGTTTCCTTGCTCCTCAGCTTGCAGATGGCCTATCATGGGACTTCACCTTGTGATCATGGTGCACATATATTCTCCTAATAAACTCCTCTTCACATATATATCTATCCTATTACTTTTGCCCCCTTAGAGAACCCTGATACAAGGAACAATGAAGATGATAAATATTTATTATCTACTCAGATCCCTAAGAAAAATTCCTTATATCCAGAAATTCCCTCCTTATTATACTCTAAGAATCTTAATGCCTAACTTAGCATATCTTCAACCTAATACGTCTCCAGACATCTGCATCACTTGGCCACATGCCATAAATACGGAGTGGCCTGGTGATAATAGGTCCAGTGAGAATGACTCTTACTCAAACAGTTAAGCCACAGACTTGCTGTAAACATACTTAGAATGAGGTGGCTACAGGCTACAAATTACTCACCAGCTGCCACAGTTTTGGGCAACATCCCTACTAGTCAGTTCATAACCCACAGGGACTTATGAGAGAATGTTCAAGCTAAAACCTTCCCTCCTATTTTCAATTGCTATGCTGTTGGAAAAACAGTAGAATTATCTTTCCCACCCTGATTTAATGGTTTCTCGTAATGATACTGCCCTGTATTAAGTTCAATCTCCTATTCACCATTTAATAGCTTACAAAAATAAAATTTTCCATCCTGCCTTACCCTATGGACAGTGCTGACTTAAGCCAGAGCATATGTTAAAAGAAGCTCATCCCTGACTCCAGGAACCTAAAATTTGTCCTAAAATGTGATCTATACCCAACTTGGCTGCATTTAATTAAGCTAATAAGTTGTTCTAATGTTTTGTTTATGTTCTTATGGCTCAGAAAACTCTAAAATGCCTTTGTGGCTTACTTGTAAAGTAGCATTCTAGTATTTTTGTCTCTACCTCAAACACCTCTTATGTAATTCAAAACTTTCAAGAGTCAATCCCTAATTCAATATTAGGCACCAAAGCGTCTCCTAAACATAACCTGAAACTAATTCCCATGCCATGCTAATAAACTGAGCTATAAGACTCCAACGTATGTAATTTTCTGAAATTAGACTCCAGTCATTCATCATTTCTTTATGACTTCAATGGTGATGCTCTAGCATCACGATTCACCTTCTGTTCTCTCCACACACAACAACCCACACAGTAATTGCCGAAGCCTATGATTCTACCTTCTTCACTTCTCAGCAACAGTTTTCTTCTTTCCACTACCTTTACCCCTACTTAAATGAACCTCTGGTCTAGGCAATCTCTGCGCCCCTGCTCGTGGCTCTTCTTTATAATAAAATATCTTCTTTCACCATCTACTTCTACCAAAGTCGCACTCACACTGCAATATCACTTGCTTTTGTTTCCCTGACCAAATCTGATTTCTCCATTTATAAAACCTGTATCTTCTTATGCTTCAATTACAATAGAATTATTGTCCATATATTTTGTATGATCATTATTTATATATTTGTTGTAGAATGTCCTCTTTCTCTACAGGAAGCTAATTTTCATCTAACTTAAGGTATGCCTTTAGCATTTTGACATCGACGTTTAACTTTCTAAAGCAAGATCTGTAAGGGGCCCCACTGTAATGCTTCATCCTTTCTGTTGATATAGCAGCAGTTTTACCAAACACAGCAATAAAAGCCTCATGGGGAATTAGAACCCACATTTCCACAATCATGTAGGAAGTGTAAACGCAAAATTGTTAATAGCCTCCCCAGAGTTTAAGCTCTTGTTATGATGCCTTCCATGATTTCACCATGGTTTAAGAGTAATGAAATATCTCAATTCAGATTTGAAAGCACGAAATACAAAATAAGGGTGATTTAGTCATCTCTTTCAAAGCCTGGTTTTGTTAGCTGTACAAGTTTCTTTAATATGTAACCTGATTACAAGACAGCATGAAAATTCATTTCTAAGTTAGGTAGTATTACTATGCATACATTATATAAAAGCATTATATAATGCTTTTAAAGCAACTCTTTGCACAGAAATATCAAGTGCTATATCTATTGTTTTACATCTCTTTTTTTTCTGCAGTGTAAGATAGGACTTTTTTGACCAATTCATTAAATTCTTTAATAAAAATGTTTTATTTGGTCAGCCAAATTACTACACATTTTTCTGAACTTCTGATATCTTTACATGTGCAGAGATGAGAGGCAGGAGAAACTCAGTGGTCTCATAGTATTCTCAAAATAGAAACATTATAATTAGAGTAATTAACTTCTAGAACAGCAATATCTAAACAAAATCCAAACAAAGTTTGTGCACATGCCTTTGGTTACATATTTTTGTGCTTGACAAATGTTTACTTAAAAAAAAAAACTTTGTTCCCAAATAGTGACTAAAATCAAGTGTACAGGTTTGATGTGCATGACATAATTAGGTTTGTTCCATGCCATAGTTGCTTTCATTTATTGAGTGCTTACTCTGGGCCAGTCATCATGATATGCTCTTTCTACATTTATCTCAAAAATTCTAAATCTGATTCTCTACTAGCATTTCTTCTCTCAGAAAACGGCATCACCATCTGTCCAGTTAGGCAGGCAAGAAACGGCCTTGTTGCCTCCCCACTCAAAACCCTTATATTCAATTCACACGTTCTGTGAATTTTACCTGTTCAGTATATCTAGAGTTCGTCCACATCTCTCGTTTCACTGCCATCCTCCTATTTCAGACCGAGATCATCTCCACCTCAACCTACAGAAAGTGCCTATTAACTAGTTTTCCAGCATTTACTCTGGGGTTCCTCTTATCCACTCAACACCCTGAAGTGTCTGCTCAAGTCTTTGCCTGTCAAGTAGGGTAGTTTGTCTTTTTATTGTTGAGTTAAAGAAGTTTGTGTTTGTTCTGGATACAAGTGTCCTTTTCAAAATGTACAGCCAGTTTCTGGCACACAATAGGAATTCAATCTTTCTTGTCGAATAGAGGAGTAAATGAACCCCTTAGAGCACATATCGTTCCAGTTTATGGCCAAAGAAACAGATTCTCAGAGAGGTTGAGTTACTTGCACAAGGTCACCCAACTAATGAATTGAAGAGCCAAGATGTGAAACCAGGTCTATATGATCTAAAAAACTGAACTCGTTCCACTGCGCTATTCTGATTCCCAGTTCACTGTCACAAAAACATTCCTTTAAGTTTATTGAACTATTTTACAAATACGTATCTTTGCTAACTGCTGAATGGGGAAAGGGGGAAATGTCAAGAGAGTGTAAATGAATAGAGACACAGATGCTATCAGTAATAGAAAAGTTATGCAAAGCTTATATCTTATTGTGATTAGATCCGCAGCTCTATCATCCATCTATCTATCCATCCATCCATCCATATCTATTTACCTACCTACTTACGTACCTATTAAAATATACCTACCAATCAATCAACCACTTTATAATCTATCTATCTAAAAGGAGAACTATTTATTTATAAAGTGTATGGTCTAAGGAATATCCCATTTATCTTGATAAAAGAATCTATTATTATTAGAGATAAATAAATAAAAGATAGATAAAATAGATAAATAGATAGATAAATAGATAAATAGATAAAATAGATAAATAGATAAAAGAATCTATTATTATTAAAAGAATCTATTATTAAGCATATGTATCAGGAATAGTTCTTTCTTTTTTTTTTTTTTTTTTTTTTTTTGACAGAGTCTCGCTCTGTTGCCAGGCTGGAGTGCCATGGCGCGATCTCGGCTCACTGCAAACTGCCTCCCAGATTCAAGCAATTCTCCTGCCTCAGCCTCTGGAGTAGTTGGGATTACAGGCACCTGCCACCACGCCCAGCTAATTTTTCTATTTTTAGTAGAGACGGGTTTTCACCTTGTTGGCCAGGATGGTCCTGATCTCTTGACTTCATGATCCGTCCACCTCGGCCTCCCAAAGTGCTGGGATTACAGGCGTGAGCCACCACATCCAGCAGGAATAGTTAATTTTTACAGTTCATTTTTTTTTTTTGTAAAATTTGCCTTTGGAAAATGCATACATTTTAAGTGTTCAATAAGATAAGTTTGACAACTGCATGCAGACATATAACACACCTCACTATCAAGGTAAAGAATATTTCCATCACCTAGAAATTTCCTTCATCCTCTACCCAGTCAATTTAACCCACCCCAGAGGCAACTATTTTTCTTACTTTTTCTATCATAGTTAGTTTTGTTTGTTCTAGAATTTCATATTAATGAAATCATAGCATATATGCTTTTGTGTCTGGCTTATTTATCTAGAACTAATGTCCTTGAGATACATCATATTGTTATATTTATCTGTCATTTATTCATATGTATAGATTAGTAGTATTCCATTACATTTAATGTTGTAGAAAAAATATACCACAACAATTTTGTCCATTCACCTTTTGTTTGAAATTTGGGTTATTTCTGGCTTGAAGATATTAGGAATAAAGCTGTTATGAATCATTTGAACAAGTAGTTTCATGGACATATGTTTTTCATTTCTTTTGGCTTAATGCCTAGGAGTAGAATTCTAGGTCACAGGGGAAGTGTAGGTTTAACTTTATCAGAAATTGACAAAATTTCTTCCAAAGTAGTTGTACCATTTTTCACACCTCCTAACAATGTATGAGAATTCTGCGTGCTCTATATTCTAACCAATATTTTATGTCGTTAGTATTTTCCATTTCAGCCATTCTAGGAGTAAATAGTGGAATCTCATTTAGCTTGTAGTTTGCATTTCCTCAATGATTAAAGATGCTGAGTACTTTTTCATGTGTATATTGGCTATTTGTATATCTTCCTTTGTGAAGTGTCTGTCCAAGCCTTTGCCAATTTTTAAATAGGAGAGTTTATCTTTTCATTAATGAGTTCTAGGAGCTCATTATATATTCTGAATACAGGTCTTTGTCAGATATATGTTTTATGAATATTTTTGTGGCTTGACTAATCTTGTTTTTTAATAGAGACTTTTGCTGAGTAGATTTTAATTAAGTATAATTTTCAGTTTTTTTCTTTATGATGATTGCTTTATGTGTCTTGTCTAAGAAATCTTTGCTCATTGCCAAGTTTCAAAAATATTCTTCTATGTTTTCTTCCAGAAGCTTTTTAATTTTATCTCTAACATTTAGTTCTATGAGACATCTCAAATTAGCATTTGTGTATTATGAGATAGAAATCAAAGTTAATTATTTTCCATACATTTTTCAGTTTTTCATTGGTTGAAATGACTTTTCTTTCCCACTTTTTTCTTTAGCACCTTTGCCAAAAATGAATTGGATCTTTTTCTGGACTCTCTATTCTATTTTATAAATCTATTTTAACATCCTTGTACCAGTCCCATACTATCTTAATTAATGTAGCTTTATAGTAATTCCTTAAGCCAGGTAATGTATTTCTTGTTTTGTTTTGTTTTGTTTTTGAGACAGAGTCTCGCTCTGTTGCCCAGGCTGGAGAGCAATGGCGCTATCTCGGATCACTGCAACCTCCGCCTCTCAGGTTCCAGAGATTTTCCTGCCTCAGCCTCCCAAGTAGCTGGGACTACAGGTGTGCACCACCAAGCCCAGCTAATTTTTGTATTTTTTTTTAGTAGAAACGATGTTTCACCATGGTGGCCAGGATGGTCTCTATCTCCTGACCTCATAAGCTGCTCGCCTTGGCCTGCCAAAGTGCTGGGATTACAGGTTATCTTTTTTTTTTTTAAGATTGTTTTTATTTTTCTGGGAGCTTTGATTTCCTTATACATTTTATAAATATCTTGTCCATTTTTGTTATAAAGCATACTGGCATTGCAGTCAATCTACAGTTTAATTTGGGGGAGAATAGACAACTTACTACTATTAAGTGTTGCAATTAATGGACATGGTATAGCTCTCTATTTGGATTATCTTAAATTTATATTAGAATTTTTATTATATTTTATTGTAGAGGTCACGCACATTTTTTGTTTTATTTTTTCCTAAGTATTAGTGTTTTCAACAATACGGTAAATGGAGTTTTTAAAAAGCTTGTGTTCTTATTATTTGCTGTTAGTATTTAAGAACTATAATTGAATTTCGAATATTGACTTTGTGCTTTGCAGTCTTGGGAAATGTACTTAATATTTCTAGTAATTGCTCTGTAAACTCTTGAGGATTTTCTAAGTAGACAATTGTGTCTTCTGCAAAGAGGGACAATTTTACTTCTTTCTTTTCAACATTTATACTATTTCTTTCTCTTGACTTATAGGACTAGCTATGACTTCCAGTTTCATGCTGAATATAAATGATGATAGCAGTAATCCTTGCATTGTTATTCATCGAAGGTGAAAAGCATCTAGTCTTTAGCAATTAAATATGTTAGCTGTGGATTCCACATAGATGCTCTTTTACAGGTTGAGGAAGTTCTGTTTCTAGTTTGCTGGATATTTTATTACAAGCGAATATTTATTTTTATCAAATATCTTTTTCAACAAACATTGAAATAATTATATGGTTTTGTCATTTATTCTGTTAATATGGTGAAGTACATCCATTGCTTTCTCTATGTTAAACCTTGCATTGCTGAAATAAGCCCCCTTTGGTCTTAACATATTGTCTCCTGTACACATTGCTTGATCCTATTTACTATGTTTTGCAAGAATTTTTGCATTTATGTTCTTGAATAGTGTTTATTTTCCTTTCCGATAATATCTTTTTCAGGTTTTGTTATAAAGATTATGCTGGCCTCATCAAATAAAAACTTAGTGTAACCATTGTATTATTTATTCATTTAGTGAAACCATCTGGGTCTAAAGTTTTCTTCATAGAAAATTTTAGATAACACATTGAGTTTCTTCCATGGATATAGTGTTAATTGGAATTTTCTATTTCATCTTGTGTCATTTTTGGTATGTTGTGTTTTTCAAGAAATTTGTCTATTTCATCTACACTGTCAAAATGATTTGTCTTAACATTGCTCCTAATATTCCTATATTTTCTTCCACATCTTTAGGACCTATACTGAAATTATCCTCTTTTATGATTAATATTAATAATGTATGTGTGTTTTTTCTCTTTCTTGATCTATCTTGCTGATATTTATCAATTACATCAATATTTTCAAAAAAAAAATGTGATCCTTCAACTGATTTCTGCTTTTCTTATTATCTTCTTATCTTGCTCACTTTTTTAAATGGTAAAAACTTAGGAAATTAAAATTGCTTTCAAAGCACTATTATTTTTCAAAATAAGCATTTAAGAGAGGAGCCAAGATGGCCGAATAGGAACAGCTCCTGTCTACAGCTCCCAGCGTGAGCGACGCAGAAGACGGGTGATTTCTGCATTTCCATCTGAGGTACCAGGTTCATCTCACTTGGGAGTGGCAGACAGTGGGCGCAGGTCAGTGGGTGCGCGCACCGTGCGTGAGCCAAAGCAGGGCGAGGCATTGCCTCACTTGGAAAGCACAAGGGGTCAGGGAGTTCCCTTTCCGAGTCAAAGAAAGGGGTGACAGACGCACCTGGAAAATCGGGTCACTCCCACCCAAATACTGCGCTTTTCCGACCAGCTTCAAAAAACGGCACACCACGAGATTATATCCCGCACCTGGCTCTGAGGGTCCTACGCCCACGGAGTCTCGCTGATTGCTAGCACAGCAGTCTGAGATCAAACTGCAAGTTGGCAGCGAGGCTGGGGGAGGGGCGCCCGCCATTGCCCAGGCTTGCTTAGGTAAACAAAGCAGCCAGGAAGCTCCAACTGGGTGGAGCCCACCACAGCTCAAGGAGGCCTGCCTGCCTCTGTAGGCTCCACCTCTGGGGGCAGGGCACAGACAAACAAAAAGACAGCAGTAACCTCTGCAGACTTAAATGTCCCTGTCTGATAGCTTTGAAGAGAGCAGTGGTTCTCCCAGCACGCAGCTGGAGATCTGAGAACGGGCAGACTGCCTCCTCAAGTGGGTCTCTGACCCCCGAGCAGCCTAACTGGGAGGCACCCCCCAGCAGGAGAACACTGACACCTCACACGGCAGGGTATTCCAACAGACCTGCAGCTGAGGGTCCTGTCTGTTAGAAGGAAAACTAACAAACAGAAAGGACATCCACACCAAAACCCATCTGTACATCACCATCATCAAAGACCAAAAGTAGATAAAACCACAAAGATGGGGAAAAAACAGAACAGAAAAACTGGAAACTCTAAAACGCAGAGCACCTCTCCTCCTCCAAAGGAACGCAGTTCCTCACCAGCAACGGAACAAAGCTGGATGGAGAATGACTTTGACGAGCTGAGAGAAGAAGCCTTCAGACGATCAAATTACTCTGCGCTACGGGAGGACATTCAAACCAAAGGCAAAGAAGTTGAAAACTTTGAAAAAAATTTAGAAGAATGTATAACTAGAATAACCAATACAGAGAAGTGCTTAAAGGAGCTGATGGGGCTGAAAACCAAGGCTCGAGAACTACGTGAGGAATGCAGAAGCCTCAGGAGCCGATGCGATCAACTGGAAGAAAGGGTATCAGCAATGGAAGATGAAATGAATGAAATGAAGCGAGAAGGGAAGTTTAGAGAAAAAAGAATAAAAAGAAATGAGCAAAGCCTCCAAGAAATATGGGACTATGTGAAAAGACCAAATCTATGTCTGATTGGTGTACCTGAAAGTGACGGGGAGAATGGAACCAAGTTGGAAAACACTCTGCAGGATATTATCCAGGAGAATTTCCCCAATCTAGCAAGGCAGGCCAACGTTCAGATTCAGGAAATACAGAGAACGCCACAAAGATACTCCTCGAGAAGAGCAACTCCAAGACACATAATTGTCAGATTCACCAAAGTTGAAATGAAGGAAAAAATGTTAAGGGCAGCCAGAGAGAAAGGTCGGGTTACCCACAAAGGGAAGCCCATCAGACTAACAGCGGATCTCTCGGCAGAAACGCTACAAGCCAGAAGAGAGTGGGGGCCAATATTCAACATTCTTAAAGAAAAGAATTTTCAACCCAGAATCTCATATCCAGCCAAACTAAGCTTCATAAGCGAAGGAGAAATAAAATACTTTACAGACAAGCAAATGCTGAGAGATTTTGTCACCACCAGGCCTGCCCTAAAAGAGCTCCTGAAGGAAGCACTAAACATGGAAAGGAACAACCAGTACCAGCCGCTGCAAAATCATGCCAAAATGTAAAGACCATTGAGACTAGGAAGAAACTACATCAACTAACCAGCAAAAGAACCAGCTAACATCATAATGACAGGCTCAAATTCACACATAACAATATTAACTTTAAATGTCAATGGACTAAATGCTCCAATTAAAAGACACAGACTGGCAAATTGGATAAAGAGTCAAGACCCATCAGTGTGCTGTATTCAGGAAACCCATCTCATGTGCAGAGACACACATAGGCTAAAAATAAAAGGATGGAGGAAGATCTACCAAGCAAATGGAAAACAAAAAAAGGCAGGGGTTGCAATCCTAGTCTCTGATAAAACAGACTTTAAACCAACAAAGATCAAAAGAGACAAAGAAGGCCATTACATAATGGTAAAGGGATTAATTCAACAAGAAGAGCTAACTATCCTAAATATATATGCACCCAATACAGGAGCACCCAGATTCATAAAGCAAGTCCTGAGTGACCTACAAAGAGACTTAGACTCCCACACATTAATAATGGGAGACTTTAACACCCCACTGTCAACATTAGACAGATCAACGAGACAGAAAGTCAACAAGGACACCCAGGAATTGAACCCAGCTCTGCACCAAGCGGACCTAATAGACATCTACAGAACTCTCCACCCCAAATCAACAGAATATACATTTTTTTCAGCACTGCACCACACCAATTCCAAAATTGACCACATACTTGGAAGTAAAGCTCTCCTCAGAAAATGTAAAAGAACAGAGATTATAACAAACTATCTCTCAGACCACAGTGCAATCAAACTAGAACTCAGGATTAAGAATCTCACTCAAAACCGCTCAACTACATGGAAGCTGAACAACCTGCTCCTGAATGACGACTGGGTACATAACGAAATGAAGGCAGAAATAAAGATGTTCTTTGAAACCAACGAGAACAAAGACACAACATACCAGAATCTCTGGGACGCATTCAAAGCAGTGTGTAGAGGGAAATTTATAGCACTAAATGCCCACAAGAGAAAGCAGGAAAGATCCAAAATTGACACCCTAACATCACAATTGAAAGAACTAGAAAAGCAAGAGCAAACACATTCAAAAGCTAGCAGAAGGCAAGAAATAACTAAAATCAGAGCAGAACTGAAGGAAATAGAGACACAAAAAACCCTTCAAAAAATTAATGAATCCAGGAGCTGGTTTTTTGAAAGGATCAACAAAATTGATAGACTGCTAGCAAGACTAATAAAGAAAAAAAGAGAGAAGAATCAAATAGACGAAATAAAAAATGATAAAGGGGATATCACCACCGATCCCACAGAAATACAAACTACCATCGGAGAATACTACAAACATCTCTACGCAAATAAACTAGAAAATCTAGAAGAAATGGATAAATTCCTCGACACATACACTCTCCCAAGACTAAACCAGGAAGAAGATGAATCTCTGAATAGACCAATAACAGGATCTGAAATTGTGGCAATAATCAATAGCTTACCAACGAAAAAGAGTCCAGGACCAGATGGATTCACAGCCGTATTCTACCAGAGGTATAAGGAGGAGCTGGTACCATTCCTTCTGAAACTATTCCAATCAATAGAAAAAGAGGGAATCCTCCCTAACTCATTTTATGAGGCCAGCGTCATTCTGATACCAAAGCCAGGCAGAGACACAACCAAAAAAGAGAATTTTAGACCAATATCCTTGATGAACATCGATACAAAAATCCTCAATAAAATACTGGCAAAACGAATCCAGCAGCACATCAAAAAGCTTATCCACCATGATCAAGTGGCCTTCATCCCTGGGATGCAAGGCTGGTTCAATATATGCAAATCAATAAATGTAATCCAGCATATAAACAGAGCCAAAGACAAAAACCACATGATTATCTCAATAGATGCAGTAAAAGCCTTTGACAAAATTCAACAACGCTTCATGCTAAAAACTCTCAATAAATTAGGTATTGATGGGATGTATTTCAAAATAATAAGAGCTATCTATGACAAATCCACAGCCAATATCATATTGAATGGGCAAAAACTGGAAGCATTCCCTTTGAAAACTGGCACAAGACAGGGATGCCCTCTCTCACCACTCCTATTCAACATAGTGTTGGAAGTTCTGGCCAGGGCAATTAGGCAGGAGAAGGAAATAAAGGGTATTCAATTAGGAAAAGAGGAAGTCAAATTGTCCCTCTTTGCAGACGACATGATTGTATATCTAGAAAACCCCATTGTCTCAGCCCAAAATCTCCTTAAGCTGATAAGCAACTTCAGCAGAGTCTCAGGATACAAAATCAATGTACAAAAATCACAAGTATTCTTATACACCAACAACAGACAAACAGAGAGCCAAATCATGAGTGAACTCCCATTCACAATTGCTTCAAAGAGAATAAAATACCTAGGAATCCAACTTACAAGGGAAGTGAAGGACCTCTTCAAGGAGATCTACAAACCACTGCTCAAGGAAATAAAAGAGGATACAAACAAATGGAAGAACATTCCATGCTCATGGGTAGGAAGAATCAATATCGTGAAAATAGCCATACTGCCCAAGGTAATTTATAGATTCAATGCCATCCCCATCAAGCTACCAATGACTTTCTTCACAGAATTGGAAAAAACTACTTTAAAGTTCATATGGAACCAAAAAAGAGCCCGCATCGCCAAGTCAATCCTAAGCCAAAAGAACAAAGCTGGGGGCATCACACCCTGACTTCAAACTATACTACAAGGCTACAGTCACCAAAACAGCATGGTACTGGTACCAAAACAGAGATATAGATCAATGGAACAGAACAGAGCCCTCAGAAATAACGCCGCATATCTACAACTATCTCATCTTTGACAAACCTGAGAAAAACAAGCAATGGGGAAAGGATTCCCTATTTAATAAATGGTGCTGGGAAAACTGGCTAGCCATATGTAGAAAGCTGAAACTGGATCCCTTCCTTACACCTTAGACAAAAATCAATTCAAGATGGATTAAAGACTTAAATATTAGACCTAAAACCATAAAAACCCTAGAAGAAAACCTAGGCATTACCATTGAGGACATAGGAATGGGCAAGGACTTCATGTCTAAAACACCAAAAGCAATGGCAACAAAAGCCAGAATTGACAAATGGGATCTAATTAAACTAAAGAGCTTCTGCACAGCAAAAGAAACTACCATCAGAGTGAACAGGCAACCTACAGAATGGGAGAAAATTTTCGCAACCTACTCATCTGACAAAGGGCTAATATCCAGAATCTAAAATGAACTCAAACATATTTACAAGAAAAAAACAAACAACCCCATCAAAAAGTGGGCGAAGGACATGAACAGACACTTCTCAAAAGAAGACATTTATGCAGCCAAAAAACACATGAAAAAATGCTCATCATCACAGGCCATCAGAGAAATGCAAATCAATACCACAATGAGATACCATCTCACACCAGTTAGAATGGTGATCATTCAAAAGTCAGGAAACAACAGGTGCTGGAGAGGATGTGGAGAAATAGGAACACTTTTACACTGTTGGTGGGACTGTAAACTAGTTCAACCATTGTGGAAGTCAGTGTGGCGATTCCTCAGGGATCTGGAACTGGAAATACCATTTGACCCAGCCATCCCATTACTGGGTATATACCCAAAGGACTATAAATCATGCTGCTATAAAGACACATGCACACGTATGTTTACTGCGGCATTATTCACAATAGCAAAGACTTGGAACCAACCCAAATGTCCAACAATGATAGACTGGATTAAGAAAATGTGGCACATATACACCATGGAATACTATGCAGCCATAAAAAATGATGAGTTCATGTCCTTTGTAGGGACATGGATGAAATTGGAAATCATCATTCTCAGTAAACCATCGCAAGAACAAAAAACCAAACACCGCATATTCTCACTCATAGGTGGGAATTGAACAATGAGATCACATGGACACAGGAAGGGGAACATCACGCTCTGGGGACTGTTGTGGGGTGGTGGGAGGGGGGAGGTATAGCACTGGGAGATATACCTAATGCTAGATGACGAGTTAGTGGGTGCAGCGCACCAGCATGGCACATGTATACATATGTAACTAACCTGCACAATGTGCACATGTACCCTAAAACTTAAAGTATAATAAAAAAAATAAGCATTTAAAATTATAAATGTTTCTTTACATACTGCTTTAGTTCCATACCACAAATTTTGATATGTTGTGTTTTCATGATTGCTCAGTTTTAGTATTTCTCATTTTCCCTGTAATTTCTTCTTTGACCTATAAGTTATTTACAAGTAGATTGTTTAATTTACAAGTTTTGGGACTTCTCTTATACCAAGCTATTGTTGACATTTAATTTAATTCCACTGTTGCTCAAAGATTTTAGTTTGTTGAAATGTACTGAGATTTATTTTATGTTGTTGAGTATTGTATTAAATAAATGTCAAGCAGGTTAAGGTAGTTGATAGTGTTGTTCAGATATTCTTTACTATTTTCTTGTCTACTTTTACTATCAATTATTGAGAGTAGGATATTGAAATTTTCAACTATGATTGTGAATTTGTCTGTTTTCCCTTTTGTTCTATAAATTCATGCTTCACATAGTTTGACACGCTATTAGGAACATATGCATCTACAATTGCTCTGTCTTCCTGATGAATTGAAATTGATCTTTTAGTCATTAGGAAATTTCTGTCATGTCAATGAGGCGCTATTTTTTTTTCAGTCTTTTTTCTCTCTGTTCTTCAGATTAGATAATTTCTAACAATATACCTTCAAATTCACTGTCCCTTACTGCCATTTTAAATGTGCTGTTAAGCCTACCTAGGGATTTTTTTTTTACTTTCTTTTTTTACTTCTTTTATTGTATATATTTTAGTTGTACAACATGTTTTGATATATATGGTGAAATGGTTGTAAGAGTCAAGCAAATGAACATATCCATCATCTCCTATAGTTACCCTTAGTTACCCCTTTTTGGTGGCAAGAGCACCTAAAATCTACTCTCTTAGCAAAAATCACAAATACAATAAAATTTCATTAACTGTAGTCCTCATGATGTACATCAGATCTCTAGACTTGTTCATGCTACATATCTGCTACTTTGTATTCTTTGACCTACATCTCCCCATTTTCTCTGTCTCACTCTCTCACCCCCGGTAACAACAATTTTATTTCCTATTTCCACTTATTGTACTTTTTTAAAAAGATTCCACATATACGTAAAATCATACAGTTTGTTTTTCTGTGTATGGTGCATGTTGGTGTGCGTGTGAGTGTATCACAATTTCTTTATCCATTCATCCATTGATGGACACTTTGGTTGTTTCCATATCTTGGCTATAGGAAATAATGCTGCAAATTAACTTGAGAGTGCAGATATCTTTATAAGGTAGTGATTTCAGTTTCTTTATCTACTCAGAAGAGGGACTGCTCAGCCCAGTAATTTTTTTCTTTTAAATTTCAATTATCATGTTTTCAGTTCTAGAATTTTCTTTTGATTAACTTTTCATAGTTCCTAATTCTCTGCTGAGATTTCCTTTCTGTTCATTAATTATAATCACACTTTACATTTAGTCCTTAAACACATTGATAATAGCTATTTTAAAGGCCTTGTCTACTAATTCAAATATCTAGATCATCATAGGATTTGTTTATAATGACTGATATTTCTTTTGACTGTGGGCCACTATTTCGTGTTTCTTTGCATGTCTAGTAATTGTTTTATCATTGTGAATGATATGTAGTGGAGAGTCTGGATTATGTGATCTTTCTTTAAGGGATGTTGAATTTCTTCTGAAAGGCAATTAAATTATTGGCAGAAACTTTTGGTCTATTAGGTTTGATTTTATTTTTTGTTATGGCAGATTTATTCCAATTTTAAGCTTAGTCCTGGCACATGCTCCTTACTCTAGGGTATGGAGTCTCAACTGAACATCTAAGTCTTTTAGCAAAGTCTTTTTATGTTGGCTGGGCTGAAACCCCCAAATCTCCCATCAATGTATCAGGAAATCTCTGCTGGGACTCTTGGCAACTTGTCTTGTGCACATGCATCTCAATCATTTGCCAACAACATGCAGTAAACTCCTCCATAGACTTTTAGGCACCTTCATCTGTGAAGCTTTTGCCTTTCAGGTACCTTGCTCAGCAAATTTCAGGAACTGAGATAGCCTAAAATTCCAATCTCCTTCTCTGCAAAGTGAGACTGCTACTCTACTTAAGTTCCATAAGCCTGCTCTGTGGCAGGACAGTGCCTGTAGGAAAAGCTGCGGGTGATCATAACCATTTCTAGACCTCATCTCATATTTTTTTTTATTTTTTCTCAAAAATTACAATCTTGGGCCAGGTGCGGTGACTCATGCTTGTAATCCCAGCACTTTGGGAGGCCGAGGCGGGTGGATCACAAAGTCAGGAGGTCAAGACCAGCCTGGCAAATATAGTGAAACCCCATCTCTACTAAAAAATACAAAAATTAGCTGGGCGTGGTGGCGGGCGCCTGTAGTCCCAGCTACTCGGGAGGCTGAGGCAGGAGAATCACTGGAACCTGGGAAGCAGAGGTTGCAGTGAGCCAAGATCACACCACTGCACTCCAGCCTGGACGACAGAGCAAGACTCTGTCTAAAAAAAAAAAAAAAAAAAAAAAAAGAAAAGAAATTACAATCTTGAACTACCTGTTGTTCAATTCCTAAAAATATTTGCCATATTTATTTTGCCTAGTGTTGTTCTTTTTGGTATGAGAGCAAGTCCAGTTTCATTCTCTCAAGATTGCAAGGGGAAGATGCCAAAGTATAACCCTTTAAAATACATACAATTCACTATTTGTTACACATTATTCTATTAGCTGCACGTTTCTCTTAACCGCTGCTTCAGCAAATATACAGTAAACTGAAAACTGAAATTACAGATGGTATACTGAGACATTTTCTTGTTAACAAAGTGTGCTTCAGTCTATACAAACGCAAAATGTACAAGTTGGAGGAAAAAAAAAAAAAAAAAAAGCTATGTGTGTTTCCTGGACCTAAAGATTCACGGCAGGAAGGAAAGATTGGAAGAGTTGGCCCAGACAACAATTCTACTATCTTAAGTGGTAAAACCAAAACTAAATTCTAGGACATACTTCAGAATATGTCTGTATAGATAGGAGAACATTGTCCTGGCACATGTGACCTTAAAGTTAATTATGGGAATAACAACCAACCCTCCAAACAAGGAGCGTGTGCTACCTTTGAGGCAGTTTAATTGAGGACCAGGCTTTTGAGAAGAGTCAGACAAATTTATATGTTTTCTCCAGCCGAAATTTCAGATTGCTTTCTCCATGAAAAGAGAAAGAACAAAGTATCCTCTAACAAAAGATTTTCCCAGAGGCATCACAAAACCTAGATATTCATGATAATCCAACTATGATTCTTGATAATCTAAGTATACGTTAGAGGCCCAAATGTATGCAAAAGATAAAACAAAAGGAAATAGAATATTAATAATTTTGCAAAAGTTAGAGAAAAATATCCTAAGAAAAGGGTAAATGTTGATTATAAAGAGCAATTGCTGAGTTTCAAGTAGTAATATAGGGGTAACTATTTAAGCATCATAAGAAAATGTGAAGGAGGAGGAGAAGGAAGAAGAGAAAGGAGGAGGAGGAGGAGGAAGGGTTCTCTATCCCTAGTTTGTATATAATGGCTACTGTTCTAAGCTTTTCACCTGGATTCATTAATTTAGTCCTCCCTGCAACTCTACAAACAGGCGTTGTTAAAGAGGCTAGCTGACCGCCAAAGGATCCTATTTCCCCTCCTTAGTGTAGAGTTACTGCTGGAGGCAGCTGCCCAGCTAGGACGACATTTCCCTGCTCCCTTATATCTAGGAATGGGATGTGCATTGTGCTTGTGCATGAGGTGTGATGTGTGTCGTTTACAGGCTGTAGCTGTGTGTATCAGTTCTTCTTTTCCCACAGCGTCATTCCCCTTCCTCAGTAAATTTGGAGGCCACATGTGAAGATGATGTAACCAGAATATGGAAGCAACATGGCTCCTAAACCACTAATTACAGAGGATATACTCAGATAGGAATACTTATGTTGAACAAGTGCCAGATTTTATTTTGTCAGGCCATTGAGAATGTGGGATTTATCAGTTATATCCACTAGCATTACCTTAATAAATAGAACAATAAGGTGACAAATCAAATATTTTATCTCCATTTTATAAAGAAACTGAGGCACAGGGAGAAAATACCATCAGTAGTAGAATAAGGAAATTTTCTATTTCATTTAATTCTGCAATTAATATAATTTTCCAAAGCACAGTCAAGAGAAATAGTGAACTCTAACCAGTGATCTGACTTTTCATTGAATATAGAAGTTAATAAAGTCTATTGTCCTCTATATAAATTGTTAAAAAACATGTTGGTTCATTGGAACAATTACAACAAAAATGATTGCGTAATACAATGATTAGCTCAGTAATGATGTCTATAATTTTAGAATTAACATTACAAGTTTCTTTGTGTGTGAAATCAGATGTGTGGGTTGGAATGACTCAGGTTGGGGTAGAAAGGCTGAGCTAGTGGCAAAAGAGGAGCCTAACTCACAAGCTTGGGCTGAATGAGCCCAAACAGAGTTCAGGCACTGGCTTTGAAATCATTCTTACAATTTTGTCCAAGGGCCAAAAACAGTGATTAGAACCTGTATATAAATATGCCTCTATTCTAGGCTTTTTGGTACTGTTTCTCTTTCTATATTAAATATTAAACACAAAAGAAACTTAGAATATGTTAGCAAAGAGTAAAGACGTCGAGGACAATGTGTTCTAGTTTACAATGAAATGCAGATTTCCCATTAAAAAAAACAAATATTTCATTTCCAATTAAACAGGTTAATACTTAAGAGAAAGAATCCCACTAAAAAAAGCATCTAGTCCAAACTATTCTCGAGTACTCTGTCCATTGCACTTTGTTGATTATTTATTAAATACATTTTTATGCACTTTAATTCTTTGCTACCCTGTCCCATATTGTTCTCCTACAGTAGGTTTTTACACATCTAAACGTGATTTTGCCTTCCACAGTATGTGTTTTACTTATGCTTATTCTTATTTTAAAATAAATCAATGTTTGTAGATGTGATTTTATTAAATAATTGTGCCACTAAAATTTACTGGGAATTTGGTCATTTAGTTCCCTGTCCTTATCCCATGGGTTTTTTGTTGTTGTTGTTTTTTTTTCAAAGTGTCTCTTATCTTTTAAGCTGATGGCTGGACAGAAATCTCTGTGAAGACTCAAGTTTTCACTAGTCATTGTTATTGATTTTTGTGGTTGTTTTGTTTTGATTTTGTTTTTGTTTTTTGAGATAGGATCATGTTCTGTTGCCCAGGCTGGAATGCAGTGTGGTGCTGCAACCATAGTTTACTGCAGCCTCAGACTCCTGGGCTCAAGCAATTCTTCCACTTCAGCCTTCCAAGTAGCTGGGATTACAGGCACCCTCCACTGCAGCAATCTGCCTTTGCTACTATTTCAGTACTAACATGGTTATAAGTTCCCATTTCCCACCAATGTTGCTCTAAGCTTTAATTTTTTGGACATATACAAATAATCATATAATTTGGGAAAAAGACAAAAAGCTATTTAAAGGACATACAACAGAAGAATAGCATAGGTACCTAATATCCAAGTAATTCCCAAATGTCATTTCTGAGAGTTTCTTAAGGCAAAAGATCACTGAGGCCTTGAGACCTGGGGGAACTATGTAATCCAAATTGGCAGAAAGAAAAGTATCTCAGAAGAGAAGACGATTATATTTTATGATTTCATTCAACAAATAAGATATTGCTCTTAGGTGTCAAGACCTGTCGTAAGATCTGGGGAAACAGATTGTGCCCTGCAAAATATGCTCAGTCGGTGGGACATCAGTGGGCACATTTTCTAATCTTGCCAGAGCTCTTGGTGTTAGAAGAAGCCTTGATTAAGACAGATATGGTCCTGCCTTCAAGTAGGTTGGAGGAAAGGAGATAGATATTACATCAATAAATAAATAAAACAATATAAAGGCACAAATTGTGGCAAGTGCTGTGAAGGAAATATACAGGGTGCTAAGAAAGAATTACAGGGGCCAAGTGAAGGTTTCCTAATGTTCCTCATCGCTTCTCTGGTGAAGTGATATTCAGGCTGAAACCCAGTGGAGGAAAGGGAATGTGGCAACATGGAAACGGGAGGTGTAGTGGACAGCCCAAGCAGAGGAAACACCCTGCATCAAGTTTCTCAAGCTGGAAAGAACCCCATGACAAAGAACGTGAAAGAAGACCAGAGTGACCTCAGTGTCTATCGGGTTAGTCCAAAACTGGCAATAAAAGTACAACATTTTTGGCAGAGCCCTAATGTCAAGTATATTACTCTTCCATTTTAACATCAACTCTTCCAACTTCTCATTTTCTGTTAATCCTTGGCTAGGTCACATTTTTCTTAGAAGCACTTGGAGGCAATGTGTTTTGTGAGTGGGGGCACCGGTTCACAAATTCTGTCTTATTGCAGATTGGAAAGCCCTCTAAAAACAACGCAAACTCAAGCATAGCAGGAGCCCCTGCTTAAGAGCGTAACCTTGAGTACCCTGCAGCTCACAAAGTCTGAGGTCCAACAGAGGCCTAATATGCAAGAAACCTCAGAGGCATATGAGAAAGATTTTCCTTTCTAACGGCAGAAAGAGTTGAAGAGGTCAAGTTTGGTCCATTGAGATCATAAGGAAAGGGTAATATTGAAGTCTACCAAGGCAGGTCCTACTAACATCGTCCCATAGTTTCACTTTCCTCACTGGAGACTGTGCCTGTGGAGAGGCCTGCGGTAGGGAGATGGCTAAAATAAAATAAAAAAGCCGTAACAAAAACTCCACTTAAGATATAAGAAGAGTCACGGGAAACTCAAAAGTCCACATTTCCTTCTTTAATGTTACCATCGAAGTCATGGGAGCAGAAAAATATGGGCGTATATTACCATGGCCACTTGGATTGGAGGCAGCTATAGGCAAATGATAAGGACAATAAATGAATAAGCACCTATAATGTGCTAGGCACTGTTCCAGGCTCTAGGTGTAAAATTGATACAGTCCCTGCCCTTACAAGATAGGAGAGAGCCACTAATCAATAATTATGTCAATACATAAATACAAATTGTGACAAATCCTATAAAAGAACTATGTAAAGTATCAGGTAATCCTGTTAGTTGTGTGGCTTTGGGCATGTTGCTTAGTCTCTATGGGCTGCAGTTGTTTAATTCTCTTTGTCTTTCTGTTATGGTAATTAAATAAGATAATGCATATAGACCACCTACCATGCACTTGGTGTGTAATAGACTCAGTTAATGGAATCTATTAATAATATTTGGGAAGAATATGAGGAGTCAGCAATTATTCAAGTTGTGGCTGATTTAGAGGATTGTTCTTTTGAACCTTGTTACTGTGATCCTTTCGTGACCCAACCTCATTTTTGTCTGGGGAAACGTAGATTGCCCTGATATTAAGGGTGCAGTAGCTCTCAAATTTTTCTTTATATAACCCCGTGGTTCCCCCACCATGGAGCACTAGAAATGGATACAAATCCAGATTTTGGACAACTGTGGGTATTCTACAACTTCTCAAGGTAACAAACTAAAATTTGATAACTTAGGTTGCGTTTCAAGTCTACATCGAATGGTCTGTTAGCAAATTGCATACTCACTTCCTGAAAGTATTTGGAATTACAAAACTAATCTTACTGGAACAAGGTATTGAAAACACATTTAAACTGAATATTGAGATGCTTTTAAACGGATATACTGTGGGGTTTTACCACATGCATTATTTGGGAAATGGAAAATTGTCAACACTTTTTTAGTCTGTCTTGTGGGAATTCACCCAGCCTCATACTGTGCCTATCACTTCTCATTAAACAAGTGAAAGAAACCCTATACCTTTATAAATTGTGCATTATTCTTCAAACAGATGTGGTAGCCTTGAACTAGCTTTAAGCTATCTTCAAAATATAAATCACAAAAAGTAGAATGTGAGTGCAATATATTATTCACAACACATTGAATGTGAGAACACCTCCAACTTCTCTAACCCAAATCAAAGACTAATAACATAAATATTTCCACAAAACAGCTGCATTGTAAGAAACAGGCTAGTGAACTAGCTAGTTTAGAAGAAGAGAATGGCCTTAGCCATGAGTCCTACCACAAAATGCCTACTTCAGTTTCTGGCACATAGAATATGCTCTGTTCTTCTTGCTCCATTATTCCTTGCACTCTAATGACAAATCCAAATGTCTATACAGGTTTTACTTATGTACCTGGCTTTGTTGAACTACCCATCCTTATATCCCTGCATTCTTCAGATAATTGAAACATTGACTTTGAAACTGATTTTGGGGGCGGTGGAGTAAGGAGCATTTTTTTAAATGTAAAAGTATATCCTGTTTTTAAAAAAAAAAAATGGTAGTTTGAATATTATTTGAATCTTTCTTCGTGAATCAGGCCATTTTTATGAATATCATATCCTGAACTGTGCAGTACCTTTGGGGATCATCAATTTTCTTATCTGTGCTCTACCCAAGAATTCTGGAAATCTATTATGCAAAATGCTATTTCCTTATGAACCACTGCATTTTTAAACATAAACATACCAGTTAGGTTTTTTTTTTTTATTCATAAGGCTATAGGTAATGCCTATTCATATGCAGACTATGACTAGATAAAATAATTTGAGCCAATGATGAAGTACCTGGGTGAGATGAAGTACCAACCATATCACCAAATGTTCTCTATAATATTAAGGGAAAAAAATGCCTATCCTATTTTTGGATATAAATCCAAGGAACAATGTCTTCCCTCTTCCCACTTCTATTTGGTGATCATTAATCTCATTCATTTACTATCTTCCAATGTTAGACCATTCAGAGATGCTCATTAGATAGGTAATTTATCCAGTGCACATGAAATCCTTGAAGGCCAGCTGCCATATCGGAGCCAACAAATAAATAAAACAGTTATCCAACTAGCACAAACTTTATCAACCCACAGAATTATTTTCCTAACTTCCCAGCCTCTTGAGCTACACAGGCAATTCTTTTTTCTTGTAATATAACAGAAGAAGAAACAGAGAAAGAGAGAAAATAACCAAAACCAAACAAGTTAAAAATTCTCCCCTACAACAAATTGGTCTCAAACACATAAGCAAGTAGTTTGCAAAACTGTCAATGGTTTTTTTTTTTTCTGTTATTTTGTTTTCTTTTGTATTTATATCTTTAATAAGCGTTGCTGCAAAAATTGTACAGGCTACTTTCTCTTTTAGAACTCTTTGGTTACCTAGGGCATCTGCATAAAACATAAGAGGGTATTTAGTTTTCACTCATGTTGAGTGGCAGCAGAACTTATTCTAACAGCTACACTTTGCAGAGCAGTTGCAGAAAATAATTACCAGGTCAAGCAGACCCTTTATCCTCAGAAACCAGCCATCCAAAGTCCCACTGAAAGATCTAAAACTTTTTAACTTTCATTCTGAATAGTCCCTTTGGATGCAAACCTTCTTAAAGTACACTATGAAGAGTCAGTTCTAAGAGGCCTTCCAGTTATGAAGTGAATGAGGCAAATTATGACTCCTAAGCTTATATTTCTCTGTTAGATATTATCTCATATCCTTACATAAAGTCTGATTTATACAAATTGGCTCACTTTCTGAGGATTTGCTTTTATTTTTAATGCAGCTTTTCAGTCAAACTTCACTTTCGGTGGAAACACATTTTTGATAGCCAGGGCTGAACATAAAATTCCATTATTTAAGTGGCAAAGAGTTGGTAAGTCAAGTCCACGAGGCCTGTGGTAGTAGCTTACTCTGTTTGTGGTTTCTACTTTGTTAGACTCTGTGGAGCCATGAATCTATCTTGTCCTTAAAAAACTGAAAGAGGGGGCTTTTAAAATGAATGTAATGCTTAATTTATGTGCCCCAGGAGCAGCATATGAGGGCTTCTGGACTGATTAGACCCAGATGTTGGTAACAATGTTAGTGTTATGGACCAACTGCAGGTGTGGGAATAGATCCCCTTCCCTGGGACCCTCAGCAATCAGACCAGTGGTTTCTTCTGGCTCTCAGTTTGGAGTTTTCAATTAACACTACAATGGTATTGTTGTTCTCCAATATTAGATCGTATGTCACGTAAATGAAGCTGAATATACAGTTAAACTTGACAAGGTGATTTAGGCCAAGAATACATGTGTTCAGTATTATAACTTGATTGAGGTTAAATAATAATAATAAAAAAGCCCTGACATGCTATAAAGTTTTTATTATTTGGCTTATCAGTAGATTTTCACATTATACTTTCATAAAACAGAATGTCATTTATAGCAGGGCGAGACGCTTATGAAAAGGGAGACACAAACCTGCTTATAAGTGACTGAAATGATTAATGCCAGATTGGAGGCTTTTATAGAGTCAGTATGGCAATTGGAAGTTCTCTGTGTGCTTTTTTATTTGCTTACTTCTATTTTCCAAAATTCTGTCTTAGTTCTTTATCCTCTCCCTTAACGTGAGTGATCAGTACCTACATAATCACCCCCATTGGTGAGAGCAGCAGTGTTTGGGATGGTTCTGAAATATTATTTGGCTAAAGCAATGAATCCAGCTCATCAATGACCAGGACCATATTCCACTGTCCTATGGGTGTCATGATGCTTTGGAGAGTAACCCAGCTCACTAAAATGTATTATGATAGCTGTCATAACTTTGAATTAGACTCTAAGCTTCTCAGGGCAGGAACCTTATCTGTTCAACGTGTTTATAAGTGCCACAGAACTGATTGATTGTCCCATTAATAAATACCAATAAAAACAACTTCAGAGGTCCATTTTGTACTTCATTCGTAGAACATTTATAATGCTCATTAATGTTGATGGACCATGCACAGCACAGAGCTCTCCCATTTTACTTATGCCTTCGTTTGTTGCTGCAATCTCTTAGAGACCAGACCACGTTGTAAGTCAGCTCAGTAAAATGTACGTTGTTGTGCCAGCACCTAGGGAAAGCTTTACGTCCTACAAATGCATGCATTACAAATTCAAAGAAAGACAAGGCTCATTTTTTTTTCCGAGAGCACTAATAAGCTAAAGCTGATGGACTAATTCTTTACGACCAAATGCCATGACAACTCGAAGCAACTTCTTTCAATGAATGATAAATAACTGTAAAAATGAAGTTAGTTCTGAGATTTAAACCTAACCTCTCTGTCAAGATCAGAAATGGTGAACAGTATTCCTCTCTTTTTTATCACAGCCTATATTTTGGTACACATAGTGTTTCCTCTTTAAATTTATGAATTTTTTCACTATAGCTAGGAACATTGATCCCTGGTATAATTACAAAGTCTGTGGCAAATTACTAGTGAGTCTCAGTTTACTTATCTGCAAAATGATCATAACGTAAGATGGAATGAATGAGCTAGTAATCTCTGAGGAAAAAGTCAAGCGTTCTTTGTGCATGAAATCTTTCAAGACACTAAGAATACTCAGTCAGTCCAGCATTTAGTCAGCAAATATTGAGGGTCTATAATGTGCAAGGTGCAGTGTAGGACACTTAGATACAAAGATGAAGGATGCACAGTCCTTTCCTCAAGGAAAGACAGATCCTAAACCTAAGTGCCACAAAACAATTCAACAACAAAATTAAGAAATGAATCAAACACCTATGACTGTATGATTTTTAAGGCTGCCCTATTTGTTCTTAATACAAAAAAGACTATAAATTGAAGCATTTACATTGTGGAAAAATGTGATTCAAGTAATGTAGTGAAGGCCACTGTCAGCACTGATTAAAACAAATGAAAAGGTTTGACATGGCAAGTGAAGATGTTAGGTCACTGACATAAAAGAAATTCTTATTCTTTACTGTTCCAGGACATTCTAAGTATACTTGTCATTAATTTTTATCTAGATATTCCTCTCTAGCTTTTCCTAGAGTCCCACCAAATGTTTATAATCTATAGAGCACTACATAACTGTCCCCATGTGCAATGATAAAATGCAGCCCATTGATTTTTCTGCCAAGTAGGTAGAAGAGTTACGAATTCAGTTATTTCATATTATATGACCCCCACATTACAGTAATGTACTCCTTCCCCACCTCCAATGGTGTCCAAAAGCATGAAGAAAATGAGAAGTAATGATGTTAGTGACTTAAATTACCATTCCAAAAATAATTCATTGTGTCACCTAACTTTCCAGGGCAGTTTCCAGAAGCTACCACATTCACTATAGTGCAAAGCGGAAGCATAGCAAGTAAACATTTTTGCTACAAAGAAATCAAATGGTACACTGGTTTAAGATAGTCTCTATTATTTTCAAACCACTTTCAAACAAACAATAAACAATGACTGTCTATGAGAAACATCAATATGCAACTAAGGAACTACTTATATCATAGACATTTCATTGGAATCTTAGTATATTTAACAACACTTCAACAAACTATTCCAGTATTACTCATGACTCTATAAGGAAAGGTACTATTCATCCTGCATCACTGATGAGAAAACTGAGGACAAATTGGCAGTGCAACTTATATATCGCCACATCGATCTTAAATTGACTAAGAAAGCAATCAGAATTGTAAATGCCCCACATTCAACATTTAATTCACTGTTGCAAACACTTTGTGAGCCTCAGAGTAAGCCATCGTGCTATGTACTTATAGAGTAGGAGATAAACATGAAGAAAATCTTGTCTACTTTAGGGAACTCAACAAAAAAAATTACTCTAGACATCTAAATGTTAACAAGATTTGGGGAACTCTGATAACATGTGAGGCATCTTGGGCCGTCTGTTCTTCATGATAGGAATCTCTATGATATGCTGAGCCCAAGGTCTACCCACGTATTACCTGCAGTGTTCCAAGGTGAGCTGTCTTCAGTCAGTCACACAAATGGTTCTAATGAGCTGGTGCTGCCCACCCTGTGGTAAGAAAAGGACTCTTGTCTAAAGCCACAGTCATCAAGTACCTGTTTAAGAAAAGCAAGTCAGCATTTTGGATCTTTATTATCATGAACAGAACTTTTGGGCCCATGATAAAGTCCAAATTCAGTCTTTTACCTTATTTGAAATATAAAAAGACAACCTATTTCATGAGCTATATATATCAAAAGTGCAAGCAAACAATCACAATTTCTTTAAAGGGATTTACAGATATTATTTATTCTTCCCCAGAATAGATATGCAAAAAGGGGTGACAAAAACAAGACTTGCATTATAAAAAGGAAGTCATCACACTTTATTAGCTGCATCCGTTCCCATAAGAAGGAAAAAGTGACCACTTGTTGGTATCTAGAGTCTCAAGCACTGTAACGAGTTTTCTTCAAGATTCCCCAAGAGTAGGGAAATAATTTATTCTTAAAACTTTTAAACCATTGATCCATTCTTCTGCTTTCTAATGGATCTCATATTGCATCTCACTGGTGAAAAAATTCTCTATACTCAATCTTACCTTTCTTAGATGGTAGTAGGTGAGGAAAAGAAGAATGAACTGTCTGAGAAGTTGCGGCTGTTCTGTCCTGGTAAGTACAGGAAGAAGAGTGGATGGACAATCCTCCAACAAGTAGAGCACATCCATATAGCCCTGAATATGCAAAAAGGAGCATTAAATAACACAAAAATATGGGCTGATGGTAATTGAAAAATAAGTAGATATGAGCAAAAAAACATTGGGCTTCTGCCAAAGACGATCTACAAAGAGGTCACTCTACATCCATAGATTATAAGAAGGAACTTCCCAGCTCTTTCATATTTAGAATTAGAGAAGTCCAGTAAATACGGTTTGCACACACTTGGAAAGAATTCAACATTAAGGTTGTTGAAGTATTGTGCAGGTGTGCAGATCTTTGAGAATTTCTTGCATATACATGTATGTGTATGTAAAAATTATGAAAACAGATATTTCTGGGAGAATACAGAAGAAATACAAACACTGGGCTCCTGGGAAATAAGACTAAACAATTGAGTTGAGGGAGTAAAACATTCACTTAGAAAAAATACTCCTGTGCTATTTAATTTTTTTTTTTTTTTTGATACAGGGTTTCACTCTGTCACCCAGGCTGGAGTACAGTAGTGCAAACATGGCTGACTGCAGCCTTGACCTCTCTGACTCAGGTGATCCTCCCGCCTCAGCCTCCCAAGTAGCTGGGACTACAGGTGTGCACCACCACCCTTGTCTAATTTTTGTATTTTTTTGTAGAGACGGGTTTTTGCCATGTTGCCCAGGCTGGTTTCAAATTCCTGGGCTCAAGCAATCCTCCTGTCTTGGCCTCCCTAAGTTCTGAGAATACAAGTGTGAGCCACCGTGCCTGGCCTGTTTGATAATACTACATTTACATATCTAAAAAAATAAATAATTACCAAATTTGATTAAAACTAATTGTGCCTGAAGACAAAAAAAAATAGAGACAAATAACACAAGGAAGTCTACCTCTGAGCCTTGAAACTAGCTTTAATTAGGGTCTTGGACACATGGAAGGATTTTGCCCATATGATCAGAAGGGTATATCTCTTTAAAATAGGAGAATAATCAATACTGGTTTTTCCATCCCCAGCTTCCATCCTTCTGTATATGCAAGCAAATATATCCAAATAAGTATTTGGATTCTGTACTATAAGTATAATAGTACTTATTAATACAATATTGTTTTAAGATTAAATCAAAGAAACAATTTGCAGAAGTTTTCATCAGAAATTGTCTTTAAAATCTTTTGTTTTGTCTTCTCCTCTTCCTTTGGTTGATTTCTCTTCTTTGTCCCACCTATTTTGATGTTTGTTCCCATCCTTGCCATGCTTATTTTCTCAGTCCACACCTCCTTCCTGGGCAATCTAACTCATTTCATGTCTTCAGCTAGTCTCACATATGTCAATGACTCCTAAATCTATAACTCTTACCCCCAAATTCTCTCCTGAACACAGGATGCAACTTCTCTCAGTTAATTGACTACCTCAACTTTGATTTCCTGCATCATATTTAGTACACCTAAAACTGAACTCATATCTTTTCCTATTTCTAGCAGCGCCATTAGTAACATTGTCATTTCCCAGTCAGATTTAACATCATTATCTAATTCTTCCTCTCTCATTTACCCTTAACATCCAATTCTGTCAACACAATCTCTAAAATGTCTCACAAGAAAAACAAAATAAAGCCCCGTCTTTGTAACTGCTTTAGTCCTGTCTTGTCTATCTCTTGCAACAGATTTTTTTTAACTATCACCCTGATCTTTAATGCTCTTCTCTTAACTTTTTCTTCCTCAATGCCACTAGATATTGAAACTCTCTGTTAAACAATCTTCAAAGGCTCCTCACATCCTAGAGGATTGTCATAGATCCACCCTCTCTATGCTGGCTTATCTCCATAATTCTGTGTTTTAGCCAAACAGAACTTCTTGCTTTTTCCTTAGACTATGTCATTCACTTTCATGCCTTTGCATCTTTCATCTTCAGCTTCTTCAGCCAGAAATACGACGTGTTCCATAGGGTCACATGAGGTGATATCTTTTTCTAGGCTTCACCTTCCTTCTCCCACCTGGGGGCAGTGCTGTGTCGGAGGTGGGAGAAAGAGCCAAGAAAGTGAAGAAAGGACCTATTGTCAACTCATTGCCAGGAAGTGTTTTGTCAAACAATGCTTAAAACGTGTTAGACACCATGACAATTGTTAGTCAAAAAGTTGAATAAAAGTCACAGGTGTTTCTGAGGATTATCCAGCATAGAGGAGAAAAAGACATAAAGTTGGAAAATAAACTGTCATCTCTTTTGCATCAGTAGAGCTGAGAAATAATGACGCTGGTCTCTGGAGACTCTGAGATGCCATCATTTTATACATCTTACTCACATACGGATAATTAAATGTAATTGTCTGATGACAAGAGAGGGATTGTCCTTTGTAGCTAATGCATTCTTATGAGTAAATAAAACGCTAACCAAATGTTAAAGTAAGCATTCAGATATAAATAAACTACAAAGAAACAGAAATAAATTATACTTAAATAGAGTGAATTGGACACATGGAGTATACCCATTGTAAACTCACCCCAAAAAATACTGCTAAGCCAAGCCAGTCCAAGCTCATTTATCCTAAAAAGCATGTGGTACAAGTGCACAGCACTCAACAATAATACTTCAAGAACCTGAGCAAATATATGTTGCTTCTCAGCAAAACCTTTCTGTATTAATGCTTCCCTGGAGATAAATTTTGTCTCTAAAAAATATTAGAAAAAGAAAATATTGTTTGGCCCACTATGTTTTCAAGTCAGTGAGTATGGGTAACTAAAAGGATGAAACAACAGAATAAAAAAGCATTTTATTTTTGAAGGCAAATCAAATAGGTGTGCATCTTAAACAAGAAGCAACAATACCTTTAAATTTGTGAAATAGCCTGCATTGGAAACATCCTACCATCACTACCACCACATGCTACATACCTTTGAGAAGTCTGCAAATAGGTGTCTACCTTCAGAGATCTATGATGAAAAGAACTCCTTTTGGTGACCAATATTCTTTATCTGTTTGCATCTACCATCCAGGTGTTGCGGGTCCCACAGAACTCCTGGATGAAAGCCACTCAGAATATTCCTTATAATTTCCTCTTGCCTTTGAAAGCCAAGATGAAAGTGGGAGCAGTCAGGATGATCCAGCTGAACATCCAGAAGGAGAAGGCTTGGACTCTGCTTCATGTACACTTCAACTCCTATCTTGCTTATTTCACTCACCAGTCATCTCCTCCTGTGGCACTGCTCACAGCTCTCCGGGCTGCACTATAGGGTGATGGAAAAATATCATGTTAGTCTCTGTATTAGTCCGTTTTCATGCTGCTGATAAAGAGATAACCAAGACTGAGTAATTTATAAATAAAAAGAAGTTTAATGGACTCACAGTTCCACATGGCTAGGGAGGCCTCATAATCATGGCAGAAGGCAAAAAGCACATCTTACATGGTGGCAGACAAGAGAGAATGAAAGCCAAGCAAAAGGGGAGACCCCTTATAAAACCATCAGATCTCATGAGACTTATTCACTACCACGAGAACAGTATGGGGGAAACCACCCCCATGATCCAATTATCTCCCACCAGGTCCCTCCCACAACACATGGGAATTATGGGAGCTACTATTCAAGATGAGATTTGGGTGGGACACATAGCCAAACCCATATCAGTCTCCCTTCTCTCTGCCATACTTCAGGCTCACATCCCCACTCCTACCCAAGTCCAAGCTAAAGACTGTCGAGAAACACAATGTTTAATGGTTGGAAACCAATTCACTATGGAAGACTGATTGCAAATGTTGCCCCAGTTTTCCAGACTCCTAATTGTGACTTTGCAGCTACACTCTTCAACTTTTTTGTAGCTACTTCCCCTCTCCTTGCATCTGGGCTGCCCTTGTGACTTATTTTGACAAAAAGGGTCAGTGAAACTGACACTGTCATAGTACAGAGCCTAGGCCTCAAGTATCCTTGCTTGCCTTCTCTCTTTCTTAGAAGCCTGGTACTGCCATGAACATAAACCCAGCTGACCTGCTTGCAGATGAGAGACTGTAAAGAAAAAGGCTGACTCAGTCCAGTCGTCCAAGCCTAGGCCCCAGACATGTGAGAAAGCCCAGCAGAATCAATAAACCTGCCTTGTATGTGACTTGTGAGCCAGAATGCAACTCTCCTCTCCACCCAAAGACTCATGAGCTAAGTAAATGCTTACTGTTTTATACTGGGTTGTGTGTTATGGTTGCTCGTTACAGTGCATATTGTGGGAGTAGATAGCAGATACACTCTTTTGCTGAGAGAATATGCTGACCTGGAGCCATCAGTAGAAACACTGTTACACTGGCATAGACCCCCTAAATTATCTGTGAGAGCAACAGCAGAACTCTAGTAATAATAGCCATACACAAATCAAAGATAAGCCCAAGAACCCAGAGCTAGGTCCTGGGGCAGAGACCAGTAAGGCAGGAGTTAAGCCCAGATATCAGGGTTTAAGGCCAGGAGTTGATGATAGGAGCCACAAGCAGCAGACCAGGCAGAGTAAAATAATTCACCCAGTCAAGAATTATATCACAGCTTGAATCAATAGGGGAGGAGTCAGGATTCAAGCCTGTGGTATAAGTCAGGAAAAAGGATCCGTCTAGGGCTAAGGAAGGCAGTTAACATAGTCAAGAACCCCAGGAGTTCTTCAGTTGCAGCAACTAGTATAATGCCTACACATCCCAACCACCCAACAAATGTGTTGAATGAATGAATGAATGGCTGCAGTAAACTTATGACTTAAAGCTAAGTAATCCAAGCACTAGCATTGAGAAATTGATAAAAGGTTGATCCACAGGGACAATGAATGGTACAGAGCTTTTGGAAAGTGAACTCTTATAATTAGAATGTTTATAATCATTTATTTTGTAAAGGTGACTTTCTATCCCTGGACCTTTCATACAAGAGGCATTTAATAATGTTTATTGAATTGTATTGTAGGGTATAATGGTGTAAAAATGTTCACTTCATTTATTTTAGATATCATGATATGATTATGAGGGGTTATCCAAACTATTACCACCGCCATCACCTTCTTGGAGCAAGTGCAGTTTCTTGATACTTAATGTATTTGTGTTCAACTGAACTAGGATCATAAAATCAGAGCAGATATCCCAAGGAAGCTACTCACAGTCTCCCTTCAGGTTTGCCTTCAACAAAGCCCCACACTTAAAAGTATCGCCAAAGATTATCAAGAGGCCCTAGTTCCAGAAGTGGAGGTGAACAGAACCTGAACTTGTTGCTTGTTCTTAAATGGACATTCACCAGGTGGCACAGAGTGACTTTATCTGGATACTGGACAGACATGATTTCATGAATTTTGCACTTCCAAAATGCTAAAATACTATATTATCCACACAATTGAAAAGTAGAATTGAATACGCTCATCGATAAGATTTCAAAGACTATCATTAAGGGATATGCCAGCTGAAGTTTCCTTTACACAAAGGGCAGTGAGGGGCTGTCTTCTGCTGGTGTTAGTAATTATCCAGCTTTGATGAGTAATAATACAAACAAGAAGGCCAATTACAGTCCTGGGATCATCAGTTGTAGAACTTATGATCCTCTGTGATAGGCTTCCTTTATTGATTAACTTTTTTCATGCAGTAGTCAAGGACCCGGGGAAGCCTTTTCACAATAGCTTTTTGTTAGTATTAAATCTGCCTTTTTCAGTGACATAAAATGGAAAGTTTAACAATACGGGTTTCAAGTAAAAGAATCAGCATTTCTGAACAATAATGCTGATAAAACACCTATCATTTTGTTTTGTTATTTTCTCCAACTTACTATGGATAACAAAATTAGTTCACCCAGGAAAAACACTATCAGGGTTCCATAGACATCTAAACTTCTAATTATATGCAACATCCTAAACATCAACCTCTAGAACATCTGGATATATAAAAATGTGGTATGGACTTTATGTTCATTGGATAATTTTAAAACAATCACCTAGTATAAATTTCACTACTCATTTTCTCTCTGGGTAGTTTTAGGAATGATTCTGTGTTTATTGTTTCTTGTAATACTATTTGTGTGTGTGTGTGTGTGAGAGAGAGAGAGAGAGAGTACTTAAAGCCTCACACATACTACATTCTGTAGCACTTTAGAAGCATCTCCAATTACTAAATTACTTTTTATAGAAATTAAGAAAAATCTTTTTACCATTTCCTCTGTATTTTGCTATAATCCAGCAAGGATTAAAAATACTTATTTAGACTCTCTTACTAAACTGTTTTAATAAGTGAAGTTATATTAGAATGCCTTGACTTTTCAAAAACAGACTAGCAAGTTTGTTTGAAAACCCATTCTTAACCATATTTGATTATTATTCTTTCCCAACTTAAAATCCCAAAGTGTAAAATTACTCAAAGTGGAGGAAAGTTAACAGGAGTATGGGTCTATATCTGTATTTTTCAAATTTTTGATTCATGTCAGGAAATCTGAAAATTGCTTCATCAGATTTTCATAAAAAGGAAATAATTCTGCCAAAATTGTAGCATTATGATATAAATATGGGTATTGACAACTTGCGGGGGACTCTTTGAACATCAATCTAATTAATTACTTATCTTCTTGTCATAGCAATCACTTACTCTTAGGTGCCCTAAGGCAGAATTGCTGGGAGGGTTGGACGGTGGAGAAAGCTAATAGTCAGAAGATTAAATGTAGCATGAATTTATGGAGGTGAATGATAGCACTTAAATGTGCCTAACCCCAAAATGTGAAATATTCTGAGCTTCTGATGACACATCACTAAATCGAGACATAAAGTTCTGATCTAATTATGGACTTGACTTTGAACCTAGACAGAAAGTGATAGAGAGGCAGTGATAGAAAGAAGATATGATGGGAGTGGGTTGAAGAACTGGGAAAGGAATGTACAGATAAATCTAAAGGCAAGAAAATACATATGCATCATAGTAAAGTACCCTTTCAACCCAAAATTATAGCAAGAAATAACATTATCTGATTTTAAATTTTACCCATATTAGAGTTCTCTAGTGAAATAGAACCAATAGGATAGACAAACAGATTGGCAGAAAGACAGATAGATAGGTAAAGAGGGTTTTTATTATAGGAATTGACTCGTAATCATAGAGACCGAGAAGTCCCACAATATGCTACCTGCAAGCTGAGAACCAGGGAAGCCAGTGATGTAATTCATCTGAGTCCAAAGGCCTGAGAACCTGTAGGACCACTGGAGTCTGAAGGCCCAAGAACCTGGAGTTCTTATCTCCAAGGGTAGGAGAAAAAGGATGCCCTACATCTCAAAAAGAGAAAGCAAATTCCCCCTTCCTTCTCATTTTTGTTCAATCTGGGCTCTCAACATATTGGATGATGCTTGCCTACATGAGTGAGAATGGATCATTTTTACTGAGTCTACTGATTCAAATGCTAATCTCTAAAAATGCTACCCACCCCTCACAGAAATGTTTTACCAGCTAAGTACCCCTTAACCCAGTCAAGTGGACACCTAAAATTAACAATCACAACCAGTTACCCCTACTTCCACCCATGCCGACCAGTATTTTGTTATGGTAAGAGTAAATTGAATGCAAGTGGGCAGGATGAAAGGGCAAAGCTAGCAACTTTGATAGCGCCCACAGTAGTTAAGAACACTCTGCTCAATTCAATTCGGTAATTAACTTATTAGTGTCTATCTTGTGTTTGGTGCTGTGCTTGGTACATAGAGACAAAGTTAAATGCCACAAGGCCCTTGACCTCAAGGAATCTGTAGTCTAGTGAGGGAGAGACACATTTAAACAAATAAACAAATGTCCATGTGATACAAGCAATATTAGAATCACAGAAGTGAAACAGACAAAGGAATGAGTCATTCTGTCTAGAAGGGAAAGAAAACAGGAAGTACCTCCTAAGCAAGGTTTTGAAGAATGAATATAAGTTCAAAGACAAAATAGGAAGGGACTGCTAAACAGATGGAACAGCATATGCAAAAATACAGACACAAGGAGCAGCGGGGTGTGAGAAGCAAGGCAGGTGGAAATTTTGAGTTCATTACATAGAGAGAGATAAGAATTGTGATGTGACCAGCCTTGAATTCTATGCCAAAGAACTTGCTTGGATTTTATCCTGTAGATAATACCCAAAATGGGAGGAGCTGAAACCTGGAATCAACAGGGTCAGTTTTGCCTTTTAGAAACAATGCCCACTACAGGAAGATGGACTGAAAAGTTGTAAAAATAGAAGCATAGAGACCCATAGGAGTCTCTGGTACAGGAAAACCTCCTTAAGTTCTCTTTCACGAATTGTGATTATCTAAGTGGAGAACTTTCTCCTTTTTAGAAAACAAGAAAAGGCTTACAAGGCAACTCATTTTGAGACCAATTTTTCAGATATGTATGCCTTTTAAAGATTTGGATCTGCAAGAAAAAAGGAAAATGGTTATTTTTAAACATAAAGTGATTGTGACACTTAGAGGCATCATTTATGGTCACTATTGCCTGGCATATGATGGGCACTAAATATTTATCTAATTAATTAATTAATATAATTGCCCTTTATATTGGGTCTTTTTTATCTTATTCACAAATCATCCTTGGCAATTTGACATTTTAAATAAAAACAGAGTTAGCTTAAAATACTTAAAAATAATCAAACTGAATTTATTTAAATTTTTTCTATAAATCAGACTTTTATTTAGTCAGGCTGCCCTTTACCCCAATTAATCCAAATCAGTGAGCTTTTACTGTAATTGAAAGTTGTGCGTACTTGCCATTTCCGCTGACCCTCTAAGAGCCTGTAATGGCAATTGGAAAATTTCCAAGGTGCTGGTACCTTTAGTTTCTCCTTTGCTCTTCTTACAGACAATAGAAGTTTGCATTGTCAAATGTAAATCTTCTCTGAAAACACCCCCTCATATCCTCAACACCTCCTTTAGAAATTTTGCTATTTCTTAACACTGATTTTACCTAACAAATCCTTAAATGGATTTTATGTAAGCTGCTTCTATTTACCATCTCCATTCATTTCAACCACTAGCCACGGGGCCTGAGACCTGAGTCAGCCTCAGCCTACCTCTCCCTCACTGATGCCATCAGGTGTCAAACCTTGTTCAATCGGCTACTGAAAAGCCTCTCAAATCGGTTGTTGCTACTCTAATTCTCCCCTCACTTCCTAACTTCAAGCTCTCACTATTTCTTGCCCAGACTGATATAATAAACCTCTTTCTAAAGGCTTCCCACCTCCAAATGTCATGGCCCTCCAATCCATCCAGAACCAATGCCCACTCTGATTCTTCTCTCACATGCACATCTGATTGGCTCTCCACTATTCCCAAGCCGGAATCCAAGCTTTTTAGCATGACCTAAATGGCCTTTTACCATGTCATCCCCAAACTCTTGTTGCCTATTTTCACACCTTTGTTACTTTTGCACATATTTTCCCCACCGTGTCAAATTATTCTCCGCCTAGCACCCTTCTTCAACCAGCAAACTCACATGCATCCTTTGAAGATAAGCTTAAGGGAAAAGGAACTGTTATATAGTTGTTAGGAGCATGAGCATCAGTGCACTTAAACCTAGGTGTGAATCTAGAACTGACTCCAGCTGCATCCCAGCTCTACCACCTCCCGGCTTTAGGACCTGTGGCAAATTACTCAGTCTTCCTGAGCCTCTGTGTCCTCTGTAAAAGGAGAAACATTAAACAGAGCATTGTTGTGAGAACTAAATCAGTCTTTGAGGTGCTCAGTCCAGTGCCTATAACGTAGCAACTGTGCAATAAAGAATGGCTATTAGTATTTTACAATTTCATCTCTTCTATGAAGTTCTCTTCCAGCCAACATCATTTCCTTAAGATATAATTGATTCTCATCGTGTGCTCTCAGAGTGTTTCGTTTCTACTTCTGTGGCACTTACCTTATTGTAGAATGCTTATTTCTTTAATAATAATCATGGCTAAACACTTATTCAGTACTTTCAATGTGTGTCACTTTTGTAAGCCCCCTACATGTATTATCAAATTGGACCCTCAAAAACTCCATGAGGGAGGTATGATTATGAAATGTATATTAGTGATGAGGAAACTGAAGCCAAAAAGGATAAGCCACTGGCCCAATGTTACTCTGCCAGGTGGCAGAACCAGAAATTGAAACCAGGCAGCCTTGCTCAAAACATATTCCTTTAACTACTATTGACATGGGAATATAAGCTCCTTGAGTACAGAAACTGTCCCTCACATCTCTATGTCATTAGTACATGCACAACTTCTACAGACAAGAGAGGTTCATTATGAGCATCTGAAGAGCTCTCAGAACAGAATGTCTGGCTGCCTCTGACCCAAGACATACTGAAAACCCAGCCGCAAAGGTCATCCATTCAAACTTGGTTTGTTCTTCTGTTTCCATCTACAAACTCAATTCCTCTGCTTTGGTCCAAGGGAAGTTCAGGGAATCTTATAATATTAAATGTGGTCCAGAGTCCTGCCGTCTACAAAGGAGGCAGTGAAGGGAGACTTCTGTGAGTTGAGAAGTTACTTCTAAAGATATGGACTATACCCAGTGAGCATTCAGGCCTTACATGTGTTTTATCACTTGGATGAATACAAAATTGTAATTGACAAGTTAGTCTCAAAGAATGCTGTGCTACTGCAGAGAATATTTTCCTCCTTGGTAATTTTCCAAATTTAAGAAAAGAGCATTCTGGGGCATTACCTTCATATTTACATTCAGAGAGATGGGTATAAACAACCAATTTTTTAAAAAATTATTCAGTGGGAAATAGCACGCTCGTGAAATGTTAAGTTTTTACCACCTAAAATTATATTACATTTGATATGGGAATAGGATGGTATATAAAAGCCCAGATACACATTTCATCATTTCATCATCTATTTCAGCTAGTTGTGCTCCTACCTCCATTTATAAAGTAGGCAAATATAAAATTATCCAGGATTGCTCTGTGTAGTTAGAAAAAAAATTGTGAGCCTGTATATTTGGGGCAAAATTTGTATCTGTGTTGTGAGCATCACTCAATGAATCTCTAGTTTAAACACACAATGCCTGCACACTTGCCTGAGCTCTTGCTGGGTCTGAGGTCGTATCATCAGCATGTACACATCCAGAGCATTTCATGAACTGTATGATGTCGGCAGGTCATTAATAAAAACTGAAAAAGTAAAAAGCCCCATAATTAGCTCCGGAGGTAACTTTGAATGTAACATTTTCACCTCAGATTCAACACCATTAAACAAAACGACTGGGGTTTATTCACTAATGTAGCCTGAGAACCATTCCACTGTAGTTAAACTTTGCCAAATTGAGGGACACTCAAATAGCAATATGTTGTGATTCATCGAATCAAAGGCCACAGACAAATCAATAGAGATAGTTGCTGCATAAAAAATGATAATGAACAAATGTAACAATATCACCAAGGTTACCTTGAGAAAAGCAAAGAAGTGGTTTAAAACCATCACTAAAAATAGGGTCAATATATCAGGCTTGAATGAAAAGCTCATTAAGTTTTTAGCAGATTTAGGAAAAACTAAAATAAGGTAAATAAGTAATCACTGGGAGAAAATTATTTATCAAGGTATAATATAAGGGTCTGGTCTTTTAATAGTATAAGCAACCTGAAATGCAACAGACCCGCTAGCAACAGGTTAAGAAGGGCTTAACATGGCCATTATGAAGAAAATTCTGAGGAACAGAAACCTATTGCAACAAATCACTGAGTCAATACAAATACACATTTAAAATCTTGAAGGCACATATTCGTCAAACGACAGATAAAGAAATACAGGATGTGAATTAGTCTAATTCTTTTCTTATTTTAACTCTATTTGATTATTTATCTTTGAACAAAACCCAACCCCTTGAATAGATTATGATGCTTATCTGAATTTCTCAAGTGCCTCTTTGGACAATTTGTTAGCATAAAGAAGGCAGTAACAAGTTATCAATAAGCAACTCTTGTTGCTTATTCAAATAAAAAGCATTACACTGATGTACACTTAAGTTGGTGCTTTAGACAGTTGGTGGGAAACACAGCCATCATATTTTTTCCAGTGGTAAAAGTCTAAAATCACAAAGCTAGAAGCTGCCTTTAAGATTGTTTAGTCCAGGCCTACCATCAATCGCTTTCATCTTTTATAGTACCCATTTCTCAATATGTTTAAATATTAAATATCCAATAATGTGCTTTTCATATTTACTGTTTTAATGAGTGAGTTTCAGTAAGTATTTCTAAACATTATTTTAACAGTAACAACAATGGCAAATTTTACCCAATATTTAAACATTTTTTTAAACTACAAAAATCACTGTATGAAAAGCAACTATATCATAAGCGAAATAAACATCTTAAAAAAAATAAAGAATGAACTTAAGGTTCTTCAAGAATCTGAACGTTAAATTCTTAGAAAAAGGCCACAAGCCGTTAGATTAATATCTTCTCAGTTGTGAGAGTATCCTTTTCATGTAAAATAAAAAATATCAGTAATTTGCTTTGTGTTTGAGCAATACAGAATAAAAAATAATTTCCTACCTTAAAAAAGTGAATACTAGAATGCTTTGATTTTGAGCTGCTAAAACAATATGTAGCTTTTGGAAATAATTATTTTATTTAATACACATACAAATATGAATTTCTCAACTTTTTTACCTCAGAATCTCAGTTCTATAATCACATTGGTATAGTTTTAGGGAATTCATAGCCCTAAACAGTCCTAAACAGAAAAAAGAAATGTAAAGACCTTCACAGCAAGAATAGACGTGTTTATTTAAAATCTCAAAATAAAAGTTCTATAAATGTTATGAATCTGAATGATGATCCAAACGATGACCATAGTGAAAAGTTACAATTCCAGTTTATGGCATGGTTTCTATTCATCACCATAGAATCTGGGATGGTAAGCTTCCTTTTGTGTCGATAAACAAAGGTTACCTAATAGCTTCCAAATTATTGGTAGTTTTTAATAGAGCCCAATTTAGAAAAGAAACCCTTTCATGAGGACCTTTTTATTTTAACCTACGAAATCCAAACAAGATGCAAGGACAGTAAGAGAAACAGACAAGTTTGTTACAGTGTAGTAAACAAAGACAATGCTCTTGCACATGATTAGCCAACCAACCCTTGACCTGAGCAGGACCACCTGAGCACACAGTTTATTGAACTTACTAAATTTTGCCTTTGAAACGAATGCTTTTAAAGGACGGACTCCTAACCCATATTGCAGAGGTTCACAAGCTGGATGGCAAGCTTGACGGTGGTGGTTCTTAATCATTAGAGAGACACAGACCCCTTTGACTACCTAGTAAAAGCCTCAGAACCACTCTCCTAAACATAAACATGCAAATCCACATTTTTGCACACTATTTCAGGGGTCAAGGACCACCCCACTTCACCCACTGATCTGGGCTCTAGGCTGAGTCAGCAAAATTTGAAAACTTTCTTTTTCAGCTGAATATTTATTCTAACTACCATGGCACTTGAATGACATTTTAAATGTGTACTGGTTTTCATCAACATGATTTCCTTCATTCCACTTTATTTGCTAAATACAAAAAGAAATGATGGTGCCAGGTATTTTGGTAAAGGTTCTATGTACAATGACACATAAGCATTATTCTATAGATGTGACTTTTTTAAAAATGCACCTTCCCTGGCATTGCAAATACATAATCTCATGGAAATAAAGAGAATCGTGAGCAGAAAGAGAGTTTGGTAAATTTCACTTAATACCTCAGGTCTTGCAGATATGAAGAAATTGGTGTAAATTTTAGAGTATGGGCTGACTATCTATATTAGTCTGTCTAGGCATAAAATGTTTTCAGTTTAGCTAGAAAACTCCTGTAGTAAACCATAATGTCACTATAAAGAAGACCCTTTTCCTGAGTTTCCAAGTTTTCTAAGCCAAATTATAATAGTTGCATCTACATCAGTAAGGTTTATATAATCCTCTCTCTAACTTGTGGATTCCAACATCCACAAGAAAAGGGTAGGCAAACAATCTTTCACATCCAGTTCCATCTGTGTGAAGATTAGATAACCAGCAGTAGAAGCTACCAAAATCTCTGGACTGAGAATTATTGAGGACATCATTCTAGCACTAATGTCATTCCTGCATAGATGCATTACTTCCAACAATCAACCAAAAATTACCTATTGTTTCTGTGCTAGACACTGTGCTTAAGAATAAGTTGATACCAATAAAACAATTAGAACAGTCTATATTCATTGTTAGTACTCAACAAATGTTAACTATTATTATAATCATTAATGTTTTTATGGTTGTACAAATTCAAATAGCTTCTGCACTCAACGAGCTGTATTCTAGTAAGACATTTAAGATAGGGCATGGTAAGATTATGAGGGAAGTACAGTCATCCTTCCATATCCACGGGGGTTTTGTTTCAGGACCCCCCAGGGATACCAAAATCTGTGATTGTTCAAGTCTCTTATGTAAAATGGCATAGTATGTGCATGTAGCTTATGTATATCCTTCTGCATGCTTTAAATCATCTCTAGATTACTTGTAGCTAATACATTGTAAATGCTATGTAAATAGTTGTTACACTGTATTGTTTTCTTAAAATTTGTATTATTTATTATTCTATTGTAAGTTTTAATTGTTTTTTTCCAAATGTTTTTGATTTGAGGTTGGTTGAACCTGTGAGATGCAAAATCCATGGATGGAGAGGGCCGCAGAAACCAAGAGGTGGGCTGTGGAAGTCATTCTAGTGAGTCAGGGAGCGTTTTTCAGGAAAAAAAAAAAAATAGTGGCTAGCTCAGCAAATCAGAAGGAAAGTGTAGCCATCTAGGTAGCCAATTATAAATGCAAAGCAAGAAACAGCATATATTTGGGTAACCAATGGTTAGAGCAAAGACTACACGTGGAAGTTTTGGACTACAGGTAGAAGATGGGCCGGAAAGGAATGAAGAGGCAGATTATGGCAGGTTGTTAGGTGCTTGTGACAGGTTGTTAGGTTACTGTGAATGCTGTGGAGAGTTATTTTAAAGACTTTCACACAGCAGAGTCCTCCTGCTATTAGCTGTGTAACTCATTCATTCACTTAACCTTTTTAGGTTTTGGTTTACTTACGTGAGGAAAATGGTTGCTCAGGTCTCTTCCAGCTTCCTTTTTTTTTTTTTTTTTTTTTTTTTTTGATGATCCCTTTGTTCTTGTATCAAGAATTACCAAAATGAATGGAAGATTCAAAAGATTTTGTTTCACAGAATCACATATCATTACAGAGAGACATTTGTATGACTTTTGAACTTTATAATTAGCTTTTCTAAGTAAATAAATCACTGTTTGATTTTGGCTTATGCCCTTTGCTCTATAAAAAACAAAAACAAGCTTCCAAAAATTCCAGATATCTCCTTCAAAATAATGATCAAAATGCATTTGGAAGCCTACTTAGAATTTACGTAAGATATTTTTCTAATGGTAATTTGAAAAAGGAGGAAAAACCACAAATTATTGCTCAATCATTAACACAGTCAGGTACCACTCCAGTGGCTGATATTCAATCAGCCGATTAAAATCATCTAGTCAGTTACCTTATGATTTTCCAATTTTATAGTCAGATCAGTTGGAGATGTAATTAATACATATCTAAATTATCGACATTGTTAGTTTTGCAGTGTCTCACTAAAATTCTAATTTTGATTGACAAGTATGAAATTTAAGTTTTCTTTCCACAACCTGAGTATTTCTATTGTTTTGTTGAAATTATAATAGTTTCCTCTGTGCTGCATCCATGACTCAAGCAAACACACGGCACCTGATGAAACTGATATATATATATCACCTTCCTCTACATTCTTCCCTTGACCGTTTTTTCTCACTTGAAAAACAGAGCGAATCAACCCAAACCAGAAAAATTATTAGGTTTTTATGGAAGTGTAACATAGGTAGAAAATGTGAGTCATAACATGATACTGCAAAAAAGAAAGTTTAGAAGCAAATGAAAAGAAAATAAATGTCAATTTGATAATTCCTCTTTTCTGTGTATCTGTAAGTAAAACTTTGTTGTTCCCTAAGGCCTAACTGTTAATCTATTGCTGCTCTAACTTCATCCTCTAATTCCCAATTCACTATATTGAAAGGATCTATTTCAAGAATCAAGTTTGAGTGGATTTTGTATTGTATTGGAATATCTTCTCCCCTTTCTCCACCTTTCAATGAAAGTCAAAAGCTTTGTGGCCAAATGAAGTAGGCTTAGGTTGTTTACCTTCACTTTTCCCATTGTTTCAGACTTCTAGCACATTCTTTCATTCTATCTTCTCTACTATAACACTCTGTTTTCATCACTTGGCTTTCTGCCAAGCTCTCCAACTATGCCTTTCTCAAAATTGCTGTCTTTTTGGAAGACTTTAATCACAAGTTGAATCTAAATATAAATGCTACACTGTAAGCCCCTTTATCTAGTAAATGTCACCAACTTTCTCATTTTATTTAATGCTCCAGTATTTTGGCTTCATTTATATTAAACTATCAGTAGGCAAAGACTAAGTCCATCTTGGGATATTCAGAATTGCTGGTCTGGCTTCTCACAATGCTGAGCTCCCAAGCAGATTGGGAAGAAGATTGCAGGTCATGCTCACCCCCATCCTCAACCCATCACATATCAAGGATCTTTCTAAGCTCATGCCCAGATGCTCAAGTTTGCACCCCAGCCTCCTCAGACCATGATGCCAGCAGCTACACCCTCCACTACCAGATGGGCAGTGTGGATATGGAGTGCCCGCTCTACACCGAGTTCTAGCTCAAACTAGATTCTTGTTTGGAAATATGTTTTCCCCAAAGTTCTTTATGTCCTTTATGTGGTTTGTTTTCAAGAAGATAAAAATGTGCTTAAGTAAACCCAGAGCAGCCCAAATGGGATTCCTGGAGAACCAATCCCTGGATATTTTTGCCACCTTCCTCTGTGGCTTCCTATGAGGACCACTTTCAGGATTATGCACAGATGCTATAAGGATAGAAAACCTCTCCTCTGGTAGTTTATGTGAGTCTATTACTCTAAAAAGTAAGGACATATCCCATAAACCACTCACTGCCAAGGTACAGTCCCTCATCTCTTTGGTCCTTATCACCTCTGCCCTCTTAGGACTTGCCTGGCTGATAACAGACTTGTGTACATGTTTTGTGTCTCCTTGAGGGCACAAGGTTTCTGTCTTAGGCAGCTTTCTGTTCTCTGCAGTTTCTTCCAGTGGTACGTAATATACTTTAGTTGCTCATTACATTTGTTTAAAAGAAATATACAGAAAACTGAACACTAATAGAAAGAGTATGTGCTTCCTGTTTGAAATATGGGTCATCCATGGAAATAAAAACCTTAAGGAAAGAAAATTTCATTATCATTGGGGAATGCTTCTCACATGAAAAAGGAACCAGAGGGCAAGGGAGCACCCACGTTAAATTACAATGGGCAGGAAATGATGCTGTATCACTGGGCTAAGACCTAAGGTAAGGGGCATATTTAATCCTGAGGATAAATGTTTCTCAGCTTCCATCCAAATCTAGAATGTTACTATATTTCCCTTCCTTACTTGCTCTCCCTTTTTTAAGTCCTTCAGCCTGACCTGAAACTTAAATATACCGAATGAAAGCAAAGTCAGCAGCCGGATTGCCTGGGGCCATGAGCAAGCCAAAAGTACTCTCTCCTTTTCTCAACACCTGCTGCTGAAAGGAATTAATAAAAATGGCAGCCCTTCACCTAATGTCATAATCATAAGATCATAATATATCAGGCAATGGGTCTGTGTCATAGCAAATACATCAAGAGCCATAGCTACATAAAACCAAAATAAATTAGGGGCCACAACAAATGCAAAACAAATGTAAACAAGATATAACAGATGTTCATTAATATTACTGAAAGATAAATAAGAACTCTTGTACTATCCTGGCTGATACGGTTTGGCTGTGTGTCCCACCCAATTCTTATATCAAATTGTAATCCCCATGTGTCAGAGGAGGGACCTGGTGGGAGGTGATTGGATCCTAGGGGCGGATTTCCCCCCATGCTGTTTTGGTGATAGTGACTGAGTTCTCATGAGATCTGATGGTTTGAAAGCATGGCACTTCCCCCTCACTCTCTCTCTCCTGCCACCTTGTGAAGAAGGTGCTTGCTTCTCCTTCACCTGCTGCCATGATTGTAAGTTAAGTTTTCTGAGGCGTTTCCAGCCATGTGGAACTGTGAATCAATTAAAGTTATTTTCTTAATAAATTACCTAGTCTCAAGTAGTTCTTTACAGCAGAGTGAAACAAACTAATACACTGGCTTAAATTAAAAAACTGAAAGCCAGGCAATTTAATAATATAATCTGTACTTTAAAAACATCCATTAAACCACATTTACTTTGGGAGGCTGAGGTGGGTGGATCACGAGGTCAGGAGTTCAAGACCAGCCTGGCCAAGATGGTGAAACCCCGTCTCTACAAAAAATTAAAAAAATAATAATGATTAGCTGGGTGTGGTGGTGGGTGCCTGCAGTTCCAGCTACTGGGAGACTGAGGCAGAGAATTGCTTGAGCCCGGGAGACAGAGGTTGCAATGAGCCAAGATTGCACCACCGCACTCCAGCCTGGGTGACAGAGTGAGACTCCATCTCAAAAAAAAAAAAAAAAAAAAAAAAAAAAACCCACACATTTATTATTCATTAAAATTAAAATGGTGATAAAAGTGCTTGCAGGTATGGAGTTGGGGGCTCTTACTTGTCTATATTTTCTTTAACTTACCTCTTCTTGCTCTGAAATCTCTATTCCTGGTAATGATGGGGGAAATGGAAATAACAGCATCCTTAAATTTGACAACTAAAGGTATTTTAGTTTCTTGTGAGGGTCTCCTTTCCCTGCCTTTCTCTTCTATGTTCCCGCCTCTCCTGTTCACCTAGTAGAAAGGGTGTTTGAGTGAATGGATATTTCCATTGAGTTGAACCTGAGTTCTTCTTCCCTCTGTGATTTATTCTATGTTAGTTCTTAAACATTGGTTCTCAATATCTAAAGAGAAGTTCTTTTAGAGTTTAAAACATCCCTTTGTCTTGTTGGCAAAGTTGCCTTTTGAGACAATTGGGCCAAAACAAAATCAACTTAGGACATTGATCAAGCTCAATTACTATCCTTTTAGTCCTAGGTAGTATCCATTTTCTCTTGAAGCAGTAAATGGGCAACAAGGCAATGTATTTTATGAGAAATTTAAAAAAGATGTGGATTTTTTAATGGATAAATGGTAAGTGGGAGACTGGAAAACACAATGAAGATGGAAAAGAAGAAAAATAAAAAATGAAAGCTGAAAGAAATAGAAGAAAAAGATGAACACTGGAAAGGAAACAGACACCAAGGAAGGAGATAGAAAGAGAGGAGCAAACTTAGGAAGGAAGGAGGGAGAACAAAAGAAGGCCAGAAGATGGGTCCTAAAACACTGATGTGTTCCCACTCTTCAGAAAACTGCTCTCCTTGCACTGTTCACATTGAGGCTAGAGTGCTCTTTCCATTAAGCAAGTCATAGTGTGGCCCTTGCGCTGCAGGCCTGTAGTGGCTTCTGTGGCTCACAGGGTCCACTTGACTCTCCACAGAGTTCTGCAGAGCCATGCCATTACCGGTCTATGCACCACATACGGAAGCCACCTTGATGACACACATTCCCTCTCCACTTAATCCCTCACCCTACTGAACTGTTGTATGTTTTGTTACCAATTCCCGCTTCCCCTTTTTCTCCCTGAATAACTCTTAGTCATCCTTAAAGGCTCTGTTTAAATGGCTTCTGACTCTCTCTTCATTCGTTTATATGCCCTTATGACAACCTATGCATACTTCTTTTTTTTATTATTGATACATAATATTTATACATATTTATGGGGTACATGTGATATTCTGTTATATGCACTGACTGTGTCATAACCAAGTCAGGGTATTTGAGATGTCCAATGCCTTGAGTACTTATCATTTCTATATGCTGGGATTATTTCAAGTCCTCTTTTCCAGCTGTTTTGAAATATACAATGTATTTGTTGTTAACTACAGTTACCCAACTCTGCTATCAAATATTAGAACATATTCCTTCCATCTAGTTGTGTTTCTACCCATGAATCAGCCTCTCTTTATCTCCCCCACCCACCCACCCATCCTGGCCTCTCTTTATCCCCCTCAACCTCTCTATCCCCACCCACCCACCCTTCCTGGCCTCTATCATTCTACTTTCTAACTTCATGAGATCAGCTTTTTAAGCTTCCACATATGAGTGAGAACACGCAATATTTGTCTTTTTGAGCATGGCTTATTTCATTTCACATAATGACCTCCAGTTCTATTCATGTTGCTGCAAATGACATGATTTCATTCTTTTTGTGGTTAAATAATATTCCATGGATATTTCTTGTAGTTATAAATCTGCTTGTCTGTCAAACCCACACAACTAGGCTGGAGTCACTTTATTCTGTTTAGCTCCTCAGTGCCTCACTCAATGACTTATACACATACACTAGGTACTAAAAACTTGATATGTAATTTTTAAATAAGCTTATTTTAATTAGTTTTCTTTTCCCTTAAATATCCTTAAGAATTGGCCCTACTAGCCTGGGCAGCAAAGTGAGACCTCATCTCTACAAAAATAAATTTTTAAATTAGCATCATAGTGGTGCTCACCTATAGTCCCAGCTACTAAGGAAGCTGAGACAGGAGGATCACTTGAGCCCAGGACTTTGAGGGTACTGTAAGCTATAATTGCACCACTGCATGCCAGCTTTGGCAACATCAAGACCCCATCTTAACAACAACAACAACAACAACAAAAGCTGGCCCTACTGCACTATGATAGTAGTTAAAGACAGGAATAGGCCCAGTAGCAACTACCCTGCTACTGGGCCTAATCCTTTAATCCTTTTCTTTTTCTACCATCCTGATTACTGTCATTCATTGACTCTCGTCTTTTTGGCTCTGATCCCACATCTCATGCAGGTCCAGGCTGACACACAGTACTAGTCATTTTCTTGCATTGGACCTGAAATAGAGTTGTAGCATTCTATGCTTAGGCTTCACTCTTTAAATTACAGACATTTTGACATACAAATACTTTCTGCCTCATCTACAAAACTGTACCTTTCATTGCTACAACCATTTTTTAGTGTGCCTACGAATCATTTACATGCACTGTACACTTTCATCATCAAAACCTCTCTTTATGTAAAATGAGTCTCAACCAGAGGCGCCTGCACATTTCCGGGGAAAATGTTTCAAAATCTTAAGAAGAAAAGGTAAGGTACATATATTTTGCAAATGCCTCTGCTATGGGCTGAATGTTTGTGTCTCACCAAATTCATATGTTGAAAAACTCTAGTTCCTACTGTGGTGGCATTTGGTGAAGGGGCCTTTTGGAGGTAATTAGATAATGAGGGTACTCTCATGATGCCCATATAAGAAGAGACAAGACAGTTTGCTTCCTCTCTCTCTTTCTCTTCACATTATGAGAATACAACAAAAAGATGGCCAGGAGGAAGGCCTCCATCAAGAACCTAATCAGGCCAGTACCATGATCTTGGACTTCCAGCCTCTAGAACTGTGAGAAACAAATATTTGTTGTTTAAGCCACTCAGTCTATGATATTCTGTTATAGGAGCCCAAACTGACTATGTCAGTGCCTCTAAAAGTATAGACCCAGCAGGTTAGAACCACTGACCAATAGGATGACAACCAGAGTAATGCAGAATAAAGCCAGCCTTCAGTTCAAAGCTAGGTATAGGCTGGATGGAACCTGATGCTGATACTTATTTAAAAGTTGCTAGTACCCAGGAAAAGCGTACTGAGTTGAAAATAAAAACCCATTGCCTAAACTGGGACCCTTCAAAAGGTGCCACTTTTTTAGAAAACAGAACAACCAAAAGTCCTTAGATTTTGCTGGCTGTCATGTGATTGAAAAAGCAAGGGATATAGTATCAGGAGACACTAATTTCCATAGGGCAAATCAGTAGAAGTGCTAGCAGTTCAAGAGGTCCAACATCTCTGTGAATAAGACCACAGTCTAAAACTTCTATGTCTACAAATATACCATGCAGTTTCAACAACAAGGAGGAAAAAATATATCCCTGGCTATGAGTGAACAAAAATACAGTCTCTGCTCTCTATGTTCATTTTCTGTATCTTACCATCAAAAGTGCGCATATTCCCCAACTTCAAGTCACAGTAGCTATCTTCTTAATATAAAATAATGCCTTGCAAAAAGTTACTCTTCTACTTCTTTGGCTCACTACATGTGAGTCAAACTTACCTCAACACATCTAAGACAAATTTTAGAAAGGAAAGGAAAGGGAAGGGAAAGTGAAATGAAAAGGGAAGGGGAAAGGAAATGGAAAAAAGAAAAAGGAAAGGAAAGGAAAGGAAAGGAGAGGAAAGGAAGAAGGAGGGAGGGAGAGGGAGAGAGAGAGAGAAGAAAGAAAGAAAAAAGAAAGAAAGAAAGAAAGAAAGAAAGAAAGAAAGAAAGAAAGAAAGAAAGAGAAAGAAAGAAAAAGAAAGAAAGAAAGGAAAGAAAGAAAGAAGGAAGGAAGGAAAGAAAGAAAGAAAGAGAAAGAAAAGAAGAAGAACAAGAAGAAGAAGAAGGAGAAGAAGGAGAAGAAGAAGAGGAGGAAGAAAGGAAGGAAGGGAAAGAAAGAAAAAAGAAAAAAGAAAGAAAGAGAAAGAAAGGAAAAGAAGAAGAAGAGGAAGAAGGAATGAAGGAAGGAAGGGAAAGAAAGAAAGAACGAAAGAGAAAGAAAGAAAAAGGAGGGAGGGAAGGAGGGAAGGAAGGAAAAGAAAGGGAAGAAGAAAAAAGAGGGAGGAGAAAAGGAGGGAAAAAAGAAAAACAACTATTAGATAGTACTCAATAGTTTAACAGAGGAGGAGGAAGAGGAAGAGGAGAAAAGAGCATTTTGGAGTCCTAAATTTTATCAAAGATTTCCCCATCTCTTTTATATGAAGATTTTCAGAACAGAATAGTCATTCTCAGATAGTCTCCCTCTGCTAGTAGGTTCCCTATTCTGCCGTGAAGGAAGTCACCTGTCTTCTGATCTGGGAGTTATTCCAGATGAATCTGGAGTGATCTCCAGACTAGGATTGTCAGATAAACTACAGGGCATCCTGTTCAATATTAATTTCAAATGAACAGTGAATGTTTATTTAGTATAAGTATATACTATGTAATATTTGGGACATACTTATATTTTTAAAAATCTGTTGTTTATCTGAAAGTCAGATGTAACTGGGGATCTTGTGGGGATTTTACTAAATCTAGCATCCCTACTCCAGACAGTCTGTGGATTTTGGACAACTCAGCCAAATCACAGCTCAACACTTAGACAAAATTCATGCCAGCCCTAATATCTTTCAGATACATAAGACTATTCTCTATTTGGCCACTGATCCAGCTTGGGCTTTCCTGTGATAAATATTGCAAACTATTGCTCATCACGGAGAAAGCTTCATCCCAACCGGTCTTTAAAATTTGCGCACACCATTGGAGTCTACTTTTCATTATACATGGTTTGAGAGGAATGCTGGGACCACTTCTGTAGGAAAGATACAGAAGCTCATGATTCCTATTCCCAGGAGCTGAAACTACCTACACCAACAAAACAGCAAACTCAAAACTTTTCTAGGCAAGTCTTGTGCTTTTAAATAGCTACCCTGTGACTTCAAAATCCTGTGAATTCTGGGCTCCTCTTCAGAGATGGCACCTCAGGTCAAACAAAAGCCAATGAGAGAAAGAGAGAGAGAGAGGACTTGGGAGGAGGGACTGCACTTGCTCTCTGCTTCTTCTCCTTTGACAGGGAGTGTCATGAGCCAAGGACAGCTGCCTAACCATTATTACATTCCTTGGTCCCAAAGAAAGAGACTCCTGTCTCCCTCCTGGAGCTACAGGTGCCAAATGGAATGTTGAGCCAGAGAAGCACTAAAAGGAGGAGGACCAGAATCAAACAGCAGGACAAGGAAATCAGAAAACTGAGTGGGGACAAAAGCAGGGAATATGTTCAACAAGTAATCTGCGGTCTTAGGATGATTACACCCAGCAGGTGTCTCTCCCCAGTGTGTCTTTTGCATCCTCCAAACATGGCAGCGCAAGGAAGAAACAGTTAAGGATCCAAGGATGGAGCAAACAGGGGCCTGGATTATGCTTGATGTCACCTAAATGTTTGCCTCATCACAGGCTTATCCCAGCTTTAAAGATACAGGAAAGGAGCTCACTTCAGAAGCAGTCTTGTCAGGATTTTGTCATGGAATATCCTTGTGTATTTGAAAATGAGCTTAAACTTCCTCCTGGATTACTAATTTTCTAATCTTCTCCCCAAACTAAATCCTATTTCCTAAGCCTTATATATAAACATTTTTGTTATTCTCCCCTGAGCTGTTTAATTCCACCGTGGACAGAAGCCTTATCAGATACTGGGAAGCTGCTGTTGTGCAGAGAACACTGGGTTCACCAGCCCAGCCCTGATTCTAGCCAGGGTGTCGCGTCCAGGGTTCCCAGTGCACCAACTCTGCCCTGCCCCTTGCTTGCTGTATTATCTGATGTCAATCACTTAACTCCTTCCAGCTTCAGTTTCTCATCTAAAAGCAAGAATACCATCACCACCACTAATAATAACAAAATTCACATTACTAACCATAACCTGTCAATAATAACAGTAATAAAAGAACAACAGTCTTGCCTTCAAATAGCAGATAAGAAATTCTCGACCTGAAGGAAAATAATTTCTAGTAGATTAGATATAAAAGAAAATGACCAATGCCCACGGCTTTCTGTCCTAACAATATTGACCCAAGGTCCATTAAGGGAACCTTCGGGGAGTCCCAGCCTTGGGAGGATAGTTGAAGGAGGAGACTTGGACATGTGCAGTCCGTTACATTAAGGGCCCTTTAATAAGTTGCTTTATGAGCGATTGATGTTGGCCTTTGACTTTGAACTACTGCCAGACATTTCTTAGGTCCTCTTGTTAATATATTTAAAAAAAAAAAAAAAGAAAAAAGAAAAGCACCATTCTACTAACCTACATTTTATTAAATTTTGTGCTTTAAAAACTTTTTAAAATTATATTTTTGTCAATATTTTTCTCTTGTATAGCTTCTGCCTTTTCCTCTACTGTTTTCTTTGCTTAATGGTTAGAAGGTGTTTTTCATTAAAAAAATACAATTTTCATTCATACTTTAACAACTTAATTGTACTTATCATTACCCATTTTATTGATCATATAATTCTTTTGACTTTGTTATGTATTCCAGTTTTTTATTTAAACTGAAGTCCTTCAAGTTTTAGTTATTAGCTATTTTCATGTCTTTTATATTGTATCTCCCTTATTTTTAATCTCCAGAGTTCTTCCCTAAGATTTGACTATATTCTTCTTTCGGAATTTTTTTTTTTTTTTTTTTGAGAGGGAGTCCCACTCTGTTGCCCAGGCTGGAGTGCAGTGGTGCATTCTCAGCTCACTGCAACCTCTGACTCCTTGGTTCAAGAGATTATCTTGCCTCAGCCTCCCGAGCAGCTGGGATTACAGGTGCCCACCACCATGCCCAGCTAATGTTTTTGTATTTTTAGTAGAGACGGAGTTTTACTATGTTGTCCAGGCTGGTCTCAAACTCCTGATCTCAGGTGATCCACCCACCTTGGCCTCCCAAAGTGCTGGGATTACAGGCGTGAGCCACCGCGCCTGGCCCTCCTTTTGGATTTTTAAAATTCACCCCCCGCCCAAAAAAAAAAAAAAAAAAAAAAAAACCCACGAGAAGGACATGTCGCTGAGATAAAGTGGACACCTGTGAAGCTAATTTAAATCCCAGATTCAAGAGACTGAATTTCTCTTTTTTTCTAGTTAAACCAACAGTGATACTTTTAAGCTCCCCATTATCGTTTCTTCCAGAGTTCAACTTCGGACTTTAAAACCTTCAGGCTAAGTAAACTAGTAGATCCGCAGACTAAAGTCTCCCGGATGACAAATCTTCCCTTAGTGGCAACGCAGCTGACCTGCTGGCACGGTATTGTCTTCTCATATTATGCTTTTAAGGGAATCCTTGGGTAAATCTCTGCCTGGGGACTAAATCTCCAAGCTCCTGACAGGCAATGATTTTTCCCTCCTTAGGAAACACAGACTGTAGCCATTTTTCCAACTGCAGTCACTGTATCCATCCCCGTAAAATACCTGCACTGAGAGAAAATAAATAACATGTGAAAATCACCAGCTTAAATATAAATTTCTCTAATCTGCTGAAAAAGGACTTGGCCCTTTTGTTTGAGGTCAAACGAGACTTTGCCTGAAAGTAGGACTTAAAGGAGACATTTTATTTTTAAAAGACCAATTGGCTGGAGCGGGGAGGATTGAGATCAAGTCACGCTCTTTGCTCACTGAATGGTGGCCCCATATTTCCCTTCAGGGGCTCGGCTGTAGACATGGCACCACTCTATCCTCATTCACCCTTAGTTATGGCTGAGCCATGCCAGGGAGACAGGGAGGTTCCCATCATCAGACAACAGGGCTTGAGCACACTGATGGAGTAACAAATATTACATCTTAGCAATGCACACAACCAAGAAGAAGAGGACATAAACCCTTTTACTATCTTTTTCACTTTGGATCTGAAAATACATTTTTCTATATATGATTTAAAGATCCTAAACACTACCTAGCCCAGAGAAGGAAATTTCCCTAATTTTTAAAAATCCTAAATTCTTTTTAATTTCTTTATAAGGTTATATATGACCTAATCACCATAAGTTCTACAATACAAGCCCAAGCACACCAACTAAATAAAGGCTGCAGAGAATGGAATCTCCTATCAAAACAGGAACACTCGATATTATAACTTAGTTTTAATCTTAAATCAACCAAAACACCCTGAACCTTCCAATAATACCTATTAAAAGAAGCTACATTAGCAAGTCTTTAGTTCAGCTAAAAGATCATTTTGTATCACCCTGCTTTCCTCATAACTAGTTTTTTTAAAATGATCAATTCCTTTCAGGATGTAGATTTCCCCGCAACCCCCTTTCTTTATCATAAGAGATAAGAAAATTGTGTCAAAGCCAGAGATTATACTCAAGAAGACTTTTAGAACTGAGAAAAATACAAATAAAGTAATCAGAACCCTAAGTTGGTAATCCAGGCACGCTTAGAATTATAGGCACCAGAAGAATGGAGCACTTTGATCATGTATCTTTAGAAGTCTCAACTTGCTATAGAAAGAATTATCTAACTCACTGGTAAACAGGCTCTTCTTCCCTGTAACCATTTCACTCATATATTCTTGGGGATTGAATTGCGTCCCCAAAAAAGATAAGTCCCACCTCCCGGTATTTCTGAATGTGAGCTTATTTGGAAATAGGGCTTCTGCAGATGTAATCAAGTTAAAATGAAGTCACTAGGGTGGACCCTAATCCAAAATGACAGGTGTTCTTACAGGAAGAGAAGAAACAGAGACAGACTCACAGGGAGAGCACATGGGATGACAGAGACAGAGATAGGAGTGCAGAAGCAGCAAGCCAAGGAAGTTCTGGATTGACATTGATGCCCCCACCAGATGCCAGGGAGAGGCAAGGAGGGACTTTACCCAGATCTCAGTGAGTGCAAGGCCCTGCTGACAGCTTGGTTTTGGACTTCTGGCCTCCAGAACTGTGAAACAGTACATTCCTGTTGTTTTCAGTCACATAGTTGGTGGCACTTTGTTATAGCAGCCCTAGAAAATGAATATACCTGCCTAAGAGAAAATAACTTTGAAGGCAGATTTAAATTCTTCATAAGTGAATTGATTATACATGGATTAAGGCTTTACAAATATTATACTATCACCAACTAAAACTCTCATTCATTCTGACCTGAGGTCCACCACGGACAGCTCACCTTTCTGCTCCGACACCTGAATGCTTGCAGTCTGACAGTCACAATGCTCAACAGTTGACACGTATTGTTCCACCTAATCCTTACAGTAGCACTCTAAGATATGCATTATTTTCCCTGTTTTGCAGGTTTAAAAAAAAATGAGGGTTGGAGAGGTTAAACAAGTAACTTGCCCCAGGTCATAAAGCCAGTAAGTAGAGAACTGTGATTTAAATCAGGTCTGTTTGATATTCATTTCCAGACTCTTAGCCATAATGCTTATTGATTTTACTTCACACTTTGTCCAACAATCTTTAACCTCTTCAAATCTTCTTTTCTGTTCATGATATAGAAGATCACTTTAAACTAAAGATGAGGAGGAAACAATAATCATCTGATGGGGCATTTCTTCAAACTTTGTGATCCCCTTTAAAAAATACTAGCACAGAACTTCGGATATTCTCTATGTTTCTGTCTGTCTGTCTCTCTCCCTCTCTCACATCCTGTATGACCCCATCATCCCATCCCTTTCTCAGACTAAATACCACCCACCTGTCTTCCAAGTGTTATCTTAAATGTTATTTATTTGGTGATATTTCCTTGATGTCACATTCTAGCAGGGGACAATAATATTGCAACCTCACAGCATCCTATATTTCTCTTCTGTGGCAGATATCATGATTAAAATGACATAATTATTTTGATAGCAGGATTGACCTGCTAACAGGTCTAAGGACTGTTGGCATGACTCGCATGGAAGCCTGTGTAGCTGACTATTGTAGTACCATTGCTCTAAGATTGGAAAATATGTAGGCTTAGGCTGCCTCAGCTTGGGGAAGCTGTGAATGATCAATAAGGAATGTGCTCATGCCCTAGCGTGCTCTCAGTGCTGTCCTCTGCCATCACATCATACATTTATAAAAAGGAAATGGCTCTATTGAAGGGTCCTAATCACATCCAGATCACATCGTGTGTAGAGCTGCTCTTGTCTTAGGTATGGAAGCCTTTTCTTGGCGGGAGGTAACTTGTACTAGAAGATCTGATGTGACCCTCCCTCTCACTCAGTCTTTTGAGGAACATGCAAGTTTCTGTCTCTGTGATTGGAGGTTGTTGACATTCTTTCCCTCTGCTCTAAGTCTGCCTATGCTGATTTCCTCCTGAATTCTGCAGAGAAGTAAATCTTCTTTAATTCCCCCAGGTGATCTTAGCTGTGTAAAATAAATTACTGCATTTCCCAAGACTTAGTAAAGCATGAGATATTTCTTTCAATAATTAAAATTGCTCTTTTAGAGTGAAGGAGAATGAAGAGTTAAATATGAACATTAATCTTCTAACTTTTTTCAGGAACTCTGAAAAACTTTAACTGTAACAAAAATGGATGACAGAAAACAAATTCCTTCCCTAAGCATTTGGCCTATATGTATAAAGTAGTGCTGACGGAGGAAAATGTGGCTGATCCTGTTAATCCCACTAAATGACACAGAAAATATCTCATTTCACTTCATTTTCAGTTAGTTATATATCTTCGTTTATATGTCTCTTCTGACAAGGAGCACAGACATTGTTTAGGTGTCACTTCTTAAATTCACAGCTTTTTTCTTTTCCTCTAAATATTCCATGCATCCAACATTTGGCATAAGGTTTTGTTCTTGTTTTTGTTTTTAACCCAGAGATCTAAATGCTAGAATTGGCAATGATACTGCCAAAGATCCATTTTACAAATTTCAGGCTGGTGGCCCACAGGCTGCATCCAGTCTGCAGCTGTATGTAATTTAAGCTGTTACTATTTTTTTATAAAAATGTTTTAATTTGTCAGGTTTTGCTGAAATATTACTGCATAATAACCCCACATCTCCATTACTTAGAAACATCTATTTCTTATTCACAGGTTTGCTTATTGGCTGGGGCTCTGCTGGGCTCAACAGGAATGCACTGGCATCTGCTGGGATTGACTGAACTTGGATCCAAGCTGCGGGTCAGGTTCCAGTCTGCTGTGTCTCCTCCATCTGGGGCTGCAGAAAAAGCCTCTCTCAAGGTAAATGCAGGAGCATAAGAAACATGGAAAATAAAAGGCACTTCTTAAAGCCACAGGTCATTTTTTTTCCTCACATTTCACTGGGCAATCCAAATTACATGGCCAAATCCAAAACCAATGAGGCAAGCAATGTCTACTCTATTCGTTCTACTGGGAAGGCCTAAAGAGTTACATGGCAAAAGGGTGTCAATGTAGAAATCTACTACAGGAGGAATAAAGCATTGAGAACAATGACCCAAACTGACACAGTTGCTAACATTTAAAAATTGGGAAAGTTTCCACGAAAATCAGAAATTCCAGCTTTTCTTATAAATTTAGAAAATTTAGTAATATGAGCCCAGAGCTCAAAATATAATCTATATGTATTAGTCAGGGTTTCCCAGAGAAACAGAACCAACAGGATATATATATAGAGATTTCTCTCCCTCTCTCTCTCTCTCTCACACACACACACACACACACACACACACACACACACACACACACACACGTGAGAAAGGAAGCAAATTCACCCTTCCTCCACATTTTTGTTCTATTCAGGCCCTCAATGGATTGAATAAGGCCCAACCACATTGGTGAGGATGATCTCCTTTACTCAGCCTATTGATTCAAATGCCAATCTCTTCCAGAAATACCCTAACAGACACATCCAGAAATAATATTTTACCAGCTATCTGGGCATCCCTTAGCCCGGTCTTGTTGGTGCATAAAATTAACCAACCCAAATTCACCACTTATCAACTTAGCATCCATACATATCTCTTTGAACCATGGTTAAATTTCCAAATAAAGAAAATAATATGGTCGTAATTTCACCTAATATGATAGAACTGTTCTGCATACAGCTGAAACACACTAACCCTTTTCCCAGAAGAGGAGGTAAGGTCCTTGAATAATGTTTACTGGCATCCCATAACTTACATACTATTAGGTAAAATTAACAATACTTAAATACTGATATAAAGTCAATACATCTTATGTTACATAATAAGGAAATAAAAATATTTGCTTAATATATGTATATATATATATAAACAAATATTTTCAGAAGAAAATAGGAAGGAAATACTTATGACATTTGCAGTCTCATTTTGGTATCTGGTCATGTAGTCATAGCTGATATTTGTAACTACTTTTTTCTTCTATTAATTCTGTATTCTCTCTGCCTTCAGCAAGCACTTCAGCTGGTCACACTATCCTATTTTCAAAAAAAGACCTATAGAAATAGGACCCCCAAAAGAAGACAAAGCAGCTTGATTCTTTGAATCAAAATCTATGAATCAATAATCATCTGCACTAGCAGTCACTCATAGTCTAATGGAAGCCCACTGTGTCCCTGTGTCTGTGTTCAAATCCCAGCTCACCACTTACTACTTGTATAACCTTGGGCAAGTCACTTAATCTCTCTGAACTTCCATTTCTTCATCTCATAGAGTTTTAGTGAAGACTAATTGAGATAATATACATAAAAGCTGTTCCATGAATTGAAACATACCACACAGATGTTGCTTGTCATTATTAGCAGGGCTCACCTAGTGAAACTCAAATTACTATTTAAGGAAATGACCAATTTGCATAGCCACCTGGATTTTTACTGTCAACGACTTTGACTGGGATTCAAATGCTTTAACAGCAGGGTTATTTCATTCACTGAAGATCCAGCTGGTGAAGCAGTTTGGGATATGCACTAAAAGATGCTTGGAAATACCTGCTGGTCTTTCAGCTATTGTGCTATAAAACCAGGTAGGAGAATCCTTTTATCATTTCCACAGCTGAATATGCTTTAAACCCCCTAACAGAGCCAAAATTGTCAGACCAAATTCCACTTGTGATGAAATCCAACCAGGTTAACATGTCCTTTCCTTGTTAACCACCTAGGCTTTTCTGGATGAAATCCTGCAGCCCTAAAACAGGCAAAACTTGACTTAACTTCAAGGAAAGTTTTGGATTTCAATGGACTTTTGAAGTCCCTTCAAAAGAGTTAAGGACTTCAATGACAGGTTTGCCTATACAGAGGACCACAGAGGCAGGCCATTTGTAGAAATTCAGTTCATCTAGGAGCAGAAGTTGTCTGGTGAAAATTGGTTCAGTAAGGAGGGGCTAAGTGAGGCATGTAAGTTCAAACTCAGTAGAATGAAAATGAGTCAATTTCAGATGATCGAACTTTGTTGCTTTGTATTTTTCCTCTTGAGTTTATAAAAGCAAGTCTTTTATATTTACTGTCCTGAAGGCCAATCCATTTGATGATTGTAGTAAATTAGAACCAACATATACTATACGAAATTTAGGAAATGCCTAGCACATAATACATTATCTATATATATTTATTCAATTATTTAATTAACAAGCAAGTATTTTAAAGATTGCCACAAAGGCTATGAATTCGGACTTTTATTCGTGAATAAAGAACTTCAATTTATATTAAGTGCATTCTTCGACACCAGGTAAGCTAAACTGGCAATTTTTCAAACAGATTTTATTACATAATATTTTGCAAATCAAGCTAATAATAATTGCATTTTGGGAATCTTTATCCCAAAACATTTCTCGCAGGGCACATTGTACTGTAGCTAAATCATTTTTACTGTTAAATTTATTGTTTTCTAAGCTGCAAGAAGTGTCAAATGGTGCCACAGGAAGTTAAGTATAGCAAATGTATTTAACCGGAGCTTACTGCAGAAGAGATTCCATCAAGTAACAGTAATAGATTTATAGATAGATAGATAGATAGATAGATAGATAGAATTGACACTCCATAATGAGAATTTTCTTATTGGAAAATGTGATTCCTGAATATGTATTGGGATTTCCTAGAGTCCTTTCAACTTGGAAGAGAGGAACTCTATCAGGTATGAACAAAAGAATATTCTCCTTAGCTAAGAAAGGTCTTACTATACCAATCCATCTCTGCTAGAGATTATTAAACTGTTTTCAGCTGGAAGTTGTTAAATAAGATTTAGCAATGGTTAAAATGCGAATTCTAAAACACACTTTTTTTTCCAGAAAAAAAAGAATATTGTATTCTTTGCTGAATTCTAATACTTCTTTTGAATCTAAGGGTTTTATTTAGTCCACAGATTAAGATCTTAGTGTAAATATAATAAAAATACTTTAAAGGTTAGGTATCAACAAGGTGTCAGTGTGCATAAGGATGAAGTATTCCAGTCATAATTAAATTTCAAATCTAATTATAATTTGAGGCATCCTTTTAATTACATTGCAATATTTTCTTTTCCTAGGAAGACGAGTGGTATAGCATCTTTTATCTGTAATTTTCATTTAATTAAAAATGTAAATAAATCAAACCCCCTTCTTAAAAATATTTACTTTGCACATAAAAAAGAGGATTTATAAAGTTGGGTTTTGTCTACTTAATCATATTTACTTCGAGCCATAAACATATGATGTATGAATATATAGGCACAAAGGTCTAAATTGTCCTTAATATTATGAAGCAGGAAAAAAAAAAAAAGGTTGCTAGTAATTATCTTTCTTGCCAGTGAGAATTCTTATGCCACTTCTGGCAAAATCCTACTAATCCTTCAAAGCCAAGTTCAAATGTCACCTCCTTTGTGTGAAGCCTTCCCTAACTCCCAGAGCCAAATTCAGAGATAGGCTACTGAGCCACAGCCAGCGACTTAAATCCGTAAGGGTCACTAAAACATCCCTGGAATTTTATAAACCTCTGAAGAAAAGAGCCTTCATCAGAGTTCCCTCAGAAAGAGGACTGCACATAGTTAGAAAGTTCTAGTGGAGCCACTTGGGGAGCTAAACTACCCCACCCTGTGCCCCCAATCAGCAGATATGAGTATCAGGAATCACTAACCTGCCTCCTAAGGACCCAGCTCCTTGGCAGGCTTTGGTTTTCTCCCGTGGGACAGACAAGCTTACAACCAAATGGGATTCTTGGACAGTAGATGAGAAACTGAGAACAAGCTTGAGTATTTCTCTCTTGTCCTACCCCCCAACCCCAGTAATCTGCTCTCTAAATTAATGTCAAATAAACACTTGCAAACCCCACCTCGTCCCATTTTCTTACACTACTTCTGATGACATCAGACCCTAGACTAGGAAAAAAGAAATGTGAAAACGTGGAAGGATAAGACACAGGAAGCAGCTGAGAAGATCTGCGAATGGCAGGCCAGGCGTGGTGGCTCACGCCTGTAATCCCAGCACTTTGGGAGGCCGAGGTGGGTGGATCACGAGGTCAGGAGTTTGAGACCAGCCTGGCCAACATAGTGACACCCTGTCTCTATTAAAAATACAAAAATTAGCCAGGTGCAGTGGCAGGCGTCTCTAATCCCAGCTACTCAGGAGGCTGAGGCAGGAGAATTGCTTGAAACTGGGAAGTGGAGGTTGCAGTGAACTGAGATCACACCACTGCACTTCAGCCTGCGCAACAGAGCAAGACTCCTTATTGGGGGGAAAAAAAAGATCCGTGAATGGCAAAACCTATGGTGTGGGTGGGAGGAATTTTAGAATGGAGAGAGAGTTGGAAACTTAGGAGAGGGTAATCAGAGAGGGGGAACTTGAAATTGAGATAACAGAGGTTGTAGTTATTGTGAATAATGAGGTTTTGACAAAGGAACCAAAGAGTAGAGGATAAGGTCATTCGAGGAGAGGAGTCCCAGAGAAATAAGGCACATGAAGGATTGTCCTCAAGAATAATAAAATCCAGCAGGCACAGTGGTTCATGTCTGTAATCCCAGAACTTTGGGAGGCCAAGGCAGGAGAATCTCTTGAGCCCAGGAGTTCGAGACCAGCCTGGGCAACAAAGCGAGACCTTGTCTCTAGAAAAAATTTTAAAAATTAGCTGGGCATGGGAGCGCATGCCTGTAGTCCCAGCTACTCGGGAGGCTGAGGTGGGAGGATCACTCAAGCCTGGGAGGCTGAGGCTGCAATGAGCTATGATTGCACCACTGCACTCCAGCTCGGGTGACAAAGTGAGACCATGTCCCAAAAAATAATAATATAAAAAGAATAATAAAATCACCAAAAATTATGAAAGACAATGTTGGAGACAGTGATAGCCAGAAACTCAACTGTTCAAGGAATTAGAGCGAGTGGCTCCAGGTGCCTCCTTGCCTACAGCAAAGAGGAGGTAGTAGGTGGTTTATGGTTTGATGACTTGGACTCAAAGCTGAGGTTTATAAGCAGAAATAAGAGAAAATGCCTAGAAGTACCAATGAGAAGCAAGAAGGGCATCTATCCTACATTCACACAATAATGAGAGAGGAAAAAACAGGGATCAATTGAAAGGGGAAGCAGTGTCTTCAATAGAGAACCAGCTTTTCCAGCTAGTGAAGTGAATGACAGGGATCTGATCAGAAGTAAAAGGACGGTTAAAAGACGAGGTGGAGCATATAACGGATTTCTGCTGAAGGGTGATCCAAGAGGCAGAGTGGAAGGGTTGCAGGTATGGGAGAGAGATAGGAAATGGGATCGTGGAAAAAGATGTGCACAGCTATATGGGCAGTGTAAGAGTGGAGTTCTATCACCTCACCATGTTGGGCTTTTTGAGGTAATGAAATAAATAGGATTAAAGAATAAAATTAGATCAGTCCTATGGTCCCAAGACTGATGGTGGTGATGAGACTCCAGTTGGGCAGGAAGAGGGCACATGGATTTGCCATGATCTATAGACTCTTAGGGCCCTTCCAGTTTAGAACCCATGACAAGGCAGTTTCAGCCAGAACACGCAGATCTCCATGGCACCCTCTGTTGACTCCTGGAGCACTCAGAACTTCTGGGACCTCTTGTCATGCTTATAAAAGGGCATCTAGAGAATGGGGAAGGTGGACCTTATCTTGAGCACCTGAGACTCTTAATTCCTGCTATATCATGATTTTGTTCCTTTAAAAAATAGAGATTCATTGAATTTGTTGAGGATAAGAATGATAAAATTCTCAAGTTGTATTTTAGGAAAATCCAGTAGCTTTTAAAGTTGGTCTCAGAGGGCTAGTGGGCAATGGTGATGGGTAGCTTCTAAGGATTCATCCTGGAATGAATATCTTCTGATCATCCATGGCCCAGATGCTGTCCCTGAATTTTCAAAGGGCTATCAGTAATCAGAAGATATTCTCTCTCCAGTGTGAAACCTTAGAGTCTCCAGAGTTTATTTTATTAAGAGGTCATTATTTCTTTAAAGGGAGCCATAATAAAAACCACTAGACTCACTGATCTCTCTGTGAGAACACTCTTTCCTTAGAAATATTTCCTCAGCCCCATCAAGTCATTGATCACAGGTTACTTTCTCAGCAAACATTCCTGGACCACCCTATTTGAAAGTAATACCTGCTTTATTTTGCTCCATGATATACTCTGAATGTTTTTTCTTTCCTAATCTCATGTTGAAATGTAATCCCCAATGTTAGAGGCAGGGCCTGGTGGGAGGTGTTTTGGTCATGGGGGTGGATGCCCCATGAATGGCTTGGTGCTGCCCTCGCAATAGTGAGTGAGTTCTCATTAGATCTGGTTGTTTAAAAGTGTGAGAATGACACTCCCCCCAACCTCTCTCTTTAGCTCCTGCTCTTGCCATGTGATGCACCTGCTCCCTCTTGGCCTTCTGTCATGATTATAATCTCCCTAAGGTCCTCATCAGAAGCAGCAGAAGCAGATGCTGGAGCCATGCTTATACAGCCTGCATAACCATGAGCCAATTCAAACTCTTTTCTTTATAAATTACCCAGTACATTAGTCTGGTTTCATAATGCTATAAAGATACTACCTGAGACTTGGTAATTTATAAGGAAAAGAGGTTTAATTAACTCATAGTTCCACGCAACTGGGGAGGCCTCAGGAAACTTACAATCATGGCAGAAGGCAAAGCAGGCACCTTCTTCACAAGGTGGCAGGAGAGAGAAACACGTGAAGGAGGAACTGTCAAACTCCTGTAAAACCAGCAGATTTCATGGGAACTCACTCACTAGAACAGCATGGGGAAACTGCCGCCATGATCCAATCAGCTCCCTCCCTCCACATGTGGGGATTACAGGTCCCTCCCTCAACATGTGAGGATTACAATTCGAGATGAGATTTGAGTGAGGCCACAGAGCCAAACCATTTCACCCAGCCTCAGGCATTTCTTTATAGCAACAAAAGAATGGCCTAGTACACTCCATAACATAACTTTATAGCTCATTTATTTCTTTTGTGGCAGTCCTGCCATCCCCATCCCCAAGCTAGAAGAAAAACTCTATGGAGGCAAGGATGTTTGCCAAATGACATCACTATTCATAGTGCTTAGTAGCCTGATTTTTTACTTAACTTATAGAAAACTACTTTCCATGGAAGAAAACAATGGAATACAATGATTGTTCAATAAATACTTATTAAATAAATCTGGCTTCATCTCTATTTTTTCAGCCTCATGCTCCTCTCCACATCAAATGATTCAACCACAACAGACCAGTGAGAGCTTTTTATTTGCTGTGCCCTGCCATGTCTTCACACTTTTCCTCAAGTAATTCCCTCCACCTGCACTGCACCTTTCCCATATTCCCCATTTACAGAACTTCTGTTCATCTTTCAAACCCCTATTTAAATACTACCTCCTTTGTTACGGTTATATTTGATATTAGAATCCTGATATCAGTACTGAGAACAGTATTCTGATACCACTAATCAAAATAGATTTTCTTCCTCAGTGCTTCCAAAATACTTTATTTATATGTCTATTTATTATATTTTTGTTCTGTTCATTATTATAGCTAGTCATTCATCTGTCTGTATCTCCAACTAGAATTTATAAGCCCCTTGAAGTTAATGATTATATCCTAATCATGATTATATTTCCAAAGGGCTTATCACAATGTCTGACATATAATCACACAATAAATGCTGGATTGGACTGGACTGAATTACTTTCTTACTTTGAGTTGCCTATGTAATCACCTCAGCCATGGTCTTCATTCTTATTCCATGATCCTGGTTCTGGCATTAATTAGTTCATCACTTATATAGAGGCTGTATTAAAGGAAACATGTGAACAATAACTTAAAAATTGTTCTATGTATTTTGTGACCTTAGAGCTCCCTCACTATCTGACTCTTCTGGATATGATAACAGCTGGGTCATGCTTGGATTCAGAAAGGGAGCTCATGTTTCTCCATGCCTCCACTGAGAATGGGAAAATATGAGAACAATTACATGTTATGGTGTGTGCAAAGAACTGGGTGGGTGGGGAGGGGTGGTTGTAGTTTCACTAAGGCATAAATGGTTAAAAGTTTGATCACATTTTAGCTGATCTCACTGTGGTTTTCCAGATTTTTTTACATTTTTACAAAACAGAAGAAATAAAAGAGTTAGAAGTAGAGTTTGTACTTTGAATTGAGATTGCGGAAATTACAGCAAGTAAGAGGATTCTTGATGTCCTGCAGCCCATAAATAACTATACCTCCTGGAGTTTCGTCTTAGACACCAAGCTAGAGTAAAAAACTTCAGGTTCAGGTTCTGAAAAAAAAAAACTCTCTGCTTTCTTTCCTTCTTTTATACAATCCACAAACTTGTATTAAGCCCATTATGCTCTAATTTTGCACAAGGAAGCTCTATGGTCACAAAAGCAAACAAAACAAAGTCCCTTCTTTTAAAGGAAAGTAAATGATTGGTGCCATGATTCAACCATATAGAGAAAATAGAAAAAAGATACATCTAACCCACATTTGCTGAACATCTGCTGTATACTAGGTCCACTCATAAATGAGATAGTCCTTGTCCCCAAGCTTATAATTCAGTGGGGAAAATAGTTTAATGCCATTCTATATGGAATGATAAGAACATATTCTGTAAGTGCACTACTCTTATTTGTGGGGGACATGGAGGGGTTGAGGGATGGGTGAGGAGAACAATTCTACCTGGTTTGGGAAGAAAGAGAGGCATGCGCATTTATAAGTTCAGATATGATGTAGGGTTTAAGTTCAGGTCAGAAAATGAAGAATTTACTGTGTACTTCAAGACAACAGTTACCCAAGCCTGCAAAAGTCACTGTGTGAAAAGGTCTCCCCCCAATCTTTAAGGAGTATCACAGAAATACTCTTGGAAAAGATTGCAGAAAATATCTTTAAAGTACAAGCACCTAGAGGGGGACATCCCAATTAAGAGGTGATAGGAATACTTTCTGAGGGTCCCAGAAATTTTCATTTGGGCCAGTGAAATATTTTTAAATCTGAGGGTTTCACAAAGGATTGACAAGCTTTATTATGCTAAACAGGGCAGTTTACAAAAGCACTATCATTCCAAGTTATCTTCTAGATTTTTTATGGTTTCAGGTCTTAGATTTAAGTCCTTGATCAATCTTGAGTTGATTTTTGTGTAAGGTGACAGAAAAGGATCTAGTTTCATTCTTCTACATGTGGCTTGCCAATTATCGCAGCACCATTTGCTGAATAGAGTGTCCTTTCCCCACTTTATGTTTTTGTTTGCTTTGTCAAAGATGAGTTGACTGTTAAGTATTTGGCTTTATTTCTGGGTTCTCTGTTCTGTTCCATTGGTCTATATGCCTATTTTTATACCAGTATCATGCTGTTTTGGTGACTATGGCCTTATAGTATAGTTTGAGGTCAGGTAATGTGATGCTTCCAGATTTGTTCCTTTTGCTTAGGCTTGCTTTGACTATGTGGGCTATTTTTTTGTTCCATATGAATTTTAGGATTTTTTATCTAGTTCTATGAAGAATGATGGTGTTATTTTGATGTGAATTGCATTGAATTTGTAGATTCCCTTTGGCAGTATGGTCATTTTCACAATGTTGATTCCACCCATCCACGAGCAGGGGATGTGTTTCCATTTGTTTGTTCTATCTATGATTTCTTTCAGCAGTGTTTTGTAGTTTTCTTTTGTGGAGGTCTTTCACCTCCTTCGTTAAGTATATTCCTAAGTATTTTAGGACATTGGCTATTTTTAGACATTGGCTTAGGCAAAAACTTCATTACCAAGAACCCAAAAACAAATGCAACAAAAACAAAAATAAATAGATGGGACTTAATTAAACTAAAAAACTTCTGCACAGCAAAAGAAATAATGAGCAGAGTAAACAGACAACCCACAGAGTGATAGAAAATCTTCATAATCTGTATGTCTGACAAAGGACTGATATCCAGAATCTACAAGGAACTCAAACAAATCAGCAAGAAAAAAAAATCCCATCAGAAAGTGGGTTAAGGACATGAATAGATAATTCTCAAAAGAAGATATACAAATGGCCAACAAATATATGAAAAAATGTTCACCATCACTAATGATCAGGGAAATGCAATACAAAACCACAATGCAGTATCACTTTACTCCTGCAAGAATGGTCATAATCAAGAAATCAAAAAATAATAGATATTGGCATAGATGTAGTGAAAATGGAATACTTTTACACTGTTGGTGGAAATGTAAACTAGTACAACCACTATGGAAAATAGTGTGGAGATTCCTTTAAGAACTAAAAGGACACCTCTGATTTGATCCAGCAATCCTACTCCTGGGTATTGACCCAGAGGAAAAAAAAGTCATTATACAAAAAAAGATACTTGGATACACGTTTATCGCAATACAATTTGTAATTGCAAAAATATGAAACCAGCCCAAATGCCCATCAGTCAACAAGTGGATAAAGAAAGTCATATATATATACATATATATATATATACACATATATATATACATATATATATATACACATATATATACACACACACACACATATATATGTGTGAATATATTATATGTCCATTATATATATGAATATATTATATATCCATTATATATATGAATATATTATATATCCATTATATATATGAATATATTATATATCCATTATATATATGAATATATTATATATCCATTATATATATGAATATATTATATATCTATTATATATATGAATATATTATATATTATATATGAATATATTATATATCTATTATATATATGAATATATTATATATCTATTATATATGAATATATTATATATCTATTATATATATGAATATATTATATATCTATTATATATGAATATATTATATATCTATTATATATATGAATATATTATATATCTATTATATATGAATATATTATATATCTATTATATATATGAATATATTATATATCTATTATATATGTATATATCTATTATATATATGAATATATTAGATATCTATCATATATATGAATATATTATATATCTATCATATATATGAATATATTATATATCTATCATATATATGAATATATTATATATCTATCATATATATGAATATATTATATATCTATCATATATATGAATATATTATATATCTATTATATATCTATTATATATTACATATAATAGAATACTACTATATACTATATACTATAATGTATAGTAGTATACATTATATACTATATACTATAATGTATAGTGGTATACATTATATACCACTATATATATAATGGAATACTACTCAGCCATAAAAAAGAACAAAATAACGGCATTTGCAGCAACCTGGATGTAATTGGAGACCATTATTCTAAGTGAAGTAATTCAGGAATGGAAGACAAAATATCGTATGTTCTCCCTCATAAGTTGGAGCTAAGCTATGAAGATGCAAAGGCATAAGAATGATACAATGGACTTTCGGGACTCAGGGGAAAGGGTGGGAAGGGAGTGAGGGATAAAAGACTACAGACTGGATACTGTGTACACTGCTCAGGTGATATGTGCACCAAAACCTCAGAAATCACCACTGAAGAACTTACTCATGTAACCAAAATAAATTTTTTTAAAAAAGCACTATGCTCTAGCACTACAATGAGCTCATAAAGTAAAACTATTTTTAAAATCTTTTTTATGTATAATGTAAATAGTTGATATCAGCCAGGCACAGTGGTTTACACCTATAATCCTAGAGATTTAGGAGACTGAGGCAGGAGTATCACTTGAGTCCAGCAGTTCAAGATCAGCCTGGGCAACACAGTGAGACCTCCTTCTCTCCGAAAAAATTAAAAACATAGCTGGATGTGGTGGCATGTGCCTGTGGTCCTAGCTACTTGGGAGGCTGAGAGGGTAGGACTGCTTCAGCCCAAGAGGTCAAGGCTGCAATGACTCATGATCACTCCACTGCATTCCAGCCTGGGCAACAGAGCAAGACCCTCTCTCTCTCAAAAAAATAAATAAATAAATATAAATTAAAATAAACAAAAAAGAAAAGAAAGAAAACAAAGCAGAGGGAGTTTGGTTGAGGTAAAATCAGATTTTAATTCAAGACATAATCAATTTGAGGCTTACAAGGAATATTTGCCTAAAATGTTGGGTTTTTTAAGAATAAAAATTGGCCTATGTATTGTTGGGAAACAATTCTCCATGGTTCCCTCATGTTTTGGCATGCCTTATAAGCAAAGAGCTGACTTCTGTTAGTTCCAGACTATTTTTTAAGGAAGTGTGTATATTAAGTAGCCTTAGAAGAGAGAGAATGTCTCCCTCTAGAGTGAAGAGCAGAATCTTATAAAAGATTTAGTTTCCCTACATCCAACATTCCTCTCATGTAACACAACCCATTAATTGTTCAGATATCATCTGACCCTCTTTACATTACCCTGTGGAAACTGGGAATCAGTGTAAAAATGCTGATACTCTGGCCACTTACAGCCATTGCAGTAAGTAATAAACTGTCCTATGTCTCTGACCCAGGAGTCCCATGTCTTCAACCAGCATCCACGAAACTGTAGCAAGTTAACATCTTAACTTGCAAGTACAGTAAAATCTTACACCCTTCACAGTTCTTGACATTTATCTTTAAAATATTGCAACATTTTAATTGATGTAAATCATTTTACTTTTATCAGTTTCAGAGACCTCACCACATTAAGGTCTTAACAATTAACTGATGGTTTCTAATATTTTTCAGACTCCTAACAGGATTAATGCACTAATTCTGACAGTTAAAGGAAATGATTGTCAATATTACCTGAAAGGAAAAATCAAGAAACCACTCATACATACATGGTTGGTTCACTATTACAGTTATTTGACATTTAAAACACTGTTTTGTATATGGGCTCAGTAAAATGTGAATCGAATCTAATTGGTAAAAATGGGATCAAATATTAACTGAATCTCTTTAGAATTCTAGGATCCACATTATAATATGAATCAATGGTATAATAGAAGTCCAAAGAAATTAAGTAACAAAAAGAGCCCTGTGGTAGACGGAATAATGATCCCCCTTGACCCAAAGATGGTCTGAATATTTATGTCCCTCCAAAATTCACATGTTGACATTGAATCTCCAATATGTTGGTATTAAGAGGTACCCCACCTCTTTGGGAGATGACTAGGTCATGAGGGTGGAGCCCTCGTGAATGGAATTAATGCACCTGTCAAATAAGTCTGAGGAAATGTGTTTGCCCCTTTTGCCCTTCACCATGTCAGGATGCAGCAAAAAGGCAACATCTACAAAGCAAAGAGTCCTCACCAGCCACCAAATCTGCTGGCACCTTGATCTTGGCCTTCCCAGCCTTCAGAACTGTAGGCAATAAATTTCTGTTGTTTATAAATTATCCAGTCTCAGGTATTTTGTTATAGCAGCCCAAATGGACTAGGAGAGATGCCCATATTTCAATCTCAAGAACCTGTGAATATGCTATCTTGCATGGCAGAAGAGACTTTACAGATATGACTAATTTAAGGATCTTGAGATTGGGAGATTATCTTGAATTATCTGCGTGGGCCCAATGTAATCATAAGAGTCCTTATAAGGAAAAGAGGGAAGCAAGAGAGTTGGAGTCATAGGAGGAGATATGATGACGAGGCAAGTTCAGAGAGAGAGAGAGAGAGAGAGAGACAGAGAGAGAGAGAGATAGAGAGAGAGAGAGATTTAGATTTGAAGATGCTACACTGCTTGCCAAAGCTGAAGAATACTGATGGCCTCTAGAAGCTAGAAACTACAAAGAAATAGATTCTTCTCAAAGATCAGATAGTTGTAGGTGTGCAGTCTTATTTCTGGGCTCTCTATTCTGTTCCATTGGCCCATCTGTCTGTTTTTGTACCAGTACCATGCTGTGTTGGTTACCACAGCCCTGTAGTATAGTTTGAAGTCAGCTAGCATGATGTCTCCAGCTTTGTTTTTTGTTTTTCATTTTTGTTTAGGATTGCCTTGGCTATTTGGGCTCTTTTTTGGCTGCCTATGAATTTTAAAATAGTTTTATCTGGTTCTGTGAAGAATCTCAATGGTAGTTTAATAGGGATAGCAGTGAATCTATAAATTGCTTTGGGCAACCTGACAAAAACAATGGGGAAAGGATTCCCTATTCAATAAATGGTGCTGGGATAACTGGCTAGCCGTATGTAGAAGATTAAAACTGGACCCCTTCCTTACACCATATACAAAAATTAGCTCAAGATGGATTACTTAAATGTGAAACCCAAAGTTATGAAAATCCTGGAAGATGGTCTAAGCAATACCACTCAGGACATAGGCACAGGAAAAGATTTCATGGTAAAGATTCCAAAAGCAATGCAACAAAAGCGAAAACTGGCAAATGGGATCTAATTAAACTAAAGAGCTTCTGCACAGCATAAGAAACTATCAACAGAGTAAACAGAGATAACCTACAGAACAGGAGAAAATATGTGCAAACTTTTCATCTGACAAAGGTCTAATATCTAACATCTATAAGGAACTTGAACAAATTTATGAGAGAAAAACAAATAATCCCATTAAAAAGTGGGCAAAGGACGTAAGAGACACTTCCAAAACTAGGCACACATGCGGCCAACAATCATATGAAAAAAAGCTCAACATCACTGATCATTAGAGAAATGCACATCAAAACCACAATGAGACACCTTTTCACACCAGTCAGAATGGCTATTATTGTAAAGTCAAAAAATAACAGAGGCTGGCAAGGTTGTGGAAAAAAAGGAACGCTTACACACTGTTGGTGCAAGTGTAAATTAGTTCAACCATTGTGGAAGACAGTGTGGGAATTCCTCAGGGACCTAAAGATAGAAACACCATTGACCCAGCAATCCCATTACTGGGTATGTACAAAAAGGAATATAAATCATTTTATTATAAAGACATATGCATGCATATGTTCATTGCTGCACTATTCACAACAGCAAAAACATGGAAACAACCTAACTGCCCTGTCAATAATAGAGTGGATAAAGAAAATGTGGTACATATACACCATGGAATACTATGCAGCCATAAAAAAGAATGAGATCAAGTCCTTTGCAGGGACATGAATGGAGCTGGAGGCCATTATCCTTGGCAAACTAATGCAGTAACAGAAAACCAAATACTGCATGTTCTTGCTTATATGTGGGAGCTAAATGATGAGAACATATTGGCACATAGAGGGGAACAAGACACACTGATGCCTATCAGAGGATGGAGGATGGAAGGAGGGAGAAGATCAGGAAAAATAACTAGTGGGTACTATGCTTAACACCTGGGTGATGAAATAATCTGTACAACAAACCCCCATGACACAAGTTTACCTATGTAACAAAACTGTACATGTACCCCTGAACTTAAAATAAAAGTTTAAAATAAAAGAAATGGATTCTTCTTTTCAGCTTCCATCTAGAAGGAATGCAGACCTGCCGACACCTTCATTTTAGCACTTCTGACCTTCATAAATGTAAGAAAACTACTACATTCTTGATGATTTGTCACAGCATCAATAGAAAATGAAAACAGCTCTCAAAGCATCCCATTACAGCAAATCACTTATACAGCAAATAACCAAGAAACCTAACTTTCTTGGTTATTTTTTATGGTTATATCGCTTTCTATTTCTAAGCTATGCCCTCAGGCTACACTAGGCTGAAATGAATTCCCCTTCTTATACTTGAATTTTCTTAGTAAGAGATAAATCGCTTTCAGAAAAGTGAGAGGAGGAGGAGTTGAAGGGGAAGGAGATGGAATTGCCTTAAGCAGTAAAAGAAAAAAGACCATCCCTGAAACTTTCATAGTTAAAAATAATAATAAACAAAGCAAAACTAAATAATAACACCAATTTCCAAGGACCAACGACAGACCTACAAGAATAAAATAAATGAAATAAATGTATCTGTACCATGGTTGAAGAGAGATACAGACTCCCCAGTTCCCCTAAAAATCTGCTTTTCTAAGTTACCCATCTTAGAATGGCTCCAACCAATTTGTCCAATCAATCTCTCCTGGAGAAAGGAGGTCTTAATATAAGTAGAAACTGAGGTCTAGCCAGGAAACACATACTGGGTGTATTAATGCACATGAATCTATTATTTATATTGACCACAGGGATAAGAAGACAAAGTTCTTTGTAGAAATTCAACTCACATGTTGTGATCTGTCCAACTCTCCACTGAAAGGAACCAGGTCTATAAAAAGAGTGCAGACATGACTCTTCCGGATAGAATACAGGACAATGACAGAATTGGGATCTGAGAATGACGTTGAAGGGAAAATGTGAAGTAATTCTTATGCTGACATAGTTTTATAAAGTGTCTGTGGTATCCGATGAAGGCTTAAAGGCAGAGCTTAGAGCTGGCCTGAGCTGCCTCTGAATGGTAACTTAGCCCAGTACTGGAGCTGTTAGTATGAATGCACTAATAAGCATTTTCAGCACATGCTGCTGGCCATTCCTGTGCTACCTGTCCAGGCAATCCCCAGATTTCAGCTCCTCCCACTTAGGCTGCCCTGAAAGTGCCCTATTGGGAAGCCACTGTCCCTGTTTGCCAGCATGCACCACCAACATCTCAGGAGTGCCTTTTAGCTCCAGTTATCCCACTGGGCCCTTTGCTTTCCTCCTTGGAAATGGTCAATGCTCACATAGTTTCTGCCCTTCTTGGTTTCAAAGTGTGGTGCTCATTTCAATATTTGACACTCCCAGTGGAGCCCAGAAAGGTAACCTAGTTCAATTTAACAACAACCACTTACTCTGTGCCAGGCACATACTAGACATGGAGACTAAAGCATGCTCTTTGCTCTTAAGGAATTGACAGCTGCATTATATTTCAACCCTTTCTGGATCATGCATCCCCTGTCCCATAAATTGGAAGGCAAGGTAACTAACTATAGCTCCTCTTCCCATACTCCTGCACAGGAAGCAGTTTATCTTCCCTTAAGTTATGTGGTGGAGAGAATTTCTCCAGCCTCCTTGAATTTTGCACATTCCATGACTCACCCATGGGACCAATCTCTGTGGGGTCTACCTGATTTCACTGTGCAAACTTTTTTTTTTTTTTTTTTTTAGACAGAGTCTTGCTCTGCCCCCCAGGCTGGCGTGCAGTGGCGCGATCTCAGCTCACTGCAATCTCTGCCTCCCGGGTTCAAGTGATTCTTCTGCCTCAGTTTCCCGAGTAGCTGGGACTACAGGTGCGCACCACCACGCCCAGCTAATTTTTGTATTTTTAATAGAGACGGGGTTTCATCATGTAGGTCAGGCTGGTCTCGAACTCCTGACCTCAGGCAATCCGCACACCTCGGCCTCCCAAAGTGCTGAGATTATAGGCTTGAGCCACCACACCCGGCCACAAACATTCTTTTTTATTTTTATTTTTTTATTTTTATTTATATATATTTATTACACTTTAAGTTCTAGGGTACGTGTGCACAACGTGCAGGTTTGTTACATATGTATACATGTGCCATATTGGTGTGCTGCACCCAATAACTCATCATTTACATTACGTATATCTCCTAATGCTATCCTTCACCCCTCCCCCCACCCCACAACAGGCCTCGGTGTGTGATGTTCCCACTCCTGTGTCCAAGTGTTTTCATTGTTCAATTCCCACCTATGAGTCAGAACATGTGGTGCACAAACATTCTTTTATTATACAGTTTCTCTTTTTGGGGAAGGTGGAAAGTGTGAAATCATATTCTCCACTTCGCCTTAATCAGATTTCACTCTTACCCTAGGCTTCTGGGTCTAGTGAGTAGTATCCAGTTCTCCATTTTTCCCAGGGATAGCAACACGAGAGGCTGTCACAAAATCTCTGGCATTTTTATTTTCTTTGAGTCAAAATAGGTATACCACCATTGTCTTTAGTCCTAGAAATCTGCATTGCCAAATTTGTCCATGACAGTTTTCAAAGAGCTTGCAAGTATATTAAAGGCAAATCTGAGTGCCCTGCCCCTACAAAAAAGCGAAAATTTCTAACCAAACTAGCCCATTCGTAGAAAAAAGCACTTATATTTTTGCCAGAATCATAGACTCCAAACCTTTCCAAAACAAGTGGAGGGGTCATTTCACGTCCTGTTTGGGATTTGACATACTCGCAACAAGCAGTTAGTTACACCTGTGCCTGAGGGTTTTTCTAGCCTTTGTCTTCTAAAACCCCTGAAGTATTCTTTCTTCAGTTGGCACCTTATTTTTGCACATGAAGGGTTTTGGATCGGAAAGACCACGATGGAAGCACTCAGTGGTAGTGTTCTTTTTCTAACTTGGCATGCGTAGCTACCATTCCTCTCAATTCTCATGAAAACACACATGATTCCGTGGTACTTCCCCCTCTCAGTGTATAGTACCGTCCTCCAGGCCTCTCAGAGAGGAGCCCAGGACTTTCCTACACTAATTGTCTCCCAGCCAGTTGCTGCCTTTCCTACAGCAGCCCAAGTCAGACTTTGTTGCAGCCTGCGAATATTTTCCACTCCAGTGTGTGATGCCAAAATCATTCCACGAGGTCTGCTCCAAGTTTTCCTGTCAAGATAAGCTTCCAGCCTGATGTAGAGTGGATTAGCATACAGCATCAAGACCAGACTCATAATCTTATAAAACTGGCAGCACAGCTTCCTAAGTCAAACAATGAAATGGATATACTCTTTTAAATTGAAAGGTAGAACATATTTTCAGAAAAGTGTATCTATTTCTGTAAAACAGACTTATTTGAAGATTTCCAGAACTTAGTTAAAACATTTAAAAAAGTGATCATTTTATGTGCCCAAAAATATAGTAAATCCTGTGTTATATAAGGTTACTAAGCAGCAGCAACATTTGCAAATTTGCCCTTTGTCCATCAGATCTTATTTATTTCTACTGCTTCTTCACAAACATTTAGAAAATAGATGTCTACATGCCAAGGTCCTTCTGTTAGTATGCAGTATTTTAGTAATAACCAAGAAGAATCATACTGGGTTAGAACAACCTAGAAAAATAGGACTGATTTTGACAATAATGCTAAGGGACCATTGTGGCATAAGGTAAATATCTTCCATAAAAGCAAGCTATGGATCAACAAATGTTTATGGTCAACCTGCTAAACAAATTTTTTCATTTCTGAATCCTCAGTGTCTAGTACTATGCCTGGAAAAGAGCATGTTTATTTATTGACTGAAAAAAAAATGAATAAATGAATGAACACACCCAATTTCCCTAAAGCTGTTAATTTACCCATTCATACTTGAGCATATTGACTCTTGAAGACATTCCAATTCCTTGGATCACAAGTTCTCTATGTTGATTACTCTTATGAAACCACTCTAAATCTATGTTTCAAAACCTGTTGAGTCTTCTTTCTGTTTAAATTATATTGTTTGGTGGTTTGTCTTGTTTTTTTTTAAGTAGATACACATAAGGGCTTCCAGAAAACAATCCTGGCAGAAGTTGAGATATTAGAGTCTCCAAGCTCTATGAAAGGAAGCATTTGAGTTGGTAAGAAAACTAGGAATGGCTCAGCTCTCAATATCTGTATCATCTCCTCCAGGGAGCCTTGTAGAGCATCTACCACTTTTTTCCCCTCCCTCTCACTCTTGCCTTAAGTGTCCCCTCTTAAAGCTCCCTAAATTCTTGTGCATAGTATCACCATCTTGTAATTATCTCCCTTCCCTAGACTGTGGATTCAGTACAGGCTATGACTGGGAATTTTTCCTGGTACCCTCAGTTCCTGGCATAGATCCTGGCGTGTAGTGAGTGCTCAGTTAGTATTTGAACAAATGAATGAAGTAGTGAACCATGGCATTAAATTTACCTGAGACATTTGTTCTTCTAGAGGCTGGAAAACACTTCAGAGTGGGAGGGGTACTTTCTCGTGTTTGGAGAAAAGATCAAAGGATTTCAGCCAGAGAAGAGGCCTCCATATGGTTTTTATTGTCATCTTCCATCTTTCTTTTTTTCTCCCACTTATTAAAAAGAGAGAGGGAGTCCAAAATAATCTGGGAGACTGGCAGACTGCAAAAAGACTATGAAGCCACATTTTGTAGGGCCTTCTGGCGATCCCTGTCAACCCAGGCAAAGCTGGCCCCAGGGCCAGAAGCCCTCAGTTCCTCAATGTATGGTAGGAGAGCTTGTGTCTTGCAGGGCATTTCAGGAGCTACTTGGAGGCTGCCCTATCAACCCTGCTTTCTCTTCCTGCTAGTTCTACAGCCCAGCATGCAGCAGGGCTCAAAATGCTTTCTTGCTATGTGGGCTTTCCGGCTAAGTTTACACTTACCACTCACTCTGCTGACTCTCATTATGGATTCTACCTGAGTGTTTGCCAACCTCCTGTCCTAGCCTCTCTCTTATTTTGTCCGTCTGCCTTGTCCCTTTATTCCTTGACGAGAGTTTGACACACATCCTGACCTTGAACTGGATCCATCCCTTCCTGCTCCAAAGATTTCTTCTACCTGAAGAATCTGACAGAAGTCACTAATCAAAGCTGAGAGTAAGTAATCAGACAAAGCTCTGTGCATTGAGCAGGGATTGAAGATCATAATGGTAACTAGCCCAGCAACTAGAAGAATAACCAGGGCAGTAGGGAATCTAGAAAACAAGCAGGGAGAGTATGCTGTGGGGAATTAAAAGCTCAAACAAAGAATTAGAATTACAGAGAGCCAGGAGGCCAAAGAGCATGGGAAAGGGCTGCAGGGTTACAGCAACAAGACTTGTTTCTGCACGAATTCATTGCCTCTGCCAAGTGAGTTTGTATTCATGTCCTATTAGTGAAAGGGAAAGAATCCAGAAGTAGGACTGTATATGGTTTTGAATTAGGACTCTCTACCCTTAGCCCTTTGTTGGACTAAGCCTCGCTACCTCAGTTTCTTCTTCTACAAAATAGAGCTAATAACAGTACCTACACTGGAAAGTTTTTTTGGAGCATTATATGAGATAATACTAGGAAAATCACTGACATATTTTCATTCAGCAGAAAGTGCCCAATGAATATTAACTGTCATTATTATTACACTGAAGAAGACAGTTTTTAATGTGATTAGCATGGGGCATGCTGATAAAGGTTAAGGTTTTAGGATCCCTTTAGAAATTAAAAGAGCCAGCAGAATGACTTTTGCTGATAGGTAGCTTTGAAATGTAAAAATATTGAGTGTAAAAATTAATTATTTTTGTTAGGAATTTTTATAGCTTTATTGAGGCATAGTTGGCATACAATAAATTTTGCATTTTTAAAGGGTGTAACTTGATGGTTTTTGACATATGCCTACACTCATAGAGCCATCACCACAATCAAGATAATGAACATATCCATCACCCCCAAAACTTTTATCATTCCCCTTTATAATCCCTCTCTCCCACTCCTGTTTCCAACCCCCACCCTGCCATCATCCTCAGGCAACCACTGATCTGCTTTCTGTCACTATAGATTAGTTTACATTTTCTTAGATGTTATATACATGGAATCGCACAGTATTACTTTTTTTGAGGGGTTGGGGGAGGTCTGGCATCATTCACTCAATGCAATTATTTTGAAATTAATCTTCATTGTTGTTTGTTGTCAACAGCTCATTCCTTTTAATTGCTGAGTAGTATTCCATTGTATAACATGATTTGTTTACCCATTCATCTGCTTATGGAGATTTGGGTTGTTTCCAGTTTGGAGCTATTACAAATAAAGCACCAGTAAACATTCATGTGCAAGTCTTTGTGTGGACCTGGACTTTCATTTCTCCCGGGTAAATATTCTAGGACTAAAATGGCTAGGTCATAAGTGCATGTTTAACTTTTTAAGACACTGCCAAACTGTTTTCCAAAATGGTTGTGCCATTTACATATTTAACAGCCAAAGACTATCTTTGCAATTATTTTTATAAGGGTATGAAACAGCTTTCGTTCTTGTCTCTGTCTGCAGCTGAGATTGCTGGCTAAGTCCCACCTTTTTTTGGAAACTTAACCTTATTTGTTTTGTTTCTCTAGGAGAAGAAACTTCTTATAATGTAAATTTATAAAATTAAACAAATCAAATGATAAAAGTAAGTATCATAACAACTATTGGATAAGTCACATTTATTGGTTTCACCTCAATCTCTTTTAAGAGTCAATAGGAGATTCCTGAATCTAACAGTTCACCATGTGATAAATAAATCACCTATAAGCTCTCTTTACATACACAGCTTTCGAGCCTATCGCCCTGGGTCATTGTCACCCTCTCACACTGGAGTCATAATATAGTACCAAGTCCATCAGTCATATCTACAAGGTCTAAGGACACCCATTCCGTATTCTTATTCTCAACTCCCAGCTTTCACCTGTCTGGGTGCCACGTGTGACTGCCCAAAATGTTACACAACAAGAATGGAAGAAATTTTCATGTGAGTCTCAAAAAAAAAAAAAAAAAGTTTAGATTGCTAGCACACAGTATTTTGTTTATTTGTTTGAGACAAAGTCCCCTTGTGTCACCCAGGCTGGAATGCAATGGTGCGATCACGGGCTCACTGCAGCCTTGAACTCCTGGGCTCAAGCAATCCTTCCCCCTCCACCTCCCAAGTACCTAGGACTAGAGTATGTGATACAATGCCTGGTTAAACTTTTTTGTAGAGATGGGTGTCTCACTATGTTGCCCTGGCTGACCTTGAACTCCTGGCCTCAAGCCATCCTCCCAACCCAGCCTCCCAAGTGCTGGGATTATAGGCATGATCCATCACACCCAGCCAGCAAGCACACAGTATTGTTCAAAATAATTTTTCATCTTAATTCCAAAAGGTTATAAGTCTCTGTTTTAAGAACCTGGTTTGGAGAGAGAGAGAAAAAAAACAAACAGTGCCAAATAGATGTTCTAATAATAGAACCATCAATCCTACTGCATTTTTGGTTGTCAACTGCTCGTTTAAATCAAATTCCACTCCCTCCACATCCTTCTCCCACACCTAAATCCCAATTCTGTCTCTGTATCTCTCTTTTTTTCTCATATGCATGAGAACTCTGGTTTCCTACCTAAAAAAATAAGAGGACATTTGCTTATAAACAAAGGCCAGGAAAGTTGAAGAGGAAAATGGAAGATAAGAGCCTATCAAAAGAGTTTTAGCACCTTTGGTTAGAGGAGTGAAGGCCAGAAGCTATTCAAGCTTGGGGCACTTGGTAGAATTCTGAGTATAAGCCAGGTTACTTCAGGTCCAGGGCATATATATGTGCACAGATTTGACTCATTGTCAGACATGAAAATAAACATGCTGTTACCCCGAGGATGGGACACGGGAAACTTTCAGAAGTTGCTCCCTGGGCATGTACATTGGCCTACATAGCAAAAAAGGGACTTCACCAAGCAACTTTGCAGGCAGTGGATGTGGGTTGTGGCAGCAACAGTGTCAACAGTGGTAAAAAGAGCACCTAACATCTAGTAAGCTCTACTCTGTATTTGGTATCATGCTAGCTGTCTTATAAATATTATTTCATTGTATCTTCAAAATCAGCATATTGTTCCAGGTTTCACAGATGATGAAATGAAAGCTCAAGATGGCTAAGTAACTTGCATAGGCCATACAGCTGGTACGTGTTGGAGCCAGGATTGAGTGCAGTCAGTCTGCCTCTAGAACCCATGGTCCCAGGGAAAGGTGGACAGCCTGGGGAGGGGAGTGGATTCATGTGGCACTGAAGCTGGCAGGCAGTTGCATAAGAAGGTTTGTGGCCTCCTTTGGAAACTCTCAGGAACAAGGAGGGGGTACTCTGAAGAAAGAGGGGAATGTCCCACTATTATGCAGATGTGGGCTATCCAACCTGGCAAGCATCAATTCTAACAGAAAGTTTTAGATATATGCTAAGGTCTGAATGTCTGTGTTACCCCAAATTTCATATGTTAAAACCAAATCACCAATGTGATGGTGCTAGAGGTGGCACCTGTAGGAGGTGATTAGGTCATGAGGGTGGAACACTCACGATTGGGATTAGTGTTCTTATAGAAGAGACCTCAGAAAGCTGCCTTTTCCCTTCTACCAGGTGAGGAAACACCAAGAACGTGCCATCTATGAACCCTCACCAGACACTGAATCTGCCAGAGCTTTGATCTTGCATTTCGCAGCCTCCAGAACTGTGAGAAACAAATTTGTGTTATTTATAAGCCACCGGGCCTCGGGTATTTTGTTATAATGGTCTGAACCAACTAAGATACCATAGAACAGTGTCCATTGGGGTTTATACCTTATGAAACCATGTCACAATTTTTAAAGATGTTTGAGGTGGAAGGCTCAGCTCAGTCAGTTATCAATGTCCCAGAAAACAGACATGCAAATGTATGAATCTCAGGTAGGCTAGCACAGGAGGGGCACTGGCTGAAGTGCAGTAACTGTGAGCATGTTCACGCGCAGTTGATTGAAGAAGGCAGCTACCTGAGCCTGTCTGAACTGAAGGCAAGGCGAGACAGGAGTTATCAAAAGCTCATTTCCTGAAAAGGATCTCTTTAACCATAGGAGTCACTACCTCCCCGAGAGATTTGAAGGTTTGGGTGGCTACAGATTACTTTGAGGCCCGCAAAGAAATCTGCCTCTGGCCTGAGAGTTTTTCCAGCTTCAAGTCCCGACTTCAGGCTCAAGGAGGAAGCAGGCAATTAGGCTCTGCCAAGACCCAGGACTGAGCCCCTTGCACTCCCCAGTGCTTGCCCTCACTGGTCCTGCTCTCGGCTGGGAATGCCCCCGCCCCCTTGTCTACCCAGCGGGCACCGGCTCACTTTTGAACACACAATTAAGCACCTTCTCGGAAAAGCCTCTCTGACACTCTCCTTTGTGCCCCACTATCCCCAGCCCCTGGTTCCCTTAGAGCTCCTCTAACAATGGAGTGGATTAATTTGTTCTCAAGCCTGCCTCCTCACTCTAGGCAGAAAGTTTCTTAAAGGCAGGCAAGAACCCTGTATTTTTCATCTCCAGCTCAGCACAGGATGCATTTCTTTTTTCTTCTTTTCAGAATGAAGGATGACAATAGGAGTAGGTAGAAACTTCAATAAAGAAGATCTGGCTTGTTAGACATCTTCAGCTCTTTTCTGATTTTCTGTACCTTTCCCTAGGCCAGAATTGCTCCTCCCTAACTACAGGGTTTATTTAGGAAAACTGGTAATAATATATGACAGATGGACATTGTCCTCAGAACATCTTCTGCAAGCCCTGGGCCTCAGAGGCACCCAATTGACAGCTCCCATGATGGATGAGATTGCTGGAAAAGGAGGGGCTAGCCAGAGCTGGCAGGGTTGGAGTTAATGCAAAGGGACCAGGACCAATGGGAAATTTAGGGATGTCAGAACAGGGATCATCACTGCAGTCCCCATCCCTGTCTAATATGCCATGAAACAGGCAAGAGCCATGTTCAGAGATGATTTCAAATTTGAGATATAAAGATAAGGTTCTCTTGAAAATAAAAGTGGGTGCCATAGCATTGTCATTGTGATCACCAAGAGCTTGGACATTGTTCTGACACGAAGACATATCTTTCAAGAACAACTTTCTTCATCTCTTTCTTAAGGATAGGGTGACGGAGGTGGCACAAAAGAGGATTTGTTTTGGAATATTTATCCTGGCATCTTTTAATTTTGTTCTGTCCGCTTTGCCAGAGCCCTGTCCATGGTAGTAAGAGCTGTAACTTCCTAATCATTCAATTTGTATGTCCATTACAGCCTAGGCCACCTCTGTGCAGCTTCTAGCTTTTAGAAATATTTAATAAAATGTAAAATACAGTGAAAACAAAACTAATGTTAATTATATTTAAGATTTTCTTTTAAAGAGAGTATAGGTCTTCCTAAGGCTTAATTATACCTAAAAAAGATTTTGTTGTGAAGGGGGTGGGGGAAGTTAATTCACTATATTGATTCCTCAGAGACATCCCTTGAGCTATAAATTGACATTAATTATTCATGGCCCAAAGAGGTTCTATACTAGGAGAAAATTTTTCCGTTAAGACCTAACTCACTAGCTCAACATTTTAAAAAGTTGATGCCTGGGTTATCAGAGGTACAAATGTGTCCTAATCGTGGCAGCTTGGGGGTGAGTCAGGCATGAGGGAAAATAGAGTGCAATTGACTATAAAGAGAGAAACAAACCAGCAAAAATCCCTCTTTTGCCTACATTATTTACGGAGAGAATCATTATCATTATCACCATCCAGATAAAAAGACTCTTGGCTGAGACCCCAAGATCATCTTCCTCGATAATAAAGGACTTTGTTCCCTCTCCTCAGACATCTTTTGTGCCCACCCTTCTTGTTTTCATTATTTCCCTACTAGGACAAATGTGCTTACAAAAATATTGCCCAATCTGGTTCCTCTGTAGGGAATTGACCACAGGTTGTGGACCATGGAATGACATACTACTTTATCATCCAATCAAACAAAAAATAATAAACAGGAGGAACTAGCTACGAGGTCTTGAAAGCATAGACCTCATAGCCAGCTCTGCCTTTGATGTTTCACTTTTTTATTCAATACTGATGTGGTGTTGTTCTTAGCCTATGACCTGCATGCGGTCCCCTGCAGATGGTGGAGATCTGAGGGCCATTGTTGTAGAGCGTGTTCATTAGATATGAAAAAAGAGACTGTGAATGAATGAAACAAAATGTCAAATCCCTTCAGATTCTTTAAGAATAAAAGCAAACACACCAGATACTGAATACTGCTAGGTTTTATATGTGTTAGGGACCTGAATTAATGTTATCTATTAATGTATTCTATCAAAGGGGGAAAAAATCTGGGAACTGATCACCAAATTAAGTTTTTTATGATGTTTGCCAAATCTAGGTGATACTGTTACATCCTTTTAAAATAAAATGCCATGTGTGCCATGTGCAGAGTATATACCAAGGCCTCCTCATGTGACTTTGAAAGGAGATGAAATTCCTCAACAGATGGAAGAAGAATGGATGCCACAGACAGAGATAATCCATATGCTAGAGAATGTTGCTAAATAGCTCACTTCATGAAATGGAAAGGTCAGTTGTTTGGATGAAAATTCACATTTAGCAGGCCCGTCTCTGAGTTTATGTCTTCCTTCATTTATTCTCTCAGATGTTTATAGAGTGCCTGTTATCTGCCAACACTGTACTCTGCCCTGTAGTTACAGCAACGAGGAAGAATGCATTCCTACCCTCAAGAAGATGACAGTCTAGTCTGGTTCTAACCGCTCATCACACCGTTGTCACCCTGATTATCTAGTTCCTCAAAGAGTGAGGAAGAAAGCATACCTATTGAGGGTGTACAATAAAGCCTGACCCTAAAAGAACCTGTAGCCTCCATTAGTTAGAGTGTGCCAAAAATAGGTAGTGTACAGTAATTTTGTTAAGTAAGGTTTTTTGTTTGTTTGCTTTTAATTACATATAAGGTAGGATTGTTAAATGGTGCAGCCACTTTGAAAAGCAGTTTAGCATTTCCTCAAAATGTTTAACATATAATTGCCATGTGATCCAGGAATTCTATTCCCAGGTGTATATGCTCCAGAAAATTAAAAAAGAACCTAGGTCTACACAAAAACATGTCCATGAATGTTCGTAGCAGCATTATTCATAATAGCACAAAAGCGAAAACAACCCAAATGCCCATCAACCGATGAATGGATAGATGAAATGAAGTTCATCTACACAGTAGAAAATTATTTGGCCATTAAAATGGAATGAAGTACTGATACCTGCTACAACCTGGATGAAATATAAAACATCATTATGCTCAGTGAAAGAAGCCTGACACAAAGGACACATATTATATGATTCTATTTGTATGAAGTGTCAAAAATGGGCAAATCCACAGAAACGAAAAGTAGCTTACTAGTTTCCAGGGATTGGAGCAAGGGAGACACAGTGGGGATTACCCATGGGCATGGGATCTCCTTTTGAAGTAATGATGAGATGAGAGAGATCCCTGACCCCTCCATGAGGCTTGCGATGGGGAGTGGCTCATTTTGTCTGGCCACTGAGCTCAAGCCCCTTGCAGGAGGGGGAGCATGCAGATGAGCGGGTGCAGGAGCCTGGGTGAGTACCTTTAGGCACCGGCAGGAATAAACCCCATACCAGCCCTCAGCAGAGTCTACCAGTTGCCTGCAACCTCTGAAACCCCAGAGGGCATGGGTTACAAACAATATTGTTTTAGCATTTGCCATCTGCAGACAGCTCAGTGTTGGCCAGCTCAGTGAAGAATCAGGGAGACATACACCCTGCCTTCTTGGTACCCAGGTTCTTGTCTGGCATCCAGGAAGAATCAGTTCACACGGACTTGAAAGATGGTGAACGTGGAGGTTTTATTGAGTGATGGAGGTGGTGCTCAGCAGGATGGGGAGCTGGAAAGGGGATGGAGTGGGAAGATAATCTTCCCCAGCAGTTTGGCTATCCCTGGCTGCTCTCTAACCATCCAGCTTCCTCTTCGATGTTCAGACGCTTCTTCTCTTCTCTCCTTTTCTGCTGTGCCACTCTGCTGCTCTGTCGCTCTTCTGCTCATGGAACCTGGGGTTTGGGGTTCTTATGGGCACGGGACAGGTGGTGGGGTGGGCCAGAGTGGTCTTGAAAAAGGCAACATTTGGACACAAAAACAAGAATTCCTGTTCTCATTTAGGGTCGTGGGTCCAGGCTTGAAGGTGGAGCCCTCACCAGGGATCCTGCCTTTCTGCCTCCTGTATGTATCAATGAGATGTTCTAAAATTAGATATTGGCAATATCTACACAGCTCAATGAAGACTTTTTTAAAAAGCACTGAATTGTGCACTTTAAAGGATGAATTTTTTGTGATATGTGAATTATATCTCAATAAAGCTCTTATACAAAATAAATAAGCCTGACCCTTGCTTTTAAGACTGAATGCTATTCCTTCCTTAATTCCTTCATTCACCTTCTACATGACTGCCCCTCTCCAATGCCCGACTGATCAGGAAGCTTACTCCTGTGCCCTTCACTTCTTCCCCTCTCCCATCCATAAGAAGTAGCCTAGCAGCTGGGCGTGGTGGCTCACACCTGTAATCCCAGCACTTTGGGAGGCTGAGGTGGATGGATCACCTGAGGTCAGGAGTTCGAGACCAGCCTGCCCAACATGGCGAAACCCCGTCTCTACTAAAAATACAAAAAATTAGCTGGGCACGGTGGCAGGCGCCTATAATCCCAGCTACTCAGGAGGCTGAGACAGGAGAATCGCTTGAACCCAGGAGGCGGAGATTGCGGTGAGCTGAGATCGCACCACTGCATTCCAGGCTGGGCGACAAGAGCGAAATTCCATCTCAAAAAAAAAGAAATATCCTAGCTTTTTTTGTGAAAAATAATTGGGAGAATGTGTAGAGAGTGACTAGGGGCAGAGAGTGGTCCGGGAAAGGGTGAAGCAGAGAGGAATAAAAGATGAGTGCCACATACCACAGCCCAGGGACCAGCTGGAGGCAGACTTGAGTGGGGATGAGAGCATGCATTGCTCTGGAACACCAGCAGCAGGGGAGAGATGTGGACGAGAAAATGAAGGAGTGCCTTCAAAATACAGCTGTGGGTTATAACTTAAATTCCACCCAACATTATCTGAGAGATGCAATAACAACTGGAGTAACCTTCTCACTCCTTTTTTTTTCTTTACCACATCATGTGGGGACCAAAGGTGTTTAAGTTAATAGTTCTTACTCTCACTTTTCAGTTGAAATATAAAAGGCTCAGAGAAATGGGAAGATTGATAGGGTTACATAGCTATTTAGGTAAAGGATTCAGGTTGGAATCTGGATCTCCAAACTCAAAGTCTTAGACTTTTTTCACTAACAGCAGAGACTTGGGAATCAAACTGCTTGTATCTGAATCACAGCCCTGCCACTTACTAACTGTGCCTCAGTTTCCCCAATTATAGTCCCTGCCTCAGAGGATATTTATAAGGACTAAGTGGGTTAATATACAAAAAAAATTTAGAACAGCTAAACACTCCATAAATGTTAAGTAGCAGCTGCAATAGAAGTAATAATTGATAGTAATAGTAATAATAGTGATAGAAATAATGGTAGTAGTAATATTAGTAGAAACTATTTGTTCAAAAAAAAATTTACAAGGATGGTTCTGGCTCCATATACATAGGAATAGTAAATGCCACTTAGGCCCACTATAGATACATTGTCCTTTTAAAAAATAATTCATCTCCCTTTGGAAACTGCAGGAACACGTAAACTCCTCAGCCATTGTATCAGAACTGTCTCAAGGAAACCAGGAAAAAGGTCTCTTTAAAACTCCTCCATGCTGGTTGTAGTGGCTCACACCTGTAATCCCAACACTTTGGGAGGCCGAGGTGGGTGGATCACCTGAGGTCAGGAGTTTGAGACCAGCCTGACCAACATGGTGAAACCCTGTCTCCACTAAAAACACAAAATTAGCCAGGCATGGTGGTGCATGCCTGTAATCCCAGCTACTAGACAGGCTGAAGCAGGAGGATCACTTGAACCCGGGAGGCAGAGGTTGCAGTGAGCCAAGATCGCGCCATTGTAAAAATAAATAAATAAATAAAAACCTCCTCTTGACAGAATATATGAGGGGCTCAGTGGTTTGGTTATGTGAAACATAATTTCCTATTCTGCTTTCCTGAATAGGATGATGATTATGTAACCCAGGATTTGGGGTATGCACAGTGAAAAATTATCCACTTATAACTGCACTTTGAGTCCTTGTTTCCAAACCTTCCAGGAAGAAGCTCAGCCCTTGAAAAACAAAAATGGGTTGGATTCGGAGATATCTGAGTTGGAGATGAACTTTGACAAACTTCCTTTCTTACCATACTAAAATCCCTGCCCTGGGAGGAGCTTATTGTTTTCTATACATGCAATGTATGTAGAAGCGTAGTCAGCAACTGCGTCTAAAGTGTCTTTACTCCACCTCTATGTATAATGACCAACGAAAGCCCTGGTTCCAACCTTGTTCAGGGAGGCGCTGCTTTGGGAACCATCCCGTGTCCTCCTTACTCCTTACTTGTTGCAAGTAATCAAATCCCCTTATTAAATCCTTTTTGGTTGTGGTTATTGGACTGACACCTCTGAAGCAATTGAACTCACTCATTTTGTGGGTAACAATAAGAATTGGTGATCTTGATACATGTGAAAAGCAACACACTTTGTATTAATTTTCTCCTAGAAAAAAAAAAAAAAAGAGGGAATTTGCCCCCTTGTTGGAAACCAGGACCCATAGCCAGAGCAAGTCTTACACTGACCAGACTCCCAGGATGGTAAATAACACAAAGAGAAAGCTGTTACTCATCCATCTCTTCCAGCATATGTGTCCCCCAGTTCGAAAAGGTATAAATTATTCCCTTCTTACAATGGCTGCCATCCACAGGCCCTCTGGGAGTAGGGCTCAGACACTACTCCACACCAGCCAATTTCATACACACCATCGCTTAATCCTCACACTGCTATCACATAGGCATTGCTTATTCACACTGTAACGTGGAGGAAACTGAGGCTGAAAAAAGCATAAGTGCCTACACCAAGGTCAAAAGCCATACTTGGATTTGTCTAAGATCACAAAGCTGGAAAGTGGCACAGAGTTCAAAACCTGACTCTTATTCAGGCCTCTGAGATACATCATAGCTTCCAAGGATGGAAGTAGAGGCTGGAGCTGGACTCCTACAAAAGTACAAAGATATCATATCATTAGCCTCCAAGCCATCAGAGCTACCCCGAGCTCTGGTCTTTTTGCTAGCCTTCATCAAGTCAATTCTTCACTCTAAACTCTAGGCCTAAAACATCTCTCCCAGGTTAACAATATTTCCCTGCACCCAACCCGTTATTTTACAAGCTATTTGATTAACTAATTTGAGTTTTACACCCTCCTCACATTCCCATCTGGGTAGCATATGTTCATTCAGTTACTGAACATTTATTGAACAAGATCATGTAGAAACATCTTTGCTAGGTATCGATAATATAAAGAATAAAAATGGATAAAGCAAGATCCCTATCCTAATGGTATTTACAATCTGGTAAGGAAAAAAAGATGAACAGAAATGATTACAGCAGAAAGCACGAAGTGCTGAGTTCCTAAGGAGCATGACAAATATAAAAGCATGTGAACAGTGACCTTTCTGGAAAGAATGCTACTCTAACATTTTAAGGCTCAGAGTCAGGGACACCCACAGATCAAGTCGAAAGCAAGTCAATAAAAAGTCAATAAAAATCTGCAATTATGCAAAAAAGGCAGGACAGACTCACAAAATCTACTGAACGTGTGCAAGGCACATTGCTATGGGAGCTGCCACTCTTTCCAGAGATAGAGCTTTTCTGGGGAAAAAAAGGAAACATACAAAAAAATAGAGCTTGATATTGATCTAGCAACACGGGCCATCCAGGAACAGCAGGCTATTTTATTCTAAAAATCTATAATACAATCAATTCCTGATGAAGATTTTATTATTCTTATAGAGATAATTTAGCATTTCTATAGCCATACCAACCAACTAATTTTCACTTACTCAATTTAAAAAGAGAAGTCAACTATAGATGTCTAAAGAATAAAGAATGTAGAGATGAAGCTGAGGTGCTTTTGAACCTTTGTACTGCTCTTTTGTTATGAAAGCATATTGCTCCAGTGCCTAAATTTCATCTTTCCTTTTTTAACCTACCACACTTGAAAAAGTCTATAGAAATGTGAATCTATTTCCATGATCGTGAAGTATTTTTGTTTAGGCCAATTAGGGGAAACTGATGAAGGACATTAGATACAATGATGCAGGCGTAATCACTGAATTATGGATCTCTTCTTCTACCTGCTAATTCATTCCTGCTGATAGTCAGGGTTCTCCAGGTCTTAACTTTTTTTCAGGTCCCAATTACTCAATGTAAACAAATGAAGAGGAAGTGTGGGTATTCAATGTGATTCATTTGAACAGAAGGTAGGAAACATTAGTATCGATGTATTCCAGGACTTGCAAGCAAAGCACAACTAAATTTAGCAGCCAGTGATATTGATTTGATTAAAAATGGTTTAAGACTTGTAAATGTCACTGGAATTTAGCAAAATGAATATTATTAAATCCTTCTGGTGATGGGGAAAACTAACAAAGGGATTTGCAGTGGTTTCTGTAATTAATTGCTCTGTCATGATTTATATTAACTTACAGTACAACTCCATTAGCTCAGACCTGTCATCTCTGCTCAAGGAACCACCAAGTAATCACTAGCACATTAAAGAATAAATTAGTTTTTGGCTTGGAGCCTAGTTGTAGAATGTTTCATTTGTGTCTGCTGTAGACATATGTACCTAATAAAGTTGGGACGAATGAGTTAAAGTACATATATATCAATGCCAGCGGGTTATATTTGAGAGACAATATGCTCAGCATTGTTCATTAGGTCTAATGAATCATGGTATTTCAGCTACATCACCTTGTGTTTAGCAAATGCCTTCAGGTAAGCTGAGATGCAAAAGATTCCTTGAAAACAGGTATGTCTCCAGAGAGTTTACCCTCTTAGCAGTCTGTGGTCTGTGGTTGTAATAATAGCTTCATGTGGTTTTTGTTAACACTTCATTACCCTAAAGTGGGATAAATTATCCTCCTGCTTCTGCCCTACGTGCAAAGGCAGAGCCAAAGCCTTAGCTACTACTACTTACCATAGATTATGAGGATTTGTAAGGTTCTATCAAATCATCTTTGACTTTGATAGTGGGATGACGCCTTAAGCAGTGCTTGATAGAGAACTGTTTTACATTTCAAAGAAAGCTACAATTGCCTTGGGGGTTTGTAAACTAAAACTTGAACCACTTCCTTTCCATTTCAGGCCAAGGAAAGCTCAGTTGGCACTCCCAAGATGATAACTGACACAGAGAAGAGGACCTGTGGGCAATGTCCTATGGAGGCTGTGCACAAGAAAGCTTGTGGCCCCAAGAGTTCACCAAATCTGCAAGGCTCCAAGGGCAAAGTCATTTCAGCTCAAAATCTCTGGGCACTACCCAGACGTTCATAATTTGTCCTGGATCATTTCTGCAATTTGAATCATCAGATGTCAGCAACTCCTTCACAGATGCTATGCCTGCAGTGCAAGGAGCTTGCTACACAGGGGCTTCTCCTGCCTGGCTGAATAGAGTGACAAATGTCCAAAATGCAGAAAGATTGCAGCCTTAGCCAGCTGGAAAATGCATACATTATTGAGGATAAAATATGTAGAGTGTGAGTCAATTTGTGAAATATGGGGAAGCTTATTTTTGCTCTTCTAATATGCTAAGTGATTAGATTGCATATTTGCAATGATTGGTGCTGATGGCTTTGTATTTAATTGGGGGAAAATCTGGAAACACCCCCAAAATAATTCCATTTGTTTCCTGCGTATTATTACATAGTTCTGACTTCATTTTAAGTAACTAACCATCTTAAAAAGAAACATTTGCTCCTGAAATAAAAGAAATTCTAAAAAAAAAAAAAAAAAAAAGACAGTAGCAGGGGAGGAAGTGAAGAGAGACAAGACATCAGAAAGGAGGGGGATGATGATAGGGAATATGGTAACAGAGACGCAATGGTTCAAGGAGAATATACGAGGATTTTGTAAAATAGAAAAAATATTTCTAAATATCGGTTTCAGCTAAACAATAAGCAAAGAAGGAAATAAAACTAGGCTTTCTGTGAAGTTTTTCCGTTTATTCATGTTGTTATGATGCCCTAACTAAAATCATCCCAAATATGGGGACAAGATTTAAAATAATGTCTGTGAAATAACTTCTCAGCTCCATAGTGTCATGTTTATTTTTACGGAGTATTTTTCATGATTTACCTTTGATCCTAATATATCAGCAATTAGATACAAAAATATGTCCCAAACTAGACTTCGATAGTAATAGTAGCCAGCATTTAATATTTGTTCAGCAGTGAGTGAATCATTTCATCAAAATAAGAATAAAGTGCAAAGAGGGGAAGCCAAGAAGAAAAAAATAAAATCAATTAATCAGCCAAAATAATTAGATTGGCTGATTACTTTTTATGAAATTGCCCCTTTGTTTTTTGGTCTCTCTTATTTTCAGTTGCTCTTGGAGCAAAGCCTCTGCGCTCAGAGAATTCGCAGGCTGGTGGGCAGATAGAATTAAGAGGGACTACGTGGAACACAAAGAGAATCTTTTCCTTAGGCGGTGCTTTGTGATTCCTGCCCTTTTGTTTATGTGTTTCCCAAAGGATTTGGAAATATCAAATATAGATTCTAAATCTATTAGAACAGTAGATTCCCTATGCACACACAAAAAGAAGCACATGCAGATCAAACATCCGCATTTTTCTAATCTTTCCTTGATGGCTAACATAGAAGCAACTAGATTATCCAGTTATAAAAATAGGGGTGATTCAGAAAGCATTAACAATTCCCATTTTCATAGTCTTTTGTTTTGAGCCAACTAATAATCCAGAAAGATAAATTAAAGTATCTTTATCTTTTTTTTTCTTGTTTCTCGCATCTGTTGGCCAGTTTTTGTGTGTGTGTGTGCTTGACAACTTCAAACAAATTATATAGCTTTCTCCCTTTTTTTCCCTCCACTTTGAGCTCTGGCAGAAGTTTCACATGCCGGGTTGAGCCCCAAGTCCTTCAGTAAAGCAAATGTTTCATTTTCAGCAGAGCCAACATATTCCATTCAGACTCATTTCTTTCACTTCTAGATATAAAGAGCAGCTGTGTCTCCCTAGTTGCTAAAGAAGATCCTATGTACAAAGTTAACAAAACACAGCTCGGACAATGGATTTGATCTCTACAGCAGGGAAGCCGTACTTTTCAAATTCATCTCTTTCTGGCTCCAACAAATTACAGGTCCCTGAAAAGATCTGGTGACCCTTTTTAAGTGTGCTTGTTGAACAAGCTCAGAGGTGACCATATGATTTAGTGCAGCATGTTAACACTTTGCAAAGCACTATGGTCCAGGATAGACCATCTATGGAGTACAGGCTCCCTCAGTTGGTGGCATTAGGGGATCCATTAACTCTGCACAAACTGTTTATTCAACCACTTTCTACTGATTGATGGAACTGTTTACCTCTCCACAGACAGGACTCCATGCTAATATATGGGTACCTCCTTTGACTCCCCACAAGATGCTCTTTTACCTTCTCAAAATGGTGTTGTTTAAACATTTGTTCTCCATTTATTTGATGGGACTGGGCAAGGCATACTTTTATTAGCAAACTTAAATAGTCCTGTATTTACACACTTGGAAGACATATTCAAGCATTTGGAATACAAATAAGAAACAGGTCATTCTTCTGGAAAAGCACTGTGCTATATATCAAGTATATTTCATGTTTTCCTGTGCAGCTTGTGGTCTCAGAGTTAGTGGTGAAGTCCATGCAACTTGCATATGTACCTCACCAAAGATATTCCACAAATTTAGGTCAAGGCTAGAAAAAAAGGTATCACTTGAGTACATAGCAGAAACAGTACTGATTCTATCTTTTTTTTTTTTTTTCCAATAAGGAACTGTGTATGGAAATACAAATTGAAGGGTGCTGTGTTTCTGATTGAGTGCACTGATTTTTTTTAACAGTCTCTTAAACAGTGGTGCTCTGACCAGCTGGTTGGGCAACCCAGTCCTTAATCTAGCTCTGCCCTTCTGCCTTCAAATCCAACCAAAGTTGCTCATCTTCTCCTGTGTTGGACTTTTCCTGACTAGCAGAAAAGGCACATTCCTCCCTCTTGAAGAAATAATTCCTGTTGCATAATTATTTCCACATCTTACCATCCGTAGATATATGTTTTTAATTATTTTTGAGAACTCACAAGAGATTGGATTCTGAGGTCTCTATTCTCTCTCTGTTCCTAGCCTAGGCTCTTGAATTCTATGTAAGAACCCTCTGGACATAAAATAAAGATTAATTACAATGATAATTCAATAAAGACTAAATTAGAATATTGTGACAAACAAAGGTCCTACCTCTATTCCATCTTTACTCACATTCCTACATGTTCTGTGAAGCCATATTTACATGTCTGATAATTATATGCTGGCTAAGATGATGCCCAAAAGTGGCATCTAGTTGACATGAAATTTGACTCAGGTGGTGTAATGCCAGGGAAAATGTTTGCCCCCTTTTAGGATTTAAAAAGAATCTATTCATGAGGATTATTTATGATCTGCACAATGAAAAATTGGTGCCCTTTGTCTAGAATTAATAGTAATTTGATGGCCTTAGACTCAGAAAATGTCAAATCAAACAGGAGCTGTTTCAAAATACTGATTCATGAAGGCAGGTAATACATTTACTTATATAATAACAAAATAAAATTCAGAAAAGACTCTAAGTGTCCATATTTAACTAATTAATCCTATAGAGAGCTTGACATGAATCAAAAAGAAAAAGTGCAAGAGTGGAATGTTCTGATTTAATAAGCATATTAGAGTGCACTCTCTCTCGCTATCTCTTTCTTTGTTCTATGAAGAAGCTGTATATGGTAAATATAAAAGATCCATTGTCTGGATCCATTTAGACAAAGGGCTGAGAAAAACAAAGTCATGAGTTTAAAATTTACGCAGGTCAATCAGCTTCTTCAGCTCCCATGACTCAGAAGGTGCCCTTACCCCAGAGGATCAAAGTATGGCCTATTGGCCAAATAAGAATGTCAATAGAAGAATATGAGTGAATCAGCACAACAGTGTTTATTCCCACATTTTACCTTAAATCAATATATGATTTTAATTCTTTTTATGAGCCCATAACTAAAAGGAGAAAAACACCTTTAAAGCACATGTCCTCTAACAATGATAAGTCCTACATTAAATCCAAAGACAACAAACATACAGGGAGGGATTTGGTGTAACTTGGCATAGACTTTGGTGTTTATTCAACGTAAGACTGTAGCTACATGACTTTGGTCATGTTACAGTCTCCCAAAGCTAAAATAGAAATTATAATACCTCCTAGTGTTTTTAAAGAATTATTCAATAAGGAGTAATTAGAGGTACAGGTATAGATTTAAATTCTATTTTTAAAGGGAATACATTGGAGATGCTCTCAACACAAGGCTTCGTGTCTGTCTTTCTTGTTGCTCCATTGAGTTAATTCTCCATATAAACAAACAGCAAGGTGATTCTTGCCTACAATTTCATTTTGTCTATTAATGTTTGGAAGAGTATTTTTGTTATGCACTACTTCAAAGACATAAAATATCAAATACAGGGTATTACAGCAGGTACATATCTTCCTGATAATGACTCCTCACTTCAAGTCAGTCATTTGCTGTTTGGGATAACTGCCTACCTAGGGTCATTTTTGAACTTTAATCAAAAAACTTCTCCCACATAATTTTACTAGGATGACTAAAGCTTCCAGAATTATAACCATTCATCAACTACACAAAAGATTTCTTAAGCAGCTAAAATGCTCTAGGGAATAGAGATTTGATAATAAATGACATGGTTTGTTCCTGCCTTCAAGGACTGTACAATCTAGTGATAGAGACAGACATATAAATTGCTATGCATTATACAAGGCAGAATAAACATGGTTTATAATAGAAGAAAGAGCTAAATGCTATTGAGTCACAGACTGTAGAGGGATGAATGATAAAAGAAAGTTCAGGAAAGGTTTCCCAGAAGAGGCAAAATGTGGACTTCAATAGTGAGTAGAACTTTAAAAGTCAAAGAAAGGGATTTCTACAATGAGCAAAGATCTAGGGCATCAGTCACAGCCAGCAACTTGGTATGGTGACAATAAAACCTGAATGGATAGATGCCAGGGTCAGTGAGGCAGGTCATTAGGTTAATAAGAAAGGGTGCTGGGCCCCATGCTAAGGAGCCAAGAATCCAAGGAGTAAATGTAATCAAAAAGTTTTGCAGAGGAGTCATAGAAACAAATCTACATTTTCAAAAGAAAACTCTTTAGCATAGAGCTGAATTGGAGAGGAAAGAGCTTGGAAGAATAGGGAATGTTAGGTGTGAATACCTAGAAAAAGAGACAAGCCAGTGAAGCTGGGAATTATGGTGTGCATTAGCAGGTAGAAATTAAGAACTCTTAGCAATTTGGTTGGCTGTGGGCTGGAGAAGCTGAAGGGTGGAGTGATTCAGGGATTCCAGCCTGAATGTGGCCATTACCCAGGGAAACTGAAAAGGAAGAGCAGGTTTGGGAAAAGGGAAATCACCAAGGTTGGCTTTAGACATTGAAGACAAAAGGATAGAAGAAAAAGAAAGAGGAAGAAAAGGAAAGAGAAAGGAGGAGGACAGAAAGAAAAGGAAAATAGCAAAACAAAGATAGATTAAACAGAGAAGGAGACTCATGTCCCAAAACAGAGTCAGTGTTTCAAAAAGCCAAATTCTTTGATATCATAAAGAGAGGAAAACCAGGTGATTTAATTCATCAATTGTATTTAATTTGTCAATTATAGGATTTATCACACTTTCTTGCAGTTTTATTGATCCATCACTAAACTACTTAAATTTCAGATTACTCATTCAAAACTATAATGTAATGGGTCAACTATAAATGCATTCATTCATTTATTTATCCAACAAATATTAATTGAGTGTCTACTATACGCCAGGCACTGTTGTAGTAAATCAAAAATCTTTGCTTTCACAGATTCTATCATTCTATCAAATGGGATTTTGAATCCTTTGAAAAGCAAGTTCCTGGAAAATAGAGTTGTCAAATTAAGGCCTTATTTCTCATTTTCACATGAAAGGAAATGAGACGCACTCATTAATATTTACAATGTAAGTTCAGGGACAAGAGATTTTATGGCTGCAGGAATCTTCAATCCTTTTAAGGAATGTTGTCTTTTGTCAGTCATGGCTCTGTGCCTCGCCTTCACAGTCTCTGTACTCATTCATGAAAAATGAGATCATTTAGATTAAAATGAGTGGTTTGCAACTGGCTGCTCATTAGGATCATCGGGGGAGTTTGAAACAAACAGGCACCGGACCCCACCCCAGACCAGTTAAAGCAGAAATCTTTGGGGGTGGGGAGTTCTTATTTCAAACCTCTCCCAGGTGATTCTAATGGTCATTGCCATGGTTGAGAACCACCAGTTGGACTATAAATTCTTAGTTTCACAGAAAGGAGAAGAGAGACCCACACCCCTACCTACCATGTTCTATAATTCCACAGCTCTACATGACTAATTTTCAGCCTGTTAGGTTTGGATACACTCTTTCTTTGAAGGTGCACTTCATTTTACATTAGTGAGCTGTTCATTCCTAGAAGGCAACATGAGCAATACAAGCTGAAGTGGAGAGCTGGAAATTCTCCAGGAATTTTGGATAATTGTACAGCCAAACTGGTATAAATCAGAATAAAAGTACATCACACATCTACTGACAATATATATATTTTGTTAACCCTTTAAAAATGAGGAAATACAGATTTTTAATCGTTAAATATTTGAAGAAGCCATTTACCTAAATATTTGTTTGGCAGGAGAACATCTTCAAATAAATATTATTGATGACCTAGTGCAAGAATAATATTTCCTAAATGTCTACCTATGCAGTTGACTATTGCATTTCCTTAATAATTTATTTGCTTTTACTTCAGTTAATACTGGGTGGATCTTTCCAGAAAGAACTGCCCTCTTTAAGTTTTTAACTGAAACCCCATTCAGAAGCCTCACCACTGAAAACTAATTTTTGGGGAAGATGTAACAGACAAGGTGGCCTTGGCCTTAATAAATGTGGAATTCTGTAGAATCCAAAGTAAAACTAAGTTTTCCTGATCATAACTCCAAGTTGATTATGTTACTTTGCAATTCATATAAAAAGTCTTCTTTTATTCTTCTTTCAAATTGCCCTCACCGTCATAGGGTCCTAAGAACTCAGTGCCTCAAATGGTTTGATTAAAATTGATTGTTAAAAGTTGAGATCAGAGATTCCTCTTTATGCATTCACTCCTGGCTTCAGTGGCTTCTTGGCTTTACAGGAGGCTCATTAATAGACCAGCTTGCCCAGTTTGTCATCTATTTCATTATGCAAAATATATACTTTTCAATTACTTTTCCTGTGTGGAAATCACTTAACTCCAACCTGATATAATGATTTCTTTGGGTTTCTTCTCAACCTCTGAATGGCACAGCTTTCCTAAAATCTCAACTGGGGGTAGAATACTTGGAAACCCTGATGGGAATTAATTTTAATGCAATGATCTTTATGTGCCCATTAAAATAGGAGTGAAATAGCTTGCAAAGCTGACCACTGGGCAAACCTAGTGTTGACCTCAAAGGAAGAAAAAAAATGTTTAAAGCTTTCTGATCATTTTGTTTAATCTATGTAACGTGGACTGTAAAGAAACTATGCCTAAAATAAAGCTTTGGTTTGCAACACTAATTTTATTTCAGTTCTGTGAATAAAGTGGAAAAAGTTAGAATGGGGATCTTCTTATCTTCTGATAGTCTTATCTAAAGTTAAATATTTTACAACAGTAGTAATCACACACACATACACACACACGCACGTACACACACACACAGACACACACGGAGCCAGAATGGTTACTATAACAGGTATTTGGTGGACAACTTTGCACTCACATTCAAAATATAGTTCTTTTATTTACCATATTTTCCTTTTTCTATACAAGAATCCAGATGCCCCAAAAGTTGCCCAAACATAGGTCTTTCTGGCTGTCTTCTAGGTAGACCCTGATGCATTTACATGCCCACAACGCTTCTTACCAGGCCCCCATAATATATGGTTATATCAACCTGGATATCTTGGTCCACCTGACTCAAAGTATTTTACTTCTCAAAACCTTAGTGCATGATACTTTTTTTTTTTTTTTTTTTTTTGAGATGGAGTCTTGCCTTGTTGCCAGGCTGGAGTGCAGTGGCCCGATCTCGGCTCATTGCAACCTCCACCTCCTGGGTTCAAGCAATTCTTCTGCCCCAGCCTCCTGAGTAGCTGGGACTACAGGCACATGTCACCACGCCCAGCTAATTTTTGTATTTTTAGTAGAGATGGGGTTCCACCATGTTGGCCAGGATGGTCTTGATGTCTTGATCTCATGATCCGCCCACCTCAGCCGCCCACATAATACATATTTTAAAAAGTACTAACACCTACGAAAATTATCTAGGTATTAAGAGGGGGCACGAAAAATGAGTCTAAAGATGTTCTTTTATTGCCATGATTCTTCAAAACGGGCAGGCAGTGCTGGCCCAAATGATACCTTTGTGAGATTTAAGGTAAACTGCAGCTTCCTCAAGACTCTTTACTGTTATCTGCCTCAAAATTGTTGCCAATCAATACATAAAATCTATCATACTATAAATGTGAATAATGTCCCCCAGAGGTAATATGCAACTTGCACAACTGTACATAGCTGCCCTGGGGAAGGAATTCTAAAAAGAAAAAACTGCTTCTAATTTTGCTTCTCTGGGGGTTTATCCTAATTCAATCAGGTACCAGAAAGGAGCGACTTTTATTACACAGTATGTATGAGAAATTGATTATATATATATATATAGTATGTGTGTGTGTATATATATATATTCATCAGGAAGAAATCATACTTCTGAATTTTTTGATTTGGCACTTATGACATAAAAGGACTAGGGTATATTTAAAGCAGTTCTTTGCAAGCCAGTAATAACCCAGAAAAATCTACCCTTATACTCCACATTGTCTGAATTGAAACTTGTTTGACAGCAGAATTGACCAAACCAAGGAGGGTTTGAAGTGCAGAAAATAAATGTGCAGGAGAAGGAAAATTAAGCTTGGAAGCCTCCAGGAGCAAAAATCTGAAAAACTCAAGCTTGGCAAGTATGATCAAGGGATTGCAATGGGAAGGCCAGGCAGGCTATGAGTGTCACAGCAAATGCAGAAAGGATCATCTCAGAGACTTCTGGAATTAGGCAGAAGGCAGAGAGGCAGAAGGTAAAGAGCTTTGACACTATACATACATCATTCAAATCCTGTATCTGCCTCTTACTCCCTGAGTCGCTTAGAGAAAATAACTTAATTTCTCTGATTTCAGATTCTCCTCTAAAAAAATAGAAATAAAAGTATCTAACCTTCAGGGATACTCAAACTAGGCAAGCAGCAAATTCCCTGTACCTTTCTGCTTTGCTATGTGAAGTATAACAAATAATTAAACAGATCTAATGTGTGCGTTTATATATCTGATGTTCATAGTTTATAAAGAAAGTGACATTATTTAAAATAAATGCTTGTCACTAAACCAACTTCATACTTCCCGTGCCTATTCTTGCTTCTTATAAAAAATTCACTTGACACTAGCTATTTTTTAAGTACATGGATTAGAGTATTTGACAAAATGTAAGGATATCCACAATAGAAATATTTCCCAGTAATTTACTAATTATATTTAAAACTGAATTACATCCATTTAGTGCTTTTCCTGTCATAGCAGACCAGTGTGCATCGGCAAATTTACTGACATAAAGTCACTGTGATCTTACATAAAGAAACAAGGATGTCAAAAATATCCTACAGTTGCAAATGATAAAATAGGCAATGTCTGGAAATGAGAATGCTATTACCAAAAGTGCCTCATCAGTTACCAGAGGAAGCTGGCAGTATGCAGAATGCAATGACTTCACTGTGATTGACTATGACACATAAAAGCTGTCAGAACCAGCACCTACCCAGGGATTAACCCTTTACTTTTCCAGCAAATTACTGATGGCACCTCTAAGCAGAATGAAGCTTTGCCTTGCATTGATCTGGCTGGATAATCCAGAAGATCTTAGCTGGGACAAGTCTGGAGGAAAAGTAGAAACCAAGTGTTTTATCAAACCCATTTCACATTATCTCTGGGTAATTGGCACAGAGAATGTGCAAAATGGTTTGCCAAATCTGTCTGAGATCGAGGCTTTACCCAAATGATAGACTCCTATTACTCTGAGCTAAACAATAATGTTCCTAAATGTACAGATGTTTAGAAGGATATAATTAAAAATCTGCAAAAAAATTTTCAAACCCCAGTACATTAGAGACATTTTGCTGGGATTTGTATAGGATTTAAAGAAAAATATTTAGTGCCCTGCCTTCAGAAACAAATTTTATACAAGCAAACCAACACTTAAATGTATAATCAAGGAAAGAGAATCATCAGTCAGTTTAGGGTAAGCTATGCTGCCTACACTCTTCAGCTGACTTTTTATAAAAGGCCCTAAGAAAGTGCTTTCCAGACCAGCTAGAGAGAAAAGAGGGTGTGTCAGTCAGCTCTCGCTTTAAAATACATTAAATCCAAGTGGCTTAAAACAACGACCATTCATTATTTCTCATAAGTCTATGTGTTGACCAGGTGCCTGGATCATTTATTTTATTTTTGTCTTTGCTTATAAGTCTGAATTTGAAGCAGGATATTTCCCTGACCCCTTGGAGTGACCCCTGACAGGGGTGCCTCATTTACCCAGCTGCAGCTTTCAACTCCTCCGAGGAGGGAGAGTGTGAGCAAATGAGGCAGGAACTGGAGTGTGTGAATACCCCGGAACCAGCTGGCTGTTTTGGAGCTGGCGGGAGTGAACACTCTACTCACTCAAACCCGCTAGGCTCCGTCCCTCGTGGGAGGGAGCGTGCAGGTGAGCGGGTGCAGGAGCTGGGGCCAGTGCTTTCGGGCGCCGGCAGGAGCAAACTCTGTGTGGGCCCAGTGGCAGCATCTGGGGGTGCCCACAACCCCTGAAACCCCAGAGGGTGTGTTACAGGGCTCTTTTAGTGTTAACATATTTTAAGTGTTAACAGCTCAGTGGGCCCTTTTGTATCCGCATTTGTAGCTCCCGAGCTCTTGTCTGGCGTCTAGGAAAAATTAAGTCACACGAAAAATTGAAGGATGGTAAATGTGGGAGATTTTCTTGCCGATGAAAGTGGCTCTCAGCGAGAAGGGGAGTTGAAAAAGGGATCGGGCGGGAAAGTAGTCTTCCCCTGAAGTCTGGTCATCTCCGGCCAGATTCTTCTCCAAAGTTACACCATCAAGCTGTCCCTCCAAAGTCAAGTCACTTCTCTTCAACGTCCAGCTGCTTCTCTCTGCTGGCTTAGTCTGGGGTCTTTATAGGCACAGAATGGGGGCAGGGTGGGCCATGGGTGGTTTAGAAAAAGGCAACATTTGAGCCGGTAAACAGGGATGTCAGTTCTCACTTTGAGCTGTGGTCTCAGGCTTTTCGGCTTGAGGGCAGGGACCTGGGGACCCACCCCTGTGCGCCTAGAATTTGCCAGGGACCCACCCCTGTGTGCCTAGAATTTCTCTGCTTCCTGACACTATCAAATTGACAGGTCAGCTAAGGACTGATTGGTCTAGGCTAACTCAGTGAACTGGCTGGAATGGCTCAATTCTGTCTCAGGTGGTCTCTCCTCACTCGGCAGGCTATCCCACAGAGAAGGGGTACCATACAGAAAGATGTGTGCAAGGCCTCTTGAAACTTGGGCTTGATACCGGCATAGGGATACATCCACTGTATTCTATTACTAAAGCAAGTCACAAAGTCAGTCCAGATTTAAAGGGTGAGGAAGAGGCTCTGCCTCTTGATGGCAGCAGCTGCAAAGTCAACATTGTAAAATATGTGGAAACAGGGAAGGGGTAAGAACTGGAGTTCTTTTCACAATCTATCACAGTCTGCTCTCTGGCCACAGTTATTCGTATTCTTCCCATATGTTAAATATACCCACTCCCTCATGTCAATGAAACACCTGCTCACTGAGTTGTCTATTAACTTATACTAAGATCACTTTTTAAGCTTACATTCCAAGAAGCATAATAACATCTGGCACAACAAATAAGTTGGTTTAGGAAGAACTCTGCATGCATATGGAGCTAACTATTCATAGCCCCTAAGTTTGATCTGTCAGTGAATAATATTTGCCAAGGAAAAAATAAAGGACGAAAAAGCAACACAACCATGGCCAGCAGTCATAGTCCTGTTTTTTTGTTTTTGTTTTTAAATATATAAGTTTTGGAAGACGATAGAGAATCTATATACGTATACATTCCCAGTCCATCCAGTCCATGGAGGAATCAACAAGCTTCCAGGTAACCTTTTGGGAGTGGCTAGGGAACTAAACTATAAATGATCTTTGCTGATTTGTCCTTTCATGTCACTGAAACACTTGGCAAATAATAAAATTATTTTACAATAGTAATTTAACACAAATTGGAAGATTGTGTTTCAGTCACAGAAGTATAAATGTGGCTAGCTTAAGCAAGTTTAATTTTCTGCCCAAGCATTTGGCCACCCAGAGACATGTAATGAAAAGCAATTGAACTTGCTTCTGTAAAACTATTTACTCCCTTCAGTTGCAGGGTTTATGGACCCATTGTTCAATAGTTCTCTCTTGGATTTCAACACATTCTTGATTGGTTGCTAAGTAAAAATATAAAGAATGCCAAAAAGTATACTAGATATTTGGACAGATTAGTTGATAAAGTACCATAATTATGTAATCAACAATTAAAAGACCAACTTGGACATTTAAAAGGCCAAGAGCCCAAGTTTTTGTTTGTGCTTATCATTCCAGTACGTGCTTGGAAAAATGCACACCAACAAATGTGGGCAGCCAATTTAAATCTTTCAAATTGTGCCACCACTGTATTTTCCCTGTCTAGAATGCACTAAAATGTAATCCATTCTAATGCAATTTAATAAAATATATATCATAGAGGAGAGCTACTACTTATTCCAGGTTTATATGCAAATTTATGGCTGTTGAAAATGAACTTTCAGAAACATTACTGAGAAGGTAGTGAGAGGAGCTACTACGTAAGACATAATTTGTTGGACTCAAAGTTTAGCTATATTAATTCCAAGTCCTAGGAAGTCTCTGGGAAGTAGAATCAACAATCAACAAAACTTTTGTCACACAATATAACAGCTGTGGAAGATTGGCATAGTAATAATCCTTAATGAATGATACCTCCTTCATCTAGACCCTTGTATCATTCCCTCCCACACTGCTTCTGAGCTTGGCCATGGGTCTTGCTTTGGCCGATGGAACATTGGCCAAATGACATAACCAAAGACTTGAAAAGTGCCTGTGCACTAGGGCTTGTTCCCTGGTAATGCAGGCATCACGTGAAAATGCCTGAGTTAGCCTGCTAAAGACAGATGAGAAAAGCTCGGATGAGAAAAGAGGCAGCAACAATTGCTAGGCATGCAGTGAGGCCATTTAGACCATTCAGCTCCAGTTGAGCCGTCAGATGACTGTAGTCACATGAGTGACCCCAGCCAGAGTTACAAAAGAACTGCCCAGCTGTACTTAGCCAATGTGATTAATATATAGAATTGTGAACAAATATAATGGTTGTTGTTTATGTGACTATATTTGGTGTGGTTTGTAACAAAGGAGAGAGAACTGATACAGCAGCAAAGTGTCACGTCCTCCCTTTGTTCTCTTAAGGTCTGATCATGCCTTTGCTCATATCCTGCCAGTTTCTTCAGCTTCCTAGACTGGTTCATCCATCCTCTGTCATGTCTGTCCTTAGTCTCTGAGCTGCTATCAATTCAATTCAATCCAATTCAACATGACTTTTTTGAGCACCCATTCTTTCTTCAGCCTTCTATTAAGTTACTAAAAATAATATCAGTTTCACATTCACTAAATGAGCTTCTATTCTGGGATAGCCCCTTTGTGCAAATATGTGTTGGATAAAACAAGTATTACACAGTTAGGTTATTTGAAAAACAGTTGATTTTTACGAGACTTATAGCCTATCAAGGGAGCTTAATATGAAAGTGAGTGTTGGAGAACAGGATATGCAGTGAGTGCACGAATGCATAACTGAGGGTGGTGGGACTGAGAGAAGGATGGTTGGAAGGAAAATGAAGAATCTGCAAGACAGCCATGGGAAACAATCAATAGCGACAAATGTCATTCCTTTGCTTTATGTCTCCAGAAGTCCTCCTTCCTGACCTCTCTTCTTTATACCTTCTTTTTCTTCAAAGCGCGTTCTAAATATCATGCAGCTTTGGCATAAATAGAAAAGTGTGTAAAATATATTAATTTTTAAAAAAATGCTCACAAGAAAAAGCACAGTAGTCCACTGGCATCTCCCCTACCGTAGTGTTTATATCCTCATTAGCCACAAAATCTGGTTGAAAGTGCAACAAAAATAAAGTGGTGGGTGAGGATGAGACACATGGCTGGACATGCTTTCAACAGCAGGCATCTGGCCAGCCACGTCAACAAATGTGGTCCACATGGCACAGAGTAGTGTGGTAGGAATGGGCCATGTAGTAAAGAGAGGAGAAAGAGCCAGTCCTCTCCCAATGTACAGGCTGCCCCCAAACAGATACCCTTCTACTTAGTCAGCACCACCACATTACTCAATTCCAGGCGGACTCACCTGGAACTTTGCCATGTGGCAGCTCTATTCTGCCTTAGGAATGAAAATTTAAACATGTTTCTTATATTTTATGCCTATCTCTTTGCTTGACTGGCCATGTCTATCTAGTAACTATGCAGAAAGATGCTGCTTCTAGGTAGAACCTAACTTACATTGGGTCTTGGACCACAGCACAATAATTTGGGATGACAGAGGGCATTGCCATTTTGGAGATGGGGCAACAGAAACATGCCACCAAATTTTATTGGGCTTCTATATATCTAGGCAAGGAGAGCCACAATCACCAAAATCAATGCAGGCCATGGTTAGATTGTCTCAGCACAGCAAATGAAGGACACTTTGTTTAGAAATTCTCAAGTGAAATGAAAAAAAATTTACAATTCAAAACACAGTATCTTAATCACATTTATTTTCTCTTTTTTTCTTTTTCTTTCTTTTTTCTTTTTTTCTTTTTTTAATTTATTTTTATTTTTTTGAGATAGGGTATCCCTCTATCGCCCAGGCTGGAGCACACTGGTGGGCTCACTGCAGCCTCAACCTCCTAGGCTCAAGCGACCCTCCCACCTCAGCCTCCTGAGTAGCTTTTGGCAGAAAAGTATGAAGATATTCCCAAGTAGTTCTTCCTTTATGCAAGAATAAACAAGAAGTAATTTTATTCAAGAAAATTTATGAATCGAATGATAAATCAAAATCTATAATGAACTCTACCACTATGCTGTGTCTAAAAGAAAACTAAACCCACATGTGTTTATGAACCAAAATTATGTCAAAAATCACTTTAATTTAAAAATGGTTTACCTTCCCTAATTTCATTTTTTATTTGCTATACTTCACCTTTCTCTTTAACTCCATTGTTACAGTGAAGATTTTCTAGTAATACTTTGCATACATTTTGCCCGTTATAGTTAGGCAAACGATTTATGAAGTATTTTCTTATTTAATAGACACAGACCTGTTAGGACCCGTTAGATATTCAACACATTTTTCGGAGGAGGAAACTGAGAGTTGGTCCATTTCATTGATTTGGCCACACCCATGGGGAAAACGGTGGGCATGGGTCCCTGTCCAGGCTAGATTCCTGCTCTTCCTTTTGCACCATGCCTCTGCCCTGGAAAAATCACCAGGTTTTTCCCCAGCCTGGTGATAGGACTGCTTCATGTAACAGAAGCAGACAATGTTTGCCCACAGGTATTGTCTTTAGAGGTTATCTTTTCATTTGCTCAAGTTCTATTTGTGTTGTTTCTACTATTTGTACTTACTGCAGTCTGTTTCTCCATCTTATAAATAAGTTGTATTTGAAATGCTCAGGTATGGAGACCTTTGTAAGAGAAAGACCTTTGTGGCTTATGTCAAACTTGACATGTAAACCGTTGTGGAATATCTTTTCACTTTAGTATTTTATGATTTTTCTGGAAATTGAATAAATCAGCAATTCTAGTGTCTAAAAGAAATATGTGAAGAGAATGTGCTTTTTATCATTATAACTGTATCCAAAATTCCCAGAATGGAAACTTGAAAATTACCTTAAAACATAGTTTGGGATTACATATTTGAATTACTTTTTTAAAATGTCCTATTTTAAAAGAAATTAACATATTTAAAAGAAAAAATTCCTATAAAGTTCTCTTTATATTTAAAAATACATTTTTTCCATAAAACTAGTGGTTTTTATAGGTCATCACAGTATTAAATAAAAATAGTTGGGCAATAGTAAAAGTCTAAATTATCAAAGAATTTGGATTAAAAGATCAAAACAACATTTCTACACTTAAAGAAATTATTTTCCTTTAAGAAAGTTTTTGCTTACCTATTCATAATATGGAATTAAAGTATATATTTCTTATCCAACATACAATTATATGTGTTAGAATGATTAAGTATGTTATATCTAATATAACTATTAAGTATTCTCCTTGTACTCTTTGTTATCCTTTAGAGATTTTAAATCCATAGTAATATTTAAATCACAAAATCAAGCTAAAGATGTAACATGAAGATATTTTCATATACAAACTTGATTTGGATTATGTCACTTAAGCCCTATTTAATACTAATATGTGACATTCTCATAGTACTTTATCACTTACAAAGTACTCTTTTTTTAAAAAAGCTCGTTTTTAATTTAAAATCAAAACAAATATTTAATTCCAAATTATTATTTTTTCTTCTTGGTGAAAAAATGTACACAGAAACATTTGAACTGTCTTCAGCAGAGGTGACAGCTAAATGAAGACAGCAGAGAAAAGAAATGAAAACGAAAACAGAGATCATAAAAGAAAGAAAGAATACTTTTAAAAGATGGAGAAATAAGGAAAGAGGTTTAATGTAAACGTGATACAGTCATGTTGATTTAACTCATACATAAGTACACCAGGCAAAAAAAATGGCCACATAAATGTGCTGGGTAAACTTTAAGAATCCAGAAAGGAGCCATTCATTGCTCTGTAACCTCAGCGGCAAGCTAAAATTATTTCCTAAATAACAGATTTCCAGTCTTGCTGAATTATTGTGTAACTGAGGGGCAATAACTTTAACCTAATCTCTCCCTTGGCTATCTGTAAAATGAACAACATGAACCAGATCCAGGTAATCTTAGATGCCATTTTCAGAAAATTCAATCTTGGAAACTTTTCTATGGAAAATCGAGCCACCCAACAATTCAGGTTTTGGGAGTTTTAATTAACAAAGTGGTTAACATCTAAAGAACAAGAGAAAATAGTATGTTAATTTAGAAGTTTAAAGAGCATATGTTATTTTCTTTTTCAGGCCCCATTATCATGAAGAGGTAAGTTAAGTTTGGCCAGATATTTTTGAGAACTGCTATTGCTAGAAAAGTTTAACTCAGATGTCACATAAAAGTTTCTCTTGTGAAATACTGAGATTTCCAAATAATGCTTACATTTTCTAACAAAGTCATAAGTCAATTTTAAAATTTGCTTGTCTCTTAACTGGAGCAAGGAGTGGAAAATGACAAATTCATATTGCTTCTTATATGCATTCATTCATACATGTGCTTAGTAAGTATTTTACCTAACTCAGTTATGTAGATTTGGCCAATGGAGCTTGTTTCTTTTAGTATTTATCCAGTTTCAAATTTAATACAACCTACCATTATGATTTCAGCAGTTGATGGTAATTTTGTCAGGCATTACAATTCTTATGTGAGAATTCTTATGAAAATAAACTAGATATAGATTTAGATAAGTTCAGGTTATGCTTATTGATATATAGGACTTGACAATCTAATCAATATTTTTTCTCTGTAAAGATTTCAACTTGTTTTATAGATCCATATTGATACATTGTAGTTTTTAAATAATGCTTCAAAAAGCTGAAGAAAGTGAAAAAAATTGTTTTGATCATATGTCTTTTAATATGAGATTTAAAAATTAGAGTTCTTTAACCTGGTAACAAGTTTGCAATTTAGGTGACTAAGTTTGAGCCATCCTTTAAAGAACTGGGTAAGTGTTAAAATTTTCAACCCCTAAGTCTAGTTCTAGTTCAAGAAAGTAAATTGGGCACACACTGTGGCCAATTATATTCCCTGAGAATATATTGTCGTATAACCTAGAAGTTTTTTTTGAAAAATGAAACAATGGAGAAACACTATACCCAAGACTGTCCTGTCTTCAAATCTGCAGAGAAGGTGGATGCTGAGCTGTTGAAATAATAGACAGACCCTAGGTTCAGAATTGCAAAAATTCTGTGGAGGGAAGGAGTTATAAATAAGGCGAAACATTGAGAATGAATTGAAGGCATCTTTATTGCATCAGGCAATTGGCATTTACTCCTAGGCCAAAAAAAAAAAAACAAAAAAAAAAGGTTATTGGGAGTGGGGAGGGCAGGGTGGGTAAGGGGTCCTGAAAATAAGTGGTAGAAAATGCCAGAAGAAAGCTGAGGATTCAAGTGAAGATATTCATTCTTGGAGTAGCTGTAGTTCTAGAATTTGGAGAGTCCTTAACTTGTCAATAAGAGCTTTTGCCCACTCATTCTAAAGTGAAGTCTTCTAAAGGACATGACTCACCCCATTCCACTAAAGGACATGACTCACCCCATTCCACTGTACTTCACATAGAATCACCAGTTATTAGAGGGACTTAATGGGAAAAATATCTTACATATAGAACAGTAGAGGAAACCCACACCATTCTATATATAGTATTTCTTCTTAAAATATAAGTGGGCAAAACAAGATATTTGAGAAGAATTAGTAGCATGGAAGAAAAAGACTAAGATGAACAGAGGTAATTCAGGGAATGGAAGAAAACATACAACACCTAGCAAATAGATGGAAGAGATGTTACATCCATGAAACAAGAATGGTTTGCAATAAAAAAGGTTTCATCAGAGACCACGGCAGAACTCTCAGAAATGAAAACTAACTGGAGAAATTTAAAATTTTAATTAGAAAATTAATACAGTTAAGAAAATATTACAGAATGTAGAACAAAGAAACAAACAGAAAACAAATTAGTGAAAAAAATTACACACACATACACACACGCACACACTTATCTATCTCTCTATATATATCTAGTTCAGTACTTGCAATATAGGCATCCTAGAGAGAAACAATGGACAAAGTAGAAGGAAAAATGATCAAGGAACTAATAAAGGAGATGTTCCCAGACTAAATGCAGTCATAAGTCTGCAGTTGGAGTTTGCTTACTAAGTGTCCAGCACATTAAATAATAAAAGGCTCACAACCTAAACAGATTTTTGAGAAATTTGAACATCCAAATGAAAAAAAATAGAAAATCCTAAGTCTTTCAGAGACAATAAGTAACTACAAAGGAAGAAAAATATGATAAGCATTAGACTTTCAGCAGCAACATGGAGGCTAGAAGGCAATGAAGCAATGACTTTAAAATTCCAAAGGAAAATTATTTCCAACCTAGAATTCCATACCCAACTAAAATTTCAGTCAAGTATGAGGGGAAATTATAGACATTTACATATATGCATGGGCTTACAAAATTTAAACCCTTTCATCTTTCTCAGAAAGTTAGCTGAACATATACTTCTGTGTAGTAAAGAGGTAAGCTATAGATTCATCCCAGAATAGTAGACAAATCCTGAGGAATGGCAATACAGCATGTTGTAGAGTGAAACCCTGCCAAAGGAGAGTAGGAGGAGAAAGGATAAGCTTCATAAAATGAAAAGAGTAGCTCTCAGATAAAAACAATTAATAAGAGCATAGATAAACTTCAGGATTCAAACAAAGTAAATTATGCAGAAATGATCAATCAAAACTTCATGAAATGTCAGAATGTTTTTATCAGAAACTCTCAGACTAAATATTAAGCAAACAAAAATGTGGCTTAATGCAGGGGTCCCCAGGCCCCCTGCCCACACAGCGGTGGGCAAGCATTACTGCCTGATCTCCACCTCCTGTAAATCAGCAGTGGCATTACATTCTTATAGGAGCACAAACCCTGTTGTGAACTGGGCATGTGAGGGATCTAGGTTGCACGCTTCTTGTGAGAATCTAATGCCTGACGATCTGAGGTGGAATAGTTTCATTCCAAAATCATCCTCCTCACCACCCCACCCCCACCCTCATCTGTGGAAAAATTATCTTCCATGAAACTGGTCTCTGGTGCCAAAAAGGTTGGAGATGGCTGATCTAATTGATTACAAGAAAAGAAAATTCACTTCATCTTGATGCTAGAAATATTCTCCTACTGGCTTGGGACATTGGACCTGAGCTGGCCCAAGAGGGAATAATATTTACAAACTTACAGATAATATATATATAAGTATATATATTATACATTATATTAATATATATAATTATTTTATGCATGTATATATTTAACTATTCGTTTTTAAATTTTTAGGTGAACATAGAAAAGCCTGGAATAAGATTCTTGGCTATGATTACGGGATAAACTGTAAACATTACCTACCCCGAGAATATAAAAATAAAAGTGCAGCTGACAGAATATGGGACGTGGCAGGTCGGGGCAAAATTACTCCCATCATTAAGTTTGGAGAGTGAGGAAATATTGTCAAAATTTAGTGAAACAAGAAATAGAAGTTTAAAGTTATAAATATAACAAACAGAAGAATATAAGTACATAATGATATATAATGAAAATGTGATTAACAAACATTGAGAACAGGAGTGACAGAAGTCAACATGCAGTGAGCTACATATGCACCTTTCACAGAAGGTGTTCAATAATGTGGCATAAGGTTGATGAATCTAGAAATTTTAAAAAGTAAAAAAAAATATTATCTAGAGATATGAAGATAATCAATAGGGAACTTAAAAATGAAAATGGTTGACTTTGCCTTTGTGCAAGCAGCATGGGGAAAGCTGTGAGTGTTGTTTTGAATTGTATGTCCTCTGACAAATACTATATGCTATTTGTTAAAGAAACATTTGTTACTTTGATAAAACTATTCCTTTCAAAAATAAATAAATAATTTTAAATCATCAAGATCTTGCTTAGACATGAAAAAGAACAGTCGACACAATATAATTCTGGACTGCTTCATCTACTGGAGAAAATGATCATAGCTGCCATTTCCTGGGCACCTATTTTATGTGAGGCAGGATGCTGGGTACTTTCTATACTGCAGATCACAACAAGGTACAAATTGGAATGCTTACCTCAAAGATGTGGAAACTGAGCTTCAGGGAATTTAAATAACTGGTCTGAAGTCATAAAGCAGTTGAGTGGTAGATCCAAACCCATTCCAAAGCCTAAAAATATTTAAAAACCAAATGATAGAGGTCATATTAAGTGGTCCCTAAAAGTATATTTCAAGTCTGATATTCTCTGATTCCAAAGCAAAATAAGATAACATTCTACTCAATTTTTTCACGTTAACCTAAAAATCAATACAGAAACCCAATATAATGTGGGTAACTAGACAGTTTCATTTTCAGGGGTTGCGTATGAGGGCCAAAAGGTTTATTATCTAGCACAAGTGCCGGAATGTTCACTTGCAGGCCCTTCGTACATCTGGTGTGCCTGCGTCATATTACACATACTTTATTTGATTAATGTTTTCTTGAGCCTACAACATTTCTGCATGCAAAAATATTACACTGTTACAGGAAAACAGTAAATCAAACAAAAAAGGGGTCCCTTTATCAAAGCCTAGTTTATGTTTATTTTAAGAGTGTTCAAAAATCCACTCCATGCGGTTACGTTTTACGGCTCGTGAAAACAAGCTCCAAATTTACAGATATTTCATAACATTCCTATCAGCATATAAGAGCTTCTTTCACAGCTGGCACAGAGTGTCCTTTCTTCTGTCTCTTCTAAATCGGTAGGAAGCTCCTTAGATCTCCTTTTGCGAACATTTTCTCTCCTGGCAGTGGGGAATCACAAAGGGGACGCTATTGATCTGGCGCTGAAGGGAAAATTTCCACACGATGAGATAGCTAACATAAGTACAAGTTCAGGCAGGAAACCAATGATTTTATTAATTATTGCTGGTCATGTCATTATAAAAAATACTCAGGCTAGAAGGAAAAATACAGAATGTTAGTATGAGTGTGTGTGTGTGTGTGTGTGTGTATGAGAGAGAGGAGAGAGAGGAGAAAGAAGGGACGGGAGATGGGAATGAATGCCATCCTGTAGACACCCCACCAGCACTCACCAGAGGAAATCAAGTTGCCGCCAGTTTGGCTGGGGTTCAGCGCCATCTGCATAGTATTTAAAAGTGAGAGCCAAACTCTGAGCTATTTTATTGGAGTTAGTAAGGAAGCTCTCCAATCTATATCTGAAACTCAACCGTTCCAGCTTCTGAGCATCACTAAAAAGAGCTTATGGAGGTCAAGGAACTTAAAAACAGCACGAGGAGCCGCTTTGCAGTCCATATAAAACTAGGAATCAGGAGCCTGGGCATTTGCAGAGACCATTTGGTCTCTAATGAATGGTGGGAAAATCCTGAGATGGCTCTTGGGTAGAAGATTGTGAGATAGAGGACAATAATAGTACAGTATTAATAGGTAAACTAGACACAGAGTACTTACTCTGGGCCAGGCAGGGTTTTGAGGTTTTTACATTCATTAATTCATTCAATATCGATGGTAACTTCATGGAGTATTATTATTATTGTCTGTACTTTTGCTGAAGAATCTTCCAGGATGAGTTCCTACATTAGGAATTCTCTTCCTAATGTGATTTTTAATTTTTGTTCCCTCAGAATCTAAGACTGTACTTGTTTTTTGTTTCCAAGTGACTCAGAAGTATGCAAATTTGATTCTCAGTTTCTTTCAATATCCATGAAGCCTTTTAAGAAAAACACAGATTTGAACGGATTAATAAGATTTATTGACAGATATAGTTAATAGTAATAATAGCTATTTATTGAATGCTTTCTAGTGCCAAACTCTCCTTTCCATATAATAAATTAAATTAATCCTTATAACAAACCTATAAAGTAAATGCTGTTATGACACCCATTTATAAATGAGGAAACTAAGTTACAAAGTATTAGGTAATCTACCCAAGAACACAAAGCTAGTAAGAGGCAGGAATTAACCCAAGGCAACTGACTCTAGGTTCTATTCTATTGTTCTGATATCTATTGCTACCCCCCCAAAACTTAGTGGCTAAATCCAACACTTTGTTATTATTTTTTTCTCAGTTCTGCAGAATAACTTGGCTCAGTGAGTGGCCTCACTGGGGTCTCTCAAGAAATTATAATCACATGGCAGCGAGGGCTGGAATCAAATGAAGACAAAACTGGGCTGGATGTCTAAAATGCCCTTTCACTCACAAGCCTGCACCTTATCAAAGACGGCTGGAACTGTTGGGAGTTGGTTAGCCCTCTCCCTCTCTCCCCATGTGGCCTCTCAGTGTAGGTAGCTTGGACTTCCTCACAGTATCATGGTCTCAGGTTAGTCAGATATCTTACATATCCCATGGTTTTCCCCATGTGAGCAATCCAAAAGACCCAAGACACTGTAGCAAAGTTTCTATTCACTTAGCTTTGGAGGGATGCAGCATCACTTCCATTGCATTCTATTAGTTGAAAACAAGTCACAGAATCAGCCCAGATTCAAGAAGAAGGGATTTCACAACAACAGTGTAAATACTGGGAAGCAAGATTCACTGGGGGCTCATCTTTGCAGACCAGTACCATAGCTCTTAGCTACATTTATTTGCTGCTTATTCTGCAAACTGGAGAACTGGAGTTTTGGTTTTAGTTTGAACGAGGCAAAACAATGCTACTGAAAATAAGTACGTAGGAAATCCTTTCCAAAACAATAATCTTTTTCCACTAGAAAAATCTGCAGAGGTGGCACTGAGTTGGCCTCAAGTCGGCCTCAAGATGATAACAACGAGAGGAATTATAAAAATGTCTGGAAAGACTCTAAGCCTCATTAGGTAAGATAAAAATTAGCATTTTTTCTAACTCCTTCACTCTTTGGAGCAAAGTTTAAAGTCTCCCTAGAATGCAGGCATTTTCCTATTGAGTTCTTGTCCTGGCTCTGCTGCTAATTAGCCTTGACCAAGTCACTCAACTTCCCAGCAACAGTTTCCTCTTCCTTTAAAAGCCAATTATAAGTATTTTCCATCATGGAATTGATGGGAGGATCAAATGAGATTAGGTACATAAAAGTGATTTGAAAAGTAAAAAGCAAAGAACTTCTTACTATTGGATCTTGCTATTAGCAGATTATTGGTTTGAAGGATGTATCCTCTCTTAGGCAGTAAACTCTGGGTATCAGGGACTGTCTTGTGCAACGTCCTCATTGCCTAGAACAGAGAAGAGCCCATAGTTAAGGAGAGCGTATACTTTATCATCCAAGTAGGAATACTTTTAAGGGTGAAGAGGACATTTTTAATAATTGTGCTATAGAACAGAAGGTATAAAACAGATGTATGGAATCCTATCCTAGTAGACAATAAACATTTGTTGAATATAAATATTATTTGTATTACTTATTTTTATTTTTGTATCTTCCTCATTGTAAATTTCTTGTCATTCTCTCTTATCTCATCCTTCCTTCACTCTCATCCAAGTTTATCTTTATTTCCAAAGTCAGAAGTGAAAGTTGATCCCATATCTACTAGCAAGGTGGCCCTTTCATTAATAGATTTTCACTACTCTGAATGTCAACCTACCTTCCAGAAATTAGAGTGACATTTTATTAACGCCATATGTAATTTTTTTAGCACCTATTACATGGCAAGCTCTGTCATAGCTGGCAGTGGGGGAAGCAATGGCCAAGACAAGCAAGATTCCTGCCTTCGGAGAACCTACGTTCATGTGAAGGAAGACAGACGATATACATATAAAGATAATGATCTCAGATTCTCCGTGTTGTAAAAGGCAATAAAACAGGAAGATTTGGTAGTCAGTGATGCAGGTTTTAGAAAAGGCAATCTACAGAAAGGAGGCATTTCAGCTGACATCTGAATGAGTGAAAGATCTAGGTATTTGAAGGGCAGAGGAAAGTGTTCAAAACAGAGAAAGCAGAAAATACACAGGCCTAAGGGTGGATGAGCTGGACAGTGCACTGAGGAAAGGAGAGCTCATGTGGCCAGAACCTAGGAAACCAAGGGGAGAGGTACAATTCTGATTGGAGAGCACTGGCTTTGAATTCACATAGACCTCTCTTAGACCTCCTTATTCCTATGGTATTACCAATTACACTCTCCAAGCCTACTTTTTAGAATTAATGTGAGGATTAAACAAAATGAAACCTCCTACACAGTGTAGATGTCATACAAATGAAGAATGCCAAAGAGTTTCAAAATTATCTTAAGTTTCTCAAATGAACGCTCCTGAACTAATTCATAAAGGGCTGTATTCGTAAACCACTAATCCAAGGACTAGGTGTAAAAAATAAAACTAATATCATCTATAAGGAATTGGGGGTTATATTTTTACATTTTTCTTGATGGTTATTGAAAACTTATGTATGTGGTCGATCTGAATACAGATTAGCAGAATACAAATTCGAATAAGCTAGCAATCATTTGTGGGAAACTCCTCTTGCACCCTAGGCCTGGTGCCCTTTTCCCATTTCCTAATCCCCTTGTCTCAGTGTTCCTTACACATACTATTAATTTTCCCAGTAATATAACCAGATCTCAGGCATTAGGTTCCCCATCTTCTTGTTAACCCTTACCACATCCTACTCCATCTCTTTCATATAATAAAATACTGCTGTTTCTAAAGAAACCTCAAGCTAGTCAGTCCATACTGAAAGGGATTAAGCTTTCTAGTTAGAACTTGGCCTTTTTGTCTTGTCCTGCACTGCACCTGTTGTGCAGGTGCCATTCCAGCCGCTCTCCACTGAAATGGACAGTGTATGAAGTTCTTTGTGCAACTCTGCAGGTGCATTAATTATAGACTACCTGGATGCATCTAGAACACTTGGCAGTAGCAAGACTGCAGTTAATGTTCTGTTAAACAATGTTTCCAATGGTGTATATTGTGGAGAATTATAAGAGACAGTCAGATAATGGCTTACTGTAATCCAGGAGCCATCTGATCACCTCAATTGCATCCCTACTCAATTTTGTTGCAAAATAAATCTTTTTCTTTGATAATGAGTCTTCAAAATTGATAATAGGTATCTGCATTGGAATAAGGAATGAGAGAGTAATATTTACTGCCACAAAAATAGTTTCTAGTCAGGGAAATTCATTAGCATTACTGAAATGTTGGCTCTTGTATGTGAATGAATGTGCCCTAGTTCTTCTCTGAAGCCAGGAATCCCAAAGGCATTTTCTTACTTTGATTTGAAATGTGGAAAAACTCAGTACTGCCAAAGATTGCATTTTTTTAAAAAGGTGAATCTGAGTGGATTTTCCACCAAGTGCATAAGAAACCAAAGCAATTTGAATAACCTGTATTGAAAATTTAAAAGCACTCATGTGGAAGAGTCAGCATGCAGATCTCTCATTTGAAAAAGAATAAAGGTAATTAAATCATCCTTTTTTAGTTAGTCCAAAGAATACCCACTAAGATGAAACCAGTTTGTCAGCTCATTAGGTAAAGTACATAAAGGCAGCCAAAATCATCTTAGCTCCCTGGAAGCTCAGAGAGCTTCAGGGAATGGACCAACCAATATAGAAAGATTGGTCAGGTATGTGTCCTCTTACCCAGGGAGAAGAGCATCTCCACCAGAGGAATGGCCTATTTCCCTAGTCTTTCAACTAGATAAGAAAATGTTTTTGAGAGCAATTCTTTGACTCAGGGAGGTAGGTGCAGGTGATGGCAGGGAGGGGCTGGAGGTTTTCTTATTAGAAGGAAAAGAAACTTGAGACATCACGCTGTTGAAACTCACTATTTTCAGAGAAGGCAAGTTTTCAGTTACTCATGTTCAATCATCTTGTAATAACACTGAAGAGATATCAAGAAAGTAGTCCTAAAAGAAAGTTATTTAAGGCTAAGTTTGGGCAGCTCCTTCAGTTACATTGGGCCATTAGTGCCTAATGATAGAAGCTGTCTTGAATATAAAAAGGGATAAAGCAGAAAAAACAAGAAAGGAACTCTGAGAAAGAACCAGACATAAGTCAATACTTCAATTTCATACTTCACTAGTTCCTCTGCTTTTCTTTGTTTCCTCTTGTTCTTCCATGTTTACCTCTTCCAAAAAAAATACAGCCCAAATCTCACCAGAAAAAAAGCTAACTTTCATGTCTCTCAGTAATTTTATTTAAAATACCATCACTACAGACTAGGAAAGGCTATTTAAAGGAAATAGCATAACGGTATTCCATTTACCTCTGGAATCATGAAATCAAATATAAGAAAACCATTTTTCTTAAAGTTAAAACCTTGAAGTTTCCATGGAAAACCAAGATCATATTCCCTAATCATCAACATCTATGTTGTATCCCAGGCTCAGTCTCAAATTTATTGAGTCCCATGTGTACAGTATGGGATACCTCCACTGTGATCCCTTCAAAACTGGCATTTATACTGAACCTATAACCTCCTCTTCAGATTTCTTCTTATGGCACACACAGATACGCAGATTCTCACACTTCTACCTCCGAGATCATTTTGGAGCTACCACTACTCTCCTTCACAAATAATTCAATCCCATATACTTTACTAAATATGTATTGAACTCTATTAAGTGCCTGAGAAATAAAGCTAAATAAAAGAACAATCCTACCTTCCAGAGACTCAGAGTGTGGTGTGAAAGAAAGACACATATGCAAGTGACTACAACACAAGTTGGACTAGGATCAGCTCTAGCGTAGACATGCAGAATGAAATGACTGAGGAGTAGAGTTTCAACAGGCAGAATGTGAGGGAAAGCATTCGAAGCAACTGTGACAACATGAGTACAAGCACAGCGTGAGAGACTAGTGAGTATATTCAAGGAAATGAAAGCGCTCGGTACATGGCGTGCCTGGTGGAATTTGGTGAGAAGAGGCTGGAGAGCTAATCCACGCCCTCTGTCCATCAGAGCACAGGTCACACCAAATGTGATTCTTCCTTACCCTGCGTTCTTTTAACAAATTTGTTCCTATTCATGTTGCCAGGAGAAGATTTTTCAGTCCGTTCATCTCTTCATGTTTGATCTGCCTGATTACATTGTAAATCCTTAAGGAAAGAAATCGTGTCTCTTTCCATGTACACCAAACAAAAGCAAGTACCATGCACAAAAAGCATGCCTCACTTCTTGGAGATTCTACTGGAGATACTTGGCGTATTCCTCCAGAGCCCAGGGTTTTTAAGGCAATTTTCTTCACATGTGAAGACTTCAGTAGAGAAGAAAACATCCTTAGGAAGTATCATGAGTTACCAACACGGGGGCAAGGGAGAGGAATCAAATTTTTGCTATTTAGAAGCAGGCCTGGAAGTGTATAATATTCATGATTCCCTGATTATTACAAGATGGGAAAAATCATAGAATGCTAAACAAGAAAAAAAAGAAACCTCCTACTGCCTATTTAAACAACCATCTCAAGCTAGATACAATAGATTATGAAAATCAAACTTCAAGATCTAAAATCATCAGCCCGAAACATCTTATTCTCTTTTTATCTCCTCCCTATAACAATATTTCACAGTTCAAGTTTTGTCATCACTTGTCCTTTTTACAATCTTTTTCACAATTTTAAAGAATGTAACATGCGTTCTGTAGAAGAAAAAAAAAGACAGGATTGCACCAGATTTACTCTGACCTTTTTAAGGTTCCAAATTTAGTTAGTTAGCCATTTCTATCCTCCTAGCTTTTCAGAAGCTCATGTGTTAGAACTAAAAATGGCAAACCTCTCCAAATTACCAGCATTTAAAAGGTTAAACAGTTTATTTTTATCCCACTAGCAGAGCATGAAAGCTCCAGTGTGTTCAGACTTGCTATGACAAAGATCACAGCAAGAATCCAGAAATTATCTGTTTTTAACCCTTTGCATTTACAATCCTCAGATCTCACTCTGGGGATTTTCTTCCCAAATTTTGCAAGCTGTTAGACGGTGGCTCTCAGAATCAGTCAGTTAAAGTCCTGTGGTGCAAGGCTACTACCTTTCTTCCTCAGAGTTGATCATCTTGGTCCGTAGGAGTCCAGAGTGCAGAATTCGAAGACTCCTAAGTATGGAACTCTCACTGCAGCATATGGACTCCACCCTCTGGGCTACTTCAAGGAACATCTGATTTTTCTATGTAGGGCAGTTTTCCCTCATATGAACATTCTGATTTAGGTAGATAGATTGCTTTTTTCATGGCCAGAAATAAACATTTTCAACGATATTGAGTGAAGCAAGAACCAGACTCACATACCTTTTGTATAAGGAGACACAATTTCATAGAAAAAAAAAAACCGGAACTTTGGAAATAAATACCATTTACAAGATACATATTTTGCTTCTCTCTCTCTCTCTGATTAATTCTTACAATTGCTTTTTTAAATTCACCATTTTAGGGCACACAGGCAAAAAGCGAGAACCCCAACAGTAATAGCAGAGGCTTTGCCTTGTTACCTATGAATTACACTTGTGTAAGACTTCTTGTTAAAGATAAATGGGGGTCACCAGGGGGAAGGCTTGGCAAAGGAAGGGAAATTCATCTACAGGTGCTCCTCGACTTCGGATGGGCCTGCAATCCTGATACAGTACTTAACAGCCTTGTTTCTTGATTCCCTTCCACCTGAGTACTTTCAATTTTCTACCAAAATAGCCATGGCTTGTCTTTTCCTACCCATTTCAAAACCTGCTTTCAGAGCACATAAATGGGTGGCATAATTTTCAAGCATGAGAAAAGTGAACTACCCACTCTCACAAAACAAAGAAAGCCTGCTGGGCTGTTAAAAAATGAAAGAATTAAAACAGAGTTTTTTGTTTCTGATATGAGAACGCTTGGTCTGACCTTCGGAGGCACGGCTTAGGCTTTTGTGACCTACACTCTGAAAGCCAAACTAGAAAGCAGAGTTAGGATGTGTAGTTAAAATATAGGTATTAGATAAAGAAATTCACGACTTATGCAAAACTGATTCTCTCTGGGGTCCTAAAAACTACGCCTCTATTCTCAGAAAACGAAAATGTAAGTGATAATAATGTGTTACATTCCTTGAATATATCAGCCGTACAAAACCACTGCTAGCCTAGGTTTTAAAAAATGTATTTGCTCTCTTCAAGGAATCTTTCTGCATAATATAAAAGTTCTCTTTTTTGCCACCTTTTTGGACACAGGGACGATGAAAACGCAGAGGAGTCAAATCTTATGCAGAGTTAAGTTCTAAATTCAGCATGTAAGGTGAAAATTACGTAGTCGAAATTACCCTTGAAAATCCCTCAAATTATCCATAAAGTAGAGTATACATATTTTTGTATATACAACATTATACAGTAATTTTTATTCATGCTAAATTATGGGAACTTCAACACTGGATTAATGGAAGGAATAAAAAAGAAAATCTATGCAACTCTCTGGACATTCAAAATATTCTATAAGAAAAGATAGAGCATTGTAAATCTTCTTTTTGCTTGCTTGATTTGCTCTATATCTCCTTAATATTTATCTTCTATAACTCTAATACATGTTAATAGATTTTTTGTGTGTGCGGGGATTATACCAAGTTAGTAGAGCCAAATCCTACCCCAAAACATATGTATGGAGGCTTGATATCATCGCCTGTGATCAATTATGATTTTATAATCCTAATAATTCTATAAAATGTATTCAAATCCATTACATTATCTGACTCTTATTAAGTAATGGGGACAGGTATGAGCATTGTCGATTGTAGATGAAGAGAAGATGACCTGGAGTTTAAGCTGCTTGTTCAAGGGCAGGCTGCTCATTAAGGGCAGAACAGGGGATTAAAACCAGATTATCTCGTTCCCAGTTTAGTGCCACAGCTAAAGGATCAGAAGAAGGCAATTGACACAGAAACAATGTACCTTCATTTGGGAGACTGTAGGGTATTAAAAAAAGGAAAAAAGTCAAGAGGAAGGAAGGAAAAGCAAAGCCTGTTGTGGTTACCCACTTTAAGATCCATCTTTTGGAGGAAAAAAGTATTTATGAATTAACAAAGACAAAATAAAAAAATACGGGTGATTTATAAGGATTCTAGGATAAAAGAGGAAATAAAATCCCAGTAATCTGGCAACGTTTGGAACATCAGTTATCTAGAAAGACTTACACTGACACCAACCACAGCTGAAATACTTTTTGCACGCACCCTTAAAAACTTTGCAAACTATATCAAGGGAAAAAAAGAAAAAGAAGGAGAATAAAGAAAAGAAGGAATAGAAGAAAAACACAGAGATATATCCTCAGGGATAACCCACTGAGAGCCTATACCCTTCTCTCAACTACTGTCTTCTCTCAACTACTCCTTACCCCAACACTCACATGCAAACATGCAATAATCATCTACATTTATGTTGAGGAAGTGTGGAGAAAAGGGAATTCCACTTTTACAGTATTGAATAAAAATTGACATGATTACATAAGCATCCAAGGGGTTGGTGTTCTATAGGAAGGTTCTGTTTTAAAGGTGGATGAGAGAAAGGACTGCTCTTTGGTATTGAGGAAATCCATTCTGATTTTATCCAGGTTTCCATTTTGCTTTAATCTAATGAGAAAATAGTCTATGCTGGTAGTAACCAAAGGAGTTTTTTTTTTTTCCAGATTAGGATTACCTTGCCCATTTTCTTGAATTTGATGCAGATATTCTCATTTCAGTTTCCATAACAAAATAAAAAACCCGTAACAAAATAAAAAACCCAAATTCTTCTTGGAATAATGGTACAAAATGATTTATTTTGCTAAAAATAAGAAAATTATTTTATCATCCAAATAAACAAATGCATTATAATTACTATGAATCTGGACTTGAGGGGATCCAGTGAATCACACAAGGAAATGTTAACCACTTATATTTGGAAGGAGGTAAAGAATGTGTTGTTTAAACAGAGTGCTACAATTCCTGTTAGTAAGAAACTTGAAGGAAAGAAAACATGGATGAGAATGCTGAAAACAGAGGAGGAGAGAAGAATCAGCAAGAGGGAATTCTAAGAGGAAGTGGCCAGTGAAAATTTTACTATGGTGGAGCTACTGAAGAACATTTTAAGAATGAAATTTTCTAATGTTAATTGTTATCATTTAAATTGCTTCTTTGATTTAAAGCTTCCCACTCTCTCTCCCCATTCCAATATGTGTATGTATGACCCTGTGTGTGTGTATGTGTGTGTGTGTGTGTACTATATGGTAGTTAAAGTCTATTATCTTTACAAATGTTTTGTATAAAAGAGATTTTGGTGAAATCAGTGAGTTTCTCATTTTTGTTTTCTAAGAGTGAAGATAAAGGGAAACAGAGAAGCAGAGGCCACAGTTTGCACTCATTCCTTCATTTAATCAGAAAATAGTAATTGCATACTTGCTATTCTAGGCAAGGAGGATGGAAACACAAGTTTCCTTTCCTCAGAGGGCTTAGATTCTAGAAAGTAAGAGAGCTAACAATAAATCAAAATATAAAATAATGCCAGGAAATACTAAGAAAGATAAAAATATTTTTAAAGCAACTAGATAAAAAATGATATGTTACATACCAAGGAACAATAAGTATTTCCACTGACTTCTCATCTGCAAAAGATAAATTCAGAGGCAACAGAACAATACCTCTAAAGTGCTAAAAAAGAGTAATTGTCACTTCAAAATTTTATATCACAAAACTATCTTTCAAAAATAAGCGTGAAATATAAACTTTTTCAGATTTAGAAAAAGCTGAGCAAATTCACTGCTGGGAGATCTACATTAAAGGAAGTTCTTCAAACCAAAGGAAAATGAGACCAGATATAAAGCAAAATCTATAGAAACGAATGAAGAGCAACAAAAATGGTAATTAAGTACGTAAATTAAAGACTTTATTTTCTTCTTGAAATTTTCTTAAATGACCATTGAATTTTTTAAACAAAACTATGGTGATAAAAGTGGTTAGAGAGCAGTGGCATCTTATGTAGAGGGATAGTGATACAAATGTTTTCTATCTTGATCTAGGTAGGATTATAGAGTGTATATATAAGTTAAAAATTCATCAAATTTATGCAAGTTATACCTCATTTACTGCATGTAATTCCTCTTCAGTAAAGTATTATTAGAATAAAAGACCATAAGGACACAGAAAGATTTAAAGTTCAGTGATAGAAAAAGATATAACAGGAATATATAATAAAAGAAAGCAGTGTGGCTGTGTTAATATTAGTCTAAATGGTCTTTAAGGAAAAATTATTATAGCTAAAAAAGATACGTATATAATAATAAAATATGTAATGCACCAAGAAGATTTTAAAACGTAACCTCACAATATAAAGCAAAAATGAACAGAACTATGAAATAAAAACAGAAAAATCTACCTCCAACACAAGATACTTCAACATATCTTTCTCAGGAATTAATAGATAAACAGAAACAATTTTAATAAGTTGTATAAGATGTAAACAATAGGCCAGGCATGGTGGCTCACACCTGTAATCCCAGCATTTTGGGAGGCTGAGGTGGGAGGATCACCTGAGGTGGGAGGTTTGAGACCAGCCTGATCAACATGGAGAAACCCCGTCTCTACTAAAAATACAAATTAGCCACGTGTGACGGTGCATGCCTGTAATCGCAGCTACTCGGGAGGCTGAGGCAGGAGAATAGCTTGAACCCAGAAGGCAGAGGTTACAGTAAGCCTGAGCCAAGGTCATGCCATTGCACTCCAGCCTGGGCAACAAGAGCGAAACTCCATCTCAATTAAAAAAAAAAAAATGTAAACAATAAAATTAATAAGCTTGATCTAAAGGGCATATGTAGACTATTCAACACAACAATTAGAAATTGTATTAGTCCATTTTCATACTGCTTAAAAGAACTGCTCGATACTGGGTAATTTATAATGGCAAGAGGTTTAATTGACTCACAGTTCAGCACGGCTGGGGAGGCCTCAAGAAACTTACCGTCATGGCAGAAGATGAAGGGAAAACAAGGCACCTTCTCCACAAGGTGGCAAGAAGAAGTGCCGAGTGAACAGGAAAGAACCCCTTACAAAACCATCAGATCTTGTGAGAACTCACTCACTATCCCATGAACAGCATGAGGAAAACCACCCCTATGATTCAATTACCTCCACCTGGTCTCTCCCATGACATGTGGGGATTATGGGGATTATAATCCAAGATGAGATTTGGGTGGGGACACAAAGCCTAACCATATCAGAGAAGCACTTTTGTTTTTCAGGTGCAAAGGGTACATATACAACAATTGACTATGTGTCGGGCTATAATTATAAGAAGCCTCAACCAATTCCACTGATTGCAACATAATTACATTTAAAAGTCAGTCATCTAAACCCTAGTAGTTAAGGAATCTTAAAAAACACATTTCTAAAGTACTCATGTATCAATAATAATAATAATAATGGAAATAAAGGAATCAAATTTGAGACTTTTGCCATCAATTAGACCAAAGAATGGTGTGATTGTTAAAAAAGAAAGTGGAATTCACTAAGGCGTTCGTTTTTGTCTGAAGATGGGCGATATAATGGTGTGTTTGTGTAATGATGAGGGGAAGCATCCTCAGAATGCAGGGAGAAATGATGATGCTGGTAGGGTAATGGGAAAGGCAGAGTCCTTAATCCTTAAAGTATTGTTAGGATAAAAAACCATAACGACACAGGAAGACTTCACTTTAAGGCAAAGTGAAATGGAATAGAATTCAGCCTGCAGGTGGAGAGGTTTCCCTTAGCATCCATCCATTCAAACAGGAAGAAAGGCAGAGGCTTTGGGAACACATATGGGTAGATGGGGACATTTAGCAGGGAACAGATTAGAAGTGATCCTCTGATTTTTAAAAATATTTTCTCAGTAAAATAAGCAGCAAGGCGATCAGCTTGTAGTGAACAGTAGAGAAGGGATTTTGGAGGCTTGAGGCGAAAGAACAATGTGTGTGATCTTTGTCTTGGAGAGTGGGATAAGAAATTGGCCAGGGAAATACAGTGAGGCAACTATAAGAGCCCTCTTGATTTTATTACTCATAAATTTAAAGGGAATCCAGTCAGCCAGCCAGTCTGTTTCTTTCTCTAGCTGTGATAAACTGTTCTGCTGCATTGCGAAGTGTGCAGTGACCTGGACATATGCCCAAAGGATGGGATTTTGTCAAGGGAGGAAGGAGGAGAAATAAACCAGCAAGAGAGAGGACAGAAAGGATCACAAAGATGAACAGAGTCTAAACTGGGTAAAAGGAATGTAAGATACAAGGAAGGAAATCAGTAGTGTAACAGCAATTGGGTCAAATGTGATATGAATGTATATGTCCACCAGTCCATTTCAGAAGTCTTTGGAGATTTTTTTTAATCTCTTCAGGTCATGAAAATAGGTATTCTAGTTTATTTTCACCATATTTCAAGAAGCAAGGGTGTCACACTTGGCATCTAAAATGGAAGGTTTTAAGCCACATTACGTATTTTATCAAATGTGATTTTCAGAACCTTAATAAATTAGAGTTAAAATCCCTAGTGAGCAAGAACTGTTGTTTATCTTGATCACCGCCATATTTTTAGCTCTTAGTCAGGTTCCTGGCCCAGCACGTGCTTCATAAGTATGTATTCAATATATTAATTAATCCCAAATTTACAGATTAAGAGATGAAAGTCAGAATGGTTACAGAACTTTTCCAAGGTCCAAGAGATGAAAATAAATGAAGCCACTCTAGGACTCAGTCTTACGACTCTTAGACCAGCTCCCTTTCCACTTGCTGGTGCTACTCTCAGATTATACAAGACTGAGAGGAGGGTGGAGAATTGCCCTAAAGAAACCAGCTTACCCTCCTACCTTATCCCTATGTACTCCTTGCACTGTCTAGCTAAAGCACGAGGCATCTGAGGGACTGGGGTAGACTTGAAGGGGAAAACACAGCAGATGATCTGACACAGCTGCGTCATAAAGTGATGGCTTTCAAAACTTTTAAACTGTGATCCACTAATTGCATATACATATTACATCACAACCCAGCACAAGTATTTGCATACACACATACACACTGAAAAAAGTTTTCTGAAGTAATACTTACCCTGACTTTTGGCTACTAACCCTTACTTATGAGAGACAAACTCTGATATTTTCTGTCCTGTTCTATTATTTCTATATTATTCCATTCTTTTAAAAATGGTAGTAGCAACCAACATATGATTTCACAACCTTAGCAGGCAGCAATCTAACATATGAAAAATACTATATAGAATGATTTATGTAAGTCCATGCCTTTCTTTTCTCCTGCTTTCCAAGTTGAAGGAGTGGTCTCAACAGTTTTTTACAGACTATAAGATAGCTCATAGTCATCATCATGATGCAGTAATTCGACATTTGTAAAATACTTTGTCATCTTCTGAATGCTGACTCCCACTTTCTTTTCCATACAACACCCCTAGCCCTGTGATTTAGGCAGAGAGATGCATTATCCATATTTTATAGCTTAGGAAAATAAAGTTCAAAGATGCTAAGTAACTTGACCACAGTCACACAGTCAGTTAGCAGCGGACCTGTAACTGGTAACTGACTGTTCTGCCCCCAAACCAGTACTCTTTTAACTGTGTCTCTATCACTGAAACCCAAATTGTAACATAAGGAACACTGAATTCTACCAGATTTCCCGATAAAGTAAAAAGTGGGTAAAACAAATTCAAAAAGGAACTTGGCTAAAAGTCAAAGGAGTCAGGAGAGGCCTGCCCTAAGGCATCTGGGAGGCCAAGTAAATGCAATGCTCTGTGGACAAAGGGATATCTTAACGTTTATGTATATGAATACATGCAAGGTGGCTAGTTTATTACCAAGATCTTTTAAACCTGTAAGTGCTTATCCTTACTTGTTGCCTAATTTATGTGGGACTGGCATTCAGACTTAAAATGAATCTCTTTTACTAAATATAAAGTTAATAGATGTTTTCAACAATAAAACATGAAAAAGAAAAGAGCTATTCAAAAAAAATCTTGCCATTCTATTTTTTTAAAAATCATATCTTCATCTTCCTTGGCATCCTGAGAAATATTCCCTCAGGAAATTAAAAATCATCCACCATTGTATGCTTATCTTACCACCCTGTGACAATTACAGAAGCGTTAAGATTCAAAAGACAAAGGCTTAACTGTTTTTAGAGATAAATTTATTACCTGTTAGAATATAGACTGTTTCTTGTATTCATATACACCTTTCAGATCCTAGGTAAAATAGACGGTGATAACAAAATAAGCCCCAACTTAGACTGAAGAATCGCAGAATATGAACAAGCACTGGTTCCAGATAAAGAACAAAAGGAAGCACATGTGTTTTCCTCACAACATTGTCTGATGTTGCTAGAAAGCTCACACACAACAGGAATACATTTTAGGAGTTCTTTACATTGCCAACCTTGGTGAAGCAACTTCTCTTTAAGATTTATCAAGCATAAAGTTAGGCCGCTTCTATAAAGGATAAAATGCTCTGGAAATGCAGATCAAAAGGTTGTCTTAAGGAAGGTTTTAAGAATGCTCATTGGAAGCCAATGGATGGGTCAGAACTTGGAAACTACATTGAAAGAATCTTGAATCTGCAATTTTAGGAAACACTTTCAAGGTGACATAAGGACAGCCCTTTGGAATTGATTTTAGAAAATGAAAAGCAGGTTTGGTGCCTCCATATGGGAAACCAAAGATTTAATTGGAAAAGAACTTAACATTGTCTGCTACATTATAGTGGTTCTTTTGTTATGTAGTGTTTTTATTATTTTTAACTACTCTCTTTGTATAATCTTGTCCTGTGTTTACTCTACACTTTCCTTTTGTTTTCTTGTCAACACACTGACTACAGACAAGACTATTATTTTAGCTTACTCAGTGGCTCTTAACATTGTTCATTGAGAAGATCACATCACATCTTCACACAGATGTTGGCAACATGTTTTGCCTGAAAAACGCAAACTGATTTTATTTTTTCATTATACAGTTCAGTTCATTTATTTTGTAAGTGAACTCAAATGTCCTTTTAAAAATCTGAAAGTTTTGAAATATAAGATGATGTGAGTATGCCAGTTTTTTGTTTGTTTGTTTTGTTTTGTTTTGTTTTGTTTTGTTTTGTTTTGTTTTGTTTTGTTTTGTTTGAGATGGGGTCTCACTGTGTCGCCCAGACTGGAGTGCAGTGGCGCGATCTCGGCTCACTGCAAGCTCCGCCTTCCGGGTTCTCGCCATTCTCCTGCCTCAGCCTCCCGAGTAGCTGGGACTACAGGCGCCCGCCACCACACCCGGCTAACTTTTTGTATTTTTTTTAGTAGAGACAGGGTTTCACCATGTTGGCCAGCATGGTCTCGATCTCCTGATGTCGTAATCTGCCCGTCTCAGCCTCCCAAAGTGCTGGGATTACAGGCGTGAGCCACCGAGCCCAGCCATAGTATGCCAGTTTTAAATGTCCTTTATTAAGGTTAGGAAAGAGACATAAATATCCATGATACTATTAAGATATACAAGCCATTTTCTAAGATTAGGAAATACTCTACATAGACTCCCCCTACCCATTCTTCCTTCCTTCCTTCTTTCTCTCTCTCTCTCTTTCTTTTCCTTCTTTCTTTCTTTTTCTTTCTTTCCTCTTCTTTTTTTTGACAGAGTCTCGCTCTGTCACCCAGGCTGGAGTGCAATGGCAGGATCTTGGCCCACTGCAACCTCCGCCTCCCAAGTTCAAGCAATTCTCTTGTCTCGGCCTCCCAAGTAGCTGGGACTACAGGCGCATGCCACCACACACGGTTAATTTTTGTATTTTTAGTAGAGACAGGGTTTCCCCATATTGGTCAGGCTGGTCTGGAACTCCTGATTTCAGGTGATCCACCCGCCTTGACCTCCCAAAGTGCTAGGATTACAGGCATAAGCCACCGTATTTTTTTTTGTTTTTTTTTTTGAGACAGGGTATTACCTTCTCACCAAGGCTGGAGTACAGTGGCACAATCTTGTCTCACTGCAGCCTTGACCTCTTGGGCTGAAGCGATCCTCCCACCTCAGCCTCCCAAGTAGCTGGGACCACAGGCATGTGCCACCACATCTGCCTAATTTTTGTATTTTTTGTACAGAAAATTTTTTGTATACCATATTGCCTAAGCTGGTCTCAAACTCCTGGGCTCAGGTGATCCAACCATCTTGACCGCCCAAAGTGCTGGGATTACAGGTATGAGCCACCTCACCCGGCCTGCATTCCACTTTCAATTACTAAGCCCCCACCGTGAAAACTGTTATACCATGTGGAAACCTCAAAGAGTTTTTATTTCTAGTCCATGTGCTTCAGGGCAGGTTCCCTGTCTGTTTCAGAAGTGACTGTAGCACTGCCCTGTGAACCCTGATTGGTTCAAAGTTGGGCATGTGACACAGCAAGGCCAATCTGAGGGATTTTTGCTCTGCAGAACTTTTGTGGGGATGGTTAGGAAAAGGACATTCTTTCTTTTTTGTCTGAGATAAAAGTGGTTCTAGACCTTACAGGTACCATCTCTACCAATGCATGAAGAGAGTCTGCCTGAGAAGGAAGCCAACTTGGAAAAAAACAAAGCCAGAGTTGGAAAGAGCAGCGCCCTAATGATAGCATTTCACCTCCTATTAATGGATCCAGCTATGCTGGAAGCTGGATGTAGACTTTGAGTTCCTTGCTTTTTGTTTGTTTGTTTGTTTGTTTGTTTGTTTTGAGACAGAGTCTCACTCTGTTGCCCAGGCTGGAGTGCAGTGGCACGATCTCAGCTCATGGCAACCTCCACCTCCCAGGTTCAAGCGATTCTCCTGCCTCAGCCCTTTTATATGCTCTGGATTCCTGTCACTTGCAAACAAAATGTCTCTGGCAAATGTTATAGATAGCCAAAAAGGTTAAGCATTGCCTTTCATTCTATGCCACCTTCACAGAAAGTGATTGAAAATAATAATGTGATTTTTTTTTTTTTTTCGCTCCCACTGGCCCTTTGGGCTTCCTTTTCCCTACTCTGGGTCTCCTCTTGGCCCCATACCAACTGCCCTTCTACAGTTCTCTGTGCACCAGTCTCCTCTTATCCTAATCAGAACCTGCTCATAAATGGAACTCTGATAGAAATCATTTATATTTTAGTGTAAACATATTCACTAACAACCCTCTTAGGAGTATTTGCATGTTAAGATTGATCTCCAATTATAGAGCAAAAGTCATATTAGGGCATTGCATATGATCCTATTTTATTTCTGTGACACAAATACCTAATCCCCAGGGCTATAAATCTCAGGTCACATTTTGCTCTGTTATCTTCTTCATCTTCAAGAATCTAATATCAAGTCATAATTTTTAAAAGTTCATTTGCATTATCTTTTAAACTTGCCTTTTTATCTCATTCAACTTCTTAACATTTAAGCCCTAGAGAATTTATTCTTATAGTTAATCTCCCCACCTTGCCTCCTTCTTATTTATCCTATTATCAAAATAATAATTCTCAATCATTCTCAAAGCGTCATATCAATGGAAGAGGTGGCCCATCTGGAGTGACCACTGCCAAGATGCTGGCTGCAGTGGGGAGGCACGGCCAGAGCTCTGTGTGCTCCACAGAGCGGGCAGGAGCCTCTGCCCTCTTGGGCGCAGCTACAGCCACTCAAGCCATGGCTGTGGACCCAGACATCACTGCATTATCAGGGGCCCAGGAAGGATCCCCCTGCCCCTGCAGGCTTGGAAGTGCCTGCTCCTGCTGCCTGGCCTCTCCCCACTCCCGGCACCCACTCCAATCTTAGTGCAAAATTGAGGCCGAGCCCAGGTGCTATAGCAACCCAGCCAGGTGTGTGCATGCACAGGGCAGTGCTGACACACTAGCTTCCTGACACCTTGGCTGCCTCCAGACTTTAGGTGCCAATAAGCACTGGAAGGAGGCCCAGGGGGTGCTGAGAGCAGCTCGACACTGACCTGCAAGCACCCCTTGGCATGAACAGCCTGGACACCATGAACAGTGGCAGGAGACAGACAGGCTCAAGAGCAAAAAGACAGGGCCCTGGTGAAGTCCTGCCTTCAAGCTGGGGGTAGGCCTGAAACCTGCGGGCCAGGCTGCCCATCCCACAGATCACAGTAAGAACTTATGGTGCTTTTTCCAGGTGCACCCATGGCCTCCCATGGACCAAACAGCACCCACTTCCTCCCCTCTGAAGCCCATAAAAACCCCAGACTCAGCCAGCCTCGAGCACTTGGGACGACCAGCTGTGGAAAGGAGCTACTCACTCTAGGGTCTCCTTTCTGCTAAGAGCTGAACACTCAATGGGAAGACCTGCCTGCGGAGAGGAGCTAAGCACTCCAGGGTCTCCTCTCTGCTGAGAGCTGAACACTTGTTGGGACACCTTGCCTGTAGCTCCCTCCTGGGTCTCCTCTGAGCTGTTCTGTTGTTTGATAAAGCTCCTCTTCACCTTGCTCATCCTCAACATGTCCACATACCTCATTCTTCCTGGATACAGGACAAGAACTCAGGACCTGCCAAGTGGTGGGGCTAAAGGAGCTATAACACAAACAGGGCTGAAACACACCCCTTGCTTGCCACATTGCGGGTGACAAGAAGGAGAGAAGAGAGAAGGAGGGAAGAGCTGTGGCCCTTCAGGGAGCCCAGACCTAGGAGATTCCTGATACAGGCCTGTGACACCCTCTTTGGAGCTCTGCAGTTCCTGGTGTCTCCAAGCTTCTGGCCACCACCATGTTCCCCAGTGCCAGCTGTGGAAGCTGCCTGCTTACAGTACACCTGGTCCAGCTGCAGTCTTGCAGGGAGCAGACACCTATGCCGGCTCCTGGATGCCCAAGCAAAACTTGGGCAAAGGTGCCACTGGCCACAGAGGTTTCCAGCCAAAAAAGCAATACTCCAAGAGTCCCATGACAGTATTAACAGTGATCTCATCTTCCCAGTTACACAGGCCTAGAAACTAGGATGAAGCACTCATTCTTTTGTCATTCCTTGCATTTAGCTGGGTACCAAGTCCCGTCCAGTCTACCTACATAAGGTCATCTCTAAGTACGTTCATTGGAGGGGCTGACAGATGAGAAGATAATTTAAAAAAAAGAAATGTGAATGATCCTTAGCCATATAAAATCATACTCAGCTTCATTAATAATAAAAATGTATATTAAAATTGCACCATTACGACCTACTAGAATGGCTATATTCACATACACACACACAACAGAAAATCACAAGTGTTGACAAAGATGTGGAGAAATTGAAATTGCTGTTGGGAATGTAAAATGGTACAGCAGCTGCGGAAAACCATTTGGCAGTTCCTCAAAAAGTTAAACATAGAATCACCATATGGCCCAGCAATTCTACTCCTTTTGGGTATGATATATACCCATAAGAATTGAAAACACGAACTAGACATTTGTACGCCTATGTTCATAGCTGCATTATTTACAATAGCCAAAAGGTGTAAACAACCCAAGTATTCATGAACAGATGAATGAATAAACGAAATGTGGCACATAGAATACATACAATAGATTATTATTCAGTGATGAAAGGAAAGAAGGTCTGATACAACATGGATGGACCTTAAAAACATTAAGCTAAGTGAAATAAGCCAGTCACAAAAGGGCAAATACTGATTGCACTTACACAAAATATCTAGAATAGGCAAATTCATAGACCCAGAAAATAAAGTGGAGATTAACAGGTACAGGGGAGGGAAGATTTATAAATTATCGTTTAATAGTTACAGAGTCTCTATTTGCAGTGATAGAAAAGATTTGGAAACTGATAGTGGTGATGGTTACATAACACTGTGAATGTACTTAATGACACTGAATCGCATACTTAAAAATACTTAAAATGCATATTTTATGTTATATATATTTTATCACATGTTTTGAATTATGCTATGACAGTTCTCTGCTGTTAAATTGGTGAAGGTCTAACAGTTTGACACTATAGTTTTGTTGTTGAAGCCACATGGAAATTGGTAGTCCACACAATGCCAGTAGGGATGTAAAAAGGCTACAACTCTGATATAGGAGAATGTTTAAATATCTAGCAAAAATGTCAGATGCCCAAGGTGGCTCATGTCAGCACTATTTATAACAGCAAAAGACTGGAAACAAGCCCTGAATGGCCATGAATAGGGAATGTAGTTGACTCTTGGGTTCCTAAACTTTCTTGATTCACAGGATTCTTAATGAGTCAGTACTTTTTTTTTCTTTTTAATGGCACACTTTGACCAAAAGAAATACTTAACAGTTTTGTTTATTAAGTAGCTGGACCCAAACAACTTAATAAATATTTCTCTCTTAACATCTTAGTAGCTATTTGAAAAAAATACACATAAGTTGAAATAAAAGACAATATTTCTATTTCATTGTTAAATAACCAGAATTACTTAGCAAGACGGTGTGTGTACCGTTTGTGTACTACACAATTTCTTTTTTTTTTTTTTTTTTGAGACGGAGTCTCGCTCTGTCGCCCAGGCTGGAGTGCAGTGGCGGGATCTCGGCTCACTGCAAGCTCCGCCTCCCGGGTTCACGCCATTCTCCTGCCTCAGCCTCCCAAGTAGCTGGGACTACAGGCGCCCGCCACTACGCCCGGCTAATTTTTTGTATTTTTAGTAGAGACGACACAATTTCTTAAACCTTGAACTCAGATTAAATCCCACCTGATTTTTATGCCACATTGATTTTCATGTATTACTTGCTTTCTGTCCTAGTAACAACCAAAAACCCAGCTTTGGAAAGATAAGACACCATCAGAGGGAAGAAAGCACAAACTAATGTTGAAACAGTGATTTACCTAAAGCTAATTGTTTGTTCAGCTCCTGACAAATATTAAAAATTACTGCATTTCTCTAAAGAATTTGAAATACCCCACATTGCCCCTGAGAATTTGCTGTGGTACTCCGGGGATCAATAAAAGGTACATCCACCCAAAGGAGTCACATATGGCTTTCACAGGTGTGAGGGATATCTTTATGTTCTCCTATAAGATAGTCTTCAGTATATGTTGTTAAATAAGTAAGGTGAGAAGAAAAAGTATATCAAGCATATTAGCAAAAGGAAGTAAAGTTATGAATATAAATGCATCTTTCTTATATTTAAGAAATGGAAGGAGAAGCCATAAAACTGTTTCTAATATTTACCTATAGACACAGGAAGGTAACAGAGTAGAGAGATCTGAAATAAAAATTAGACTTTTCTAAATATACCTTGTTTTGCACATTTGACTTAGGAAGCTTACACATATTTTATATAATTATAAAACAATTTTTGGAAGCAGTCTCTAAAAATAGAAAGCTAAATGAAGCAAATGATCTTAACTGCCTATTGATTTTGTGACATTATCAAACAGAGTAACTATTTCATGTGATTTTAAAATACAAAAATTAAAAACTAGTGGGAAGTTCCTCAAGATAATAAGAACTGCAAAAACATATTAAGCTGTTGTCAGTAATCACATTATTGATGATTGTGTTGGTATTGTTATCCTGAGACTATTTTGTGTATATTATGGGTTTGAATAATTATGTCGATGTCATTAAGAACTAGGATTCTTAATACGAAAGAAAGTGGATACAGATTTAAGCTATTTGAGAATAAACAAAAGGTCTCTAGCCCTACAGTTGTCTTGGAAGAACCAATATGAACTCATTATATATTTTGTTCTGAAATATACATACAATTCTTTACCTCCGTAGCATCATCCAGCATTAGTCTTGCCCTACAGAGGTAAGCAAATATAACACCTTGACTAGTTCTTTCTTTTCCACTTTGATGAAAACAGTGTTTTCTGGGCCCTCTTGAGAAACAGTTAACTAGTAGGTTCTCTATATTTTATATAATAAATCCACTCTAGCATCCCCACTTCTATTAGTCTTTTACCTCTTTCTCAATTCTCAGTCAAGATAGTTTCAGCATCTCAGTCTCATTTACTGTAAGCAAATTTTGTTCCAAGCTTCAAGGAATCATCCCAGCAGTATATTAGGATTCGTTCCAGGTATACTAGTCAGAACACTAAGTCCTGAGTCACAGAAGGGTGTTCATATATCAATGCACCCTCCCTTATCCAGCTTTACATTCTGTCCCTCTATTACAGCACTGTGAAGTGTATTCCAAGGCACTTTACCTTGGTTTCTGCAAGTATATATTAGCCAGGTCCTGCAGGTTTTTCAGTGACTAAACCCTTTCCTTCCATAGCAGGGACAATAATTTTCAATAAGGCCAAGCCAAGACCTTACCTTAGTTATTGGTTCAAACTAATATTGGAATGTAAAGGCAGATCCTAGGAGGATGAGTGTTATTTTCTAAGGCTACTGCCTTAGATGAGGACTTTGCATGGTCTCCAGGCAGAAAGAAGCATCTATCTTCTAGAAATTAGGAGTAGGTGAGTGGGTCAACAGAATTGTTCGAAAGGGTAAGGAAAATCTGAGATTTAGAGGTTTTTTAGGCACATCCACCCAAATATCCCTCTTCCTTCTTAAATTCTCATCTCTTCCCTAAGGGAGCAAACTTTACTATAAAAGACGGCTGGGGCTGTAAATATAACCTTCCTTCTAACTTCATTAATCTCACAATAAGGTGCTGGCTTAATTTTCAGAACTGTCTGCCCTCTTACTTCAGAATGTGAGACTCTCTTTGAATGCCACCCTAGAAGCCTTCTGACTTTCACAATGTACCCGATGTTGATAGTTGGCTAATCAGAACCAGTCATTTTCTTTCTTTGACACATTGGTGACACTCAACAGCAACCAACCACATTTATATTTTTTTATAATTACGATTGCCCTCATATTTGTCAACTAACAGAAAAATTGTATAAGCAGTGCATTTCCTTCCATATATTCTCAAGACAACTAACCAAAGGTAATTGTGATGTTACAGAATATCAAGCACTATCATTACCTATTTTCATCAGAGATGTGAATTATCACCATGTGGTCAACAGTGATGCAATTCTAGAATTCCACTTCCATTATCAACTGTCTTAGTTAGTCTTCCCCGGAAGCAGACATTCGTGAAAGGATATAAGTGCAAGCATTTTATTTTTGAAGTGATCCTAAGAAATATCAGTAAAGTGGGGATATAAGATATGAAAGAGAAGGAAAACATTAAAATGTGCATTATCAAGCAATTTACAACTGTGGGCAACTATAGCTTAATCCCACTGGGAATCACTGAGAAATGGTGTAGAATCATGCCTCAGAGTATTCTCCTGAGGGCCAAGGGTTCTGTCATTCATTAGTTATGGGCTGCATAAAGAGAAGTGAAGCACATTTATTTCCCAGAATTTTTATCCTGCCCACAAAGGCTCCTGTGACCAGAGATAGTCCCAAGTCAAAGAAGTATAGAGGCTGGCACTTGGAAGCCACCAATCATGAACTGAATCTGTAAGGGAATAAGAATACGAGTGGGGCATTTCTAGGTCTATTTCTTTTTCTCACCTACAAAGCATCCATGACCACTCTCTATTCCTTAAGACAGAGAGTTCTCCACACTAGTAGTTTTTCTCAGGCTGGTTTCAAGCTCTCATTAACCTGTCAAGTCTTTCCTTATCATTTCAGTTACAATTAGTTCACCTGTTCTCCACCTTCCCATACCTGTTACCACAGAATTTTGTTTATATCTCTATCTCATAACTTTGCACATTTCGTACAGTAATAGAATTACTTGAAAATATCTATGTTGCCCACTAGATTTTAGCTATTTGAAAGCAAGGTCTAAATTATACTATCATTTCAAAACTTCGTAAAACCAAAATAATACTTAAAATAGTCTTATTTAATAAGCAGCAATTAAATTTTTCCATTCATTCATTCAACAAATATTTATTTAGTGTCTTCTATGTATCAGTCCTAATGCTAACCCACCTGAGATATAATGAAAATCCAGAACGACATGGAAGCCACTCTCTCCCCCACCAAGAGACTTCAGTTTTTCTCCTATTACATACTACAGTAAGTCCAGAAATTTTTGGCCTTTTATGATGTGTATTACGTCTTTTATTTTACTACTTTTGCCACACTTTACCCTCTCCCATGTAATTATAATAATTGGTAATATGTATTGTACACATACTCCTCTTACCTCCATCCACCTAAACTCTTGAGCTAAGTAATTGCAATAAATTGTATCTCCCTTTGACATTGTGTTTATGTTTTTTATTGAGAGCATCTTAAACATTGGCTTTCTCTATTTTGAGCTATAGAAAAAAATTCTTAGCAATGGTGAAGTTTTGATATTAAAAATTTCACTCCCTCATTATCTTTCTTTGATGTTCTATATGTCTATGCAAAAACATTTAAACTTCTCTTTGAAATACAGACAGAAAAAAAATTAGCACAATCACAATGAGTAACCTCTTTCTTCCTTCACTTCAGATAAATTTTCGTTCAGATATTGCTCTAATTTCCTTAGGTTAAATAATAGGTCACGGCGGTGGGGCTAAAATGTTATTAGAGAAATAAAAAGCTAAGTGTTCTCAGGAAAAGAATGATTTTGACATGTAATCAAATGGAAAGCAAAGTACTTTACTTGTAAGGAGCAATGATAAAATTAAAAGAAAAAGTGTAAAGTGAAGGGCAATAAAAAATTTTGCAAGAAGAAATTTATATTTTATTTTAAAAACTTAAAACATATAGCTTAGCAGAAGTTATTAATGATTTTTAAAGCCCTTCCTAATATAATTTATAATATTATTTAATTAATTATCAAGTTCTAAATTGTATTGCTCAATGAGGCAGCCTCTATATCATATATATATTAAAACTTTGTTAAGTATTCTTAAGATTCTATTGTAATGCCTGATATGGAATTGACAGTATTTAAATGATTCTGGCCTGCAGCTCATAATCCCAGGCTGTGCATTCATTAAATCTGAAAAGAGGCAGGGAATGATTGATTTTGGATAGGAACCATCTAGAAGAATTAGCAGGTTGGCCCAGGAGTTCTGTTTGGTGCCTTTGAAGAGTGACACGACACCTTTTCCTAGGTAAGAAGTGTTTCAGCATACGGTGTCTACAAACCCACATGCACTCTCTTGGTTAAAGAAGAAAACAGCCTTTAATCACCTAAGCTTTCCAAATGGAAATTATCTTACTGTCTTATCTATCAATGCCATATTATTTATTTCTTATTCTTGGGCTTCTGTGTAACACAAGTGCTATGCCATATTTAGTATTTCAGGTTGGAAATGTGAAGTGATGCGTAAACACTGTACTTAGTTTGTGAGATGATTACAGGATACTGTGACTTGTAAAGGGTTCTCAGAAATAAGTAAGTCCATGAGTTGAGTTGAAGGCTTAAAGATAAAAGAATGACAACCAATGAAATTGTCTGCATTTTCTGAGGACGTGGCTTTCTGGTGAGATAATATTGGATTCTGAAGCTTCTCTTACTCACAATGAAGTACACTTGAAACTGGCTTTAAAGATTCATTTTGTAGGCTTAAAAATCTACCTTTAGGAAAAGTGGGACTAGCAGGTCACCTAGTGTAGAAAAAGAAAGAAAGGAAAAAATATATATTCACTCTTCCTGTGAGAATTCCTTGCCTAAAACGTAATATGAAGAGAGAGTTTGCTTTCCTTTTCTTCCTAAAATGACCATAAAGTGGTAGTGACCTCAGGAGTCTGTGTGTGGCCCATTTGATGTGGTTTGGGCCTAAGGAAAAGCTAAAGGCTAAATGTATTTTAAGTGGGCTAAAACCAAGATAAACACATCCCTGAGGTCATTATTTCCATTAGTTGACAGTGCATATACAATATTTTTTTTTTTTTTTTTTTTTTTTTTTTTTTTTTTTTGAGATGGAGTCTCGCTCTGTCGCCCAGGCTGGAGTGCAGTGGCGGGATCTCGGCTCACTGCAAGCTCCGCCTCCCGGGTTCACGCCATTCTCCTGCCTCAGCCTCCCGAGTAGCTGGGACTACAGGCGCCCGCCACTACGCCCGGCTAATTTTTTGTATTTTTAGTAGAGGCGGGGTTTCACCGTTTTAGCCGGGATGGTCTCGATCTCCTGACCTCGTGATCCGCCCGCCTCGGCCTCCCAAAGTGCTGGGATTACAGGCGTGAGCCACCGCGCCCGGCCGTGCATATACAATATTAAAAGCATTGTAAAAACATTATACATTTTTCCAGTGTTTTACTTTTGAAGGTCATTTATCCACACCCAGTTTCTAAACACTGACTCAAAGTAAAAGTAACTTTCATTTCACTGGGGAAGCAATGTTTAAACAAACAAGCAAACAAACAAATTTAAAAACTATGGTTTACACATTAGAATAGCAGGCTAATCATAGTGCACATTACATCTATCAAACACACAGAGAAGTTTTTAACAGTTTTTAGCAGATTGTATAGTTATTGCTCTCTATACAATGTATCCCACTTATTTCTAAAATCAATTTCATGAGGCAGGCTCAGTGCTCAATATAAAAAATAACTGCAGGATGGGTGCGATGGCTCATACCTGTAATCCCAGCACTTTGGGAGGCCAAGGCAGGCTGATCAGCTGAGGTCAGGAGTTTGAAACCAGCCTGGCCAACATGGTGAAACCCCGCCTCTACTAAAAATACACACAAAAAAATTAGCCAGGCGTGGTGGCGCATGCCTGTAATCCCAGCTACTTGGGAGGCTGAGGCACAAGAATCAGTTGAAACCGGGAGGCAGAGGTTGCAGTGAGCTGAGATTGCGCCATTGCATTCCAGCCTGAGCCACAGAGTGAGACTCCATCTAAAACAAAACAAAACAAAAAACTGTAGGGTTTCTCATTTTTATTTTATTCACGTCTCAAATTAGTTTGAGTTAAAAAGAATTTTACATTATGATTTTAGTGTGGTCCTTTAAAAATCAACAGACACTGGCCAGCCATGTGTAAATACAGTTGTGGAAGCTGATTCTACAAGTCTAAAAGCTGTAATCCCATTATACACATAAGATTTATTTGATATCTCTAACTCAACAATAAAGATGGGTCAAACATAACTATTTATCCCTTTGTGAGGATTTCCTGTATCAGGGAGTATATTTTCATATAACTCAACATCTCTGTGCCACATGTACAGTTGTAAAGATTTAAATGGTTCACGTGACTGAAATGGAGCCTAATAACCTTATCAATCACCTTTTCTTTTTGAGCGACTAGAGACCTGTTTAAACTTATCTATTAGGCATTTCCTGTTTGTGTTTTCTAAGAAATTTAAGAAGACTGTATTGATTTTGATGACATTTATTGTATTTCTAATATACTTAAGCTAGTTATATTTGTGACTAAACGTGCCATTTTTCAGAAAATGAAGGGCAACTTTTCTTCAAGTTACTTATGTGTACATCAGAATGGCTAAAAAAATAAGGACTGGAATACCGAATATTGGCAAAGATAAAGAACAATTGATGTATTCATATACTGCTAGTAGGAATGTAAAATATTACAGCCACTGTGATAAACTATTCAACAGTTTTCACTAAAGGTAAATATATGCCACAGTGTGACACAGCAGTTTTACTGCTAGGTTTATTCCTAACAGAAATGAGTACACGTTTAGAAAAGGACATTTACAGAAAAGTTTATAGGAGCTCTCTACTTAATATCCACAAACTAGAAACAACCCAATGTCCCTCAATAGTCGAATGGATACACCCAAGAACCAGGTGGGGGACATGTCTATCTGTGACCCCAATAACAGACCCACTGACCTCAGTTCCAACTGCAGACCCTGAAGCAGCCCTTTGACCTTGCCCCAGCCCTGCTCTACCTCATTCCAGGAGCAGTTCTACCTGCCCAGGAATCTAGCAAGAGCCATGCCCTTCGTGCCCCAACAGGTCCACTGACGTTGGACCTGAGTGTGGACCTGAAACAGCCCAGTGACCTAGCTCCAGCTCCACTCTACAGCAGTCCTAGAGGCAATCCTCCTAGCCAGGAAACTGCCCAAGGACCTGGTGGAAACCCATCCAGGGACCCATGGGAAACCACACAGATTTATACCTCGCCATCTGCAAACCTGATTGCAGACCCAGCAGCAACCCTATGACCGAGCTCCAGCCCTGCTTGATCACAATCTCAGAGGCAGGCTCATCTACCTGGTAACCTGATGAGAATCATGCCCAACTATGACCCCAATTATAGGCCTACCACAGACCCTACTGTGGACCTGGCAGCAGCCACACGGCCTAGCTCCAGCCCTGCTCAACTGTGATCCCAGAGACAGTACCGTTTGTCAAGGGACCTGGCAGGAGAAGGACTTTACCTGCTTAAACCAGTCTGTAAACACTGGAAGAGGAGTTTTTCACCTTCATATGCACAGACACCAATACAAGGCTACATGGATCATAAAGCAGCAGGAAAACATCACATCACCAAAGGAAACTAACAAAGCTCTATATATCTGTTTGTTCTCACATTGCTATAAAAAAATACCTGAGACTGGGTAATTTATAAAGAAAATAGGTTTAATTGGCTCGTGGTTCTATAGGCTGTACAGGAAGCATGGCAGCTTCTGCTTCTGGAGGCCTCAGGAAATGTACAATCATGACAGAAGGCAAAAAGAGAGTGAGACGTCTCACATGGCCAGAGCAGGAGGAAGGAGTAGGGAGGTGCCACACACCTTTAAACAACCAGATCTTATGAGAACTCACTATCACCATGACAACACCAAGAGGGATGGTGTTAAACCATGAGAAAACATGATCCAATCACCTCCCACCAGACCCCACCTCCAACCTTGGGGATTATAATTCAACATGAGGTATGCGTGGGGAAACAGATCCAAACCAAATTTCTCTAGAAACCTACCCTAAAGAAATTGAGATTCCTAAACTGCTTGACAAATAATTTAAAATAATCTTCTTAAAGAGCTCAATGAGGTTATCAGACAACACAGACAAGTTAACACATCAGAGAAACAATACATGAACAAAATGAGGTTTATTAATAAAGAAATAGAAACCATAAAAAAGAACTAAATGGAAACTCTGAAGCCAAAGAATACAATGACTAAACTGAAAAACTCAACAGAGCTTCAACAACAAATCAATCATGTAGAAGAAAGAATCAGTGAATTCAAAGATAGGCCATTTGAAATTAACCAAAGCAACAGAAGAAAAAAGAGTAAAAGAGTGAACTCATGGGACTTACGGGATGCAAGCAACCAAACCAATATGCAAATTATAGGAGTTCCAGAAGGAGACAAGAGAGAGAGAAAGGGCATAAAGCCTATTTACAGAAATAATGGTCAAAGCTTTCTAACTCAAAAGATAAAAATAGATATCTTGATTCAAAGCCCCGAAATAGACTGTGCTCAAAGAGGCCTACAAGGAGACAGATTCTAATTAAATTGTCAAAGATCAAAACCAAAGTGCATTTTGAAAGCCAAAAAGAAAAGCAACTTGTCACAAGGAAGCCATTATGGACTATAAGCAGATTTTTTTTTAGCAGAAACCTTGCAGGCAAGGAGAGAGTAGGATGATGTATTCAAAGTACTGGGAGAAATCTTCCAACCAAGAATACTTTACCTGTAACATACCCTTTAAGAATGAAAGAAAAATAAAGACTTTCTCAGACAAAAAAAAAAAAAAACTGAGAAAGTCATCACCACCAGAACCATGTTACAAAAAGTGCTAAAGGGAGCCTTCAAATAGAAATAAAAAGATGTTAAACAACAACATGAAAGCATATGAAACTATAAATTTCACCCTAAAGGTAAATGTAAAAACAGAATATTGTAATACTGTAATGGTGACATGTAAATCACTTTAAACACTAGTATATAAATTTGAAGACAAAAGTAGGATTAATTCCAACCACAGAGATTTATTAAAGAAAACAAAATGTTTAAAGTAAAATCTGACATCAATTACATAATGGAGGTGAACTGTAAACTGCAGAGTATTCCTATGAAGTTAACATTAAGTTGTCATTAGCTTAAAACAGTATGTTTTGGGAAGCCAACACAGGCGAATCACCTGAGATCGGGAGTTCGAGACCAGCCTGACCAACATGGAGAAACCCCATCTCTACTAAAAATACAAAATTAGCTGGGCTTGGTGGCACACGCCTGTAATCCCAGCTACTCGGGAGGCTGAGGCAGGAGAATCGCTTGAACCCAGGAGGCAGAGGCTGCAGTGAGTTGAGATCGTACCATTGCACTCTACCCTGGGCAACAAGAGTGAAACTCCGTCTCAAAACATAAAAACAAAAACAAAAAAAGCAGCATGCTATTACAGTTGTCTGTTCTTTGACAAGGGTGCAAAGAACACACAAAGGGGCCAAAATAGGTTCTTAAATAAGTGGTGTTGGGAAAACTGGATATCCACATGCACAAGACTACAATTAGAACCTTATCTAACACCATATAAAAAAAGTAACTCAAAATAGAAAGTAGTATGGAGGTTCCTCCAAAAATTAAAGACAGAGTTATCATATGATCCAGCAATCCCACTACTGAGTATATATCCAAGGGCAGTTAAATCAGTATCTAGAAGAGATATCTCCACTCCCATGTTCATTTAAGCATTATTCACAATAGCCAAGATAAGGAAACAAACAAAATGTGATCTACAGCTCACTAAATAAATAAAATGTGATATAAAGATCGAGAAAGATACACACCATGAAATATTACTCAGCCCTTAAAAAAGGAGGAAATCAGTTACCCAGGAGGCTGAGGCAGGAGAATCGCTTGAACCCGGGAGGTGGAGCTTGCAATGAGCCAAGATTGTGCTGCTGCTGCACTCCAGCCTGGTGACAGAGCGAAACTTTCTCAAAAAAAAAAAAAACAAGAAGAAGAAATCCTGTGATTTGCAACAACACAGAAGAACCTGGATGATATTATGTGAAGTGAGTAAGCCAGACACAGAAAGATAAGTACTACATTACATCACTTACATGGTGTCTCAATCCATTTTCTCTTACTATAACAGAATACCACAGACTGGGTAGTTTGTAAAGAAAATAAATCTATTTCTTACAGTTCTGGAGGCTACAAAGTCCAAGGTTGAGGGCCACATCTGGTGAGGGCCTTCTTACTGCCTTATAACATGGCAGACGGCAAGAGTATGCCAGCTCAGTTGTCTCTTGCTCTTTTTATAAAGCCACTAGGTTCCATTATGGGTGCCCTAACCTGATGCCTTTTCTAATTCTAATTACACGCCAAAGGCTCCACCTTCAAATGTCATCAACAGATGAATTTGGGAATTAAGTCTGCAACCCATGAAATTTGGGGTACACATTCAAACCTTAGTATTCTACCCCCGCTTCCAAAGTTTATGTTTTTATCACATGCAAAATACACATATTTCATCCTAATAGTCCTAAAGTCTTAACTTGCTCCAGCGCCGACTCAAAAGTCCAAAGTCCAGAGTCTCATCTAAATCAGATACGGATGAGACTTATGACACAATTCATCCCATGGCAAATTTTCTACATCTGTGATCCTGTGAAATCAAAATAAGTTATCTACTTCCAAGCTACTTCCAAAATATGATGGTGAGTCAGGCTTAGAATAGACATTCCCATTCCAAAAGAGGTAAATAGGAAAGAAGAAAGGAGTAACAGGCCTCAAGTAAGTTCAAAACCCAGCAGAAGAGAAATTAAATCTTAAGACTCCAGAATAATCTTTCACTCCACGTGCTGCCAGCTCAGGGGTTGGGACCCCAGGGCATCAGACAGCCCTACTCCCAAGGCTTTTCTGGGTTTAGCCCATGTGGCTGCCCTCAAAGGTTAGAGTTGCACACTGGTGCCTAAAGCTTTCCCAGGTGGGCATTGCATGCAGATGGCTGTACAGTTCTGAAGTCCCAAGGCAGCTCCACCTCTGACCCCACATTTCTGCCTGGCATTGGCCTGGTGGAGGCTACCAGCAGTGACTCTGCCTCTGTAACAAGTCTCTGCCTAGGCTCCCAGGCTTTTTAATATTCACTCTGAAATCTAGGTGGAAGTCACCGTGGCTCCATAGCTCTTGCATTCTGCTCCTCTGCAGAATTAGCACCATATGGACCCCTCTGAGGCTTACCGCTTGTGCCCTCTGGAGCAGCAGCATGAACCACATCTGGGCCTGCTTGAACTATGATGTGGTGCCACCACAATATGCAGCTTGTACCTTTTGGAGCCACAGGTCAAGCTGCACCTGGGGCCATGTAAGCCACAGCTAGAGCAACCAAGGAGCACCGCATCAGGATCCAGGGTACAGAGTCCTGAGTCAGCCCTGAGCAGCAAGCTTATACAGTGTGCCCAGGCCCATCCTGTGAAACCATTCTGCTCTACTAGGCCTATGACAGGAAGAGATGCTTTAAATATATCTGAATTGCTTTCAGGATCTTCTCTTGTTGTCCTGATGAACAGCCTCTGACTCCTTTCTATTAGCACTAGTCTGTTTAACAAATGGTTGCTTTGCCACACTCAAACACTTATTCATTCTTTATGTGGCCAGGCTGTAAATTTTCCAAATTTTTACTGTCTGCTTCTCTTTTATTTATAAATTGTGCATTTCAGCCATCCCTTTGCTCCTGAACCTCACTGTAGGAGGCCAGAAGTAACCATCCAGCATCTTGAATGGTTTGCTGCTTAGAAACTTCTTCCACCAGATACCGTAGCTCATTCTCAAGCCTTTCACAAAACCCTTGAGCGTAGACACAATGCAGCCAAGTTCTTTGTTACTTTATAACAAAGATGGCCTTTCTTCCAGGTTCTAATACTTTGATCTTTATTTCCACCCAAGACCTCATCAGAATAGCCTTTACTGTCCACATTTCTGTCAGCATTCTGGTCATAACTGCTTACAAAATCACTAAAAACTCTAGACTTTCCTTAGTGTTCTTTTCTTCTTTTAAGCCCTCATCACAATCACCCTAATGCTCCTTTCACAATAATACAGGCTTTTTCTAGCCTGCTCCTCCAAATTCTTCCAGCCTCTACCTATCACCCATTTCCAAAGCTGTGTCCACATTTTCAAGTATGTGTTATTAGCAACAGCCCCACTTCTTGATGCCAATTTTCTTTCTTAGTCCATTTTCTGCTACTGTAACAGAGTACCACAAACTGGGTAATGTTTAAAGAAAAAAATCTTTCTTACAGTTTGGGAAGCTGAGAAGTCCAAAGTTGAGGGGCTACATCTGGTGAGGGCCTTCTTAACATGGTTAAGGGGTTACATCTGGTGAGGGGCTACATCTGGTGAGGGCCTCTCATAACATGGCAGAGGGCAACACATGGCAAGAGAGCAAAAGCATGCCAGCTCAGGTCTCTCTTCTCCTTACAAAACAACCAGTACCATAATAGGGGCCCAATGTTGACTACATTATCTAAGCCTAATTACCTCCCAAAGGCCCCACCTCCAAAAACTATCAACATACGAATTTGAGGATTAAGTTTCTAACATGATATTTGGAGAACACATTCAAACCAAAGCATATGGGGAATCTAACATAGTTGAAATTATAGAAGGATAAGTAGAATGGTGATTTCCAAGGCATTGGAGTGTTTGGAGAAAATGAAAAAATACTGATCAAAAGGCCCGACGTTTCAATTATGCAAGATGAATAAGTTCTGGAGATCACCATGTATATCATGGTCACTACAGTAATCACTACTGTATTTGTAGAGTCATGGATTCCCCACCCAGGTGACTTAAGGGTGTAAGTCCACTGCTTGGACCCCGAAGACTGGATGGTGAGCCAAGGCCTTGGTGCCCAGCTGAGGAGCAGGTGTCCCTGAGCACTCACACATCCTGGAGCACACCTGGGAACATACCAGGAAAAACAGTATCATTGCATGCAGTATGCAAAGAGCCAGAAAATCAGCTTATACACAACTTAGAGATGGGTGGTGGGGCAGAGCTACAAAGCTGTCCTGTTGCCACCCAAGGGTGCCCTGCACGAGTCCTAATAAACACATGTACTCTCCAATTTGGACTTGTCTGAGTCGTTCTTCGGTCTCTTGGCTCCTTCCCAGTTTGGAGGGATGTTTCTCTATACAGTGCCTGATTTCTCCTGTAACAGTATTATATACTAGAAATTTGCCAAAAGCATAGGTCCTAAATGTTTATAACACAAAATAAAAGTTTAAGGTGAGTTTGTGAGATTACAATAAGTTAACTAGTTTGATTGTGGTGATCGCTTCAAAGTGTATATGAAGAGCAAAACATCAAGTTGTACAACTTAAATATATATAATTTCTATTTGTAAATTATGCACAACCAAGTCAAAAAAACTAAACTGAAGATCTACCTTTTTTTGAACAGAGAATATAGTGGTCTCCCCTTATCCACCGATTCACATGCCATGGTTTCAGTTACCCTTAGTCAACTGCAGTCTGAAAATATTAAATGGAAATTCCAGAAATAAGCAATTCATAAGTTTTAAGTTGCACGCCATTTTGAGTTGTATGATGAACTCTTATGCCCGCTACGTCCTGCCTGGGACATGAATCATCTCTTTATCAAGCATCTCTACATTGTACACACTACCTGCCATTCCTCTAAACATTTCCAAACCTCAGAAATCACCATTCAACACTCTTCTTCTATGAGTTCAACTATTTCATTTAGTTGCAGTCTCATTATCAGATTGACTGATGTGATAGCACAGTGTTTGTGTTCAGTTAACCCTCATTTTACTTAATTGTTTTGTTTTATTATTGTTGTTGATCTCTTAGTGTGCCTAATTTACAAATTGAACATTATTACAGGTAAGTGTATATAGAAAAAAAACACAGAATATATAGGGTTTCATACTATCCACAGTTTCAGGCATTCACTGGGGGTCTGGAATGAATCCTTTGCACACAAATAAGTTACTGTAGTAGAATGGATAAATAAATTATAGTATATTAATCCAATTGAATACTACACAGCAATTCTCCCTACTAATCCTATTAGTTCTGTATTTCTGGAGAACCCTGAGTCATACACCATCTGACTCTAAAATCTGTTAAATCCAACACCCATTTCAGAGATTGTGAAACTGGGAGTCTTAAGTAACTTGCCTCGGGCAAACCACCAGTACATTTGGACTCAGCCTGTGCTCTCTCCACTAGGCTACGTTTTCTCTCAGCTTCCTCATGGAGCAAGCACCATGCCCCATGCGTCCCTGTACTGCCCCTCAAACACACTGCATACTGCTCTGAACATAACGGAGCAGCAAAGAACATTAGAGCTGGTGGGCAATCTCAAAACAGAGTAGAAATCTCTCATTTTGCACATGTGAATACCGAAGCGAAGCTACGTAGCAAGAGCCAGCCCCAACGCACATCTCTCCCGAAACCACGATCTGCATTCTTTTTCCTTTCTTCCTCTACCCAATAAATGTTTGTTTATTTTGTCCTATTCCAGATCTGAAGAGAAGAGAAACGTGAGGGAAGAACAGGCGGTGGCAGCCAGAAGAGAGTGGGTGGAACAGTCCCTGCAACTCTTCAGAGAAAAGAAAGGGGCGCTGGCCCAGGCCCAAGAAGTGTCCCTGGGGGCCGATGTCGGCAGGAATCCCCGCATCTCCACATGCGGAACTGAGAGAAGTGCCTGGCAGATTCAATCATACAGTGACTCAAATGTCACAGCATGACTATAGAGAAAGAATAATAGTGGAAGCATCCCGGCCAATTTTCAACAGAAGGGCTCAGGATAAGGAAGCTTAAGAAAATTGCCGAAGAGAATGATAATGACAATAATAAAAACAAATAGCTACCATTTATTGAGCACTTATGTGTCTGGCGCTGTGCTACACACTTTACATATCAACCTGATGAAGTACAGTTATTATCCCCATTTTATGAGGAGGAAACTGAGGCGTGGCAAGGCTGAGGAAGTTGCCCAAGGACACACAGCTTGTGAGGTTAAGTCTGGGTACCTTAGCATATAATCACAAGGGCAGGCGTTTCGTATTTAAGGCTGTAGTGAGTGCTTGGAGTACGTCACCTCCTTTCCTTCTCACAGAAGCCCTGCTAAGTGTGTATTAGTCTTTTCATTTTATAGGCGAGGTAAATAAAGCTCAGAGAAACTAACAGTTCAAGGTCACACAGTGAATGAGTAGCAGGGCAAGATTCCACCTCCAGCTGGTTTTATTTTGAAGCCAATCATAAGCGTGGAAATAACTGCCACAAAAAAGTTAACATACATACCTGGCTACTGGAATAAAATTTTAGTGGAATTTGTCCATTTGATGTATTACTCATAACTAAATCCCAGTGACTCTGATAAGCTGCCTGCAACCCAGGGCCTAAGGTAACTGAAACAAGAGACGCATGAGTTTTATTTAGCCATTTTTCCTCTGAATGTCAAACCACCTCTCTCCACAACCCTCACCATCCTAAGTGACAACAGCAGACACTTGTGTAATCATCAGCACTCTTAGAATAAAGGCATTCATTCTTTCCTATAAGATCTTGATCTAACCCAAAACCACTTTTGATAAGCAAAAAAAAAAAAAGATATAATAAAATATAGAAGATACACACAGCAAGAACCAGGAAGAATTTCTCCTTCTGGAAAATTATAGAAATTATCCTAATAAAGATCCAGTTCTATGACCCCAAAGACTTCTGCTCAACTAGTGTTAACATCTTTCATGTATAAACGATTCAACAAAAAGGAAATATTAATAAATATGGCTCTTAAATATCTAAACAAATGCTCCTCCTCAATCATAAAAAGAAAAGGGCAAATTAAAAGCACATAGCAAGATTAACTTTAACCATAAAGTAGTGGCAAAGTTGTGGGGGGGTGGAAATCACTCTTATGAAATGGTAGGAGTATATAATTGATATGACTCCAGGGGAGGGCAACTTTGCAGCATTTATCAAACATAAAATGCATGTACCATTTGATCCAGTCATCCACTCCTAAGAATTTATCCCACAGATTTACTTACACAAGTACAAAATGACCTGTTTACAAAGTTATTTATTGCAGCACTGGTTTTAATAGCAAAATATGTGAATCAATGTAAATGTCCGTCAGTAAGGTACTGTTCACAAATCATGGTTCAGCTGTGTAATGGAACACTGCACACCACAGAAGCAATGAGAAACTCTTTACATACTGAGATTGTACAGATTCTGACATCTATTATTAAGTAAAATATGCAAGGTACAAGACAGTGAATGCTGTATTCTATAATACAATATGTATAAAAGGTTAGGGGGATAATAAAATACGCACTCATAGATGAATAAAATACATTTGAAAGATATATAAGAAAGTGCCAACATGCATTGGCCTTAGGGAAAGGAAGCTGTTATTTGGGGAACAGAGGTGGAAGGGAGATGCATCTATCCCCTGTACTATATGAATTGTTTTTCCAGCTTTACTGAGGTAAAATTGACAAATAAAAATTGTATATATTTAAGGTGTACAACTTGGTGTTTTGATATCCAAACACTATACCTTTAAAAATTTTAACCATGTGATTGTATCTCCTATTCCAAACATTAATAAGTTAAATTAAATTAAAATAAATTATTATTTTAAACTTGCTTTCCCCACAGTGGGTAAGGTGCAGAATAAACAAAGAGTAGGAAAAGATAAGTTTCTTGATAAATTTCTGAGTTGCTGTAAACATTTAAACGTTTTAATTTTTAAAAATCCAATAAAGATTAAGAAGGCAATTTTTTTCATAATTCCTAACAGAATTTTTTGACTATTAAAAGAAAACATAGACTATTGTGCCCCTACGTTTTCAAAAAAAGCTGAACCAACTATACTTCTTTTTCCCTTAAGAATGGATTTTCCTTATTTTCCATTTGGTAAATATTTAGAAGGGTTGTTTTGCTTTTTTCAGCCCCCTAGAGTAACTTAAAGCCCAGCTCAATACCTCCTCAGCAAAATAGTGATGCTTGGTTCCAAACTTGAGATGTGACTAGAGGTTTCAATGCTCCCATTTGTGGCTTTGTACATGACGGTGTCCTGAAATTTGGTCACCCTGACCATGTTCTGATCATTCCCCTTCTTAGAAAATGCATCACAGAAATTTCTATATTTTCTCTGTCATTTGGGAACATGGCTCCAGAAAGCTTTTTAATTCTTTAAATGTTTCCAAATGTTAATTGAAGAGCACAACAGCTGTACCAAGTCATAAGTAGCATATCTTCAAGACACTCTATCCTTCATGAAGTGACATTTCCAACACTTCCAGGAAAGTATGAATAGATAGAAACTACATGGCTACTAAATCAATAAACAAATAGGCGTTTTTTGATATGTGATTATAATGTACACAAAACATAAGAAGCTTCCCATTAGAAATGAACCTGGTAGAATAAAGACTGAGTTAGTGGCCAATAACACTACTATCCTAGCTGAGTTGCATGGAGGAAGTATGTCCTAGCTCGTGAGGGCTGCTATAACAAACCACTATAAACAGGGTGGCTTATAAACAACAAATACTTACTTATCACAGTTCTGAAGGCTGGGAAGTTCAAGATCAAGGGGCCAGGAGATTCAACGTCTGGTGAGGGCCTGTTTTCTGTTCATAGATGGCACCTTCTTGCTGTGTCCTCACATGGGGAAAGGAGCAAGGCAGCTCTCTGGGGCCTCTTGTATAAGGGCACCAATCCTACTCATGAGGGCTCTATCCTTATGACCTAATTACCTCCCAAAGACCCCACCTCCTCACACCATCACATTGATGATTAGGTTTCACATATGAATTTTGGGGGGACACATCCAGACCATAGCAAGGTATAAACAGAAGTTAAAGAAGCTTCAGCTTCTGCTAATGTATAAATACATGAAACAGAAACAAATCTAGACATGTTCATATTTTGGTCCCATACACAGACTAAATATTCTTTAAACTAAATATTAAAGGGTACTAAATGGGACAGGAGAGCAGCACACAAAACCTATTAGAAAATGGCTCTTGAGCATTGTATTAAAAGCTACTTAGAACTAAGAAGAGTAATGAAAAGATAAAACCACCTCACAGGTGTCGTGGTGGAAGTGCATCTGTAGTTAGCAGTGAAACGGAAACCGTGGTGGTCCCCAACACTGGTACTGCAGCCCTACCCAACTATCCAAATGGCTAGTAGGAAATCAGATAAAATGTTTTTTTAACTAAATATGTATTGTGTCACTACAGGATATAGATCTTTTATATTCAAAGTGTAGTCCATAGAGCAGCAGTACTAGTATCACCTGGTAGGATGTTAGAAATATAGAATCCTAGTCCACCCTCAGACTACAAACTTAGAATCTGCATTTTAACAAGATCCCTAGCTTGTGATTCACATACACATTAAAATTTGAGAAGCACTGGTATAGAGTATGAACACAAAAGGCAGACAGATCTACACTGAAATCATAGCTCCGGCACTTAGCTTTGTAAATGAGCAAATTATGGAACCTCCTGAAGCTCCAACTTCCTCATTTTAAAAATGGAAATTATAATAGTTGGCTTATATGCGTTATGACAACTAAATGGGAGCACATATAAAAAACATCAAGCAGAACACTAGGCACCAAGCAGGTGTTCCTTGAACATTAACTCTCTTCCTCTACACCCCTTCCCATTTTAAAAGAAAAAAAATTTTTTTTACCATACAAAAATTGTAAAGTTTAGAAATTCTTAAATCCCCTACAATATTATTGACAACTAACTTTAGGCTTCAACCCACATCTAAGCTAAATGTCTTTGACTGATTCCATTAATACAGCCTGGAGTTTATTACACAGCCATCATGGAATATATTCCAGGTTGCACTATATATATATATATATATATATATATATATGAATTAGCCAAGCACAGTGGCACTTGCCTGTAATCCCAGCTACTCAAGAGGCTCAGGCACAAGAATCGCTTGAGCCTGGGAGGTGGAGGTGGAAGTGAGCTGAGATTGAGCCATTGCACTCCAGCCTGGGCGACAGAGGGAAACTCTTTCTCAAAAATAAATAAATAAATAAAATAAAAATTAAAAATATATATGGAAACAATAACATAAGTGAATCATTAATATTACAAAATAATTCAGATTGCAGGTCCTGTTGACTTATTTTCATATACACAGAACAGTCATATGTCGAATTTAGGAGCAAGTTTGTATATACATACTTTTTATCTCCCAGTCACATAATCAAGTGCAACTGTTACTATAACTATATATATTTATCTTGAGTGACTGTAAATAGTAACATTAAAATAATAATAATGGAATAATTGTATTGTACACCTACTCCGATATCAGGAATTGAGCTAGGCTATTTATATATTTGCAGGAAAACAGTAAAAAGAAATGTGGAGTCTTAATTAGGGAAGGGGAGTTCGGCTGGCAGGACTGAGGAAGGCAAAAAGAAAGCAGCTAAGCTGTAAGTCTGCCTTTCTTCATGATCCAGAACACATAGCCCTCCTGCGCATATAACTCACAATCTTCCTGCACCCAGCTATTAGCAGTCCCTCGGCTGATAGGAAAACGCAAGTTAGTTCACCGCAACCTTGGCATTATGAGTACTGCACAAAGCCGTCTTCAGCAAACAGCACGAGAACCATCCTATAAAATCCCCAGCAAGCACCTGTCTCTTTGCAGTTAGCTCCTCTCTTGCTAACCTTCCTGTTGCTTCCTTGCAAGGTATTTTCCTACTTTCTCTAATAAATCTGCCTTTCTTTCCTTACTGTCTTGTAACAGTAAGTAAAGAAAGAATGGTAAGAGTTCCAAGACAGTAAATGAAGAAAGGCAGATTTATTAGAGAAAGAACAAAAAGTTCTTTTCCAAGAAGAACTGTCTTGAAAAATTCTTTTACTGCCTGTGCCACCAGGCCAGATATTTGCTAATCACTTGAGACAAGAAACACTACAACGTGTTGTGACATTTTGAAAGGCACCTTGGTGGGAAAAGTGTGAAGTTGTTGAGGAGATTGAAAACGTCTTTCTTCACAGTAAAAATGACACTAGCATAAGTAACTGGCTGTCTTCCCATCTACCCCTTCCCCCAATCCAGTCCTGGAGATGCCATCAGAAAGTGACCAGCTTGAGGCTGGAGAGGAAATAACAACCCAGGAGGAAAAAACAAACCTAGAAGAGTTTGGCACTGCTAACCAGGAGCCCAGGAGCGCAAGAGGCTTCTAGGAGTACCCACTGTTTGAAACCACATGTCGTGACTGGGCCATTGCCTGTCCAGTCACAAATGAATTTTGAAAGGATCAGGAATAGCAGCCAGCCCAGCAGCACTGGACATGTAAGCAACCAAGTAGGAGCAGTGACCAACAGATTCACCAGGCCCTGAGATTTCTCCTCCTCAACCAAAGGGGGCAAGGTGATTACAGCTGAGCAAGACAACTCTTAAGAAAAAAAAAATGCCAGGGTGTAGGCTCTCAATCTTGAGGAAATTCTGCCCGAACCCACGGCAGGTACATAAACTCACGCTAGGCTTTAGCCAGAAGAAGAGGGGAACACCTCTAAGGAGTATGGGCTCCAGAGAAAATTGTGGGTCTGTCTTAGAGGAATAACAGCTAAGAAAGACAAGGAACGAAGTAGACAACCCATGCAAAAGAAAGAAAAAGGAATGGACCAGGCTGAAGAAGAATTTAAATAATCTTAATAAATAGTCTTGAGGAGATAAGGAAAGATTTACAAATCAAAGCTAAAACTAGAAGACATAAAGAAGAACTAGCTGGACAGACTACGCAAAATATAACAATTAAGATAAAATGAGGCCAGGCGTGGTGGCTCATGCCTGTAATCCCAGCACTTTGGGAGGCCAAGGCCGGCGGATCACCTGAGGTCAGGAGTTTGAGACCAGCTGGCCAACATGGTGAAACCCCAACTCTACTAAAAATACAAAAATTAGCCAGGTGTGGTAGCACATGCCTGTAAGCCCAGCTACTCAGGAGGCTGAGGCAGGAGAATCACTTGAACCTGGGAGGTGGAGGTTGCAATGAGCTGAGATTGCGCCACTGCACTTCAGCCTGGGCAACACAGTGAGACCCTGTCTTAAAAAAAAAAAAAAAAAGATAAAATTAGCTTAATAGCGGGATGAACACAAAGTAACATACTGCTGAGAAAAATCAGCATAAACAATATACCCACCTAGCAATGTATAAACCACCCAGGAATCTGAGAAGTAAATATCAAACTTTGTACTCAATGATTTTAAGATGCCCCTTTTAGGAACTAAAAGGTGACTCCAAAATAAGCAATTGTATGGAAGAGCCAAATAACACATTATTTTTGTTTTGTTTTGTTTTGTTTTTTTGAGGTGGAGTCTGGCTGTGTCACCCAGGCTGGAGAGCAGTGGCAGGATCTCGGCTCACTGCAACCTCCATCTCCCAGGTTCAAGCGATTCTCCGCCTCAGCCTTCCGAGTACCTGGGATTACAGGAGCCTGCCACCACGCCCCGGATAATTTTTGTATTTTTAGTAGAGACGGGGTTTCACTATGTTGGCCAGGCTGGTCTTGAACTCCTGAGCTCGTGATCCGCCCACCTCAGCCTCCCAAAGTGCTGGGATTACAGGCATGAGCCATCGCGCCCGGCCTACCATTAATTCATAATTTATTGATATATATAAATCTTTATAACCTCAAAATAATGCCACTCTTTTAAAACACACACGAATATTTACAAAATTAAATGTACCAGGTCACAAAGGAAGTCCCAACAAATTGCACAGAATCAACATCGTGGAGGGTATGTTTTCTGATCATGATGCAGTAAAACTTAAAATCAACCCCAAATGGCAGATTTTTAAATCTCATACATCCAAAAACAAAATATTATGCTGCTGAACAATCATTACATTTACAGAAAAATTAATTACAAGAAGGATTATAAAATATTTTGAATGAAATAGTAATAAAACATCAAACATTTGGTATGCAATTAAAGTAGTACTTCAAAGAAAAGTTACAGCCTTAAATGCATTTATCAGAAACCATGAAAACAAATTAGCAAAGCATTCAACTCAAAATAAAACCAGAAAAAGAATAACAAGTAAACAGACTCATATAGAAAGGAAATAATAAAGATAAAAATCAGTGAAATAGATCATTTTAAAAAATAGTGAAGTTCCTCATAAATATATATACTATGTATTCACAAAAATTAAAAATTAAAAAGTAAAGTTTAATAAAATCAAAAGCTGATTGTTTGACAGGATTAATAAGATACATTTCTGATAAAACTGTTAAAAAAAAAAGCAAAATGCAGGATGAAAGGGGGAAATAACACAAACACAATAGATTTTTTAAAATACAACAACAAAATAATGAATTCAGAAAACTGACAAAAGGGAATTTCTGGGAATGTATAAGATGCCAAAAGTGGCACTAGAAATATATTTTTAAACTTGAATTTAAGTTCAAAGGAGCTTATCTTAGACAAAGCTTAAAAAAGTGACAGATTAGGAGAAGATATTTGCAATGTCAAAATCAATGAGGAAATTCTATTTAGAACACCTAAGGAACTTGAGCAAGCAACAAGAAAAATACAAGAAACCCAGTAGAAAAAATAGGCAGAGGAAATGAAGTGTTGATAATTCACAGGAGAGAAACCAAATAGTTAATAATACTTGATGTTTCTGGAATTTTTAAAAACCCCACATAAATTACACAAATTAAAACAATGGTTTACTTTTATAACACTTTATACCCTTCAAATTGCTGAAAAAAAAGAGAAAGTCAGAAATTGCTAAATGGAAGCAGACTTTTGGGGAAAAAGGAACCTGCATGTGCTGCTGCTGGGACTGTAGCTTGGCAAAGTCATTCTGGAAAGGAATTTGGCAATATTTTCTGAAAGTAAGTATGCGTATTCTAAGATCTAGAAATCCTATTACTGAATACATATAGGCCCAAGAAAACCCAGGCATATTTCCACAAAGGTATATGTACAAGAATGCAGCCTCTTTGTGCAAGTGCGTTGTTAAGATACCACTCAGATGTCCACAGTGACATTTGGTGGATGAATATCATGAAACTAGAAATGCATACAGTAATATGAACTGATAATAAACATATATTGTTCACACATGCAAGAAATAAAAGCAGCTCTATAGTACTAGAGTATTTAAGTACAGTTGACCCTTGAATGATGCAGAGGTTGGAAGTGCTGGTCCAGCATAGTCGAAAATCTGCATGTAACTTTTGACTCACCAAAAACTTAACTACCAATAGCCTACTGTTGACCAGAAGCCTTATTGATAACAATTAGCATGTATTTTGTGTGTTACATGTATTAGATACAGTGTTCTTATAATAAAGTAAGCTACAGAAAATAAAATGCTATTAAGAAAATCATAAGAAAAATATATTTAATATTCATTAAGTGGCAGTGGATCATTATAATAGTCTTCATTCTCATTCTCTTTGGGTTGAGTAGGCTGAGGAAGAAGAGGCACAGGAGGGGCTGGTCTTGTCTCAAGAGTGGAAAAGCTGGGAGAAAATCCGCATATAGGTGGGCCTGTAGTTCAAATCTGTGTTGTTCAAGGGTCAACTGTACATTTGAAAACATTCACAGAAATAAATACAATTATTTTTCAGGGTACATACATATCTAAGTGCATATATCGAACCCATTACACTGGGTGCCTTAAGTAGGGAGTGAGGGAAATGGAGGTGAGCAGCAATACATTGGAAAACATGCAGGTGTAGAGAGAGAGATGGCAATGGGATACAAAGGCAATCAGGTTTCCTGGTCAGCGTGAATCCTGCTTGTGCTCTGCATGTGAACCATGGGTTTCAAATGAGGCAAGATAAGCAGACTCTGGCCAGAGACATGAGCAGTTTACAAATCCTGAGAAATTGAACAGTAATACAAAAACCAAAAAGGAAACCCCTTGGGGATGAAGGATGAACACTGGCTATTGTAAACTAGATGAAAAAACCGGTGTGATATAATAAAAAATAAATATTTGGCCTTTGTCCCCAGTTCCTGGCACAGAGCTCATAAAACCCTTTGAATCTCCTAAGTGATAAGAGTGTCTTTTGTATGCTAATGAGGTGACTCCTGGCTGGGCCCCTGGAAAGCTTCAGGGTGGGGGATAGTCACCAGAAAAACCCAGCCATCATTATGGAGTTGGAACTTGCACCCCTCTCCCCACCTCTGGGGAGGGAAAAGAGGCAGGAGATTGAGTTCAATCACCAATGGCAGTGATTTAATCAATCATGCATAAGTAAGGAGACCTCCGGGAAAACTTTCAAGCAAAAAGTCTGAACACCTTCCAAGCTGGTGAACACACTGATGTTCTGGGAAGATGGTGCGCCTGATGAGAGCGTGGAAGCGCTGAGCCACCCAACCCACCCCACACCTTGCCCTATGCATTGCTTCTGTTTGGCTGTTCCTGAGTTACATTCTTTATAATAAACCAGTAAACATACATAAAATGTTTCCCTGAGTCCTGTGAGTTGTTCTAGTAAGTTATTGAATATCCTATTTGTAGCCATTTGGTTGGAAGTACCAGTGACCGGAGACTTGCAATTGGCATCTAAAGTGGGAAGGGTTGTTTGGGACCGAGGGCTCTGACACTAACTCCAGGTAGATGGTGTCAGAATTGAATTGTTTGACACCCACTTGGTGTCAGAGTATTAGAGAAGGGGTGCCAGGACCAGCCAGATCGGTAATGGCTTGGCTAATTGAAGGATTTACCAATTTCCTATAATAATCACCAAATTAAAATAGTTCAATCAATTCAATTTATCTTAATCAAATGTATGATGAAACTCTAGGTTTAAAGAGATAATACATGTAGAAGATCTCTACCAGTCCTAAATTTGTCACATAAAGGTGTAGCACACCAAAGTGAAATAATCCTAAAATTCTATCAACCAAAAGAGTCAATCTCAGTAAAATATTAGAAGAGATTTATTCTGAGCAATGGCCAATATAAATGACCAATGGCCTGTGACACAGCCCCCAGGAGATGCTGAGAACATGTACCCAAGGTGGTTGGGCTACAGCTTGGTTTTATATGTTTTAGAGAGATATAAGACATCAATTCATACATGTAAGATGTACATTGGTTCAGTCCAGAAAGGTGGGACAACTGGAAGCAGGGCCTCCAGGTCATAGACGGATTCAAAGATTTTCTGATTGGCAGCTGGTTGAAAGAGTTTTATCTAAAGACCTGGAATCAATAGAAAGAAATGTCTAGGTAAAGATAAGGGGTTGTGGAGGCCAAGGTTTTATCATGCAGATGAAGCCTCCAGGTGGCAGACTTCAGAGCTCTTATCAGACCTAAAAAGTGCCAGACTCAGTTAATTCTCTCCTGAACCTGGGAAAAGGCCTGGAAAGGAAATGGGATTCTCTACAGAATGTAGATTTTCCCCCACAAAAGACAAGTCAGCTTCATCCTTCAAATTGCCGCCAGGGCTATATTCATTTATTCAGTTTTGCAGGGCCCTCTCAAAATATGTCAAAGAAATATATATGGGGCTAAAATACTTCTTTCAGGGCCTGCTATCGGTCATGTGATGCTGTAGTAGAGTTAGGCTAGAATTTGGTGTCTCATTGCTATAAAAAGTCTGTTTTGTTGGTCTTAAGATCTCTATTTTAATGTTAAAGCTGTTCAACTGTGCTTGAATTCCAAAGGGAGGAGGGTATGGTCAAAGAGGGGAGGCATGTCCAACCCTCACTTTTTATCATGGTCTGAACTAGTTTTTCCAGGTTTACTTTGGAATGCCCTTGCCCAAAGGAAGGGCCTGTCAGTCAGTTAGGAGGCTTCGAATTTTATTTTTCATGTACAATTCTAATTCCCTTTTTTTTTTTTGGCAGCAACAAGAGGCACAAGAGTTACTCATTAAGTACTATGTGCTCTCCAAATTAGTTTGCACTGGATTGGACTGGACAGGATTTTCTTCTGACCAGGAAGTTCACTAACACTGTTCCATCTGCATATTTTTTAATGGGATACAGAAATAGCAAATATTAGCTGGTCTAATGCTGTTAGAGCAGTTTGTTTTCTTTTGTTTTTAGTCAAACTCCTTTCATGACAGCAAAATCGCCTCTCTACATCTCAACATGGAAAACCTAGTCTTGGCCAAGATTTGTGCATTTACTTAATGACCAGGTGGGCTGAAGCCTGCTTTTCCAACAATAAACATTTGTGGGCTTCCATCAGAACTATAAAGAGTCTTTATATACCTAGAAGTTATGTCCTCTTGTAACTCCATGGAAATTCAGTCATGAGGAAAAGAAAATAAATATTCTACACAAGGTATAAAATGCAGGCCACCAACACAGGTGTGAAAAATGCAACTTTCTTTATTATTGTGTAATGATTTAATTACTAGTTTGGGCTCCCAGTTCTCCAAAGTTCAGTGGGGGTCTGATACAAGGGTTAGGCGTTGAGAAGGGGGTAGGTGATTCTTAATGTTGCTTGCTCTCACATTCATGTTCTGAGCCACCAAGGGCCCATCGGGTTGATAGGATACGCTGAGTTATCAGCACATGCAAACCGTTATACTGAACCAAATGTCTCCATTAGGTCCAGATGTGCTCACTGCTATTTCCATGTTACTCTAGAAGACATAGAATCGTTCTGCTGGAGCCCAGGGATCTCAGTGCTGCAAACTGTTACGGCATCTAATCTAGGGACTTGTCCTCCTCCCCAGAATGCCAACCTATCAAACAGACCACAGGGCTCCTATCTTTAGGACACTGCATAATTCCGTTCTGCTCACTTCTCCTCCACCAACCTAAAAGAATGTCCTCTGCTCGAGGATCAAGGGAGCCTGCTCTCCCTCAAGTGTTGCTTCCTGTCAACACTTTACCTATGCCCAGACCTCCACTAGTCTGAGAAAGGGAAATCAGCAAGAACCTTTTTGTTGTTTTCCAATCTGTCATAAACTTTCCCTAAGTTAGTACAGAAGATCTTGCTTGAAGGGAGCAGGGAAAGGGTTAGCTAGAGAAAAGGGAAGAGGGAAAAAGGTGAATTTCCAAGAGAATAAATATAAGCTTCCCTCTCGAAAATTTTATTCCACAACATTATTACCACTTCTCTCTAGATAATTCACTATATTTCATGTTCAAAATAGCAACATGCTTAAATAAGCACTTAATAGACAATAATGATCAAAAGGAAGAGCAGGCATGTCACAGAATATTGAATTTAAGTCAGTGATTTGATAAGGATTAGGCATGGAATCCTTTGCATTCCAAACCACATCACTGGCAGTTAATTTACATTTTGAAATGTATACCTGAGAGCACTAGATTCAGCTGTCAATATCTAAAATAAGGTTGCTGCTTTTGAAACACCACAGATGAAGGAATTACACTAAAACTTCTACCTAATGTATTATCAGTGGGACAGAAATATGAAGAAGCCTGGTACTAAGCCTAGTTCCAAGCTGACAAAAGTGTACAGACTCAAGATAGAGAGTGCTGGTTAGGACTCATTCCTGTGTGACCAGCAGAACTCTACCTCATATTGGCTGAAACCCTAGGAAAATTTGTTTTTCATGTGACTGAAGCATGTAGGGCCAGCGCAGTCTTCAGAGGTGGTTTGATCCTAAAAATCATAATGTCAACATAGCTGAGGCCTTGCATTCTCTGAGGGTCCCTTGCCTCTGCCCTTCTCCTTGTGTCAGCTTCATCCTTCAAATTGCCACCAGGGCTATAGTCGTTTATTCAACAAATAGGTATTAAATATCTTTGCGATGGTCTGAATGTGTCCCCCCACAAACCCAGCATTCACATGTTGAAATCTAATCTTCAGTTTGATGGTGTTATGAGGCAGGGCCCTTCAGAGGTGTTCAAGTCAGGAGGCTGGAGCCCTCAGGGATGGGATGAGTGCCATATAAAAGGATTTGAGAGGAAAAGTCCATTCCTTCTATTTCTTCCACCATGTGAGAATGTACTGTTTTTCCACTCCAGGGAACCAGCAACAAGGAACTAAGGAACCACCTTGAAACAGAGAGCAACCCTCATCAGACACCGACCCTGCTGGCATCTTGATCTTGAGCTTCTCAGCTTCCAAAATGGCGAGAAACAAAATTTTTTTCTTAATGAATTACTCAGTCTCAGCATTTTGTTATAATGGCGTGAAAGGAATAGGACACTCTCTAATATGTCAGGCATTGTTCTGTTTTGTGAATACAGAAGGGAACTAGTGAGATAAAGCATACATTCTAGTAGGAACGACATGCCATATATACAGAGGAAACAGATATAAAACATGGCGTTAGTTCAATAAGCACTTAGAAAAAAATAAAAGCAAAAGAGAGTAACAGGAATGCTGCTCTATCCAAGATGATCAGCCCTCTCCGAGGAAGAAACATTACATCTGAGTCCTAATTATAGTGTGGGGGCTGGCCATGATAATACTTACAGGAAAAGAGCTCCCAAGCAGTAGGAACAGCCACTGCAAGGACTCTAGGGAAGGAGTGTTTGTGGCGTGCTGGAGGAAGAGTGAGAGGGCCAGTAGAGTTGAAGTCCTCTGAGCAAGAGGGATAGCAGTGTGAGATGAAGAAAGAGTGGAAGCTATGAAACAATGGTAGGGATTCAGAGACCATGCTACAAAGATGGGATATTAGTTTAAGGCTCCCAAGAAGTATTGGAGGATGTGAGCAGGGGTTATCTGACATGTTTTAAAAGGACCATTACACTGTGTGCAGAATAATCTGTAGGGGTGAAAGAGCAGAAGTAGGGAGTAAAAACAGCAGGTGTGGTGGTTGGATAGGGTCCCCCAAAAATATATGTTCAAGTCCTAACCTCTGGCACCTGTGAATGTGACTTTATTTGGAAAAAAAAATTCTTTACAAATATAATTAAGAATCTCAAAATGAGATTATCCTGGACTTAGGGTGGGCCCTAAATCCAATGACAGGTGTCTTCTGAGAGAAAGGCAGGGAGAGATTTGGCACATAGGAACACAGAGAAGCAAGTCAGGTGAAGACAGAGGCAGAGATTGGAGTTACGCTGCCACAAGCCAAGAAACATCTGGGCCATTCAAAGCTGCAAGAGGCAAGGAAGAATTCTCCCCTCACACTTTGGGAGAGAGCATGGTCCTTCTGACACCTTGATTTCTAATTTCTGGCCTCCAGAACTGTGAAAGAATACATTTCTTTTGTTTTAAGCCACTTGCATAATCCCTAGGAAACCAGTACAGGAGCTAGCACAGGATCCAGACAAGAAATGCTAGTGGCTCAGACAAGGATGCAAGTAGTGCAGATGATGAGATATGGTTGATGGGGTTTACAATTTGAGGGTGAAGCTGAAAAAGAATAGTTTCCTAGAACTAATAAGATTTGTTATTCTACTGTCTTTCAGGAAAAGAGAGAGGCTCTCTTCTCACCATCATCAAGCGATCTGCCCCTCTTGAAGGCAGCCCACAAATCTCAGGAAAAATGGACCCCATCTCTCAGTCTGGGGTAGATCCAAGTCATTCCCAGACAAAATTTCCCACTAATATGCTGCAGAAATGGGCACTTCAAGTGCTGAGTTACTGACCTCCTCAGCCCTCGCGATGGCCAGGAGAACCAGGTCGGTGGTAATTCCCAGGATTAGTCACTTTTAGCCCCAAACCTTCTTCCCCCATCCTTGCCCTACAGTGCCATCAGATATTCTCATTTCAAATGTGTGCCGTGATTCCAAAAAGAAAATGGGACTGTGATTATCTGTTTCGTGGCTATGCAAATGGTCTCTGTTTCTCAACATGAACAAAGAAATGTGCTCCTGCTTCTACTGATAGCCACCTTGTGACCCAAAGAAGCCAGCCAAAGATAAGTGGCCCTGGAGAATGATACAGAAATAGAACCGGAGCCCTGATCATACCATTGGCCTTCAGCCCACACTTTTCTCTGGACTTTGAGCTACATGAGCTAACAAATTGCCCTGTTTTAAACTGGTTTGAATTATGGTTTCAGTTCCTTGCACCTCAAAGCATCCTGACAATCTAGTACCTGTCTCAGAACCATAGAGGCACAAGGGACAGATTCACTCTAACTGGCTTAGTCTCATCAGGGGCCACTTCTGGAACTGGAAAGGGGTCAGTCTCAATCAAATCACATGGCTAAAATGTCCAGCTACAGTGTGAATTAAATTTCAGATCTTTTAAATGATACATTACTTTATCAATTTTTTCAGTTAGTGGAGAAAATCACAGGCTTGAAAAAAGTGCTTACTATGGCAGGTCCACAAAAATATTGGGAGCAAGAGAGCTAACACAATTTTATTATCCAAATTCTTATCATCTAAGGAATGAATTTAGGTGATCACTTTAGGTATGTGAGCACCAGATCCATCAAAATATAATACACAGACTGAGTGCCTTCATTTTAACAGTTGTTTCCCTGGCTATTAACCTGAGAGATGACAATCAAGTCAGTAGAGGAACTGTTTCATGGCAAAACAAACCAACCAACAAATACAGAGCTACCAGCAGCATACTTGATATAATCCAATGCGACCTCCATCCTCAAGTCACTTATTCCTGTTCAGACACAGAATGAGGTTTAGGGGCTTATGACTCAAAAGCACCATAGATACTACTCTGCTCTGGGAAGGAAGATCTAGCAGAAGTCACAAACTGGCCATTCACAGACAAATTCAGCCCACAGACATGACTTGTTTCATATGCACAGTGCATATTATTAAAATTATCATTATTATTGAGCCTACACTAAAAAACAGATTTCACATAAAAATATAGATTTCTGGTTTCTCTTTAAAAACTGAAAGCTCATTTGTAATTGAATCCATATTCCCATATGGTAACAATGGCTAGAGTGAGCATACAAGCTCAATTTTGCTATACTCCCAACCAATCCCTGTTATCTCTCAATAAGTCCTCATCTACATTTTCTTTTTAACCCATGTAGGCATTTGTGTTTGTGACCCTGGTCTTGAGGCTGCTGGGAAGTTGCAACTACTGTATGTCTCTGTGATTTTGAAAGACATTTGCTTATACTGCCAGAGCTTCTACCACATTTGGTCAATGTTGTCACTATCACGGTTACCCCGATCTCCTTTTCTTTCCTCTTACCTCAGATGGATTGAATCTTTGCAACATAAGAATTCTTACTGATACATTGAAGAAAATAGGTTCTATGAGTTTCCATGAGGATAAGCATTGGAGCAGAAGCTGCACCAAAATGTCACTCTAGGGCTGTGATAAGGAGAAATCCATCCCAGCCTCAATGGGAAACATGTGCCTATTCACACTGGTTCTGCCCAAGACCTAGTGCTAGGGATATGGTTTCCTTCCCTAGATCAAAACAGATCCTAGAATGGAAATTAGCACCATTGACAAGGGGGAGCAGAGAAAGAATCCAAAAAGATAAAACAAAAATATGCAATACATTGAAGGACTAAAGTAGGTCCTTCCCAATTTTCCATAGCGGTTTTCCTTCCTTAACAAATAGACAGGTTTCATCTTGGTAGGGGAGCCATCCTTAGGCTGGAAAATTTGATTTCCCCTCTTCCTGGGGGGCTCAGGCTACAGCTTTCACTTTATTCTTTTATTAATCTTGACATGAAATTCCATAAGAAGTCAAAGCCAGTTATCATTACCCTTTTGCAAAATGAGAACTCAGGGACACAGCAGTCAATTGGCTCACCCATGATCTTATGTTGTAGCAAGAGAGGCCATGTTGGAACTGAGTTCTGCAGAATTCTATTCCATTGCTCTTTCCACTGAAGCATGCCATGTTCACTCACTCCACCTCCCTCTTTAAATGGAACTTCTGTACTGCTAGTGTGGCTTTGTATTTAAGTAGTGACATTCAAGGGAAAAGAACATGAAATTCTATGATTTTTATTGATATGCAATAATTGAATTTATGTGTGAGGTATATGTAATATTTTGATATATGCATATAATGTGTAATAATCAAATCAGTGTAATTGGGATATTCATCACCTCAAACATGTATCATTTTTCTGTGTTAGGAACATTCTAAATCTTCTCTCTTAGCTATTTTGAAATATACAATACATTATTTTTTAAGGAAAGAGTGATAAAATCTTGGCTTCTTTCTAAATGTTCTTGATGCTGTAATAAAACACTAAAGTATATGGATGTGCCATCCTTAATATAGGAAAATAATGCTCCTAAAACATTTTATGGGAACAAGTGCTTTAAGTTACATTTTTATTGGTACTATCAAATTTGTCTTGGCTTAGCCACTTTATTCCACCTTATTCAGAGGCAATGACATGCCAGAGTTTAAGAGAAATTTCAGGTGCAAAGCCACAGTACTAGCTCCGTTAACGTAATGATTGAATGGACTAAATTGATCAGTTACCAATATAGCATTGAGTAAATTTTTTAGCAAATATGAGTTAGAACAGGGAGCAAAAATCTATATATTTAAGTTTAAGGAGTAAAAGAATAAGAAAAGAAAAACAGTTACCCACACCAACATTTGTTCAGAACTGTGATGCAATTACTACCTGACTACTAGAATGATGGCTGCATGGACCACAGAAAGAAGAAAGGCCACTGATAGAGGACTGAATCAAGGTCTTAGATTTCAATTATATCTCAGTAATACTGTCATGTATACTGAGTGGAGGGCATTGGCTAGAAATGACTACTAGGCTAAAGATTAATTGTAATTCAAAAAATTTTCCACAGAATTAACAAACTATCCAATTTTAGCTATGATTTCTAAGACAGTTTCCTTCTGTGACACCACATTCAAAGATCCATAAAGCAGCCTTTTTTGGATTTATTTCACATTCCTCTAGCAGATCCCACAGTGTTCAAAGGAGCCACAGCCAGAATTGGCACAGTGGTTTGCAGTATTTTCCTTGTATCTGAGGAGAAACAGGTTGTAAAGGACTAATCAAATGCTGTCCTTGCAAGAGCAGGGGACGGAAACGCGGGGAAGGAAGGCACTTCCTGCCAGTCTTCACTCCCCCTCCACTGGCCCTCATGCACCTGCAGTGACCCCCAAACCCCAGAGGCTGAAATCAACATGGAGAGAATCCAATTAATATTTGTGAGTAGACAAAGTAAAATCTTAATAAAATATAAGAGCAACCTGGATTCGTGCTTTTTAGTGGGGAAAAAATCATTAGGATAATTGACTAATATATGACAAGCTGCAGCTGGTTTGCCTCCTGCTGGGTCCTGGGTTTGCCTCGTGCAGAGAAAACCCCAAGAACTCATTCAAATATGTCACTCATCCCTCTTGTGACAGCTTTCACTAAATAGTTGGGGTAGAGAGGCTCTGAATGGGGCTTTTATTTTTCCCCTCAAGTCATTCTGCATTTGCAAGATCGAGTTGTTTTCAAGTAAGTGGATTTTAACTTTTTAGTAAAAGTCCTAGAGAGCTGTCCCCTGGGAGGAATGAAACTTCCCTGGAATTAGCCTAGTGACTGAAAAGGTGCTAGCCAATCCTTTTCACACCTGTTTAGATACATGGTGATCTCCAGGGAGCAGAAAGGCTAGGGGTGAGAAGACGAGCTCAGGGTGTCCCCATAACCACGGCTGAAATTTGGTGGGTGCCTGATAGAAAACAAAGACTAAGATGGGATTGAAAGGCATGGAGTTGACTATATACATTAAAGGAATAAAGAAAAGACCACAGAGAAGAAAAACACTAGGGAATTAGAGACCGTATTAGACTGGGTAATTTACAAACAAAAGAAATTTAATTGACTCACACTTCCACATGGCTGGGGAGGCCTCAGAAAACTTACAGTCATGGCATAAGGCAGAAAGGAGGCAAGGCATGTCTTCACAAGGTGGCAAGAGAGGAGATTGCAGCGGGAAACTGCCAAACATTTTTAAAAACCATCGGATCTCGTGAGAACTCACTCACTATGACGAGAACAGCACAGGGGAAACTGCCACCACAATCCAATCACCTCCCACCAAGTCCCTCCCTTGACTCTTGGGGATTACAACTCGGATTACAATTCAAGATGAGATTTGGGTGAGGACACAGACCCAAACCATATCAGAAACCCTGTGTAACTTCAGCTAAAATACCAAAGATTGCCCATTCTCCACTGAGACATGAAATTTAGAAGATTAAATGCATTTATGGAGGAAGAGCAAGAAAAAAATCCCACTGTGCATGACTAGCAGTGAGGGACTGAAGTGTGAGAGGTAAGCCTAAAGGGTTTCCATCCAGTGTACCTTCATGTGCTGAATTGGAAGAGCTAGGGGTGTCCCACAACAGTGGAAACTTCTTTAAAATGTCCTCTCCATCACAGACTGATACTTTATTTTTCCTGTCTCCCAGGCTGGAGTGGAGTGGCGTAATCTCGGCTCACTGCAACCTCCACCTCCCAGGTTCAAGCAATTCTCCCGACTCAGCCTCCTGAGTAGCTGGGATTACAGGTGTGTATCACCTCACCTGGCTAATTTTTTGTATTTTTAGTAGAGACGGGGTTTCAACATGTTGGCCAGGCTGGTCTCAAACTCCTGACCTCAGGTGATCCGCTGGCCTCGGCCTCCCAAAATGCTGAGATTACAGGTGTGAGCCACCACGCCTGGACACAAACTGATACTTTTATAAAATAAATTGAAAATGAATTATTAGGAAAATAACTGCATACTGAGATGCTGTGGCAATTCCAGATTGCTATAAGATTGTGATATTCTTACTCTTGATTTCTTTACTGTCTCATTACAGAGCAGTAACCTATAGTTGAAAGGTGGGCACTCGTTTGTGGACCAGACTTTGACCAATACTGGCTTGCTCCACAGAGACTCTGATCACAAAGGACTACACATTCACTTCATCCTTCAACTTGGCAGATGGAAGCTTCCATGGCATGACCCCTTTAAAGCAAGAAATTTGGAGTCCCAGCTTCTCCAGAAAAGCCTGGGCACTGAAAATAGAGGTAAAGCTTTAAATATGGGGAGAGCGGTGGTGCAGAAAATAAGACAGTTAGAAATTTGTTAAAATAGAAAGGATACCGTGAAAAATAATCAAATGACCAAAGATGCCCGGAGAGGTGCTAGGGAGGGCAGGCAAGAAGCGTAAATCAAAGGTGAGTAGAGAGAAGAGTACCCATAAGAGCAATTTCAGGGGCAGGAGGCAGATGGCCATCGAAATTGCCTAGGTGGTGGTTCTGCCTAGATCCTGCCCTTAAGCCATAGTCTGAGCCTCCATGATTCAGAGCAGGGCAGCGTTGCTCAAGGCTCAGCAGAAGTGAGAAAACCACCCTCACTGCCTGCCTGGAAGCTGAAAAGGCGGCTCTGTGCATCACATCTACCCATGAAGGTACCCATCATTGCGCTGTATCTCCTGATATCTTGAGTCACATCTTGTCTCTTAATTTTACTTATGTGCTTTGGAAGCTTCACAGTTTCTCCATTTATTAAATCTTCTTTCGGCTTCTTCCCAGAAGCTCCTCTTTAAAAACACATAAACAGTTCCATGTGAAAATTTGCTGTTGTTGATTTATAATTCATTCTGGAAGAGCAGCTTTTAAAAAGACAGAGGGAATTAAGCTGAGAGTAGGCTTGAGATGTATGCGCCTCCCTTGGCTTTTGAATTAGATGTGTTTAATGGGAACATGGACACTAGGGCTGAGCGTAGTGGAAAAATCTATTGGCCCTGCTGATACTAAACATTCCAGCTGCGAATGGAATTCATTTTGGAGTACATAAAGCGAATGAACCTGGACAGGCTTTGAAGCACTGTTGAAAAGATGTGGCCTCTCCCTACCTTCATCAGTCCACCGGGTAGCTCTTCTGTTGAAACACTGCTCTCTCAAAGAGAAGCTCAAATCCCAGAGCCCTTCATTGTAGCCACTGGTGGAAAGTAATTTTGAAGTTTTCATTATAGTCCGTATTGAGGACCAATACTCCCCCCAAACACTGACAGTCGGGGCTTTCCACCTGCTTAGCAGGTGATGCTTCTGCTGCTCCATTAGCCCCAGGTGAAGAATGGATACCTGTAAGGACTCCCAGAACTCAAAAACTTGAGAGAGGGAAGGAGGCTGCATTGCTCCTTCAGCTCGATTGTTTTAAGTGGTATTAACAAAACTACCAAAGCAAAAAAAGAGAAAGTTTTTGCAGAATTCTGTTGGGAGAGTGGAAGTTGAGCTGGAGACAAGAAGGTGAAAGGAATGTTTAGAAAGTAACTTTAGACAGTCTGTTTCAGCAATTGCCCTTTGATTAGAGTAAAAATACTTCCAACTGCTATGCATGAAGCAGCTTCTGACAAGTTTATTTAAAAGAGATTCAAAATGATGTTAGAAGACAAAATCAGTATCTAGAAGAAAAAGAACAGCTTCTATAATAGGGTCATGCTTTCATATCTTTAGTTGAGAACAAATGCCCCAAAGGATGGCACTCCTGGTTCATGCAGTCTAGTATTCTGTGTTTGAAAGTGACCCCTAGGGATGTACCTGGAAGAGCTTGGATGTGCTGTTTAAGGTCACCCTACAAGGGCAGAGCAATCCCAGCTTCTCCAGCGAGCCTCAGTCATCGAGAAAAGCATGCACAACCTAGCAGAGTTCGTGTATTTCTCTGCCCGTTACCATCTCTTGGTGTTTCACACAGTGAAAAGATTGGTTTCTGCTCTGGGTAGTAATTCTGGTTCTCACCTGCTTATTTTTTAATGTTTTGAGATTTAATAAACAACTCGATTTTTTATCTTGCACATCCATTTCCAGACTTATAAATTTAAATCATGTCTCCTTCAAATCTTCAACTCCCCAGGGGGGAAAAGCAGTCTTTTTAATTCTTCCACACATTACATCTGTCTTCTCATTTTAGGTGCCTTTCTATGGAAATTCACTGGCTGCAGTACTCAGAAATTAAATATACACTTCAGCATCATAACCATACCTCTTATTAGCAGTATAGTCTTAGGCAGTTCTAATTTTAGAGACAGAGTTGAAAACTTCCTCACACTGCATTGGATCTGCATTTCCTATAAGCAACTTAATGTTTCTCCTGAACCCATCACTCTCTGGTGTAGTAAAAGAAAACACACACACACAGATGCACACGCACACACATACACCCCACAGTGCCTTCTACTATATGCAGCTTCACATAGTATCTCTTTTAATTCTGAAAACATTATGTGGGGCACATACCACATTTTGTTTATACATTCATCAGTTGTTAGACATTTAGGTTGCTCCAAATTTGCGGCTATTATACAAAATGCTGCTATGAACAGCATACAAGCTTTTATGTAGATGTGTGTTTTTATTTCTCTTAAGTAGATAGCTGGAAGTAGGATGGCTGGATCATATGGTAAATTTATGTTTAACATTTTGAGGTATTTTAACTCTTTATCAAAGTGGGTGAACCATTTTACACACCCACCAGCAATGTATAAGGATTTCAATTTCTCTTAACTACTTGTCAACATTTGTTATTTTCTGTCTTTTATTATAGCCATTCCAGTAAGTGTGAGGTGACACCTCATGATTTTGATTTGCATTTCCCTAATGATTAATGATGTTGAACATCTTTTTATGAGCTTATCAGACACTTGTGTATCTTTGAAGAAATGTCTATTCAAATCCTTTGCCCATTTTAATATTAGTTTACTTGTCTTTTTATTTTCATTTTTATTATGTTTAATTACCAAATCATAATTGTATTACATTTATAGCATACAATGTGATGTTTTGATATATGTATACAATCTGAAGTAAGTAAATCAAGCTAATCAACACAGCTAGCACCTTGCTTGACATTTTTTGTGGTGATACATTGGAAATTTACAATACATTGTTATTGACTATAGTCACACTGCTGTGCAATAGAGCTCAAAATTTATTCTTCCTGTCCAGCTGAAACTTTGCGCCCTTTGTCCAGTAACTTTGCACCCCCTCGTTCTCCCAAAGCCCATCCTCTGGTCACAACCATTTTCTCTCCACTTCTATAAATTTAACTTTTTTAGATTCCATACATAAGTGAGATCATGAGGTATTGGTCTTTCTGTGCTTGGCTTATTTCACTTGACATAATATGCTCTAGATTCATCTGTGTTGTCCCAAATGACAGAATTTCATTCTTCTTGAAGGCTGAATATTTTATTGTGTATATATACTACATTTTCTTTACCCATTCATCTGTTGATTGACACTTAGGTTGATTCCATATCTTGGCTATTGTTAATAATGCTACAGTGAACATGGAAGGGCAGATATCTCTTCAAAATACTGATTTGGATACTTTTCAATGTATCTCCTCAAGTGGGATTGCTGGATTATATAACTATTTTTAGTTTTTTGAGGAAGCTCCATACCATTTTCCATAATGGCTGTACTAATTAATATTCTTACCAATAGTGTATCAGTGTTCCCTTTTCTCCACATCCTCCCCAACTCTTGTTAACTTTCATCTTTGCAATAAGAGCCATTCTAATAGATGTGAGATATCTCGTTGTGGTTTTAATTTGTATTTCCTTAATGATTAGTATTTCTGAGCATTTTTTCATGAACCTGTTTGTCCATCTGAATGTCTTTTGAGAAGTGTCTGTTCAAGTCATTTGCTTATCATTTAATCAGGTTATTTGTTTTCTTGCTATTGAGTTGAGTTCCTTATATATTTAGATATTAACCCTTTATCAGATGTATGGTTTACAAATACGTTTTTCCCACTCTGTGGTTGTCTCTTCACCTTGGTAATTGTTTCTTTTGCTGTGCAGAAGCTTTTCAGTTTGATACAATCCCATTTGTCTATTTTCACTGTTGTTGCCTGAGCTTTCAGGATGATATTCAAAAATCCTTGCCCAGACCAATAGCATGGAGCTTTTCCCCTGTTTTCTACTAGTAGTTTACAGTTTCAGGTCTTACATTTAAGTCTTTAATCCATTTTGAGTTATTTTGTACATGGTATAATATAGGGTCCAATTTTATTTTTCTGCATGTGGATAACCATTTTTCCCAGCATCATTTATGTGAGATTGTAATTGCCCCATTATGTGTTCTTGGCACCTTTGTCAAAAACCAATTGATTGTAAATGTGTGGGTTTATTTCTGGGCCTTCTGTCTTGTTAAACTGGTTGATTTGTCTGTTTTTACACCAGTACCATGCTGTTTTCATTATAATTGCTTTATAATATATTTTGAAGTCAGGTAGTATGATGTTGCCCGCTTTATTCCTTTTGCTCAAGATTGTTTCAGCTATTTGGTGTCTTTGTGATTCCATATGCATTTAAGGTTTTTTTTTTCTGTTTGTGTAAAGTGTGAAAAATTTCCAGTGTCATTGTGAAAAAATAACAAAGTGAAAAATGACATTGGAAATTGCATTGAACCTGTAGATTGCTTTGGGTAGCATGGAAATTTTAACAATATTAATTCTTCCAATGCATGAACACAAGATATCATTTCATTTATTTGTATTTTCATCAAATTTTTTAGTGTTTTATAATTTTCAGTACATCTTTCACCTCCTTAGTTAAATTTGCACCTAATTATTTTATTTTTGTTGTTTCTATTAAAAAATGGGATTGTTTTCTTAATTTTCTTTTCAAATAGCTTGTTATTAAGTGCATAGTAATGCTACTGTTTTTTTATGTTGATATTGTATCCTGCAACTTTACTGAATTTGCTTATCAATTCTAGTAGATTTTGAGATTAGGATTTTCTATATATAAGATCACATCGTCATCAAACAAGTTTTCTTCTTTCCCATTAGGATGGCTTTTCTTTCTGTTGCCTAATTGCTCTGGCTAGGACTTCCAGAACTATGTTGAAAAGAGGTGGTAGGAATGGGCATGGTTGTCTTTGTTCCTAATCTTAGAGGAAAAGCTTTCAACTTTTCACTGTTGAATATGACGTTAGCTACAGGTTTGTTATATATGGCTTTATTTTGTTAAGGTACATTACCTCTATATCTGTTGTCTTGAAAAATTTAATCACGAAAGGGAGTTGGATGTTGTCAAATGTCTTTTCTGCATCTATTGAGATGATCATTTTTTTCTTCATTTTATTAACATGGTGAATCACATTTATTGACTTGCATATGTTGAACCATCCTTGCATCCTAGGAATAAATCCCACTTGATTACAGTTAATCATTTTTTTAAGGTGTCATTGAATTTAGTTTGCTAGTATTTTGGTAAGCATTTTTGCATCTGTCTTCATCAATTATATTGACCTATAATTTTCCTTTCTTGTAGTGTCCTTTCCTAGCTTTGATATCAGGCTAATGTTGGCCTCATAAAATGTGTTTAGAAAATGCCAAAGCCAAGTATGTATCCATAATAATTTAAAATTTCAAAAAATTAAAGAAAATCAAAATAAAATGAGTTTGAAAATATTCCCTCTTCTTCAGTTTTCTGGAAAGGTTTGAGAACTATTGGTATTAGTTTTCCAAATGTTTGGTAGAACTCAGCTGCGAAGCTGAATTCTTTGATGGCAGACTATTACTGATTCAATCTCTTTATTCATTATTAGTCTGCTTAGGTGTTTTATTTCTTCATGATTCAGCTTTGGTGGGTTGTACAGGTGTAGAAATGTATCCATTTCTTCTAGATTATCCATTTTTGGTGTCTAAATGTTTACAATAGTTTCCTATAAACCTTTGTATTTCTGTGGTATCAGTTGTAATATCTCTACTTTCATTCTAATTTTATTTATGTGTTATTTTTTCCTAGTTAGGTTAGCTAAGGGTTTGTCTATTTTATCTTTTATCTAAATGAACTCTTAGTTGTGTTGGTTTCTATTGCTTTTCTAGACTCTATTTCATTTAGAAATAGAGTCTGTGATCTTTGTTATTTCCTTCTTCCTACTAATTTTGGGCTAAATTTGGTATTCTTATTCTTTTTCTGGTTCCTTGAAGTATAACATTAGATTTTTTATTTGCGGTTTTTATTCTTTTTTGATATTGGCATTTATTGCTATAAATTTCCTTCTTAGGAATGCTTTTGATGCATCCCATAAGTTTTGGCATGCTGCGCTTTCATTTTTGTTTGTCTTGAGGTATTATTTATTTCCTTTTTCATTTTTTCTTTGACTCATTGGTTATGTAGAAGCATGTTATTTAATCTCCATATTTGTAAATTTTCCAAGATTTCTCCTGTTATAGATTTCTAGTTTCATGACATGTGATCAGAAAATATACATGATATAATTTCAGTCCTTTTAAATTTGTTAAGACTTGATTTGTGGTCTAACAATCTAGCCTGAAGAATGTCCTATCTGCACTTGAGAAGAAAATGTATTCTGTTGCTGTTGAATTGAATGTTCTATATATATCTGTTAGGTTCATTTGATCTAAAGTATAATTCAAGTCCAGTGTTTCTTATTGATTTTTTTCTAGATGATCTGTCCATTGTTACAAATGGAGTACTGAGGTGCCCAACTATTACTGTATTGCAATCTATCTCTCCTTTCAGAGCATTTAATAATTTATATACTTAGGTCCTCCAATGTCAGGGTATGTATTTATTTACAATTGTTGTTTCTTCTTGATGATTGATCCCTTTATCATTACATAATGGCCTTCTTTATCTCTTTTTATAGTTTTTTTTTTACTTAAAATCTATTTTATCTGATATAAGTATAGCTATCACTGCTCTCTTTTGGTTTTCAGTTTCATGGAATATCTTTTTTTATCCCTTCACTTTTAGTCTATGTGTATCCTTACTAGTGAAGTGAGTCTCTTGTAGGCAGCATATGGTTGGAGCTTCTGGGTTTTTTTTTTTGTTGTTTTTTTTTTCCTTTTTTTTTTTAAATCCATTCAGCCACTCTATGTCTTTTGACTGAATTTAATCCATTTAGATTCAAGGTAATTATTGATAGGTAAGAACTTGCTACTGCCATTGTGTAATTTGTTCTCTGGTTGTTTTGTAGATTCTTTGTTTTTTCTTCCTCTCACTGTCTTATAGTCTGATGGTTTCTGTGGTGATCTGCTTTAAATCTTTTTTATATTTTATGCATCTACCATAGGTTTTTGCTTTGTGGTTAACATGAGGCTTATATAAAACATCTTAAGGTTGGGTGCAGTGGCTCACACTTGTAATCCCAGCACTTTGGGAGGCCAAGGCGAGTGGATCACTAGGTCAGGAGATTGAGACCATCCTGGCTAACACAGTGAAACCCCGTCTCTACTAAAAATAAAAAAATTAGCCAGGCATGGTGGCATGCACCTGTAATCCCAGCTACTCGGGAGGCTGAGGCAGGAGAATCAGTTGAACCTGGGAGGCAGAGGTTGCAGTGAACCGAGATCATGCCACTGCACTCCAGACTGGGCGACAGAGCAGTGAGACTCTGTCTCCAAAAAAAAAAAATAAATAAAAATAAAATAAAATCTTAAACTTCAAATAGGTTATTTTAAGCTGTTAACAACTTAACTTTAATTGCAAACAGAACTCTACACTTTCACTCCTTCCCCCCACCTTTTATGCTTTACTGTCAAAATTTACTTTTTTATCATTTGTATTTCTTAACAATTTATTTTTGTTTTACTTATAATTGACACATAATAACTATACTATATGCCTAGTACAGTGAGCTGTTTCAATACATGCATATATTGTATGACGATTATATCAGGGTAATTAGCATATCTATCACTTTAAACATTTATAATTTATTTGTGGTGATGGCTTTCAAAATCCTCTCTCTTAGCTATCTTGAAATATGCAATACATTACTATTATCTATAGTTGCCCTATTGTGCAACAGAACACCATAACTTATTCTTTCTGTCAAACTATAACTTCACATTTGTTGACCAACCTCTTTCCATTCTTCCCTCCTCCGTACCCTCACCAGCCTCTGGTAACCACTATTCTACTCTTTACTTCTATGAGATCAACTTTCCTAAATTCTATGTATGAATGAGAATTGGCACTATTTATCTTTTTGTGCCTGGCTTATTTCACTTAATATAATGTCATCCAGGTTCATTCATGTAACTGCAAATTACAGGATTTCATTCTGTTTTATGGCTGAATAGTATTCCAATGTACAGTTGCCCTTTAAACCACATTTGAACTGTGCAGAGACAGTTATACAAGGATCTTCTTTTGCCTCTGCCATCCTGAAATCACAGCAAGACCAACCCCTCCTCTTATTTCTCCTCCTCAGCCTACTCAAGATGAAGAAGATGAGGATGAAGACCTTTCACTTAGTGAATAAATATATTTTCTCTCTCTTATAGATTTCTTAATAAGATTTTATATTATCTAGCTTGATTCATTCTAAGAATACAGTATATAATACATATAACATATAAAATATGTGTTAATTGACTGTGTATCTTATCAGTAAGGCTTCTAGTCAAGAGTAGGCTATTAGTAGTTAAGTTTTGGAGGAGTCAAAAGCTATATACAAATTTTTCTACTGCATAAGGAGTCAGTACCGCTAATTCCCCCCATGTGGTTCAATGGTCAATTGCATATATATATAATATATTCTAGCCCAGTCCAATGTAATGAAGCATTTCCCCTATGTTTTCTTCTAGTACTTTCATAGTTTTGGGTCTTACATTTAAGTCTTTAATCAATTTAGAGGTGTTTTTTTTTGTATATTCTGACAGATAGGGGTCTAGTTTCATTATTCTGCATGTGAATATTCAGTTTTCCTAGCATCATACTTAACAATTTATTATAACTACAGTTGTTTTTAATAGTTTTATCTTTTTAACCCTAGTAGTAAAAATAAAATTGTTATACACACAATGTTTATAGTTTTAAAGTATTCTGAATATGACTATGTATTCCATATGCCATTTAGTTTTTTTCTTTTTTTTTTTTTTTTTTTTGAGACGGAGTCTCACTAGAGCGCAGTGGTGGGATCTCGGCTCACTGCAAGCTCTGCCTACCGGGTTCCCGCCATTCTCCTGCCTCAGCCTCCCGAGTAGCTGGGACTACAGGCACCCACCACCACGCCCGGCTAATTTTTTTTGTATTTTTAGTAGAGACGGGGTTTCACCATGTTAGCCAGGATGGTCTTGATCTCCTGACCTCGTGATCCACCCGCCTTGGCCTCCCAGAGGGCTGGGATTACAGGCATGAGCCACCGCGCCTGGCCTGTTTTTTTTATTTTCGTTTGTTTTACATTATTAGTTATCAGCTGCTCATTTCAACTTAATAAACTTCCTTAGCAATTCCTGTTGTATGGGCCTAATGGTGATGAATTGTCTTAGCTTTTGATTATCTGGGTGTTTTTATTTGTCCCTCATTTTTGAATGACAGCTTTGCCAGGCAAAGTATTCTTTGATGCTTGGTTTCTTTCCTTCAGCACTTTGAATCTATCATCCCATTCTCTCCTGGCCTCCAGTGTTTCTGCTAAGAAATCCTCTGATATTGGGACTTCTTTAAATGTGATTGTGTTTCTTATCTATTGCTGCTTTCAGTATTCTTTCTTTGTCTTTGTCTTTTGATAATTTCATCACGATGTATCCTTTTGAATTTCTCTGAGTTGAATTTGATTGGAGACCTCTGAACTTTCTGTACCTGGATGTTATCATCTTTTTCTGGTATTTTTTCTCTGTTGTTTCAGTGACTCTTAATATGCATCGGTTAGTTCTGTTGATGTTGTCTCGTAATTCCCATGAGACCTTTTCTTTTTTTATTCTTTTTCTTCTTTTGACCCCTCTGACTAAATAATTTTAAATATCCCATCTTCTAGTTCACTGATGCTTTCTTCTGCTTGATCAGGTCTGCTCTTGAATCTATTAAATTTTGCAGTTCAATGATTGTATTCTTTGCCTCTAACATTTCTATTTAGGTTTTTAATTGTTTTTATTTCTTTGTCAAACTTCTCTTTTTGTTAAAGAATTGTTTTGCAATTTTATTTAATTTTCTATCTGCATTTTCCTATAGTTCCCTGAACTTCTTTAAGAGGATTATTTTGAATAGTTTGTCAGTCATTTCATAGATCTCCTTTTCTTTAGAGTCTGTTATTAGAGGTTTATTAGTTTCTTTTGGTGGTGCCGTATTGTCCTAATTTTTTATTATTGTGTCCTTGTGTTGTTGTCTGCATATTTGAGGAAACAGACAACTCTTCTAGCCTTTGGTAGCAGTGGACATTCACTATGTAGTCTAGCCTGTGATTCTAATTGAGCCAGTTGGTGGCAAACCCAGACAGACAGACTTTGCTGTGGTGTTCTCTAATTGGGATGAGCTGTTAACTATGTTCTGGGTCAAGTGGAAATGCAGGCTGTTCTCCATAGTCTGGTGAAATCACAGGCTGAACTCTTGCAGTGAGGCAGAGCTACTATCTAGGATCTGCTATCACCCCTGATCAGGCTATGTTGTAGGTTTTCTTCCCTGGGCAACCAGTACTATCATTTGAGATCTGTAGTTTGGTAGGGCCATGTGCTGGACTCCAAGGCAGAGCCAGATCTCTGGGATTGCTACTCAACCACTCAGGGTGGGTAGGGCGGAGGCTATGCTCCACAGATACAAGGAGGGCTTGCTTCCTTTTCTAGGTAACCTTAAGCAGATCATCAAGGCTTGATATTTTAGCCACTTGGCCACTGAGTTTGGGCAGGGCCAGATGCTTCCTCCAAAGCTAATCACCACTTTCCCCCTGTTTTCCAGGCTAGGGAAGGGTTGAGGAGCTCACTGGGGCTTGGCTGGGTTGAAGCTTGGCAACTGAGACCAAGCAATACCAGAGGCTCCTTGTGCAAATAATCACTGACTTGCCCCTATCTTATGGCCTGGGGAAGTTTCAAGGAGAGCGCTAGGGCTGGGTGTAGTAGCAGTCAAGGATTCCAGCCTAGGAGAACCATCAGCCGTGCTTCCTGCAACACAATATTGTTGGCTAGCCTCTCTGATGGTATGCCTCCAACTGGCTGGAATGCCGAGCAACTGCCAATATCCTTACATTAGTTTCTGTGAGCACCATCCTTGTACTTTGATTCTAACTGACCCCAGGTGATCTAGTGCTGCCTGTACCACCAATGTTTCCTATGTGTGTGGCAGGGAGACAAGAGAGTACCTCCTGAGAAGGGTCCCAGACTGGTAGGGAAGCTGAATGTTCACCTTCAACTCTCTTCTTCTGTAAAAACAGTGGAGTCTCAGCAAACTGCTGTGCTGGATTGAGGGAGGGGCAGTATGGTCTAAGTGAAATTAAAGTTGCTCCTCTTAACCTTTATGTGCTGCTGTTCTCAGTTCTGTGGTCTATGGAGGTATCCCAGCCTCACTCCTGAGTTCTAAGATATTCACTAGGGTATTCTTGTCTGTGGATAGTTTCTAGCTGGATTTCTGTTGGGGGAAGTGGAACTGGAGAATTCCTATTCCACCACCTTGCTGAAACAGCCCCTGACTTCTTATTGTTTAGCTGTAATAATTTTTTTTTTTTTTTTTTTTTTGAAATGGAGTTTCGCTCTTGTTGCCCAGGCTGAGTGCAATGGCATGGTCTCAGCTCACTGCAACCTCTGCCTCCCAGGTTCAAGTGATTCTCCTGTCTCAGCCTCCCAAGTAGCTGGAATTACAGGTACCCAACATCACGCCTGGCTAGATTTTGTTTTTTTAGTAGAGATGGGGTTTCATCATGCTGGCCAGGCTGGTCTCCAACTCTTGACCTCAGGTGACCCACCCACCTTGTCCTCCCAAAGTGTTGGAATTATGGGTGTGAGCCACCACGCCTAGACAAAAATTCTTTAATTTTTTTTATTATACTTTAAGTTCTAGGGTACATGTGCACAACGTGCAGGTTTGTTGCTTACGTAGACATATGCCATGTTGGTGTGCTGCACCCACTAACTTGTCATTTAGCATTAGGTATATATCCTAATATCCCTCCCCCAACTATCCCTCCCCCCTCCCCCCACTATCCCTCCCCCCTCCCCCTACTCCACAACAAGCCATGGTGTGTGATGTTCCCCTTCCTGTGTCCAAGTGTTCTCATTGTTCAATTCCCACCTATCAGTGAGAACATGTGGTGTTTGGTTTTTTGTCCTTGCAACAGTTTGCTGAGAATGATGGTTTCCAGATTCATCCATGTCCCTACAAAGGACATGAACTTATGCTTTTTTATGGCTGCATAGTATTCCATGGTGTCTAGGTGCCACATTTTCTTAATCCAGTCTATCATTGATGGACATTTGGGTTGGTTCCAAGTCTTTGCTATTGTGAATAGTGCCGCAATAAATATACATGTGCCTGTGTCTTTATAGCAGCATGATTTATAATCCTTTGGGTATATACCCAGTAATGGGATGACTCGGTCAAATGGTATTTCTAGTTCTAGATCCTTGAGGAATGGCCACACTATCTTCCACAATGGTTGAACTAGTTTACAGTCCAACCAACAGTGTAAAAGTGATCCTATTTCTCTACAACCTCTCCAGCACCTGTTGTTTCCTGACTTTTTAATGATCGCCATTCTAACTGGTGTGAGATGGTATCTCATTGTGGTTTTGATTTACATTTCTCTGATGGCCAGTGACGATGAGCATTTTTTCATGTGTCTGTTGGCTGCATAAATGTCTTCTTTTGAGAAGTGTCTGTTCATATCCTTTGCTCACTTGTTGATGGGGATGTCTGTTTTTTTCTTGTCAATTTGTTTGAGTTCTTTGTAGGTTCTGGATATTAGCCCTTTGTCAGATGAGTAGATTGCAAAAATGTTCTCCCATTCTGTAGGTTGCCTGTTCACTCTGATGATAGTTTCTTTTGCTGTGCAGAAGCTCTTTAGTTTAATTAGATCCCATTTGTCAATTTTGGCTTTTGTTGCCATTGCTTTTGGTGTTTTAGACATGAAGTCCTTGCCCATGCCTATGTCCTGAATGGTATTGCCTAGGTTTCCTTCTAGGGTTTTTATGGTTTTAGGTCTAACATTGAAGTCTTTAATCCATCTTGAATTAATTTTTGTATAAGGTGTAAGGAAGGGATCCAGTTTCAGCTTTCACATATGGCAAGCCAGTTTTCCCAGCACCATTTATCAAATAGGGAATCCTTTCCCCATTGCTTGTTTTTCTCAGGTTTGTCAAAGATCAGATAGTTGTAGATGTGTGGTATTATTTCTGAGGGCTCTGTTCTGTTCCATTGGTCTATATCTCTGTTTTGGTACCAGTACCATGCTGTTTTGGTTACTATAGCCTTGTAGTATAGTTTGAAGTCAGGTAGCATGATGCCTCCAGCTTTGTTCTTTCGGCTTAGGATTGACTTGGCAATGCGGGCTCTTTTTTGGTTCCATATGAACTTTAAAGTAGTTTTTTTCCAATTCTGTGAAGGAAGTCATTGGTAGCTTGCCTAGCCAATAATTCTTTATATATTCTGGATATAAGTCTCTTATCAGATATATAATATGCAAATATTTTCTTTCATTACATTGATCGTCTTTTCACTTTCTTGATGGTATTCCTTGAAGCAAAAGTGTTTTAAATTTTAATGAGGTCCAAATTATCATTCTTCCCTTTTATCACCTGTGCTTTTGGTATCACATCAAAGAAATTATTACCTAACCCAAGATTATGAAGATGTATTCCTGTATGTTTGTCTAAGGTCTTTATCATTTTAGCTCTTACATTTAAGTCTGTGGCCCACTCTGAATTAATGTTTATGTATGGTATAAGGTAGGGGTCGAAATTTGTGCTTTTGCATGTAGATATTCAGTTGTCCCAACACCATTTGTTTAAAACACTCTTCTTTTTCCCCATTAAATTGTATTGGCCTTTACCTATAATATTTTGTAATGGTAAATTTGAAAGACCATAAAAAATGCTGCTTATGAGTGTGGTTTATTTTTAGGATAACCAAAAAATAGAAATTTATTTATATTATAGTATATATGTACACCTAAAATGTTTTCATAGAATACATATATACATATATGCATACTATGCAAACTAAGATGATAAAAGAGCCCTTGTTAGAAATGCTATTTCCAGTGGTTGGTGTGGATGGGAGAGCTATTAAGAAATTATCTGAAATACTAAAAGAAAATTTGCTATCAATGCCAGGAGGCCAGATTACAGAGAAAATGGAAGACCCACACATTGATGGAGGAAGACAAGACCCCCATCTTTGGTAAGAGTTTAACAGCTAGAATGGATAGATCAAGACCTATCAGTTAATAATTCAGCCTACATTCAACTGAGAGAATACAAACCTTAAGTATGCCAACACATACAGATCAGTCTCACTGATGATGCTCAAGTGTTTCATTCATTCACCTCTGAGCGTAGGAAAACTGTACAGGTTTGTAATATTAGCTATCAGAATTGGAATTTATTACTTCAAGAACCAGCTAAAACAGGCATAAGTTCCCTCCTTTACACAGCTTCCTTTTCTGGTGTTAATTTTCTGAACAAATAGAGCTGGAGAGAGGAATGAGTAATCTTTTAAAGACTTCTTTTGTCCTTGTTCTTTAAGTAGCCTTGGTACAAAACTCTCAGTTAAAAAGGAAAAAATTAAGAAGTTTAATTAGGGTTTTTGAAATCCAAATGCAAAATAATCCTTAGGAGTATTATCTCACCCTTGTCTGCATTAAAATTCATCTGCCACTTGTCAGCCCACTTAAACAACCTTTTAAGATCTTTCTGTCATCTCCATCTGCTTGGCACTTCTAGTTTTACAACTTCTGCAAACACGGAAACTTCACAATTTTGGGATCCCAGTAAAGTTTTTCATTAAGAGTAGTCCTACCAATAATGAGACGAACTGATTGAGTACTGGATTGGAAGTAGGGAGGGAGTATAAGTGACATTTGGGGGGACAGTTGGGAACGTTGTAATATGGCCTATTAACTATAATTTTATTTATCCTAAATATCTTGATTTTGATAATTATGTTGCACTTATGTAGGAAACTATCTTTGTTCTTAAATAAATGCTAAAGTACTTAAGAGTGAAATATGTCTGTAACTTACTTTAAAATGGTTCAGCAAAAATAGATTGAATACACACAAACAAATATCAAAAGTGCTGCGAATGTGTAAAATATTTCATTTGAAATTGACATTGTTTCACACCTAAAATAGTTGTATATCAACAATTGTATATGGTTCAACCTAATAGAGAAAGACTATATGAGTGAATCTAAATCTGGGTTTCTGAACTTCAGGACTATTGACATTGTTTTAATTCTTTGTTGTAGGGGGAGGCTGTTCTGTGAATTGTAGGATATTTGTTGGCACTCATGGCCTCTGCCGACCAGATGCAAGTAGCATCCTCAATTGTGACAACCAAAAATGTCTCCAGACATTGCTGAATGTCCCCTGGGAGGCAAAATCACCCCTAGTTGAGAACCACTGATATAGAGAAATATATAAGGACATATAAAGGAAGAGTACTTTTCTTTCAACTTTTCTGTAGAGTTAAAATTCTTCCAAAAATAAAGAGTTAGAAAATAATAATAAATGAAGTCATATATAATATGATTTACATATTAATAGTGAGAGAGGAGCAGGAAGAAACTGGTGCGGCAGGAAGTTAGGGTGGATCCTCAATTGAATTCTTTCAAACAAAAGAACAGCCTGCAGGCACAGATAGGGGAACTTGCACAGGGGGGCTTGCCTAAGACATGCCTGTAGCGTCACAGATAAGAAAGGCTACACAGGTGACTTACCCAGACATGCTTGCAATGTCTGGGTAAGTCAAAAAATTCCATCCCCTGACACATGCGCAGTAAGAAGAAGAAAGCAATATGAAGTAACTCAAGCCAAGGGCCAGCATGTACATTACGAGGACAAGGTGGAGCTACCAGAAATTTACACCTTATGCAAATGAGACACAGAGCCCTCATGGGTTTCTTATAAAAGCCTTTGCATTAAACTGTAAAAACAGCAACCCTCTTCTGCACCCCCACTCCATGGCAGAGAGTTTTCTTCTTTCACTTATTAAACTTTTGCTCCAACCTCACACTTTTTTGTTCACGCTTCTTAATTCTCTTGGTCATGAGACAAAGAATTCCAGATGATACCTTACAATGAGGGACTGCTACATTGTGGTGCATTGGCAGGACTATAACAGTAGTATTATAGTTGCTGTTAATTAATAATTTATAAAACTAGATCTGGCACCAAATTTTGATGAATTTTATGTTTTTTACACTTTTGAGACATCGAAGTCCTTGAAAAACTTAATTCATACACTCCTCCAGTACTTTCACTTGACTCTGCACCCCACAAGGAAACCCTTCACTGGGCTTCTATTCACCTGAATTATACAGAATACAACATAACAGAAAGGGAATGACTATTTATTGAATACTTGCCATAGAGCAGATGTCACTTGATGCCTGTCACTTATTAGAATTATTATAAAATGTGATTTCACTTGTATACATCTAAGGAAATAAACTTACAGAAACTGAGCAACCTGATCATGGTGACATGACTTATAAGAAGTCAAGAATTGGAACATGAGACTGGAACTCAGGACTCTCTAACTTCAAAGTCCATGTTATTTCATAATTTCAAGGAAAGATATTGACCTCTGGCCTGTCTCTGATTTAATAAAAATAAAAATGCCTGTTGTATCCAAACAGGTTAAATTGGATATTAGACATCCTCATTTTTCAAATTCTTACTTTAATTCTACTTTATGGTTTGGTCAATTCTTTTTTCCCCTCAGTGTCCCTTCATTTCTCTTCATTCTTTCTTACTACTACCATTCTTCTTGATTTTTTCATGGAAGCCTTCTCTCTCTCTCTCTCTCTTCTCACCCCCGCCCCCCACTTTTTCCCTCTTTGCCTTTTTCCTCTTTACATCATGTTCTCAAGGTAGTTATAATATTCTGAAACTTCCACCAAAAAACACAAACTAAAAAAAAAAAAAAAAAAATTCTCCTTAAGAGGAATGCTGGTGTTAGTTGCTAAGACTTTTTGACTTTATGAACATGTTTTCTTTCAATTCTTTTGTAACTTTAAAATGTTTCAAAATAAAAAGGAAAATAATTATGCCTTACACATAGTAAGCACTTATAAATGTTAGATGTCTCACTGTTGTTTTTGTTCTTAACTCAGAGTATCCAATTTTCCAACAGGAGTTTCTTCAAACATGAAGAAAAGCAAATGTAATACATATTTTGTAATTATACAATTAAGTGTTCAATTTGGCTTCTATTTGGTATGGTAATTTTTCTATTTTGGCATATAATTTGGAAATTGGTTTATCCTTTAGATTCTATTCCACAAAAAGTAAACTAGGATTTTAAAAATATTCGTCCATTGAAGATCCAAGATCATATTTCAGAAAATGTCTTTTTTCTCTTTCACTATTTTTGAATCACTCATGTCATTCAACCTGCCTCTTCTCCCTCCCCATTTCTTTCCACACACACTGTTACATATATTTACCAAGACATTAAAAATGGTGTGAGTTTTAGGAAAAGACGGCAAAGAGAAAACAAAACAGAAGCTGTTTCCTTACTTGCTTTGAACTTCAAGCAATATGAAGGCCCTTTGGAGAGGATATAAGACTTAGGAGAGAACTATCCAGGGCTCCAAAAGCAATGGCCAGGGGAAAAGATAGTTCTATCTTTGGATGGGAGAAACCCCTTCAATCCTGGACATCAAGTTTTTTTTTTAGAAGGTCTGAAATTTGTATAACATTTTCTCATGTTTGTATTTAAAACTGACCAGAATGATTAGAAGTTCCAAAGGGGCATTTCTTTCTAATGATATGTACACACAGATGCATTTATCAGACCAGAAAAGGCAGAAAAGTGTCTTAAAGAATAAGGTAGTATCACAGCTTAGGCAGGGTAGGAAAGCCGGGGTGGTGTAAGGAGAGAAGAAAGTGTGTGCCAAGAGAACTGGGCATGTGAGAGAGACAAGAAAATTGGAATAGAAGTGGGGAGCATGCAATGGAGTAAATATCCAAAAGCATGATGAAAAAACCTTACTTCACTTTTTTGTCTTTGGAAGGAGTGCTTTGTTAGATTTCTCTCATTTGGAAAGCTCTACCTTAAATCGACCTCAAATAGACAAAATGTTTTTACCTCATGTTACGGTATCCCAATGTGTTAGTGACTCCTCTTTGCAAATCACACTATTCCAGTCTACAGTGTCCTCCTGGACTCTGATGAATCAAAGCAATGATGAATAGTTGGAATTTCTGCCTGAATGAAGTTTTATACTTCATAGGTTTTCTGAACATCATCAAGAAAAAATATGAAGAAGAGGAAGAAAAAAGTAGCTGAATGCCAAGAACATCCCCAAAGTAAACAGCAATTCTCTTTAAATAGGGAGAAAACAGTATTTTACTGCTCAAAGCTCTAGGTAGCTTCCTTCTTTAGGGAAAGATATTTGAGCTGTAAAATATCTGCCCTGGCAACAAATTCATGAATCACAACAATTACCTGTTTCTTTTGGATATTGGATTTGCTAATTATCCACCAAAGTTTAGATTAGACAGCTGCTACCTGACTTCGTTTAGTATCTAATATGGAATGCTTTTGGCAGTGAATTGGTTTCTCTTTTCCCACCAGGAAAATGGAAAATGAATTGGAAGACTTTACTAAGAATTAGTAAAGTATTAAAAGCAACAACAACAACAAAAACCCTGTAGCTCTAGGTGTTTGAATCTAGGATTAACTGTTGAGGGTTTAATCGCTGGGTCAATGGAGAGTGCTGCTATAAGTGGACGATTAGTAGAAGGTAGATTAAAGATGGAAGAACTTATTAGTAAGAACTAGAAATGCTTGCAGATTAAAAGAATAGCTTGTATGTTTTAGCAAAATCTGCATTTAATTTTGGCATGTATCTGAAAGGAGACATCTGGAACTTGGATGATGGTGTTGAAATTACCAGTAGCATTAGTTTTAACCCTTAAATCAAAGGAAAAATGCATTGTATTCCAGAAATCTGGGTAAAACTGTAGATAAAAATATGACATGATCCACTTAATATGCCAGTGTAAAAGTGTATGCAAGTGTACTATAATTTTCTAATTTTAGTTTTGGGTTCTATTTTTACCCATTAATTAACACAATGAATACATGCTTTCATTTTCTATAAAATTTATTATTTGTGATGTATGGAAGTACCAAATATAAAAGCTAAGTTTTCTACTTGTCTTTTACTTAAGTAATTATCAGCTAGGAAAAGCCATCTAACTTGGAAATTTGAGTCAGCAAATGCCCAATAGGCTGTGTAAAAATTAGCTACTTAAATGTTTTGAAAATCCAGAAAATATTTAGCATAATTCAACTGGACAAATCACATAAAAAAAGTGAGACTGGGGGAGGGAGTTCACAAAACAACTGTGGGAGAATAATTACTCTAGGTGTGTGTCAGTTATGAAATTTCACTGATTAGTGGAAAAATGTTGATTTCCCCTAACCTTTAGCAGAAAAAAAAAGTCTTGTCCATGGATGCCCAAATAACCAGTTAATTTACTTCTTAGAAGTGAATTCTTGCATGAAAAAAAGAAACACACTCTTTGTTGCAAAAGCTCTGCCACCATAAGGATAATTGAACAAAAGCAAAGTAGAGGCTACAACAGTAATTGTGTTCCAGCAACTATATACAAACTGGCAAAACGACGAAAACACCAAATCAAGATTTTCTAAATGGCCCTTTCTTTCTCCTTCCCTCCCTGTCTTCTTAACTTCCTAACTTCTTTACTTCTTTCATTCCTTTCTTCTTGACTTAAGTACATTCATCCTTCTTCTATTTTTTGACATTTTAAAAGTTAATTTCATAGTTTATTTAAATCTCAGAAAACAATTTTCAACCAACTATAGAATTTGAATGCTTTAGCGTTTAAATACTCCCTCCTTATCATTTCATAATTGAAGAAACTGAGGGCCAGAGAGGGTCCCATTCCACAGCTTGTTGCAAAGCAATGCTGACTTACATTATAATTACTGCTGAGCAGTTTTATTTTATTTCTAAAAACTTTTTATTTATACATGTATACACTTTAAACTTTTATTTGATGTCTTCCAGCAAGTTTACACTTTTTCTAACAAAATCAACAATATAAGGATAATTTAAGTGAAGACATTATCTTTCCTCTCCACCCTACTCTATTCTCCATTCCACCTATGTCAGGTTTCCAACTGATTACAAATCCAATAGATTTGTATGGACTCCTTGCAAAACTTTCTTGTTATTTATAACCATCTACCTATCTATAGATAGATATCTATAATAGATAGATGATAGATAGATAGATAGATAGATAATAGATACACACACATACAGCATAAATAGACATCTACAGGGTATTTGTTTATATTTTCTGTTTACACTCCAGTATTGAATCATAATATATATACTTTACACTCTTTTCTCTGCTGTTTGCCTTTTTCACTTGACAGCTCTACAAATATATGTGTTTCATACATTCTAAAAATTTATGCATATACATAAATATGTGATTTTATATTAAGGGGTAAAATCATACATATTGGGGAGTTGTCAAAGCAGTATTTTTTTGTTCAATACTTCTCTCTTTCATTTTTTCTTTTTTGTTGTTTGCCTCTCACTACCCACTCCTGCTCTACTCTGAGGTCATCTATTTTAATATAACCACAGACATATATACATCTATTTTGTGGATTTCTACTTCTTATATCACACACACACACACACACACACACACTTAATTTGCCAGAAAATCAGTTCTCTTGATTCCCCACTGTTAAAGTATAATTCTCGAAAAATTAACAGCAGGGCTCTCATACAAATTTAGAATGAGCACAAATCAAAGATTTATTTAATTCATTAATGAGGGAACCAGCAAGATAGTAAAGCTGCATCAAACACAGAATTGAAGAAATAAAGATTTATACAGTCAGTTAGGAAAGGGATGTTAAAATTAACTTGCCAAGTTGGACATACCAGTTAGTATCCTGCCAGGCAATACATCCATAACCTTTGGGATCTTCTCTACCTGGCAGAAATCATTTGCTTCTAATGGACCAAAAGCTACAAGTTAACAATTAACTTCGCAGTTTCTGTGTTCTAATCAATAGTAAATAGTAAGTAAAACAAACATACTTCATCTTGCCTGGGCCTATTAGGCAACGCTCCAGTGATATTGAAAGGACATGCAATCATGTTTTTGTCTTGTTTCCTGGTTTTTAATAATTTTTCTTCAATCCAGGCTAATATCAGTAGACTATCAAACTGTGCCAAGCTCAAGTCACACTCTAAATAAATTTAGAGCCTCATCAGAATGACCACTTTATGTTCTTTTTCCTCCTTAGTTATGATGACACCCTAGACTTGTCTTTTGGGCCATTTAATTATGTATAAGCTAAACTATTGCTGGTTTCCTTTAAGACCATGGGCTCTTCTGTCATCCTTAGTGGACATGAAAAGTAATTGCTCTAAATCTTTCATATAAAAAGCCTTCATATAACTGATGAATTTATTATTACTGCAAATAAATTTAATAGTTGTAATAATCTAAAAACATGAGTGTTAATTAGCACTTCTCACTAACCAGCATAAAAGAACTTTGTAATATGAGGTTTACATTTCAAAGTTGTACTATCTTACTTCATTTTTGTAGCAAGAAATGAATATTCAGACTCTATTAACATATAAACCTAGTGGTTATGTTCATTGTCTTTCTTTGTTGCACTAGAAGGATAAAATCAACTATTTCTTCTTACTTCACTGTTTGTAAGGTAATTTGTAGGTTGAGTGGTAGTTTTTAGATTGATAATAATTTGGCCTTTGTGTTCAATGTACATTAACAGTCTATTGTGAAAAATTAGAAGAGATGCCAGTTTAAGGTAAGAGAGGTAGGGAAGAAGGACCTCAGACTGGAAAGGAATTAAAAACCATAGTTCCCTTTACCCCTGTCTGTGGCTACTCTCAGAGGAAATGGGCAGCCCCCAGAGCAAAGAATAGTATAGTTTGCCTAGAAAGGTAAGACCCATGCACTAAATTGCCCAGCTTTGGGAAAGTTTCTCTTACCTGTAAAACAGCAGATGCAGAAGACCCCCCACCAGCTTCAAGTGACTGCTAGCTATTTGAACAATATCTGTGGCTACTATAATAGACTAGAAATCAGAGACACTTTTCTTAGGTTCTAGGTATGTTATAAGCCCTCTGAATTCTGATGATACTCTTGAAGACAGAGGGAAAAAGGTAGAAAGAGATAGCAAGAGGAAAGACAAGGAAATGAAGAGGGTTCAAATAATAACTGAGATAGAATGTCTTATCTACCTGACAGGATCAGGTATCAAATTAATCAATTAGGCTGTGTTAAATTAAGAAACTGATATTTTTCAGTAGCATTTCTATACATCAATAATGTCCAAGCTGAGAGCAAAAGCAAGAATGCAGTCCCACTTACAAAAGCCAACAAGAAAATAAAATACCTAGGAATACATTTAACCAAGGAGGTGATAGATCTCTACAAGGAGAGCTAAAAACACTGCTGAAAGAAATCATAGATGACACAAACTAATGAAAAAATGTTCCTTGCTCATGGATTGGAATAATCAATATTTTTTAAATGGTCATACTGCTCAAAGCAAGCTACAGATTCAACTCAATTACTACCAAAATATTGTCATTTTTAACAGAACTTGAAAAAACTATTCTAAAATTCACATGGAACCAAAAAAGGAGCTTGAATACCCAAAACAATCTTAAGCAAAAAGAAAAAAGTCAAAGGCATTGCATTACCCAAATTCAAACTGTACCATACGGCTACTGTAACCAAAACAACATGGTACTTGTACAAAAAAACAGTTACAGAGACCAATGGAACAGAATAGAAAACCCAGAAGAAGAAAAAAGCCACACACCTGTAGCCATCTAATCTTTGACAAAGTAGATAAAAATAAGCAATAGGGAAAGGACTTCCTATTCAGTAAGTGATGAGCTACCTGGCTAGCCATGTGCAGAAGAATAAAACTGGACCCCTACCTTTCTCTGTATGGAAAAATTAACTCAAGATGGATTAAAGATCTAAATGTAAGACCTCAAGCTATGAGAATCCTAAAAGAAAACCTAGGAAACATCATTTGGGACATCAGCCTTGGGAAGGAATTTATGACTATGTCCTCAACAGCAATTGCAAAAAAACAAAAATTGACAAGTAGGACCTAATTAAACTAAAGAGTTTCCACACAGCAAAAGAAACTATCAACAAAGTAAGCAGACACCCTACAGAGTGGGAAAAAATATTCACACACTTTGCATCCAACGAAGGGCTAATATCCGGAATCTATAAAGACATTAAACAACACAAAAATCAAAAAACAAATAACCCCATTAAAAAATGAGCAAAGGACATGAACAGGCACTTCTCAAAAGAAGACATACAGATGGCCAACAAGCATGCAAAAATACTCAACATCACTAATTATCAGGGAAATATAAATTATAACCACAATAAGATACCATCTCACACCAGTCAGAATGGCTATTAATAAAAAGTCAAAAAACAACAGATGCTGGCAAGGCTGCAGAGCAAAGGAAATGCTTATACACTGTTGGTAGGGATGTAAATTAGTTCATCCACTGTGGAAAGCACTTTGGAGATTTCTCAAAGAACTTAAAACAGAACTATCATTAGATCCTGCAATTTCACTGCTACATGTATAGCCACAAAAATAATAAATCATTCTACCAAAAAGACACATGTGTTTGTATGCTCATTGCAGCACTATTCACAATAGCAAAGATATGGAATCAAGCTAGGTGCCCATCAATGGTGGATTGCATAAAGAAAATGTGGTACATATACACCATGGAGTATATGCAGCCATAAAAAGAATAAAATCATGTCATTTGCAGTAACATGGATGGAACTGTAGGCCATTATCCTAAGAAAATTAACACAGGAAGAGAATACTGCATGTTCTCACTTATAAGGGAGAGCTAAACATTGGGTACTCATGAACATAAAGATGGGAACAGTAGACACTGGGGACAACAAGACAGGGGAAGAAGGAAGGGAGGTAAGGGTTGAAAAATGAACTGTTGGATATTATGGTCAGTGCCTGAATGATGGGATCATTTGTACCCCAAACCTCAGCATTGTGCAATATAACCATGTAACAAACCTGCACATGTACCCCCTGAATCTAAAATGAAAGTTTGAATTATTTTTCTTTAAAAGAATAAAATGCAAAAATAAAGGAAAGCGATGTTTTTTTTGCACACCTGAGTTTATGTACTGTGATTTAGATCTGCCCCTTTTTATCCAGGTGAGGATGCTGGATCCCAATATTGAACCCCCATAGTCATCTAAAACCAATCAGTGCCAACCTCAGCATTTGATTGTTTGGTCCCAAATTCTTTCTTTAAGAAATCTTTCTGTAGTGAGATAAATGAGTCTTACTTCTCTAAGACCTATTACAGAGAGTAGGGAGGAGTGTTGAAGGAAGCAGCAGGATCGAGTGAAATAGCACCAGATTAGAAGTCAGGAGACTAGAACATTTATACTGTCACGAATGCTACATGTAAATTTGGAAAAATGACAACCTGCTTATTTTCGTCCACAAAATATCTTTTCTGCTTTTAGAGTTATATGTTTCTCTGTCCCTCACGCTAATAACTGGACTGTCTCTAATTATTGAGCATAGATCCTCAGGCTTTCCTCAAGATACTGGATCTGACCACCAGTTGGAGAACACCCCACCACCACCAACATCACCACAGCAACTTTTGTACTACCCCCAGAGGAGTCTCAGAGTTTTAAATTGCTCACCAGAATTGGGGAAGAGTGGTTAGACAGGCTTTCCTAGAACTGTAATAAAGTCCCTACTCTTTCATAGTCCCCAAATGCTCCAATATTAGAAGAGGATAATTCTGCTTACATTTCTTAAAGCCTCTTTACTTATAATTGTAAGAGACTCAAGTTGTTTGAGAAAGCTTCTGCTAGCTGGAACAGAAAGAAAGGTCAGAATAATATACATGAAAATCATAAAAATATAATCATTAAAAATTGTGGAGGACTCATCAAATGCCACCAATGTATTGAGAGCTTATAAGCATTATTTTATCTAATTTTCAAAGAAACTCTATAAAGCACATTCTTTTACCAACCCTACTTTACAAAAGAGAAAGCTAAAAGGAGGTGAGGGTGAAAACCTGTATTCATGGCTCATAACTGGCAACTGTAAGAGGCAGGCCTCAAACAGTTTTATTTTAGGCCATTTTCTGTTAAAGTACGTAGCCCAATGGGGTAAGTATAGGTGGACTTAAATAGAAGTGAATGTAAAGGAGGTTCTGGAAAACACAGAATAGCTCATTCAATAGTTGGCAACATAAATTACAAGTGATAGGATAAAAACTATAAATATTTATAGAACTCTCATCCTTCTAAGAAGAATAGATGCTTAAGAAGGCCTATTATTTGTTCAGATCTACATCATCCTCCATAAAATGATCATTCCCAATAGTAAAGATAGTGTTTAGTGATGTATATAAGAAACGTACAGTCAGACACACTGAAACAACATTGTTCTGTTTAAAGGCAACATTGAGGGAGAAAGAGCTCAATTACTCGAGTGCAAAAAAGAAAACTTAGCTGAACAGAAATGCCTGCTAGGTAATATTATTAAATTTCTGGGTAATGTGATGTGGATCTTTGTCTCTGCCTATCTATGAAACATGCAAAATTAATTTTATTGGCCAATACATTTGTAGTTGGGATTTATTTTGATATGTGACAACAAATAACTGAGTTTTCCTCAAAGGGGAAGGGAGTGAGATCAAAGATGAGCCAAAGATGTCCCTCATTACATGCAGATTATAACATAATAGAACAAATTAAGATAAGAGATCAAAGACATCTTAACACCATAAGCAGACTGACTTAATGAGACAGAAGTGTCAAATACTTCTACAGAAAGAACTATTAAAGTTCACAAATCATTTAAATAAATGGAGACATATACCATGTTCATGGATAAAATGATTTAACATAGAAAACATTTCAATTCTCCTAAAATAAATCTATCTAAAATCATCCCTACAGGATATTTTAAATAGAAATTCTGTTGTTTTAAAGAATTTAACAAATTCTATATTTTAAAATATGAATTAATTTTTATAGTCAATTCAACATTTAAAAAAAGAAAAAAGTGTCTTAGTCCATCTTGTGCTACTATAACAGAATACCATAGACTTGGTAATTTATAAACAATAGAAATTTATTTCTCATGAATCTGGAGGCTGGAAAGTCCAATATCACAGGAGGTGCTGGCATCTGGTGAGGGCCGTCTTGCTGCATCATCCCATAGTGGAAGGCAAAAGGGCAAGAGAGGGAAAAGGGGGAGAGAGAGTACACAGGAGATTGAACTCACAGCCTCAAGCCCTTTTATAATCAACATTAATTCATTTATGAGGGTGGAGCCCTCATAAATGAGCCCTCTGCAACAGTATTGAGAGGTGGGGTATAGTGGGAGGTATTTAAGTTTCCAATATACTTTTTGGGGGACATATTTAAACCATAGCATAAGGTTTGGAAATTTTCCCTGCCAGATACTAAAACAAGTGTGTCTAAAATTTACAGTGACAAAAACAAGGTGATAATTTACAGCAACACAAAAATACAACAATGAAAACAAATATAGAACATAGACACAGGACTATATGGGAATTTGAAACATGGTTAAAATGACAACATCAAATTGTGAGGAAAGCCAAGTTGTAGATGGCACTGGAAAAAAAAAATCTCACTATATAGAGAAAAATAAAGCTAGGCTTCTATCCTGGCCTCGCATACAAGAAGAACTTCAAATGAGTTAAAGATCTAAATGAAAAGGTGAAAAAGCCAACAGAATAAAGTGTAGAAAAATACCTCCATGATGTATTAATTTTCTATTGGTGCTATTAAAATGCACAACAAACCTAGTGGCTTAAACAATACAAATTTATTTTCTTATAGTTATATGTAGTAGAAGTTAATCACAGGTCTTACCTGGCTAAGATCAACATTTTGGAAGACTGTATTTCTTTCTAAGTGCTTTACAGAAGAATGTGTTTCCATGTCTTTTCCAACTTCTAGGCACCACTCACCTTCCTTGGTTTGTGACCTCTTCCCTCCATCTTCAAAGCTGGCAATGTAGCATCTTTCTGCCTTTGCTTCTGTTTTCTCATCTAGATTACAGAGTCAAGATAAATATTCACAAGTCAGTTGTATTTTTATATGGTAGCCATGAACCTTTTGGAAATAAAATTAAGAAAGCATTCAATTAATATTAGCATCAAAAAGAATAAAATCCTTAGAAATAAATCTAACAAAATATGTCTTGGACCTGTAAACTATAAAACATCATTTAAAAAAATGTAAGAAGACATAAGCCAGGCATGGTGGTATGTACCTATAGCCACAGCTACTTAGGAGGCTGAGGCAGGAGCATTGCAAGTTTAGCAAGTTTTAATAAAAATTTAAAACACCCAGAAATTAAAGATGAAACATAAATAGAAAGATGTACCATATCCCAAGTTTGTGGTTGAAAATGTAATATTGCTAAGGTGGTAATGTTCTTCAAATAACTAAAATAATCTAGAAAAAAAGAAAAAATTAGAGAAGTCACACTTCCTAAATCCAGAACTTACTCTAAAGCTACAGTAATCAATTGTGTGATACTGGCATAAGAATAGATATATAGTTAAATGGTAGAGAACTGAAAATCCAAAAGTAAACCCTCATACTTATGGTCAACTGATTTTCAACAAAAGCACCAAGACTACTCAATGGGAAAAAAAAAATAGTCTTTTCAAATAATGGGACTGAGACTATGGGATATCTACATGCAAAAGAGTTAAATTGGATTCTTACCTCCCACCATACCCAAAAATTAACTCCACATAGATTACAAACCTAAAAGTAAGATCTAAAACTATAAGACTCTTAAAGATACATAGGGTTAAATCTTTGTAACATTGAATTGGTCAATGGTCTTTTAGATATAATACCAAAAGTTTTGAAATTATACCAATTTTCTAAAATTTCTTTCAGGAAAGAAGGAGAGGAAATATTAGTAGTTCCTAACTCATTCTATGAAGCCAGAATTACTCTAATACCAAAACCAAGACAGTACAGGAAAATAAGACTATAAAACAATATCTGTTATGAACATAGATACAAAAGTCTTCAACAAAACATTGGCAAATCAAATCCAACAATATATAAAACAAATTAAACACCACAACAAAGTTGTATTTATCCCAGGTATGCAAAATTTGTTTGACATTCAAAAATTAACGTAATCCATCATATCAACAGGCTAAGAAAAGAACTCACATGATCTTATCAATAGATGCAGAAAAATCATTTGACAAAATCCAACACCCATTTATAATTAAAATTCTCAATAATTTAGAGATTAGAGGAAATGCCTCAACTTTAAAAAATCTACAGAAACCTGCAACTAACATCATACTTAATGGTAAGAAATTTTCCCACTAAGATCAGAAGTAAGGCAAGGATGTCCCTGGTTACTTTATTTCAACATTTTACTGCAGTTCCTAACTAATGCAGCAAGACAAGAAAAAAAATAGAAGGCAGACAGATGGGGAAGGAAGAAATAAAACTTTGTTCACAGGTGACTTGATTACTATGTCGAAAATTTGAAAGAATCGACCCCCCCCCTCACCCCACCAAAAAAAAACCCTGCTGGAACTAATAAGCAATTATAGCAAGATTGCAAGATACATGAAAAAATACAAAAGTCCACTGCTTTCCTAAATACCAGCAATGAACAAGTAAATTTGAAATTAAAAGCACACTACTGTTTATGTTAGCACTTCCAAAAATGTAATATTTAGATATAAATTTAACAAAATATCTACAATATCGATGTAGGGAAAACTGCAAAATTCTGATTAATGGAACTGAAGAACTAAGTAAATGGAGAGATGTTCTATGTTCATGGATAAGAAGATTCAATATTGTCAAGATGTCAGTTCTTCCCAACTTGATCTATAGATTCAATACAATCCTGATCAAAATCCCAGAAAGGTATTTTGTAGATATCAACAAACTGATTCTAAAGCTTATATGGAGAATCAGAGAACTCAGAATAGCCAACACAATGCTAGAGAAGTACAAAGTCAGAGAATCAACACTACCTGAGTTCAAGACTTACTCTAAATCTGCAGTAGTTAAGACAGTGTGGTATTAGTAAAGGAACAGACAAATAAATCAATGGAACAGAATAGAGAGTACAGAAAGAGGCCCACATAAATAAGGCCAACTGATCTTTGACAAAGGAGAAAAGGCAATGAAATGGAAAAAAAAAAAAGTGATCTTTTCAACAAGTGATGCTGGAACAACTGGACATCCACATGCGAAGAAATGGATCTAGACAGACCTTACACCCTTCACAAAAATGAACTCAAAATGAATCATGGACTTAAATGTAAAATTCAAAGCTATAAAACTCCTAGAAAGAAACATAGGAGAAAACCTAGATGCCCTTGTGTATGGTAATGACTTTTTAGAAACAACACCAAAAGGCATAATCTATAAAAGAATTAATTGACAAGGTGGACTTCATGGAAATTAAATTTTCTGCTCTATGAAAGAAAATGTCTAGAGAACAAGACAAACCACACAATGGGAGAAAATATTTGCAAAAGATACTTCTGACAAAGGACTGTTAACCAAAATATATGAGGAACTCTTAAAACTCAACAAGAAGAAAACAAACAAACCACTTGAAAAATGGGACAAATGCCTTAACAGATACCTTAAGGGTACAGAGTTTCTTTTTGGAGTTCTCAAGTTAGATAATGTTAATAGTCGCACAACTTTATAAATATACTTAAAAATGTTGAATTGTACACTTTAAAAATGTAAATTTATGGTATGTGAATTACACTTCAGTAAAGCCACAATTTTAAAAGATCCATTAGACAAAAAGTTATGGAACCTGGTTTCTAACTAATTAAGTGCTATCATATTTTTATAACATGACTTCAGACAAGTTTTTACACTTTCTGGCCTTGGTCTCCTCACCTGTACAATAAAAAGCCCTTTCATTTCAGAAATTTATGGTTCTATACCTCTAGCACTTTCTTCATGAAACAGTCCTTTGCTGATCTGAAAGTGACCACTCCCTGCTTTGAACTCTAACGCCATTAACTGGCTTATATGACTATTACTTGTGCTTCACCTTATCTCCTCTCCTAGAAATGTGAGCCAGTTGAGGAAAGACATGAAACTGTCTTGTACATGATGGGGATTCAGTGAGTTTTTACATGACTAGATACATGAATTTATATTTAGTACACATTGTATGGAATTAAGCAGAGAAATCAACAATTTTTAAAAATTTTCATTCCACCAATATAAATTTCCCTAAATTTGACAAGATTTTATGTTAATTTTTGACATAATAAAATTGTAAACTTTGTAGAGTTTGAACCACCATATTAACTCTCGTTATACAGATGAGCTTCTCTGCTATTCCAAAATAAATTGTGTATTATACCATGGCAGCTTCACTGATGTTGCTACTAAACATGATGAAAATAATCCAAAATGAAAAGAAATAAAATATTCGAACCAGTGTTACTTAATTGTAAATAATCAAGGTTTTAGTATTCTAGTAGGTGTCCTGAACTACATTGCTTTTAAGCAATAAAATCTTCCAAAAAGAGAACTCAGTAAAGTACACTATTATTAAATCTGCATTGAGAGTTTAGGCTACTGTTTTCCTGCAATTATTGAGTTTGCAAATTCTTAAAAAATAGAAAATTATACAGGCCTTGTTGCCATATATATAACTTTCCATAGTGTGTGTTTGACAAGCTGAAATTTTTAGACAAAGAAGAACGTTGTGTATAAATGTAATCAACTGCTTTCTCTTTTTTTCTTTAAATATAAAAGATAATTGTCTGAAAACTAATCTTCAATTTTGAGTTCCTTCCTCCACTGATGAACTAAGTAATTTAACCAAAAACATTTATCTCTCATTAATAACAATACAAAGGGAAAAATTATGAAAAATTAGTCCTAACTTGCTATTATTCAACTATAACCTCATAATCCTACTACATTCCCGTTTATTGTGCATAATTACCAGTTCAGAACAAATGAATCCATTCCTAATTGTACAGTTTAGAAAAATTATTTGTAATTGATAACAAATTAAGGCAGCATCAAAATACTTAAGAACCTATGCAAAATTAAATTCTGGGTAGATAACTGGTAACATCTGAGAACATTTTTTATTCTACACTACATTTTGCACAGAATGTACTTGAAAATCATGTTTTACGTTATTAGAGATGCATTCAGTTACGTACCTACACGTCTCAAGTGTATTGAGGTAAAGTTTCTATATAGAATTATTATTCTTCATTTTGGACATGATGCCTTCTATATTGTTATTATAATTTTCAATTTAATGAATATTAACTATTCTGCTGGTGTAGATAATAATAACACACACACAAAAATAAGATTTATTGAGTGCTTACTATAGCACTAAGCACAATACTAAATTCTTTATAGTCTTATCTTAATCAACCTTAAGAGCAATTCAATGAAGTGGTAGTTTACTCCTTTACATGAGAATTTTGGCCAGGCATTGTGGCTCATGCCTGTAATCCCAGCACTTTGAGAGGCCGAGGTTAGCAGATCACTTGAGGCTAAGAGTTCGAGACCAGCCTGGCCAACATGGCAAAACCCCGTCTCTACTAAAAATACAAAAATTAGCCAGGCATGGTGGTGTGCACCTGTAATCCCAGCTACTTGGGAGGCTGAGGCACAAGAATAACTTGAACCCGGGAGGCGGAGGTTGCAGTGAGCCAAGATTGCACCACTGCACTCCAGCCTGGGCAACAGAGGAAGACTCTGTTTCAAAAAAAAAAAAAAAGAGAGAGAAAAATTAAGAATTAATGACATGAAGTAATTTGCCTAAAATCACACAGTTAACAAGTGTTTCATTTCCAAAATAGACAGTTTGTAGGTATATAGATTTTTAAAAACACCCAGATATCCTCAAAGAACTTGCCATGTAAGGAAACTGTCAGAGAAGGGACCAAGTAACAAACATGAACTATAAGTGAAGATTCACAGTTGAATACGGAACTAATTAACGTAAAGGTCGCAATTTAAAATATTAGTGTTACAGTATGGGCTGTGTATGAGAGTGTTCTCCAGAGAAACAAAATGAATAGAATGCATATATACATATTTGTTTATAGAGAGATTTATTTTAAGGAATTGGCCCATACTACTACGGAGACCCAGGGAAGAATTGATTTAGTACAAGTACGGAAGCCATCTGCTGGCAGAATTCCTTCTTGCACAGAAGATGTTAGTCTTGTAGTCTTGATTCTGTTATAGACCTTTAACTGATTGGATGAGGCCCACCCACATTATGAAGGGCAATCTGCTTTACTCAAAGGTCACTGCTTTAAATATTAATCTTATCCAAAAACACCCTCACAGAAATTTCCAGAATAAGGTCTGACCAAATATCTGGGAAAAGCAGTCCAGCCAAGTTGACACATAAAATTAACCATAAGGGGGTGCTTTAAAAATATACAAAAACTCATATCCTAAACATCCTGCCCTGTGGTGGTAAGTCCTAGAGATTTGTCTTCCCCAACAGAGCTAACTCCCTTGAGTTGAGGACTGCATTATATTTAGTTTTTTATTCGCAGGGTCTATCACAATGGGACAGGGTTGGCAGGGGAATATAGAAAGTTTTCAGGAACTCTTGTCGAATGGAATTAAATAGGCTTGGCTTGAACTGAATTTAATTGAATCTAGTTTCTGGTCTTTTAAAATCTCTAAAAAAACAAGTATGTCCAGAATAATTTAATGCCATAGATAAGCCCAGAGGTTTAGGAACTCATAACTCTGTCGACTTCCTTGGTTGCTCAATTTGTGGCAAAAGTTATGTATTAATTTTACATTGCTACATAACAAATTATTACAAATTTAGCAGCTTATTATCTCACAGCTTCTGCAAATCAGGATTCCAAGTAGCAGTGTAGGGTGCTCTGCGTCAGTGTCTCTCACAAGGCTACCATGAGCCAGGGCTGGAATTTCAACAGAGGATTGACTGGAGAAGAATCTTCCTCTAAGTTCATGTAGCTTTTAGCAGATTCACTTTCTTGCAGGCTGTTAGACTGACAGCCTCAGCTCTTTCCTGGCCATTTGTCAGGGCTGCCTTTAGCTCCTTACCAGGTAGGTCTCTTCCTATGGTGGTTTTCTTTATGAAAAGTAGCAAGAGAAACTCAATATGGAAGGGCTACTAGCAATGTACATGTTACAATCTTATAGAATCATGGAAATGACATCACATCACCTTTGCCATATTCTGTTGGTTAGCAGCAAGTCACACATCCCACTGATAGCAACAGGAAACAGCCAAATGCCTGGGCAGATAGGGGCGGGTACCTGGTGAAACCCCACCTCCAAGCTGAAGACACTTTAAAGCCTGAAAGCCAAATTACAAGTTAAATCCTTGTACTGGATCGAGAACTTGTCCTCCTGTTTGGCGCACTTTTCTCTAATTGATCCCCACCCTTCACCTATCTTACACATATCTACCCTTTCCTAATTGGTTTTCTGCACCATCATGCCCACCTTTGAGTGGTGTCGTCACTTTAACCTTTTCCGTATACTCACAAACCAATTGGCATACACTCACACTCCCCATCCTGTACCTATAAAGACCCCAGACTCAGTTGGTGGAGTAGGGGAGACAGCCTGACTGCGAGAGAGAGACAACCTGACTTCAGGGAAAATGACTTGCCCTTCCCATCCCCTCTCCAGTTAGAGCCATTTTCATCACTCAGTACAATTCTCTGCCTTCACCATCCTTCAATCGTCCACATGACCTCATGCTTCTTGGATGCTGGACAAGAGCTCGGGGCTCACCAAATGTAGGTACCCAGAAAAGGCTGTCACACTGGCCCTTTGCCCTGGCCAACGGAGGGCAGCCACCCCACATAACAAGGCAAGGGGCCAAGTGAGCTGCTAACACACTGCTGTCCACTGGAGTGCAGGTAGCAGAACTAAAAGAGCACTATAAGACCCCCTCTGGGGCTTCAGGGTCACAGGCACCCTGTGAGGCCTCGGGGTCACAGGCATCCTGGGGTCCGCTGCATTCCCCTCAAGGCAACATGTCTGGTCTGGTCATGGGCCCCACACAGAGCTTGCTCCTGTGTCAATGCCCAGAGCAGCCAGCTGGATCCCGTACTCACTCACTCACTTGCTCCCTCCTGCAAGGGGCTAAGCACAGTGGGCCAAGTAGATGGGGTGCCCTGCCGTGAGTTCGGTGAATGGGGGTGAGAAAAATACCGCATCACCACTAACATTCAAAGGGAGAGGACTACACAACAGCATGAATACTAGGAGGTGGGAATAACTGGGGCTTTCTTGGAGTCTGTTCACCACAAGTCACTTCTCAGGATTAGACTTTGAGTTGGTTTTTCAGCAATCTCAGGGCTGCCACAAAAGGAGATTATGATTACTTTTTAGGGCAGACATAAAAGCTTTCAGGTCCTTCAAGGGCACCTAAATGAATCACTTCCCAGGGGTTGTCAGTCCAGAGATGAGACCAGCTGAGCAGGAGAAAAACAGAGCATGATTCAGCTACCTCATTCCTATTGTCAGGTGGAGTCCTGAGCTTTTCCCTACACCCAGACACCATCTGGCAAAGAAAGATCAGCCTCAATCAAGAATTGAACACTCAATTTTCTGAAGATTTAATTGAAAGAAATTGTGTAAACTAGACAAAAATTATTTAGTATTATTTAGCAAGTTAAAGGTTTGAGTGATCAGTTAGCGTGTTTATGTGGCATATGTGTGCCACCTATGTGCATGCGTTTCACTTACTACTCTGCTCCTCTTACTATGTTGGAAGTTACTCAGGAGGGAGATTAGCTTGGTTACAGGAAATAAAGACCGAGTGCAGTGTGAGTGAATGTTCAACTCTGTAAAATTAGAACAGTCTGTAACTCTAAATAATTAAGTAGTCACCTATACACCAGTAGACTGCCACTCTACTAAACTCCCAATCCATTTTTATATGGAAAGGCAGGCAAAAAGGATTATGATTATGTCTCTTAAAGACCAACACTAAATGTTTGCATTACCTAGGAGTGGGCTGGGGATTTGTCTCCCACAGGCATACAGTACAAGATTAATAAAAATAATAGCTAGCATTTATTGGATATTTACGATACAAGGAAATGGTCTTTCTGTTTTTTCCCAAATTTTAGTTTGAAATTTCTATAGAATATTCTATATTTCTATAGGATATTCTATATTTCTATAGAATATTCTATATTTCTATAGAATATTCTATATTTCTATAGAATATTTGAAAAAATGGCACAATGAACTTACAATGAACTTATATACACTGCTCACATTGATTTCCCAGTTATTAACATCCTACTGTATTTGTATTATACATATGTGTGTGTGTGCATACAAAGTATGTATTTGTATTTAAAGTATATATATATCTTAACATATGTATAATTGGTCGAACTATTTGAAAGTAGGTTTCAGACATTTTGAACTTTTTATATTTATTGCAATGAGTTGTCCAAGTTTTCAAAGCTGGCCAGTTAAAGTGCTGGGCCTGAAACCCTTGACAGTCAAATTTGGAGTCTACAGTCTATTCTGATTCAGTTAGTGGAAGGTGAGAGAAGTGCTGATAGTGGGCTAGATATGCATAGTCAGCATATCTAGCATAGCAGCACCAGAGAGCTAAGGGGTGAGGGGTTGGGGGAGGGAAGAGGAATTAAAGATCATAGAGAAGGGAGTGGCAAGAGAGGAGAATTTTTATGAGGGGAGATGATTATCAAATGAGGAGTGCCACTAAGACAAAAATCTCCCACTTTTCCTTTTATCTGGGGTGAAAAATATTTATTTTGGACTTGATACTGTAGAATATAAACCTCCAAAGGGCAGAGAGTAGGTTCTGTTTGCTTTGAGTCTAGCACTGTATTGCATACAGTCAGATACTTAGACACTTAGTCACTGCTACTGATGTTAATGGGCACAGATTTCTGAATCATTGAGTTCTCCAGTCATTAGAATTACACTTAATGTTATATGAACACTATGCCAATCCTCATGAAGGTGTTTTAAATTTATCCCTTTAAGTGTCATGAATATAGCCCTTGGGATCTGTAATACAGGAACGATTACAGAGGATCCATTTTACAACATGAATATACATTAACCCTTGTTCATCATAGCTGAAAAAGCAGTCCCAAAGTGTTATTTAAAAATTATAAGATTCCTTAAAGATTATGTATACAAGATTATATCAAAGAGTTATTCATTATGTTTAAGATCAAGAAACTAACTCCATCACTGTAATCAACACTTGACATAGCTATTGTATGTCTATAATGTGATCGGAGAACTCAAATCATTCTTGAAAAAAAAATAGTTGAGGGAAGAAAACAAAAGCAATCCTCTGGGTTTGCCTAATAATTAATAAAAAGTAAATAAAAATAAGTTAGGACTGCACGTTCTATTTACCTACTTGCCTCTGAAGGCAAGTTTCAATTTTTTTTTTTTTTTTTTGGTTCTTATTTATTTATTTTTACTTTAAGTTCTGGGATACATGTGCAGAACGTGCAGGTTTGTTACATAGGTATATGTGTGCCATGGTGGTTTGCTGTACCTATCAAACCATCACCTAAGTTTTAAGCCCTGCATGCATTAGCAATTTATTCTGATGCTCTCCCTCCCTTCGCCCTCCTCTCCGATAGGCCCTGACGTGTGTTGTTCCCCTCCCTGTGTCCATGTGTTCTCATTGTTCAATTCCCACTTGTGAGTGAGAACATGCGGTGTTTGGTTTTCTGTTCCTGTGTTAGTTTGCTGAGGATGATGGCTTCCAGCTTCAATCATGTCCCTGCATGATCCCATTCCTTTTTGTGGCTGCATAGTATTCGATGTGCCACATTTTCTTTATCCAGTCTATCATTGATGGGCATTTGGGTTGGCTCCATGTCTTTGCTATTGTGAATAGTGTTGCAACAAACATATGTGTGCATATATCTTTATAATAGAATGATTTATATTCCTTTGGGTATATACCCAGTAATGGGATTGCTGGGTCAAATGGTAGGTCTGCTTCTAGATCCTTGGGGAATCGCCATAGTGTCTTCCACAATGGTTGAACTAATTTACATTCCTACCAACAATGTAAAAGCACTCCTATTTCTCCACAGCCTCGCCAGCATCTGCTGTTTCTTGACTTCTTAATAATCGTGATTCTGACTGACATGAGGTGGTATCTCATTGTGGTTTTTATTTGCATTTCTCTAATGATCAGTGATGAGCTTTTTTTCCATATGTTTGTTGGTTGCATAAAAGTTTCAATTCTTTTATTCATTTGGGTAGTGGCTTGCAAACTTTCGTCCCGAAAACTTACAGTGAAAAATATATTTTGCATATACATAAAAACAAATTTTAAAAACACTTATGTTTTTGTGTATTATATTTGTGTATATGATTTAGAAAGCTCTTCCCCCATCCCATTAATACAGTACTTTTCAATCTGATTAACAGCTCTTTAGTGGGTCACAAAATCAACTGAGTTTAATCAACATTTTAAAAAACAAAAAAGAAAAGAAAAAATATTCAGAGTGCATTACGAGGAATATAGGGTAAGAACTGTTTCATGAAAATTTTGTTTCAGTTTTGCATGTATGTAGATATATGTTTTGGACATTAAGTTATCTGTATATTTCACTGAGGATTTTAGTCAAAAATGTTCAACAGGCCGAGCACAGTGGCTCACGCTTGTAATCCCAACAGTTTGGGAGGCCAAGGCAGTTGGACCACCTGAGGTCAGGAGTTCAAGACCAGCCTGGCCAACAGGGTGAAACCCTGCCTCTACTAAAAATATAAAAATTAGCCGGAGGTGGTGGCACACACCTATAATCCCAGTTACTCCGAGAGGCTGAGGCAGGAGATTCACTTGAACTTAGGAGGTGGAGGTGGCAGTGAGCCGAGATCATGCCATTGCACTCCAGCCTGGGCAACAGAACAAGACTTCATCTCAAAAAAAAAAAAAAAAACAATGTTCAACAGTTCACTATTTTATGGCAATTGCACATTGAAAAACATTGCAGTCTATGGGGGCACAAATAACTCCCCTTATCTTTAAAAATATTTTATTGTAGTATTCATAGTGTTGGAAGTTTTCATTATGTCACATCTCAGTTTCTTACCCTCGAGCTCAGAGAAAATGAGTTTGAGAAGTGTGACTCAACAATGTGAAGCTACACACAGGGCCATGTTGAAGTATGGAAAAAATAAATTCTGAATCATGATTCTCCACTCATCCTTAGACCATTGGCACAGAAAAGATAGAGACAATATAGCAAATACCACAGAAGCAACACCACTTGTGGCTTACACTTGTAAAGAACTACTTATGAGGGAGGATCCAAAAATGGCGGATAGGAGGCAAGACTAACTTGCAGCTCCCACTGGGAAAGACAAGGCAACATGTGGAGACCCACATTGTAAACTTTTGCTCCAAGAACTACTGCAGGAATATACCAGGAAAGCCGAGAGAACCCACAGACCCTTTGAAGGAGGTGGATTGCTGCTGCAGGATGGCCGAAGAACTGTGAGTCCATTTGCTTTCTCAGTAGGGAGGCTTGTTGCCTAGGGCAAGTTCTCAGCCCTCCTCACTGGCTGCCTGGAAACAAATTCGGTGCTGTTGTGGGGGTACGGTCAGAGTGACACTGGCCTTTCAACTATGTGGAAGTTGGGTGAGGCCTGTGGCTGCCGGCTTTTTCCCACTTCCCTGGTGACCTGTATGACTGCAGCAGAGGCAGCCATAATCCCCCTGGGAACATAACTCCATTGGCCTGGGAAACACATACCCATCCCCGACAGCAGCCGCAGCAAGACCTGCCCATGGAGAGTCTGAGCTCAGACACACCTAACCCTCCCCAACCTGGGGTCTTTCTCTACCCCACCCCCCAACTGAAGACAAAGGACATAATCTCTTGGGAGCTCTATGGCCCTACGTACCACCTGACCCTGGGCAAGCTGGTATCTTCCCTCTACTACTGCAGCTGATGCGCTCTTGAGACCGCCACACCTCCTGGCTGGAGGCCAACCAACAGAAAACCATCGCACTTAACAAAAACACAACCAAGGACCCTCACAGAGTCCACTTCACTCCTCTGCTACCTCCACCAGAGGAGGTGCTGGTATCCGTGGCAGAGAGACCTAAAGACTGATCACATCACAAGACTCTTTAGACACTCCGCAGTACCAGCCCAGAACCCAGTAGCTCTCATGAGCAGCTAGATTCAGAAGAGAAATAATAATCACTGCAGTTCAGCTCTCAGGAAGCCTCATCCCTAGGGGAAAGAAGAGAGTACCCAATCAAGAAAGCACCCTGTGAGACAAAAGAATCTGAACAGCAGCTCTTGAGTCCCAGATCTTCCCTCTGACATAGTCTACCCAAATGAGAAGGAACCAGAAAAACTACCTATGGGGATTGAAATATTAATATATACTAAATATACTAATACTAATTCAAAAACTTGTATTTAAATTTAAATTAGTATTTAAACACTAGATTTAAATTAAATTAGTATTAGTAATAATTAGTATTAGTATTTAAGTGAATATTTAAAATACTAACTAGTATTTACATTTAAATACTAATACTAATTTAAATACTAAATATACTAATAAGAAAATATTACCTATTTCTATATTTGACTCAAATACCATAACTAAGCAACATTAATTCTCTCAAATTTGAGATCAGAAATGTCTGTTCTCAGGAATAGGAAAAATATTTCCTTTTTACTTATAAATTTAGCCTACTTTCACTAGCAACAAGTTTCTATGATGATAGTCGTTGTAGACATCTGGAGACAAAGATCTGCAGAAAAATATAACCTGAGAATATGGTCCAAGGGAGGAGAGCCTGACAATTGGAAAAACTTAATAATGAAAGATAAATAAAATTTTTTAATCCTGTTATTAACAAGGCATTTTTATATGCCTATTCCCTGAATGTGTCAGTACTTTGAGATGGAAGTTTGAAACAATAGGAAGAAGTTTTTAGTGAGGTAAAAGTTTGAATTGACTCCTTAAGATCATTTTGAGAATTTTTTTTAAGAGTAGGGATTGATAAAGTAAAACCAAACTGAAAATAGCAATTCACATTGAAATAGTTGACAGCAGCTAAACCAAGAGATAAGTAGTGCATTGAATTAAGAGGTCAGATTAGATTACATAATGACTTTGTTCCTTTTCTAATAATAAGGACTTAAAAATAATCCTTGATAATTGACATGGTACATCAGTCAGTTGTTGTCAGTAAGCAAAACATACATGAAAGCATCTCTTGGGGCCGGGCACGGTGGCTCACGCCTGTAATCCCAGCACTTTGGGAGGCCAAGGCCGGCGGATCACAAGGTCAGGAGATCGGGACCATCCTGGCTAACATGGTGAAACCCCGTCTCTACTAAAAATACAAAAAATCAGCCGGGCATGGTGGTGGGCGCCTGTAGTCCCAGCTATTCGGGAGGCTGAGGCAGGAGAATGGCCCGAACCCGGGAGGTGGAGCTTGCAGTGAGCTGAGATCGCGCCACTGCATTCCAGCCTGGGAGATAGAGCGAGACTCCGTCTATAAAAAAATAAATAAATAAATAAATAAGAAAGAAAGAAAGTAGCTCTTGGCTTTTGTATTCAAAGCCAAAGCTAAGAATGAATTTTGGCACTGGGTAGTACTGCGAGTCAACTTTCCGAACAGCATTTTCACCAGCTGAATCATAGAGTGGAATATGCATTCAGTCTTGAAAAGACAGTCCCATTAGTATTCCTACCCCAGAACACCTAACTTTGGGCTATAACTGCACAGGAGAAGGGTGTAGAGAAAGAAGGAGGAGGGGGAGAGATAGGGCAAAAGTTTCAAAGAACCAGCCAGTGCCTTGACACACAACTTTGTACATGGTAAAATAAAAGACAAAATTTAACTGAGGACCTACTAAGAGAGTATAATAAGGAGATCTATTGCCCAAAAATTATTGCCAGCTTTTGTTTTCTGTTTTAAACACAACTATAAAACAAGATGTTGAGTTGCCAAGCTTCGTCCCTCAGTATCCATATACAGAAATAATGAAAGAGAATGGGAATTCCAAAGGGTTGCCCTTCCCATGATTAAAATATATTTTTCCATATTTCTCAATATCTATGCTCCAATTAAGTTTGTATCAAGAAGGAAGGTCCTCCTAGAACCTTCCACTTAATCTCCAATTACCTGTTAGCTATAGATGTTTTACTTGTTAATGATGGTTTAGTATTTAAAGATGATGCTTTCTTGCATTAACTGAAGAGAGCTTAAAAGCATAGCAATAGTATGAGAATTTCTCTAAAACCTAGGGGAGGGAAAAGGAGAAAAGCTACTACAGTCATCATTCTCTCCAAATGTCTTGTCTATTGAAAGCAGTATGATAGAAGAAGTAGAGAGGAAAGGGGAAGGGGAAAGATAGGGCAAAAATTTCAAAGAACCAGCCAGTGCTCTGAGACAGAAGATTTTTTTTGCTCATGGTTAAAAAAAACAACAACACTTCACTAATGAGCTGATAGGTTATTTTTTAGTTATTTTCTTTTGATCTAAATAACATTATTTTTCTTATTAGGATTTAATTGATTAAGCATGAAGATATTAGCAAGTTACTTCTGTTTTAATTAGGTATTAAGCAGCTTGATCATTTTTAGAGTGACAAGCTGTAGTGTTCACTCATCCATGAAGAAAAATTGCATTATAGTGTTCAAACTACTTAAATGGGAGTGGTGAATATTATTTAAATATTTTGTGTAGAGGAAAAATATTTAACTACAAAATAATAATCTGCTATTATATAAAGTTTAATCTCCTGTAATGGAATCACTTGTAATAGAATAGGCAAATAATTCTCCATGTCACCCCAGCTGAAGAAGAGGTGAAAACATGACCTAACCCTGTCTAATGAGATGGCCTCTTCTGGGACTCTGATACTTGACCAAAAACAGAAGAAACCATTGGATATAATTCATTCATCTCAAAAGGGCATCAAGACCAGACTGTTCCTGAGGTTCTTACACCCTCATACCTTTTAGGAGTTCATCCCCCAAAAAGATGTCAGGCCACCAGGAAGCCACAGCCATTACTAGAGTAAACAGATATAGACTGTCCCTCAGAGAAAAACATGGTTTCGCTGAAGCCACAGGAGTCTGCTGCATTCCTGTATAGGAACATTTGGAAAATGCAAAGAAGGGAACATCCCCGTGGGAAACCCTCAGTAAAGAAGAAGAGCCCCAGACTCCCATCCTTCAGTAAGACAATTCTGGGATGCATTCTGTTTGCTTCTCTGAAATGCTAGCTAAATAAAGCCACAAATGCCTACATCAGCAACCACAATATTACATCCTTACATTTGTTATTCCTCCTTCTCTGGCTCACTCTAACCATTCTCTCACTCTTGCCTCCTGGGAGCACCTCCCTAACTAACTATCCTGTCTCAGACTCTGCTTTGAGTGAAAACCAAACTGAAACATCTCTATATTTTATTTAATTATCACAACAGTCTTGTGGGGTGGTGTTATTTTCCACATCGTAGAGGCTGAGAGGTTCATTTGTCCATTCAATTAGTGAAATAGAGGGGGCTTGAACTCCAATCTTTCTGATTCTAAAACCCATGTTCTAACCATCATGCAAAACTATCCAAACACTACCAGATGAATGACAATAAGAGTTGGACATATTACTATATAAATGATATTTAATGTGTTTTGTTTACTACTTATACATGTTCCTTTGGGTGATGGCACAAAAAAAATTCACCAATCATTTCATTTCACTAAATGAAAGGACAAAGCCATGACTAAGAAGGAGATTAATCAGATGCTCAGCTTTTTCTCCTCTTTCAATTAAAATCTGTTTTCAAATTGCCTATGAAGACATATCATAGTGTTTATTTGTTGTTGTTGTTATTGTGTATTACAGCAGACAATTGTTGTTTTTGTCTTTCCAGCTTCCATTCTACCTTCTTTTAGTGAATACACACAAATTTTCTTTGGAAAATTCTGTTCCATTTTCCATACATGTACTTTAAGTGGCACGGATCCAAAGCCTGGCCAGTGACAGCTAAGAGACTCAGTTTCCGAGGTTTGGGGTTTTGTTGTTGTTTTCTTTTCTTTTTTCTTTTCCTTTTTTTTCTTTTTTTGAACCACTAGTTAAGACTGGAACAGCTGAGGGCCACAATGAAGGGCAAATCTGACTGCAAATAAAATTAAGTATGAGGGAAAAGATGATGGAGACGGAGGTAAACTTTTTAAATTCTAGATTGAGATAAGCAACTTCATACTTTTTTTTCTAAATTCAGTTTAATTGGACTTTTGTTGCTTATAACTCTTTTCCATTTTATTCTCCATGACCAGTCTTCTAAAATCTCAGGCTAAATATGATTTTTAAAATCACCTGGTAAAGCCACCTAGGTAAAATTTGGATGCTCAGTTCTTGTTCCAGTGTCTGCCTTCCAGTAACAACGAGTTCACAACCTCTAAACAAAGATTATCCTTAAGGTGCTTGAGAGTTTTAAAAATCCTAGTGAAATCTTTGAGTGTCAAGCCATGAAAGGAACAAACAAAAATAATATATACTAAATCCCTTAATTATAGAGTACATTAATATAGGTTGTTTTATACCATGTTGGCCAGGTGAGCCTTACTGGGAAGATGAGATTTAAAGGAACACTTAAAAAAGGGCTAAGGAACTAGCCAGGAAGATACCTAGAGAATTGAGTTACTTCATACACAGAGAGCAGCTAGAGCAAATGCCCAAGTTGAGTAAGTACCTGGCATGTTCTAGGAATTGCCAGGAGACCACCATGGCTGGAACTGAATGAATCAGGATGAGAGTAGTAGGAGATGAGGCCCAAGAGCTAGAGGACTGGTGTATATTATGCAAATGTAAAAGTCATGTATTAATTAGCTATTGCTGTATAACAAACGATCCCACACTTTAGCAGCTTTCTTTTTTTAATATAATGTCAACTTTAGATTCAGGGGTACATGTGCAGGTTTATTACATGGGTATATTTCACAATGCTGAGGCTTTGGGTGTGAATGATCTCATCACCCAGGTAGTGGGCATAGTACCCAATTGGTTGTTTTTCAGCCTTTGTTCCCCTCCCCCTCTCCCCACTCCAGTGGCCCCCAGTGTCCACTGTTGCCATCTTTATGTCCATATGTCCCTAATGTTTAGCTCCCACTGATAAGTGAGAACATGCTGTATTTGGTTTTCTCTTCCATCTTCACTTAGGATGATGGCCTCCAGCTACATTCATATTACTGCAAAGGACATGATTTTATTCTTTTTTATGTCTTTTAGAAAGCTTAAATAGTAGTAAATATTTATTATCTCACACAATTCCTAAGGTTTCAGAATTTGGAAGGGGCTTACTGGTGGTTCTAGCTCAGGGTCTCCCATGAGGATGCAGTTGTAATATTGACTGTGGGGGAAGTTATTTGGAGATTTGACTGGGGCTGGAGGATCTCCTTCTAGGATGGTTCATTCACATGGTTCTTGTCAGAGGGCTTCAGTTCCTTGCTATTTGGACAGGTCCATGGGGCTGCTTGAGTATTCTCACAAAATGTACATGGTTTTCTCTGAAAAACTGATCCAAGAAAAAGAGGCCAATGATATAACGTACTTTGCAATCCAGCCTCAGAAGGCACACATTATCATTTCTTCAATATCCAATTATTTACACAGGTAAGGGCCATTCAATGTGCAAGGAAATTACATATCAAGTTCCAGGGGTCTGGGATCATTGAAGACCATATTAGAAACTGGCTACCCCAGGTCATAATAGGAATATCGGTTTTACTATGAGAAAAGTGGGGAGTCATTACAAGGTTTTACATAGAACAGTGATACAATCTTACTTTTATTTTAAAAGAATTACTCTGGCTGCTCTTTTTGTTTTGTTTTTGGAGCATAATTTTATCGCTTGTATTTATTTTTAAGCAGTAGAATTTGACTATGTCAAACACACTGAAGCATGGGAATTATACAGTTCACTGCTTAGAAAGGTGTTGAACCAATACTGTCATTATCCCACACAGATAAAGAAGAAAAAACCAGGAGGATAATCCTGCTTTCCAAGGCAGTGGAAAATGGTCATTTCTAACATTTGGGTTGGATTTTCCATAATGGCTACTCCTACTGAAATTAATTGTAACAACTTATTGAGCATTTACTGAGTTTGTAGGTACTAGATTGAAAAGAAAAAAAAAAGATCCCTGTCATTAAATATATATATATAATATTTACTCTTCCATATATAAAATATATATATTATATATAATAATATATTATTATATAATATATAATATTATATATATTTTATATATATTATATTATATTATATATATAAAATATATATAATATATTATATTATATTATATATAAAATATATAGTATTATGTAATATATATTATATAATATATATGAAATATATATATTATATATATTATTTACATATTATTATATAATATATATTACATATTATATATAAATATATATTATTTATATATTATATTATATTTATATATAATATATATAAATATAATATATATAAATATTATATATATATATTATATATGGCTGGGGTCAGTGGCTCATACCTGTAATACCAGCACTTTGGGAGGTTGAGGCAGGAGGATCACTTGAAGCCAGGAGTTCGAGACCAGTCTGGGCAACATGGTGAAACGCCGTCTCTACCAAAAATACAAAAAATTAGCCAGGTGTTGTGGTGCACACCTGTAGTCCTGGCTACTTGGAAAGCTGAGGTGGGAGGACTGCTTGAGCCTGGGAGGTTCAGGCTGCAGTGAGCTGAGACTGTGCCACTGCACTCCAGCCTGGGTTACAGAGTGAGACTCTGTCTCAAACAAAAACAAAACCCGTAAAATTATAATATATAACATAACTGTGTAACCAATATGCAAAATTAAACAAAGAAATGAAAACAAAAGAAAGTGTTTAGTGATACGGTAAGTACAATTGAGGGAGGCAGCTGGAGGTGAGCGGCTGCATTGGGTTCAAAGTGTTCAATGGTATGGAATGAAGCTCTCAGCAGCCCTCGCTAGACCCAGACTCCTCCTTGCCATAGTCTTCTCTTGGGGCACTGCATCCTGGGTCCACATTTCTCCAGCTACTAGGGTCCTGGATGCTATTTGGGGGGGCTAGAGTTTAGGAAACAGGGCAGTAGCATGAGATATATCAGAAAGCCAACTAATCGAGGTAAATGATGACAGTAATCTGGTGGTAGCAGTAGAAAGAAGAGGTTAGATCATGGATATTTTTGAAGGTTGAGCACAGAATTTCATTTTATGTGGGGTCTGAAAGACTTAAAAGAATCAAACACAAAATTTTGATGAAGCATCTGGAAAGATGGAGTTGCCATCAGCTGAGAAGGGAAAGCAGTTAGTAAAGCACTTAGGTGGGGCAGGAGGAAGGCGAGTTGAGGAGTTCAGTCTTAGAAAACTGAGTGTGATGTGTCTGATAGATGTTTGACCAGAGTAGTCTAGAATTTGAGACAGAGGTTTTTTCCATAGCACTATAAACACATGTATATATAATATTTCAAGCCATGAGGCTGAATAAGATCACCAAGAGAGTGACAGTGGAACAAAAAGAAAGGAGTTCCAAGGGCTGAGCCATGGGGCTCCCCATGAAAAGAGGAAGGAGAAGAGAAAGAACCAAAATGGAAACCCAGAAAGAGCTTTCAGTAAAGTAGGAAGAAATCCAAGAAAGTGTGGTGCCTGGAATAGGAGTGAAGAAAATAAGAAAGATGGGTGATTCAAATGCTATTGATAGGCTAAGATTAAAGCAGAGATTTCATCATGATGCATGGTGATCCAGGTGAGCTTCAGGGAAGCAGATTTGCTGGAGCGATGTGGGCAAAGGCCTGATTGAAGTGGGTTAAAGAGAGAATACGGAGGGACAAATTGGAGATCTGACTATGGATAAATTTTTTAAGCAGTTTGCTGCAAATAGAAGCAACAAAATGGGGCAGCAAGCTGGTGGGAAAAGATAGATCAAGAGAAAGTTTTTTACTTTGAGAGAAGTAACATCATTTTTGTGTGATGATACAGTGGAGAAGATGGATAATATAATATAGAAAGGGAGAATTTCTCAAGCAATCCAGTGAGAGAAGATGAGTTCTAGCGCACAGCAGAGGGGTTGACTTGAGATAGGGACATGGATTGTCCACCCATTACCATGACCTCCTACTCAGCAGGAGGTCAAAGTGTGCAGGGGCAGGTGCAGCAGATGGATTGAAGTGGTGATGATAATCTCTGTAGATCCTCCTGTGAATGTTCCAATTTTCTTATTGGGATTTGAAAAGAGAAAAGTATTTTAAATCCTTATCAAGGGTGTGGGAGAATGAATTTTTAAAAACATCTAGTATGATTGCCTTGCAGAATTAAGGGCCCACTTCTAATTTAAAGTCTGTGTGGCTGTGAGTTTTTCTCCAGACAGTTTTAGCTTCAGGGTTGCAGACACAGAGTAGGCAGAGAGTTGGATTTAACCAGGATTGTGGATCTGCCAAGTGAGTGAGACAATGAGGCAGGAGCATGGGAATGGAGGGTGTTTTCAAGGGAGTGACTACAACAATTAACCATAAAATTTAATCTGGAAGAATGTGAGGTCAATAAAAAGAAGGTAAAATGAAAAGATCAGAGGTCCTATTAGGGTCAAGGGACTGTTGAGGCCCTAATACTAGAGAGAGTGGACTGAAAAGGTAAGACACAGCGGTCAGAGAGTAGAATGTTTGAAATATCGGTTATGAAGGGGTCCGGGGTATGACCACAAAATAGTACCTAATAAGGTGAAAGACAAGATCTGTGGAAGAGGGATAGTTAAGGAACTCAAGGCCAAAGTGTAGAAAGATCATATGTACATCCATTGAAATCTACAATAATTAAGGCGGGGATATTAGTAGAGAGACTGAACTTGAGTCTTCTATCACCAAGAAATCAAAGGAAAGATCCCAGGAATCCATAACTGGCAGCAACGATGAGGGGAAGGGTTGACATCATGTGATAGCCTAAGATTCGTGGTTGGTTGTTTTTAGGAAGGAGGTAGAGAGAAAGGTCTGAAAGCAGCAATGAGGACACAGGACAACGTCTACCCCACCTTCAGGTCTTTGGTATAGAGCTGGGAGGAAAAGCAGCCACCATTAGAGAGGCTGTTGGGAAAATGTGACCTTGGGGAGGAGTCGACTTCTCCTTAGAGCAAAAAGGTGAAAGAGGATGAAGCTATGGGGGATTTTGCCTTCAACAGACTCTGAATTCAGAGAGCACAGTAGATGAGTTTTAGGACTTGGGGAGGAGTGAACTGAATAAGGCAGTGGTTTTTCACTGGGACCACAAACATCAACATCACTTGGGAACATGTTAGAAAAAATTCACATCCTCAGGCCTGACTTCATGCCTACAGAATGAGAAACGAATTCTGGCCCAGCAAACTGTTTTTTTAACAAACCCTTCAGGTGATTCAGATAAACACTAAAGCCTGAGAACCACTGAGCTAGGGAGCTCTTGGGACTTAAAGGATAGGAGAGGAGGGTGACCTGGGAGGTTTTGTAGTAGCTGACATAATCATGGAGAGAGGACATATGAGATTATTCCTGGATTCCAGGCAGATAGTTGGGACCAGTCCATGAGTGCTGGGGAAAGGAAGAGAATAGGGAAGAATAGGTTTCTGGGAGTCTGTCTTCACCCTTGAAGGCCTAGAGGGTCATAGATACAGAATTTCCTCCCGTCTTTTCTTAAAGGGTTTCTATTTGTGCATATTCTCACCATACTGAGCTTACCTGCTCCAGTATCTCTCTCTTCCTTCTTTCCATTTTTCTTGATCAATGATTCTGTTGTTGTTATAAGTAACAGAAAGCCATTGCAAGCAGCTTCAATCAATAAAGGAGATGTATGCTATGGGCATAAAGACCCTGAGGTAGAAAGCCCAGCGGTGCCCATGTGTGCATGTGTGCGTGTGTGCGTGTGTGCGCATGTGTGTGTGTGCATGTGTTCGTGTGTGTGCATGTGTGTGTGCGTGTGTGTGTGAGAGAGAGGGAAGGAGAGAGACTACATGGCTTCCACTACATACTCTTTTTTTCTCTCTGGGCATCCTTATGCTGTGCTTTCCTATGCTCATGCTTGACTGATAACACTCTCATGAGCTAATGAACATTCCTGCATCTGAGTTGCAGATTGCCAGGACAGCCTGGGTTAGGTAAGTACCTGATCAGCTATGGCTTGAGATGTGGTGTCAAAAAATGCAGACATGGCTGCCAGGGGCCACAGCGTGAGCAGGGTTAGGAGGGGTCATTTGTCAAAGGAGTGTGGCAGGCTAGGCAGCCACTGGAAACATGCTTACAACTGATACTTTGGTCTAAATTAAGGAGTTAACATAATTTAGGTGGATAAATACCTGGTAACTTTTTTTTCAAATGGTAAGTGGGATAGCACTTTGGCTAAGCATTGCTTTTCTAATAGTTTTAAACACTGATTTAATAATTTGGGAGAGAAAAGTTCCTTTTTGTAAGATAAAAGGTACCATTTATCTGAAATTGTAACATACATATTTAATAGACTAAAGTATTTTCTCTCATTGACTTAAATAAGCTAGGCCTATCATTCTGGGTATTTATAAGGCTGGTGTGTGTGCGTGCATGCACAGGTATATATTTTACATTGCTATATGTATGCTTCACCAACTTTATCTGCATGTCATAGAACTTCTGCAAGGTAGATTAGAGTGTATTTCATACTTCCAGCATCATCACACAGACAACTTTCCCAAGGAAATCCTCCAAAAATGAATTTTAATTAAGTAAGCCTTTCTTCTTCTCAGGCTCCCAAAATATTTAATTCAATCAAATTTTCTGAATTTCAGAAACACTTTTTATTCTTTTACCAATTATTTCTGGGTATATTTTACAAAAATTCCTTTACAAATATTTCTGAGACAAAAGAAAGGCATGGAGGCCCAGTATGGCTGAAGACAAATGATAAAGCAGACTCAAAACATGATATGAAAACTAAGCTTAGAAGAGAATCTCTATATGATCAATTGCCTACATCTGTGTTTAAGATCTTTTTTCCTTCCTTGTCTCTCCCTCTCTGTGTTCTCACTGGGTCTGTCCAAATGCCATACTCCCTTTTTTTTTTCCCCTGATTCACTTTCATTACTTGTGATGATATTTTCTCTTTTATGTGTCTGGAAAATATTTGAACAGCATTTGTAATGTGAGGCATGCTCATGTTTTTCCGGGTGAAACGTCCGAGACAACAGTCCAATATGTTTATGCAGAACAGATATTGGATGTTCCACAGATTTTTAAAAATACAAATGTACTGCCCTCATTTTTTATCTTAACTTATCCTTTTCATGAGATATTTGAAGAAAATAAAAACAGAAATAAAAGCTTCAAAACAACAGTCCAGTCGTGTGGTGGATTTTTTTTTTCAAATTGATCGTGTGTCATTGCCTCGATGAGGCCAGAGAGAGTGAAGTGCATAGGTGTTTCTGATATTTTCATAATGTTCTGGATTTGGATAACATTTCTTTATCCTGTTTATTGGGAAAATACTTGGACTCAGGTTATTTAAGTTATTTTTTGTGATAATATTACTAAAGGGGGTAAATGCCATGGGGAATTTCTTAATTCATGGTCATTTTCATTTTCAGTATATTTGTTGTTCTCTCATAGAGGCGCAGTGAGGTGAAGAATTTATTCTGATTTGCAAAGACCTGAATTTTCCTATCATTTATGCAAATAGATGAGGTTGAGGGCAAGCCCTTTGGATCAATCATGCTTTACAAACACAAACTTTGAGAATCTAATGCTAAAACAAAGGCTTGCTATTTGAAAGTTTTAAGTGACTGTATTTCTTGGTAACCCCCTCTTCACACACCTACACACAAACTAACACAGTGAGTTTCCTTTCAGACTTTGCCATCATTATAGTTACATCACTTGTATTGTCTGTCCATTCTGGACATGGCAGATCTGATACTACATGAAGTCAAAATCAATTAAGGCTTATTGTGCTGTCAGTTGATATTTTCTTTATGCAAGACTTCTTTAAAACCACGAAGCCAGGAATGAATGTTGAATTGAATGTGTGTATTTTGCATAATCACACTATTTGCCACTAACATAAGCTCTTCATACAGAAAGAATTCACAGGATGTAAGTCTCCCATGCATTGAAGTGTATCTATAGGAAGAGGGACAAATTTGCAAACAAGAGGAGAGAAAGAGAGAGAGAGAAAGAATAGGTATCAAATTTTGAGTGTAAATATTTTACAGTAATGCTTTAAATAGGATAAAGATATTATAAATCCAGGTAGTATCATTGTAGCAGAAAAACAAAAACAAAAATGAAGAGCAGAAATAGGCAGAGATAGACAGAAACCCAGTGGATAGAAGTATTTCATTCCCTCAGAGGCTTAGAGAGAGGGGTAAGGGAGAAGTAGACATAAAGAAGTAGGAAGGGGAGGATGTGAAAAAGAGAGGGAGCCTCCATTTCATGAATGGGAGGGTGGGGTTCTTCCCTGCCCTTCCAGATCTTCAGGAAATTGAGAAAAGAAAGGAAACCAGATGGCCCTTTCCCTCACCCTCCACATCCATCATCAAATCCCATCAGATCCATTGGAGAATACTGTTCATGCCTGCCTCCTTTGCCCCACTTTGTGCCCACAATGCCAGTCCTCCCTGGCCACAGGGTAGCTCTCCGCCAACTCATCACCTCCACCCTGGATTCCTGCAGGCATCTCCCAGCTAGGCTGTCGGTCCTACCACCCCAGTCTGTTCTGCACCTAGAAGCACCACTCGTTTTCCAAAAACAACATCTAATCTTGCCATCTCCATCTTTTGTCTTCGAAGTAATATTCACATTCCTTATCCTAGCTTAGAAAACTCTTTCCATTTTTTCCATGCCCACCTCTCCAGCCTCCCTCTTCTGTTGGAGTAAGGGGAGGCAGGAGAGTTATATCTTTATCCATAGTTCTGATACTAGTTGCATCTCCTGGATCACACCACACTCTCCTCAAATTTCTGTACCTACCTACTCACTGCTCCTACAGCCCAGCATAGTCTCCCTGACTTCCCCTCCACCTTCTACCCCTACGTGTCACTTAGTTCAGACAACTCCCTGAAGTCCTAGTCCCCAGATGCACTTTAACTTGTCAGAGGAAAAAGAGGATCCATTGAAGAACTTCTTATGGGCAGAATAAAAATGGAAGTATTTTGAAGTCCACCCCTACATGTAGACATTCTCCTTGTCTGGCTCACTCTTTTCCTCTTTTGGATCAATTGCATTTACAGAAGAAGGCATTTGAGTAGACCTCAACCCATGAGGGGATAAGCATCCAGGTGGCTTTCTGCCATTGCCCCCACCAGACACCAGCCAGTTGCCCAGGGTTCAGTCAGCATTTCCTGATGACTTGGAGCAGTTTACCCCATGGAGCGTCTCAGGGACTAAGAGCACAGACCTCCACCCTCAGCCTGACAATCTGTCTCCGTGTTGAAAAACAGTTCAAGGTAGCACTTGAGACCAAACGTGTCATTTTTCTTGTCAAAATGAAAGCTGTAAATTTTAAACCTAATGCTTAATGTATCCAGATATTGAACACAGGGACTTTTATCCTCAGCTTAATGGTCTGTCTAAAAACATCAAAAAAGATTACTTAAAAACTCTGGGCCTCAGAGGTCCTATAAAATTACATGAAGCACCACCACCCCCCACCACCATCTCCTCCAAGTTTTAAAAAATGTATTGAAAAACACTTGTGCAATAGATGAACTCCTTTTTTCTTAGCCTCAGATGTTAAGACTATGTACTTGATTGCTGGGGGGTGGTTAAGAAAAGCAATAGGATAAGATGAAATTTTATTAGATTACAATCTAAAATATTAATAGCATTCATGCTCCTGGGAAAGGATGGCTAACTTTATCCAGCATATTCTTGAACAGGAAAACGTAAACGTATGGCTTTCTCTCTCTAATATCATGCAACAATAAAGAAGAGCAGCATTTTTTAATTTTTTAAAAATATCAGATATTCGTAGAGACCTGATTGGAATGGAAAAACAGAAGAAGGCACATGAAAGAAGTAGAGAGATAGATGCAATTATTTTCTCCAATAAAAGGAGACTCGAATTAAGAGGTAAAGGGGAATTGCAAGATTTTAGGGATGAGGAAGTTATAACACTGGACCCTAGGAGTCTTGTCAAAAACTCAATCACAAGTACACATTAATCTGAGACCTTAAAAATCCACCCATAGCCAGAGTATCCATGGTCAGTTATGTGGCACAGTTTGCTTCCCAAGTCTTACTGCCATCACTGCAAAAAATTTTTGTTGGCACAAACAGAAATCCTCATTTCCTCTGGGCTATAAAAAAAGTGGTGTTTAGTTTTGTTGTTTAGTTTTGCTTACAATCATTATTTTTCTATCCAGAGAAAATTGTGAACCAGGAAGTTTAGAGGATCAAGAGTCCTTTCAGCTGTGATATGAAATCTGACTTGATTCTGTACACTGGTGCCTATTCTAGAGAACAGAGTTGCTAATTAGGGGGACACGATGTTTGGGAAAATGACAAGCTTCCAAGTGCCTCCTGAATTCAAAATTTCCAACATCTTTAAAGCACTATAGATTCACAGATGGTAATAGTATCATTTGCTTTACTCGCCTTAAGAGTGCTCTCTGATGTATCTGTTTCTGACATAAAAACAACTCTATTATAGGTCCCACATTTAAGAGTCTTAATTTAATGCCCTAACATTTTGGTGCATGTCTGGCTTACCTGCAGCAGCCTCATTAAGAATGACTCCCGGGCGAACGCAGCATCTAATGGGTTAATGAGGCTGGGCAGCCTCAGCCTGCTAGCAGCTGCTTAAGCAGCAGGCTGGGGAAAGCTCTGTTGATTTTCATTCTTCACTGCTGAGTGATGAAGGGCAACCTATATGAGAGAAATCTAGTCAGGCCACAACCTGTACTCACATACAAAAAAAAAAAAAATGTAATTCAATTCATGCCCCAGGTCAACAATTCCTCCATGATCTCTGATATAAGGGTAAGGTCAATGCATTTACAGTACATATGGGGCTAAAATCAGGAGATTTGGGAGTTTAGCCACTATTTTGATTATCATATGCTGTGGAAAATCAGGACTCTAGGAGCTGATCTAGAATCCAAATAGGTCTTTGAGCAGTGATGTATATCCCAATTAATGCTATTGACACCTTCAGCAATGATATTTCTTAGCTGATTATTTTGGATCTCTGAACTCATTTTGGAATACAGATTCCCAAATTCTATTCCTAACTAAATACAGTGCTCTACTGCCTAACAAAAATATATTCAAAGATGAAGAAATTTTAATGTTTCATATTGAATAAATTGAAGTATAAAATAAATTTGATATTTTAATTAAATAAATTGAAATGAGTCCTTCAAATAGTGTTCCTTTGTTCATTTGATACACCTGAAACATCTCCTTTGGTTTGGCTTCACTGGGTAAAAGAATCTCCTGGAGAGCTTGTTAAAACACAGATTCCTGGCCAGGTGCAGTGGCTCACGCCTGTAATCCCAGCATTTGTGAGGCTGAGGCAGGACGATCACTTGAGCCCAGGAGAGGCTTGAGCAACACAGAGAGACCCCGTCTCTACAAATAAAAAATTAGCCAGGCATGGTGGCGCATGCCTGTGGTCCCAGCTACTTAGGAGGCTGAGGTAGGAGGATCACTTGAGCCTGGGAAGTTGAGGCTGCAGTGAGCTATGATCGTGCCACTGCACTTCAGCCCAGGTGACAGAGAGAGACCCCATCTCAAAAAACAAAACACAGATTCCTGAGATCCACCTCCAGAGTTTCTTACTTAGTGAGTTTGGGTGTGGTCTGAGTGCTTACATTTCTAAAGAGCTCCCAGCCCATACCTGCTACAAGTCCACAGACCACACTTTGAGAAGCACTGTTCTAGGCTCCCACTTTCTTAATGTTCTTCTTGCAATGTGTCCTTTGCTGGGTTTTCCTTTTCCTCATGACATCTGACTTGGCATGCACTAAGGCTCCACACCTGTTCTCCCTTTCCTCCCAAGTTATCTCACTCAGTCCCATGACACTATGTGATATCACTAAACCGATAAAACCTGATTTTGTCCCTAAATTCATGATTGTATATTTACAGTCATCCCTCGTCTGCAGACAATACCTTCCAAGACCCCCAGTGGATACCTGAAACCAGTGCCAAACCCTGCATATACTACATTTTTTCCTATATGTACAATAAAGTTTAATTTATAAATTAGGCACAATAAGAGATTAATGACAATAATTAATAAAATAGAACAATTACAACAATATACTGTAAGAGAAGTTATGTGAATATGGTCTCTCTATCTCTCAAAATATCTTATTGTACTGTGCTGTGGATAACTGGAACCACAAAAAGTAAAACCGTGGATAATGGAGGACTACTGTACTTGCCTCTCAATATCTCCTGATTCTTCCTTAAACTCCCAAAACTGATCCTCTCCAGTGTTCCCCAACTCAGCAAATAGCACGAGCACTTAGGAAGTTGCTCAGGCCAAATCCTTAGTCATCCTTAACTCCTCCCTTCTTCTCATCCCCTCCAACCCATCAGCAAGTCTTGTTGGCTCTCCTTCAAAATATAGCCAGAATCTGGCCGTGTCTCCCTAGCTACACTGGCAAAGCCACCATTATCTCTTGCCTGGATTATTGTAATCATTTCCCAGATGAGCTCCTGATTAGTTCCCTTATCTCCCACCTCGCTACCTTTACAGAGCAAACAGCAGTTCTTTAAGGTGTAAGTCAGTTCTCTTCACTTGTCTCCGTTAAGCCCTCTCCAGATAACTTAGAACAAACAGCTGGAGTTCTTACGCTATCTCATAAAGGTCTACGTCATCTGACCACGTTCCCTCGTACTTTTCCCACCTCATATGGCAGAAGTTTCCCCTCACTCACACGCTCTAACCACACTCACCTCTCTGTTCTTCTTTTCCCACACCAAGCCTGTCCCTGCCACAGGGCTTTACACATGCTGTTTCCTCTGCCTGAAATCCTCCTTCCCTGGTTAGCTACAGGGGCCAGCTTAATCCCTTTTTCCAGGTTTCTGCTCAGATGCCTACCAAAGGTGCTTCTCTCTAAATGAGCACACAACCCAAATCTGTATGCTCTTTCAGAGAAAGCCCCTTATGGTAGACATCTGAGAACCCCATTCTCTAACCCTCTTGACCTGTTTCACCTTTGTTGCCTCAGCACATCTCACCCCTGATGACTTATTTTATATGTATTTGTTCATTGTCTGCCTCCCTTCACCAGAATGCGTGCTCCAGGGAAGGAAGAAACTTTTTTTCTCTCCACTTCTATATTCCCAGTGCAAGAAATAGTACCCGGCCTGTTGCAGGAGCTTGATATATATTCAGTGACTAAATAAATAAACTGATTGAAAAATGAACATTTCAGTTCGTCAAAAGAATTATTTTTTTTCCTCTCTAGATTTGATCAGTTATTTTATTTAGCCTTAGTCACTTTTAGATGCAACATTTTTACAGTATTTACTTCAAGGGAATTATATGGATAATTTGCATGAGTAAAAATTATCCAAAATACTAGTCACACAAGTTTTCAACAAAATTCTAAAAGACTATTTTACTCCATCCCCATTTCACCACACCCAATTTTTGCTTGAGCCCATGGTCCCCAGAAGCATTAGCCTGAGAAACAGTCTTTTCGAGTTACCCTCGGCACAGAAAAAGCTGCTGAGTCTATGGATCAAATTGATTGGCCACAGGTGGTCACAATGTTGGACAAAGAATGTACATTTTTAAACACTGGTAACTGCATAGAGTAATACTGCCTGTTTGAAATGCCACTGCAGCTGATTAATGCAGCTCAAGAGTTCTCGCTGTTGATAAATAGAAGAGATGGTGAAAGTCTGAGAGTTAGGTAAAGGAACCAGTATTAAAATAGCTTTGGAAAAATACACGGCAATACACAGCTACCATTCATCCCTTGCAGTGAAGAACTGTATCAGGGCTCAAAGTGACTCCTCTCACTAACTTTCCACCCCACTCCATTTAGTTTAACTGGATTTAGGTTTAAATGCTTTATACTCTGAATTCGACTGTCTTTGAGCTTTTTAAAGAGTAATGACATTGATAGTCGAACCTATGGACCATGTTGCATGTTTTCTCATGTTATTTGTTGGACTGAAGCTTGCAATGAAAAGCAACTATTAAAAAAATAAATGTGTGTGGAGATTAGAGTCCACATTTTGAAATGTCAGTAAATACAGTATTTATATGACAGATCATAATGACTTGTAAAAGGCAGCCATATGTGTATCAAGCTCTCAGTCTTCCTAATGTTTTTTTCTTAAAAAGAATATTTTATTTTTAAATCTGAAGAACACGACACTAAATGAATACTATCTTCCAATTTTTTTGAGGAATTCAGAGTATGATCAGAGGTCCTCAGCCCATGGACTTATCCTTTTCAAAGAGAAACTGGGGAGACATGTCCAGCTTGTGCACTCCTGGCATATCACAACATTTAGAGCAATAGATTTTAAAAAAGGAAATCAAGGATAGAACATTAGAGTCAGCTCCTCAGTCTTTAATGTACTGTTTCACTACTTAACCGTGCCTAAAGGTAGTCTGCTGGTGTACTTTTACAAATAGCACCATTAACAGAATTTTACATGCTTAGGTCACTTTACTTTGATCCCAAAGAAGTCTTAAAACATTGTACAAACAACAGACTGGAGGCTACATCCCTGAAAGCCACTTCTGGGGAGGAGAGGTGGTCCCTGACATAGCAACAGAACATGCGGGACAGTTTCAAACAAAGAACAAAGGCAAACGAGGGTCCTTCTGAAAACCGCCAAGGATGTTAAGTGTTTTCAGAGAGTGAAATCAAATACAACAGCATAAGGCCAGTGGAGAATTTTTCTAGGAGATAGAACCTTTGCTTAAAGTGATTAAGTACTTACTGGTCATCATAGACCTCCAAATTTCACATTCCCATATACATAAACTGAATCTCCAAATGCACTGAAATTATATCTCAGGCATAAGCTTTCTTTTGTTCTCATGCCAGTTTGTAAGAGATCTTTACATGAACAAAAGCTTCTGTCTTTACAATAACCATCTTTCTTTAGAAAAGGCATGCAATATACTTTTGGGATGCCAAATCGCACAATAGAGAAAACCAAATAATTCCAGTGAGGTTTGATGAGCCCTCAGAAAATCCTACAACAATTCTAGTCACCTGTCAATCAGGAAGTAGCTCATAAAGAATTGTGTGGCATTGCTACGGTCTATTACCTGTGATATTCCTTTTGGTTCACTTGAGATTTTTTTAAAAATACATAATGAATGCATTCAATAATTGTTTGAATTGCTGCTGTGCATCTGTCATAAATGGTTTATGGATAACCATCAATTGGTTCTGCTCATCAGTCTAACAAGTTCAATGTACTACTCAGAGCAAAGGATGACTATTTATTTAACAGCTCTTGGCAGGAAAATTTGTTGCATGCCACAACTTTACAAAGAACATTAAAATCAATGACAATTTATAAACCAAAGGCTGGGAATTATGCTTTGGATTCCCATAATTCATCAGAATAAAGCTGTCAGATACCTTTTATTATAAATTAATAGCATGTTGTCTAAGAGCACCATGGCACAGATGTTTTGCCAGTTCAGTACTGACATCTAGTGGACAATAAAAAATATTTCCCCATCTTTTCTTAACTCGATTTTCCTTCTTTCCCAAAAGATGTTTGTTGTTGCTTCATTAGTCAGATTTTTGTCGTGCAAGAAAATATATTTGAGTTGAAGTTTTGTGTATTTGTATTTGAGCCAACAAATATGTCACAGGTTTGAACTTTTACTAATAAACATTGGCAACGTGTGCTTAACGTAATTCAAAAACTACTCAGCTAGCCACACCTTTTTTTAAAAAAAAAAATCTTCTTCTATATTTTAAATATATTAGTACTTGTTATATTTGGGGACTTAATTTTTTCCAAATCTTTACTACTAAATCAACTATACTATATTAAAGTAACAAACTTTTAACTCTAATATTCTCATAAAGAAATAGAAATATAGTTCCAAGATAAGCATTTACTTAGCCTGCATTCGATTAAAATCTAGGATCAATTTACTTTTTGTGAACTTGTATCTTCAATTTGATGCAACTTATGAATAACCAATATAGTGCAAAGAAATGACTTACTTAAATGCATCGTTTGTGATCTTGCTTTCTTAAACAGTACTTTCAGGCTGATCTACACAATAGCATTCCATGGTCATTAACACATTCAAAAGCTGAGAAACATCCTACTGTGCACTGGCAACCTCTCAGGCACATGGTCTTGGCAAGAGTCCCACCCTGGAACATGCTAGGATTTTTTAATGCTCCAAGTAACGGACAAATCTGAGGCTTTCCAAGCTTTCCAGAATATCACCTGATCTGAACTCATGCTGGATATGATTTTCTAGGGAGCTAAGGAGGCTAAGATGTGCATTCTTTTCAGAGTCTTTTGGTATTTAGAGTACCTGAAAGTGAAGCAAGGAGAAATGAAACTAGAGTTTATGATGTACCTGCTCTTGTATCTGGCACTGTGATCGGCACTTTACATGAGAAATTAATAGAGTACAGGTCAGGGATGAAAATTAGCGTTCCAATTTTATACACCTTAAAAGGAACATGAATACACGCTCTAGTGCTGGCATCAAGCTGAAATTTCTAGGAGACAGAATGGTATCTCTTTATAACTTGATTGTTACTAGAAGACAACTGGAGAAACTCACCTAAAATCATAATCTGCACCATTCCACTCTACCAAACTATAAAATGGTGAGAATGGTATTTGAAACCACCTTGCAAATTTTGTGAAATTCTATATACTCTATTTTAGGCTACTTTGAAAGCCGTGCATTACAATTATTTCAGAAGACCTATGTGATTATTATGAAGGTGAATAAACAGAACATAATATCCTCCCATGATAAAGAGAAAGCAACTCTTTATAGTTCTTTATATGAAAGGGGGGTGAACCTGCTCAAAGCATAAACCCACAATTTTTATACAATAATATGAAAAGAACTGTTTCAAAGTTTTCATGGTTTTCTCATGTAACAAACTCTACAATCCTAGTCCCTACCTCCAAATTATTATTGGAACATCTTTCTCAATAAGCTTTTCCAAGTCATTAAAATAAAGACAATGCATGAATAAGGACAACTGAATAGCATTTCATCAACTAACATGGCTTCTCAATGGGTAGTTTTTTACATTACTAAAAGACAAATTAGGCTGCCTTCTGCTATCATAAATAACCAGTTCTTTTAATAAAAGAACTATTATCATACATTAGTCTTTGGCCAACATTTCCTTATTTTTAAAATAATTTTAACTCTCTAGTTATTCCAAATCCTATTTTCATCTTAGCTATTGACCTACTCAAACTATCTCTCAGGAACATTTGAAAGATCCTCATTGATGGAGAAATCCCTAAATGCTTAAGTACACCTGCCACAGTCAGACCTGGAGGCTAGAATATGAAAGCACTGGACCATGTATCAAATACAGGTCGAGAAGCTCAGGGTGGATTTTTTAAGTGAAGAAGAAAAAGCTTAAGTTGAACTAAAGAAGAAAGAAAGAGAAGAAAGAAGAAAGAAAGAAAGAAAAAGGAAGGAAGGAGAGAAAGAAAGAGGGAGGAAGGAAGGAAGGAGAAAGAAAGAATGAAAGAAAGAAACAAAGAAAGAAAGAAAGAGGGAGGGAGAGAGGAAGGAAGGAAGGAAGGAAGAAAGAAAGAAAGAAAGAAAAGAAAGAAAGAAAGAAAGAAAGAAAGAAAGAAAGAAAGAAAGAAAGAAAGAAGAAAGAAAACAAACCACTTATTTGGAAAGCATAACAATAAAAAGGGACCTATAGGTCTTGAAGGAAAGATCATGAGCAAGAGACTCAAAGCTGAACCCTAATCCCAGGACAAGTCACTCACTGTCCTTTTCTATACCCGCTGCTGTTCAGGCAAGTCAGGACCAAAAACATAGCAGGAAAACCGTAGACCCGCATGGGCACCTCCTCCTGATCCACACAGGATAAAGTTCTTAGTCATAACAAGTTTTGTTAAAGCCTTCTCCCCATTCCTATTATTTTAGGTTGTGATTGAAGTAGATAGAATCATCATGCATTAGATCTGGAAGGGACCTCAAAGAACACTAGTCTAACCTCAATCGCAGACAAAAAAAAAAAAGCCTCAGAAAGATTAGGGGTGTTGGAGGCCAGTAACATGACAACTGAGTTCCATAATGCTGTGGGGTATGGGGCTACCAGGGTTGAGACCGTAGGAAGCCATCAAGTCCAGAAGGACTCAGGCCAAAGGGATAAGTTAGGGCTAGGAATAAAGACTGGACGATAGCCACAGGGAAGTGTGACGACAGACAGGGAAGGCCTGTCCCAGAAGTATGTGGTCAGGCAGAGGTGAGATCCCTGAATAAGGAAAGCATCCAGGAGCAAGGACTCATCCAGGCACCAAATTCCAGACCAGACTTTATTTCAGAATTCAAATAGCATGTGAGAAGTCAAGGTAGGCAGCACAAAAATAAGGACAGCAGAGCAAGGCAGATGGATAAGAACCCAGAGATCCACAAAAGGAAAAAATACATTCAAGCACACAATCAAAGCAAGACTTAGCCCCACTTCCTGCTACCTGAAAAGCACTTCAGAAAACAAAGGTAACTCCGACCCAGGCTGAGAGATTTTATAAAGTTCTATGGAAATAGGATTCAATCCCAGCCCAGCTGAATTGGCAGGTGTGGGTGGTAATTGGAGGACCTGGACAAGGCGATGAGTACAGTACATAGGTATTAAATGACTAGAATGTCAGGAGGGCAGATGCTAACAGAGCCCAGCTTAGTCTAATATACTATAAGTATTGGAAACCTCAAATTAATAAGGTGTGCAATTTATACATACACACAAGTTTGTGTTTGCACACACATGCGAAAACTACAACTTGATAATCTGGGAACATTTCATGTTCAGTTCTTCTTATTTCCTCTCCCTTCAACTTTCAGTCATTTTATTGCTTGTTAATAGTCTTTCCACCACCAATCCCCAGTGCACTTTAAAATTATTTTCCTGGGTAAAATCACATCTTCTATTTATTTTTCAACTTTGTTTATAAAAATGTCTAATTTAAGGTGTCATTTGCTGAAGAGCCAGGGTACATATTTATTTAATAAATGTTTATGCTTTTTTGAGTCTGTCTTAGTACTCTGTGTCCAACGGGGGACTCCAGAAAAGCACGTGTGGTGCATTCAAATCAGTCTGTGATCCAGCTGAGAATTTTGAATCTAAAGATTGAAATTTTACCTGACCACATCAGACACCATCTTTTTACTGAATATTAAAAAATTGAGTAAACTTCTAATTAAATGGGTTAGTTTAAATGATGAAAAACAAAATTAAACTTGTAGGGATTTTTAACTGAATGATTTCAGGTTAATTAGTGATTAGCAGCAGAAAGGAAACTGTGTGGTTTATTAAAAAATGTATTTAATCAATGATTTATAGTTAATTAACTTCACTTAAATCTCTCCTTCAATCTGTCACAAATATTTCTATCTTTGAATTTCTTAATAAAAAGACAAACTATTATTTGGAGAAATGGGTGGAGGTGGGGAGACAATTGAGAACTCCAATAGCTTTCTATGTATTCTTTTTGATATTTTATCTGCAAAGTTTTCATAGTTACACAAGAACCACATGTTGATGTTGTGTGATAATCCCAAGCAGAGATATCAATTACTGTAACTGATGAAATAACTAAATATCAACAGTAAAAGGACCTCCAAGATGGCAAAAAAGAACATCACAAAGGGGGGAAAATGAGTTGCTGGCCAATATGTAAACAAGAATTTGATTCTGTTTATTTCTTCCTTCCTTCAGATATGTTGAAGAATTTCTTTGTACCTTATACCTGTCATGGTCCAATTTAATATCTTTCTGCTTTTTAGAAGGTGTTTTATGTAATCCATTGGAATATTTCCAGGAGAAGAGTGAGAGGGAGACAAAAGAAAAGTGGGGAGAAAGACAGAAGAGAATGAAAGAGAGAAAGACACAGAGAGAGAGAGAGACAGAGAGAGAAAGAAGAGAAAAAGATGGGGAAAGAAAGAGAGAGAGAGAGAGAAAGAAAAAAGGAAGGAAGGGACAAGAAAGAAAAGGAGAGAGAGAGAGGGAGGGAAGGAAGGAGGGAGGGAAGGAAGGGAGGAAGGAAGGAGAGGAAGAAAGAAAGAATGAGAAAGAGAGAGATAGGAAGGAAGGAAGGGAGGAAGGAAGGAGAGGAAGAAAGAAAGAATGAGAAAGAAAGAAAGAGAGATAGGAAGGAAGGAAGAAAGGAAGGAAGGAAGGAAATGATTCACAGGAACATAAGGCTTAATATATAACAATGCCCTTGGCAAAAGTTTTGCAACGCTCCACTCCTGGCTTAACTTCTGTTTATTTTTGTAATAGTAAATGTTATCAAAGTAGCGATCCTTGAGAAAGAAGACCTATATTTTGCTCCAACGTCAGTATGTCAAAGACAGAACAGTACAAATTTCCCTGAAGTCTTGTGTTTATTTTCATCCCTGACTTGATCTTTTTTCAGAGACTACAAAGCCAATCAAAAGAATTTCTGAAACTCAATAACAAAAGGCTTATCATTTTACAAATTGTCAAGGCCTCTCCTGTGGCACACCACAGCAGAGGTGTTGCTCAGGCACATTTTCACAAACTGTGAAATAAAGGAAAATTATTGGGAAGATGAGAATTTGAGCCCCGTATCTGGTTGTCACGTGTTGCATCAACCCAAAGAATCTGCCAATGATAGAAACAGGACACAGAGAAACTCTAGGCAGACAGGGGCAGGTCCCTGGCAAAATCCCACCTTCAAGCTGAAAAGCCTGAAACCCAGTGGCCCAAAGTGAGAACTTCCATCCGTGTGTGCCCGCTCTCTCTCCTGATTGGTTCTTTCTGAATAGTGTCTTTACCAATCAAATGTTGCCTTTTCCAAAACTACCTGTGGCCCACCCCTGCCCACTATCCTGTGCCTATAAAGACCCCAGACTCAGCCAGTAGAGAGGAGAAGCACCTGGACATCAGGGAGAAGTGACCTGACTTCAGAGATGATGGCTGGACATCAGAATGAGGCAACTTGACTTTGGAAGAGAGGGAGACAGGTGGCTTGACTTCAGGAGAGAGCAATCTGCCATTCCCATCCCCTTTCCAACTCCCTTCTCTGCTGAAAGCCACTTTGATCACTCAATAAAGTTCTCCACATTCAGCATCTTTCAATTCATCTGCATGACCTCATTCCTTTTGGGCACCAGGCAAGAACTCAGGATGCACCAAGTATGGGTACCCAAAAAGGCTGTCTCACTGGCCCTTTGCCCTTGCTGGTGGAGGGCAACTGCCCCATGTGAGGAGGCAAAGAGCCCACTAAGCTGATAACACTCTGCTGTCTGTGGACAGTGGAGCTAAGAGAGCATTGTAACACACCCTCTGGAGCCTTGGGGTCATAAGCACCCCCAACCGGGACACTGCCACAGGGGCTGCATGGAGTTTGCTCCTGCTGGCACTAAAGCAGCCGGCCGGTTCCTGCACTTGCTCACTCTGGTTCCCACACTCATTCGTTCACACGCTGCCTCCTGCAAGGGGTTGAACAGGGTGGGCTGAGTAAACAGGCCACCCCTGTCGCGAATCTCACAACGGGGTCAAAAAAATATCCTGCATTACCAAGTCTCCTTCTGTTTTTAGGACAGAGAGAGCATCTCCCACTTCACTTGGCACTCAGTTATTACTACAGACCCTCACACAAGTAGCAACTCAAAATGAATAAGCTTCCTCAGACTCTTGGGTTGCTTAAGAAGTGTCCTAACCTTTGCCCTTCACTCTATGAAATCTAAATGTGAAAATCTCCAGGCTATCCTTACATCTCACCTCTAAAATGTACCCACCGTCAGCAGTGTGCTGTGTTGATGCCTGTGTTTCTGGGTTAGTTTGTGTGATTTGCATGTACTTAACCTGGAGATGCCTGTCTACCTCAGCATTGCCCAGGGTCATCTCAGAGAGCAGGAACTGGATCTTTATTCAGATATAGCTTGTTTTTTTTTTTTAAATCTAGCATGTAAAATTTCCAACCAAGATAAATCTGTTCACCAGAAGACGTCTTGGAGATCATTTTGTTTTAATTCCTAATTTTACAGATTCATTCATTCATTCATCTAACAAATACTTATTAATCCCAGAATTTCCCAAAGATTTTAATGATTTAGTCAGAGAAACTAAACATGTTGCTCTGTGTAGCACAGAAATTTAAAGGGTGAAATTTTCCTAAATTATCATCCTGTTATTTAATTTCAATGTTGAGAAGTCATTATTGGTATTTCCAGATGTATCAAAGTAAATGTTGGATATGTTCATTTTTAGTTCCCCAATCTCAGTCACTAAGAAGCCTCCCTCCATTCTTTCTCCTTTTTTTCTAAGCTCATCAGAGTCCCTATTCCTAATCTTTTTTATTTAGTGGCAAAATAAATATGGAATCAATCATATAAACCAAGAGCAGCAAACTTTTACCTAAAGGGCCAGAAATTTTTGGCTTGCAGACAACATAATCTTCATCTCAACTCCTCAACTCTGACATTGAACTGGAAAGCAGCCATAGACAATAAGTTAATTAAGAGGTTATGATTGTGTTCCAATAAAACTTTACTTACAAAACTGGTTGAGGATCAGACTTAGTCCATGGATTGTACTTCACTGGCTCCTGATACAGACTATTACCTAGGAGTGATTACCAGCTAACTCACCATCTTTACCAGAAGATGAATTGCCTTTCCCCCTATTGTAATTCCCATCTCTTGATGAAATCTCTTAGGACAGTGCTCTTCAATAGAAATTTCTGCTGAGATAGAAATATTCTATATCTCTCCTGTCCAATATAATCACCACTAGCCCACGTGGCTACTGGACACTTGAAATGTGGCTAGTGTGATTGAAAAATGTTGATAAATTTTAAATTTTATTAACTTTTTATTAAGTGGCCGCATGTGGTCAATGGCTACCATGCTGAACAGTGCACCCTTAAGGAGTAATTAAGTCCATCAGGCACTATATTAGACAGATCCAAAATACTGGGAGGTTTACTGTCCCCTCAAATCACAATGTATAAGTAGGTATACGTATGACCAGCCTTGGGAATTTCAAATGCATTCTTCTTTTTACAAAATAACTCTTCTAGATAAGTTTCCCAGTATAAAAGTCTGATTCCATTTATTTTTATTTATAAACAATCTTTTGGGAGTCCATCAGTTGGATTAAATATGCAACATTTTTATTTGTTTTTATATAGCCTTGTATTAAATTTGAGTTAATAAAAAATTGTACCTACAATTTTAAGAGTTGAGGATATATCTTGCAGTGTGCCCACTACCTGTCTGAAAATACAGACACAAAAACAAATCAGTATACTACAATGTCATAAGTTCCCTAGTAAAGTATGCATTTCATTAATAGGAACACAGAATAACTAAACTTCTTGAGGATGGCTGAATCCGAGAAGACTAAAAAGAGGAGGAGGTATTTGAGTTGGGTGTTGACCAGGAATAGGGAGGAAAAGCATTTCAGGAGAAGGGAATAGCATTAGCAAAGTCACGTAAGTGGGTAGTGACTTCCAGTTTGGGGGAATGATGAGTAATCTGGTATGACCAGAACACAGGGAGGCAGGGCAGCAATGTCCAGAGATAAATTCAGAAAAATAGGTTAAATTCAAATTGAAAAGGTCATTGTATGTGTGGAAAATCTCTTGCAGGCACTAAGGAATCATCATAGGTTTTAGAACTCAGGGAATGGGGGTGACAGTTAAGATCTTTGTTGTAACTCTGGCTGCTGTGTGGAAGACAGTTTGGAAAGACTACATGTAGAAAGAATGTGCAAATAAAAGCTTTGTATTAATTTTTAATGCTGAAGATAAAAAAGATTAAGAAGATCATACATCACTGGATTAATGGCCATGAATGTTACTCCAAAACTTGTTAAAGCATTTATCAGGGGTCAAAGCTGTAGGTCATCAGACTAAATTTCATCCATAGATGTGTACTGTTTGTTTTACAACTTTCTTTTAATATTTTGATTTGGCTGCCAATATTTATATGTAAGAGGATTTTACATGAAAATCCAGATTTCTCTTTAGAGTGTGCATTTCCTTTGAAAAATCAAAAGATTGGATTACACTGGGCCTGCATTCTGTCCTGGCAACAATCAGCTGTTGCTGGGTAGCACCCATTGCACTCCTGACAGAGCAGCAACCCTTGCTTTCCTTGGTTCCCACTACTTCCTATTATTTGACTTCTAGTCAGTTTCACTCATTTGTGACAACTGACTGTCCCTGAAGGCATTTGAGTTTTTTACCCCAATTCCAGACAGCAGGTCTAAAATTTCATTCAGTTTTATAAACATCCTCTATAAATAGTATCTTCAACAATGCCCACTATATTTTTATTCTAACAACAATGGGACTTTAAAATGTTGCTTTCTTGAAAATATTCAACATTTTCAACCTTTTTGTTAACTTAGGCATACCCATTCTTCTTGAATAGCTTCATCTCAAAAATTTAGAAGAAAGAAACAATAAAATGAAGAACCAGCAAATCTCTATTAGACCTGAGCCTTAAGCAGTTCTGTTGTTTCTTCTGTTGGAGCCTGTGCAGTCAGCATGTCTTAGGCCAACTTGTTTTCCCAAGATGATTTGTCCTACATATCTATGTGTGCCATCTTCCCTGTGCTAGCCAGAAAGGCCTCTAACTATTTTAAACATCTGGTCAACTCATCGTTTTGAGATAACACCTCTAGTTGGAAATTAGAGGTTTTTATCTGCTTGTCATCAATAAGGATGTGAATAATTAGCAACATTGGTGTAGGTTAAATTGGAGTTAATTTTAACCTAGAGAAATTGTATTACACCAAGCCCTTGACTGTGTAGATGCTGTAGATTTGTCAGCCTGCTACATGCCAAATAATATGTTCATATATGACAGTCAATGGCTGGTGACATTTTCTTCTTGGTTTGTAAAACTGTGAGTGTTCCTGTGGGTTTTTTGTCCTATTACTATTATACAAAATATTGGGTGAGTGAAATGTGTTTCTTCTGTGTTTGTATAAAGCCTCTAGGACCTTACACAGAGCAATATAAAACCACACTTGCTTTATAGGAAGTGTATATTCATCTTAATTTTCATAAAGTGGGAAGGAGATGAAACTGTAAAACCATGAATAATTTTCATTGTGATTATATGACCACAGGGACAAGATGGCAAGGATGGTTTATGAGGAACCATTTTCTCCTGTCTTTTACTAAGTGTTTAGAATTCCCCACTCTTCTAGTATTAAGTGGTGGGGGTGGGGGTTGGGGGGTTGGGAGGACAGGGAGCACGGGGTATAAATTGTCTTATTGTATGGATTCCTTGCCTGGAATCACAAGAGATCACAACAGTTAAATGCTAGACCTTACCCTTAGGCCAAATTTTGGGAGAGATGAGTCTCTCCAGCCCCTCAGTTCTATCAATACCTTCACAATGCACTTAAGAAAACCCCACAGAGCTGTTGAGTCCAGGAGGCCTGGTGTTAAGAGAGCTGCCTCCACTCTAGGCTCACAACTGTGATTCTCTGTGGCTCTCTCTGAGCTGCTGAGACTCAGCAGACCTTAGGAAGAAGTTCATCTTTCTAGCTGGTGGTAAAAATTACCCCTTCGTCAGATTGACTAGCTAAGCTAGGACACCCAGTCATATGCTAAGGCTAAAATTCTTGCCAAGGCAAGTAGCCAAAGAGGAAAAAAAAAATGTCAGGACGCTAAAAGGTCAGGGCTGCATCCTTGAGCCATAAGCCTAATCCCACAGGCCTAATTCTACCTAGGAGCCTTAGAATTTTCTAGGGTAACTGTCACATCTACATTGCCAAAGGCACATGCCTTCCATGTGTGATAAGTTCTTTTTCACTCCGAAGTGGGGAAAAAACAGCCAGGCACAAGGGCTAATACCTGTAGTCCCAGGTACTTAGAAGGGTGAGGCAGAAGGATCACTTGAGCCAAGGAGTTCAAATCTAGCTTGGGAAAAACAGTGAGATCCCACCTTGAAAAGAAAGAAGAAGAAGAAAGAAGAAGAAAAGAAGAAGAGGAAGAGGAAGTGGAAGAAGGAGGAGAAGAAGAGGAGGAGGAGGAGGAAGAGGAAGAGGGAGAAGGAGAAGAAGAAGAAGAAGGCGGCAGTGGCAAAAGAGGAAGAGGAAGAAAAAGAAAGAGGAGGAGGAGGAAGAGGAGAGGAAGGAGGAGGAGGAGGAGAAGGAAAGAAAGAAGGAAGGAAGGAAGGAAGGGAGATCCTGAAGAAGAAGAGGAAGAGGAAAGAAGGAAGAAGGAAGGAGAAAGAAGAAGATCCTCCCACTGTCCACAATATCTATGCTTAAGAATCTTAGCGTTGCCTAAGCAACTTCACTGTCTCTGTTCACAGGGAGCCCACAGAAGACATTGCTTTGGGGCTATTTTCATGAATCAGGACAATTTCATGTCCCATTTTGACTCGAGAGACATTTGAGTATAGGTACTTTACATTGGCCATGTTGAAGTAGATCATAAAAAAGTACCTAAACATAGTAGCTCTTGATCCTGTTCAATATACATCACTTCCTCTGCCCCCAACCCATCTATTATGGAAGACTTTTACTTTGTTCATTTCAGTGTTATATGGGTTTTAGGAGCGCATACAGTTTAAACTCCCTTAGACAATGTCCACTCAGCAAACTTGCCAAATGAATGAATATTCTCCATACCCTTTCTAAACCTTCCTGGCTGATGCCCATAGCATCCAAATGCTTAGATCAGCAGGCTTTCCACATGCTTACCAAAAGTTTACTCCATTTGTCTCCCCACCTGTTAAGCCAATTGTACTTTTCTTAATTATATAAGTTAATAAAATATTTAAATACGAGCATGAAGAGAAAGCGGGCTATTTCTATGAAACTAAGTTGAATATTTGGAAAGACTTCATAAAGCCAAGTTGAAAAAAATTAGCTAAATTAGGTGAAATGAGATCATAAAAATTTAGAAGGTTTCCATATTTGTTCATGAAAAATTTCAATTTCTTCCTCCACTTTAAATGCAATGAAACTGCATTTTGGAATTATGAATATCCTTTAGGAAAGAAACACCAAACAGAACTCCAATCAGCAAATTCACACTCAATGAAAAGCCTTGCTTTTGTATGAAAAGATTAATGAATGAATGTACATTTGTGTATTTTAAGTTAAAAAGTTTACGATATGCATGTTATCACTTTTATGATCCTGGCTTTCACCACATTTTTCAATTTATCAACCAACCTCAAGTCTCAGCTACACTAGATAAGAGGACTTCTAATATATTATATTCATAATAATTTTATTTTAAATAAAGGTTTTAAAAGTTCTTTATAACTATGTTAGCCTTTCAGAGGATATCAATCCCCTTACCCATAATCATCCTTGTGAAAGAGTTTCATTATATTAAATATAACATACATTACTAGGAGTGCTAAAAAAAAAAAGTGTTGAAAACTTGAGAGACTTTCTTGGGTTATTAGGAAGTAAGAAAAAATAATCACACAATGGCTCCAAAATTATATCTTCAACATCCTAAACTTTCAAAGGTTAATCTGAGAATTTGAAGTATAGATCATTCAAGATACAAGTTAATTCTCTTAAACTAACAGGCATTTGGCTTATAGGGATGGCTGGCCCTTCCTGAAATGCACTTCACGTGCATTTTAAATGCCTCGCGATGCTGAGGACTTGGCCTATTTACCACCACATTCCTTGTCCTTCACTCTCATCATATTCTCACCCCACACTTCAGACAGAGACTCAAGAAAAAGGTTGTCTCCTTATATGTTACTCTGTAACTTTTTTTTCTTATCATTTTAACCATTTGTAAGTATACAATTCAGCATTATTCACAATATTGTATAACCAGTACCATCTAGTTCCAGAATTGTCATCCCAAACAGAAACACTGTACCCACTAAAAATAACTCCCCCTCTTTCCATTTCCCCCAGCTCCTGGTAACCACCATTCAACTTTTTGTCTCTGTGAATGTTCCTATTCTAAGTATATTCATGGACTCATACAATATTTATCCTTTTATGTCTGCCTTATTTCACTTAGCATAATGTTTTCAAGGTTCACCCATGTTGTAACACATGCTAGGACATCATTCCTTTTTATGGCTGAATAATATTCCATTGTATGTATATGCCACATTTTGTTTATCCATTCATCTATTGATGGATTCTTGGGTTGTTGTTTTGTCACATTTTAAGAGTTGAAAGTTTTTTAGTTTGTTGTATTTGGGGGCAAAGTCAAATTGTCATCAAAACGTTTATACTAAAAAAAAAAGAAAAAATCCCAGGTAGGAGTGGCTGAGTCAAAGCAGCCAGAGCCAGAGCCACAGACACAGACCCGATGATGCACAGTGTGTTATGAGCTGCGTTGCTGTCCTCCAAGTTTATATGCTGAACTCATAACCCCCAGTACCTCAGAATGTAACTATATTTGGATATAGTGTTTTTAAATAGATGATTAAGTTAAACTGAGGTCATTAGGGTGAGCCCTAACCTAATATGACTAGTTTCCTTATAAGAAGAGGAGATTATGGCACAGAGAAGGACAGAGAGAAGACCATGTGAGGACACAGTGAAAAGTGGACCATTTACAAGGCAAGAGGAGAGACCTCACCTCAGAAGAAACCAATCCCACCAACACCTTGAACTCAGACTTCCAGCATCCAGAATTGTGAGAAAATAAATTTCTATTATTTAAGCCACCCAGTCTGTGATAAATTGTGGCAGCTCTAGCAAATTAATGCACCATGTCTCCCAAATTTGACCAGTATGACTCTGCACCACCAAGACCTTGAAGGCTATTGGCAGTGAAATGTTGTTTCTCCATGAGGCCTTTCCAGATCCCTTCCATCAAGAAGACTTTTTTCTCTTCCTTCATTCTGCAGTACCAGACACACATAAGGATCTCTGAGCTCAGCGAGTTTACATTCTAGACAAGGATAGCAAATGAGTGGTGGAGATAGATGAAAAACAATAAGCACAATAGCCAAGTATATTATATTACATGTTAGAAGATGATGAGTGTCATGGGAAAATTAGAAGAGAATAAGGGGGAGTGTTAATGTGGAATGCAGAACAATCACAATTTTAAACAGACAAGCCAGGGTAAGTTTGAGAAAATGGCATTGGAGAAAAAACATCAAAGAGATGAGGAAGTGATCAGTGAAGATATTTGGAAGACTAGAAATCCAGGTAGAAAGAGCAGCCAATGGAAACGCCCTGAAAGCAGAGCATGCCATAAAATATTCGAGGAACTGGAGGAAGCTTGGTGGCTTGAACAGCATGAGCCATTAGAATAGCAGAAAGAGGCTGGGCATGGTGGCTCCTGACTGTAAGCCCAGTACCTTTGAAGGCCTAGGTGGGAGGATTGCTTGAGGGCAGGAGTTCAAGAGTTCCAGCTACTCAGGAGGCTGAGGTGGGAGGACTGCTTGAGTCCCGGAGTTGGAGACTATAGTGAGCTATGATGGTGGCACTGCACTCCATCCTGGATAATAGTGACAGGGAGAGACCTTGTCTCTTAAAAAAAAAAAAAAAAAAAAGGAAAGAAGAAGGAGAAGGAGGAGGAGGAGGAAGAGGAGGAGGAGGAGGTGGAGAAGGAGAAGGAGGAGGAGGGAAAAAGAGAAGGAGGAGGAGGGAAAAAGAGAAGGAGGAGGAGGGAAAAAGAGAAGGAGGAGGAGGGAAAAAGAGAAGGAGGAGGAGAAGAAAGGAGAAGGAGGAGAAAACAAAGAGGAAACAGGACTGTGTAGAGCATTTTAAGGACTTTGGCTTTTATTGTGAGTAAAATGGGAAGCTATTGCAAGGTTTTGCGCACGAGTGACATGATCTGATGAAGAGTTTTACATGGATCACCCTAGATGCTACGTTGTAAGGTGGATGGGCAAGAAAATAAATGAGGAGATCAGCTGAAAGGCTACTACAATAATCTAGGCAAGAAATTTTGGTGGCCAGGCGCAGTGGCTCACGCCTGTAATCCCAGAACTTTGGGAGGCCAAGGCAGGTGGATCACCTGAGGTCAGGAGTTCAAGACCAGCCTAGCCAACATGGTGAAATGCTGTCTCTACTAAAAATACAAAAATTAGCCAGGTGTAGTGGTGCATGCCTGTAATCCCAGCTACTCAGGAGGCTGGAGCAAGAGAATCGCTTGAACCCAGGAGGCAGAGGTTGCAGTGGCCCAAGATTGTGCCACAGCACTCCAGCCTGGGTGACAGAGCAAGACTCTGCCTCAAAAAGAAAGAAATGTTGGTGTTAGGGTGGTGTACAAGGGCAGTAGCAGCAATGGTGAAAAGAGGTGCAATTCTATATATAACTTGAAGGGAGACCCAATAGAATTTAATGATTTGATGTAGAATGTAAGAAAATCGAGAGTAGTCAAGAATGACTCCAAGGTTTTGGACTGAGTATATCCAAGGACTGAGGTGGCCATTACTTGGGTTAGGCAAGAGTGCAGGTGGTACAGGTTTAGAAGGTGTGGCATGGGAGTGGAGGTATTAGGAGTTCAATTGTACAAGTTAAAATGTCTATTAAAAACCCAAGTGGAAATGTTAAATAGGCCATTGGATACAGTGATCTTGATTTCAGGAGAGGGAATAGAAGAATTAATATGTCAGTCTTTAGCTTAAGATAATATTTAAAGTCATGGGACCAGAGGAAACCACCAAGTAAATGGGTCCAGACAGAGAATGGAAAACCTCCAAGGGCTAATCCCTTAGGTACTCCAATTTTGAGACACTGCCTTTGCCCTTTCCTCTGGCTTGATCCCAGTTATAATTATCTCTAATAAATTGTACATTTACCACAATCTGTCTTACATGAATACTTGTCTATACTATACCTTCCCTACTAGATTATAAACTCTCAGAGTTCAGAGACATCTAAATATCTTCTTGTGCTTAGAATAGCAACATTACATAGAATAGGTGTCAAATGAATATTTGCTGAATTTAGCTTTTATTTCTTTTTCTCTCCCTCTCACAACACACACATATACTTGTGTACACACACACAGACACACACACACACACACGAGGCTGCAACACTCCCTGACTATGCAACTTTGGACAGCTTATTTAACCATTTTATTCTATTTTCTTCTTTTGTTCAACACATGTTATGAAGATTAAATGAGACACTAAATATGAATACATGGTAGCTAGTCAGTAAAATATAACCACCTTCTCCTATTTCAGCTCCTATTTGGAGCTGACTTTAATTTCATTAATACATATTTTTTAAAAAATCTATGGGCAAAAAAAGGGAAGAAATCAGCAAATAAGCAGTGTTTTCCAAGGTGTGGCCATCTCTTTCAAAAGCTCCTGGTCAAATGTTTTGGAAACACTGAACACCATATTGGCCTCAATAAAATTCATAGTGCTTGTTAGGATAAAACCTCCCAGTCATTAGAGAAGAAATTGTTCATCCCAGGATATTTCAAACCATTCAGGCATATAATATCTATTAACATTCTGAGAACATTTTGACCAGAGTAGCCTTAAGGAATCGTCTAGGCTTGATGATCCTCATGTACATAAAGCAAGTTGTTCCTCAGTATCTGTGGAGGATTGGTGGTGGGACTCCTCCTCCCCTCATGGTTACCAAAATCCATGATGCTTAAGTCCCTAATATAAAATGGCATAATATTTACATATAAGTTACACACATTGTTCCACATACTTTAAATCATCCCGAGATTACTTACAAAATTGAATACAATGTAAATGCTATGTAAACACATACTATACAGTATTGTTTAGGGAATAATGACAAAAAAAATCTGTACATGTTCAGCACAGACACAATCATCCTTTTTTAAAATATTTTCTATCCACAGTTGGTTAAATCCACATATGTGGAACCCAAGGATATGGAGAGCCAACTCCTTTTTTTTTTTTGAGATGGAGTTTCACTCTTGTTGCCCAGGCTGGAGTGCAATGGCGCGACAAAGAGCCAACTCTTATCTCTTCCTGTGTCTTCTCCTATTTCTGTTAGGGATGGTGTCAAAGATGACATGGGGTGGGGATGCCACCAAGTGATGACTCAAAGATGATGCTTCCTAGGTTATCTGGGGTGGTCCTGATTTTATAATCTGAACCTTGATCAGATTTTTTGTGAGACCATAAGTTTCAAAAACATGGTCATTGTAGCACATATATCTCAATCAATGAAGCAGGTGCAAAATACACCTAATCTGAAAAGACTTTATGAGTAAATGGTAGCAATCTTTGCAGCTACTGACCGTTGTTTCTGGTTTTGATTGTTGCATGCATACTTAACTTCCTTTCTCTAAGCTTTATTTGTCTTCAGCTAGAAAACAGGACTTCAGAGTCCTATTTAATTCCTTTATACCTTTTACTCTCTGAATAGATTCTCTAAGAAGGTCTAATATTCTCAAGGTTATACAAACACATAAACTTTGGAGTATTTTATTTAAAAGCACACTATTTCTGTTAGCACAGTATATATATATTTTTTGAGACAGAGTCTTCACTCTGTCGCCCAGGCTGGAGTGCAGTGGCATGATCTTGGCTCACTGCAAGCTCCGCCTCCTGGGTTCATGCCATTCTCCTGCCTCAGCCTCCCGAGTATCTAGGACTACAGGTGCCCGCCACCACGCCCGGCTAATTTTTTGTATTTTTTAGTAGAGACGGGGTTTCACCGTGTTAGCCAGGATGGTCTCGATCTCCTGACCTTTTGATCCGCCCACCTCAGCCTCCCAAAGTGCTGGGATTACAGGCATGAGCCACCACACCCAGCCAGCATAGTATTTTCTATAGCTGAATAAGTGGGAAGTTTTCTGCAGTAAAAACCACAACAATCTTTCCACAATCCATTAGTTAAAAAGCTAGCTCTTTCCTGATTACAATGAGCTATGATCGCACCACTGCACTTCAGCCTGGGCAACAGAACAAGACCCTGTCTCAATAAATAAATAAATAAACAAGAGATTTAAAAAAACAAAGTTATCCTCATCTCTTCCCATTTAGAGAAGACGAGACTTAGCAGAGAAGAATGGTAGAAGGTCAACAGAACAGTTTGCTAAATCCCAGAAAAAACAGTTGTAAAAAGATAGGTACTTTTTTGTGGGTGATAGGGTATCTCTGAAATAGAGGGCAAGATGAGGAACACTACTGAAATTTTTAAATTAAAATAATAACAGAAAATCTGAGAGCTATAAGGTACTTTACAGATAAGCTCACTCCATCTCCTCACTTTGTAATGAGCATAAGTTGAGGACAATGAGGTAAGTGTAAAATGTCCAAAGACAACTAGTTATAGGTTAGGCACGGTGGCTCATGCCTATAATCCCAGCACTCTGGGAAGCCAAAGTGGGTGAATCATTTTAGGTCAGAAGTTCGAGATCAGCTTGAGCAATGTGGTGAAACCCCATCTCTACCAAAAAACACACAAAATTAACCAGGCACGGTGGCGCATGCCTGTAGTCCCAGCTACTCGGGAGGCTGTGGCAGGAGAACTGCTTGAACCCGGGAGGTGGAGGTTTCAGTGAGTTCACATGGTGCCACTGCACTCCAGCCTGGGTGATAGAGTGAGACCCTGTCTCCAAAAAAAAAAAATTTTTTAAGACATCTAGTTAGAAATATTCTGGATTATCTTTTGTCAACCCAATGTCATCTTTTCATCAACCCAGGCTATCTACCAATGCAGGGCTATCTTTTCTAGTATAAGTCAGTACAGAAAGATAATTTGCCACTCTGGTTTAAAGGTAATTTTTAAGAGTGTGTGTGTGTGTGTGTGTGTGTGTGTGTGTGTGTGTGTGTGTGTGTACACATTAGACCCGTTAAAGCATGAGTATATCTGGGAAGAACAATGTATTTTTAAAGGCATTATTTGACATTAAGGCAGTATATACATTTATCTTGATTATTAAGAGTGGACTTGGGTATATTAGGTATATCACCTTCTTGATTAATTTGAACTGGACATGGCCTAAATACCTAAAAATCTAAATAATTCAGGGAGATATCTAGGAATATTTCCACTGTTAAGGACAGAGACTGATTGGAATAACACCACTTCAACATGAGGAGTACTCTGCCCAAAGGAAGGGGCTAGAGACTTGGTTCAGTTGTGAATCGGTCTTTTCTGTTCTATAAACTATAAAAACAAACACACGAAAGGAAAGGATTTGGATTTAGATAAAAGAATTTATAACACTAAACTCCCCATGGCACAGTAGCATAAAAGTTAAGACCAAGAGTTGGAATTAGACCAGCGTGGATTTGAATCTTGATTCTGATACCTAACTGAAACCTTAGAAAATCTACTGACTGGCTCTAAACTTCACTTACCTCCACTGCGGAACAGGGATTATAATCTCTACTTTTAAGGGTCCTTTTGAGAATTAAGACAATGAATACAAAGTGCTAATCACAAGACCAGGCAGATAACAAGTACTTAGTAAGTGGGAGCTATATGACTAGCAAGGGGCTTGTATCAGTCAGGGCCCACTGCACAAGCCACGAGTACATATAATCTCCTACTGGTTGTTTCTCCAGTGGACTCTGATGTGTATGTGTGTGTATAAAAGATTTATTGCAAGGAATTAGCTATGTGATTTGTAGGAGCTGGCTAGGCAAGTCAGAAATCCACAGCGTTGGTCATCAAGAAAGGCAGGCTAGAAACTTCCAGGCTGAACCAGATAGTGTACTCCATAGGCAGAATATCTTTTTCCTCAGGGAAACCGCAGTTCTATTTTTTTTTTTTTTTTTTTTTTTTTTTTGAGACAGAGTCTTACTCTGTCTCAAAAGCTGGAGTGCAGTGGTGCAATCTCTGCTCACTGCAACCTTCACCTCCCAGGTTCAAGCGATTCTCCTGCCTCAGCCTCCCGAGTAGCTGGGATTACAGGCACCCACCACGATGCCTGGCTAATTTTTTTGTATTTTTAGTAGAGACGGGGTTTCTCCATGTTGGCCAGGCTGGTCTTGAACTCCTGACCTCAGGTGATCCGCCCGCCTCAGCTTCCCAAAGTGCTGGGATTACAGGCATGAGCCACCACTCCCGGCCTCTCAGTTCTATTTTTAAAGCCTTTTATCTAATTAGCTCAGGCCACCCAAATTATCTAAGATAATCTTTACATAAAGCCAACTGATTACGGACTTTAATCACATCCACAAAATACCCTCACTGAAACTCTTAGATTAACATTTGATTGAATAAAACTGAATATTATCACCCAGCCATGTTGACACATAAAACTGAGCATCACAAGGTTAAATGAAAATGAACAATCCACTGATATTAAAAACTGTAAGTTATCTATTCCAGAACGTTATTTATGTGACATTTACTGAACCCTACTGAAGAACAGGCACTGTGGCAGCTAAAGGTTACAAAAATGAATCACCCTCCTCCGAATAAGCACAGTTTAGTTGGAGAGACAAATATATAAACTCTCCTAATAAACTATGGCAAGCTCGGCATGATGGTGCATTCCTGTAGTCACAGCTACTCAGGAGGCTGAATTGGGAGGATTACTTGAGCCTAGGAGTTCCAGGTTGCGAGCTATGATCACACCACTGCACTCCAGCCTGGGTGACAGAATGAGACCTCACCTCAAAAAAATTGTTTTTAATTAGTACATTTTTATGTTTATAACCAATTTGTTTCTTGTTTTGTAAATTGCCTATCCTATCTTTGTTTATAAGGTTGAGTGCATACACCTATCAGCTGATTGTTAAAGCAGGATCTTTGATAATATTTACTTATTTAAAAGTTGCATTAACGTATCTCAATCAATAGCTAACATCTCATTAAACACACTTAAGAAATAGTTGATTGTTAATGATAGTGGATGTAAATTAATATTTTAAATAGACTTCTACATACTTTCAAATGTATTAGGCTAACTTTTGTCAACTCTGATTACACCATTTTTCTTACCTGAAAAAGAATTTGAACTATGAGTGGAAGTTTTAAACTGTACCATTGTCTAGTTGCTCATTTGTATTTGTATTATTTACATCACCTTCAATCTATGGTTTCTTTGTACAAATCTTTTGAAAGCACTTGTCCATTTTGTGAGGAGTGATCAATATAACCAGGCACGTATAAGCTGTGATGCTTCACAATATGCTTACAGAAAACAAACAAGCCCACACCAGTCAACCGTTTATGTTTGGAATTTCCTTTCTTTCTTCGAGTTATCTCAGGTACTACATGTAACACATAGCTGTCTGACACGCAGACTGGGTCAAGGCACCACTGTCCAATCATCTACTGTATTTCGCCTAATTAAAGAAGCCATTTACAACAGTATATGTATGCATGACTAAGAAATGAAGAATAATGCCAATTTGATTATAGAACGATGGATTCTTAGCACTTAGAATTTCTGTCTTACATTGATTGAAAGATCTGTTATACATATATAAGAAGGAAAATACAAAGAAAATAAATAAGCAATCCAGAAACATTCAGCTTCTGACCCTTTGCATAACTTTTAGACCTAGTGTCATCAGTGTTCATGTTTTTCTATACAATATCCTACTCCATTCCATCATGAGTGTTGGTCATACAGCATATTTTGAGAGAGTGCTTCTGAGTACTCTTCCAAGCTGCATACCATCATTCTGCAAGTTTCTATATGCATGTGCAGGTAGCAACAACTTTGTCAGAAACACTGCCTGGACAACAATAATCATAAGACACAGACCAATTATAGAAACCTTGGAAGAAAAGAAAACAAGCGCATCACAAAAAGTTTAGTAAAGTGTAATGTTCTTCTTATTTTTTATTTAAAAAATGAGGCCGGGCGCGGTGGCTCATGCCTGTTATCCCAGCACTTTGGGAGGCCAAGGCGGGCGGATCACGAGGTCAGCAGATCGAGACCATCCTGGCTAACATGGTGAAACCCCGTCTCCACTAAAAATACAAAAAAATATTAGCCGGGCACTGTGGCGGGTGCCTGTAGTCCCAGCTACTCGGGAGGCTAAGGCAGGAGAATGCCGTAAACCCGGGAGGCGGAGCTTACAGTAAGCCAAGATAGCGCCGCTGCACTCCAAAAAAAAAAAAAAAAAAAAAAAGAATGTAAGTAGAAGTTTTAATCTTTTCTGTCTATTTGGCTTATTTTGGAGACAATGGATTTCCAAAATAAGTTCAAACCTTTTGGCAACCTGAACTTAATCTGACTTTCCAAATTCATTTCCCTATATCCTCCACCTACCCTATGTTTTCATTACACCAAATAATTCCTTGTTCTTTAAACAGGCTGAGCATTTTCTACTTTTGTGCTTCTCCACATAAATGGCATTCTTCTTTTTAATTACCCATGTTCTTCTCCTGATAAACTCTTTTTTTTGTTTGTTTGTTTTTGAGACGGAGTCTTGCTCTGTCGCCCAGGCTGGAGTGCAGTGGCACGATCTGGGCTCACTGCAAGCTCCGCCTCCCAGGCTCATGCCATTCTCCTGCCTCAGCCTCCCAAGCAGCTGGGACTACAGGCGCCTGCCACCACGCCCGACTAATTTTTTTTTTTTTTTTTTTTTTTTGTATTTTTAGTAGAGACAGGGTTTCACCGTGTTAGCCAGGATGGTCTCGATCTCCTGACCTCGTGATCTGCCCGCCTCGACCTCCCAAAGTGCTGGGATTACAGGCATGAGCCACTGTGCCCGGCCCTTCTCCTGATAAACTCTTACTCATCCTTCCAAGGTCTGCCCCTCTAAAAGCATTCCAATACCTCTCACTCTTAGGTAGAATTAGTCACTCTTTTGTCATTGGGCCCATATAACTTTTTACATATCTCAATGCCATAACTTTTTCTTCTGTTTCATAGTAATTTTTTGCACCTATCTTTTTCAAAGCTAGGCAATGGACTCCTTGGAATTTCATTGCCAAGGTAGGCAATGAAGAGGAGAAAACATATGTGAACCCCATTTGTATCCCCAGTAGCAAAAAGACAGTACATTGTAGTTGCTCAACAAATGATCATTGTCACTACTAAATTATTTAATTAATTTTGTTAAGAAATAACATGGATCCCCAGTAGATTAAAAAGCATCCAACATCATTTTCCTAAAATTCAAAAACCATTATTTTTCATCTATAGCCTTAGAATGTTCAGAACTACTACCAGTAACAGATGGATGGAAAACTGGATAAGAATGTCTCAATATCTTGCTGAGTTCAGTAATTAATTCAACTCACATTTATTGAAAACTTACTTTGTGCCACTCACAGAGGTAAGTAAAATAGTATCAAACCAGAAAGAGCCTATTTTTTGGCATAAGAGAGATTTTAAATGGATTTAAGATAAAACTCATAAATTTTTGTAAATATATTTGTCTTAGTCCATCTGGGCTATAACAAAATACCTTTGGGTAATTTATAAACAGCATATATTTATTGCTCACAGTTCTGGAGACTGGGAAGTGGAAGATCAAGGTGCTGGCAGATTTGGTGTCTGGCGAGGGCTCCTTTTCTGCCTCATAGATAGAGCCTTGTTGCTGTATCCTGACATGGCAAAGGGGCAAAAGGGCTCCCTCAAGCCTCTTTCTTTTTTTTTTTTTTTTTTTTGAGATAGAGTCTAGCTCTGTCACTCAGGCTGGAGTGCAGTCATGCGATTTCGGCTCACTGCAACCTCCGCCTCCTGGGTTCAAGCTATTCTCCTGCCTCAGCCTCCCAAGTAGCTGGGACTATACGTGCCTGCCACCATGCCTGGCTAATTTTTGTATTTTTAGTAGAGAGGGGGTTTCACCATATTGGCCAGGCTGGTCTCGAACTCCTGACCTTGTGATCCGCCTGCATCAGCCTCTCAAAGTGCTGGGATTATAGGCAAGAGCCACCATGCCCGGCCAAGCCTTTTTTTATAAGGGCACTAACCCCATATATGGAGGTGGAGCCCTCATGACCTCGTCACCTCCCAAAAGCCCTATCTCTTAATACCATCACCTTGGGGGTTAGTTTTCAATATATGAGTTTTGCAGAGGACACAAACATTCAAACCACAAGAATATTTAAAATACGTATTGTATAAAAACCCAATCCTTATCTCATAATATTTTGCATCACTTACTTCGCTTAATCACACTAGTCCTGGCTGTTCACTTCACAAAACAAACATCCACCTCAAACTCTCACACCAGAGCCTTTAAGCTTTCAGCTTACCCTGCCTGGGATGCTCTATTCTCAGATTCTCACATGCCTGATTCCCTCACTTTATTCAAAAAGAATGTCCCCCACCCATCATTTTGCATCCCTTTACTCTGCTTTATTTTTCTTCATAGCACTTATTCCTACCAGCCATAAAATTAGATATCTATTTGCTTATTGTTTTCATTGACTATATTTCCAACTAGTATGTAAAGTCAATATGGACAGGAACATTGTTTTGCTTGCTGCCATGTTACTAGCACCTAAAACTGTAGATGCTCAACAAGTAAAGAAACGTGTGTCTCTTTAGCTCCAAATGGAAGAGAGGTTTTAAGCCAGTAATTCATAAATTATGCTTTTGAAAAAAATTTGAAGAAAACTTGCCTGATCCTCCCACTGATTGGCTGAATTTATTATTTCCAAGGTGAATATAACACAGTTCTGACACCTTTTCCCATACCTGTTAGTAATATAATATTCATTAAATACCATGAAGTCCGATGATTAATAAACCAGAAGAATTTTAATGAACTAACACTTGGTATTCAGGTATTTAATTTATTTCCAGAAGGTGATTACTTTAACAGTTCTGTACATCAGAGTGTATTGGGAGAACAGAGATAGGTATCCACTTTAATCTATCCATCTTAAGCAATTCTGCGGTCTTTTCAAAATGATACTCATTTAAATTTCAATTAATAAGATACTAGGTCTGTTTAAATGAGTCCCTTGAAAAAGATTGGCCCCCAAATATGGCTTATTTGACATATCTACCTTGATTCTAAGGATGACTTCCAGTTTCAAATTAAAGTCATGAGGCACAGTTAGGCTGAAAAGGGGGCAATAAATTTCAAATCAAAATAACTGGGAAACTTCCTTTGATTCCCAACATAACCTTGGGCAAATCATCTAATTACTTATTCTCAGTCTTTTGGTTCATCAATGTGAATAACAATACATACTGCCAGCATAGTTGTAGAAATTAGAAGAAATAGTGCATTTAAAAAAAATTAAAAAACATGCCAAGCACAATGGCTCACACCTATAATCCTATAATCCCAGCACTTTGGGAAGCTGAGGTGGGTGAATTTCTTGAGCCCAACAGTTCGAGACAAGCCTGGGCAACATGAAGAAACCTTATCTATACAAAATATACAAAAATCAGCTGGGTATGAAGCATGCATCTGTGGTCCCAGCTACTTGAGGAGCTGAAGTGGGAGGATTGCTTGAGCCCAGGAGGTGGAGGCTGCAGTGAGCTGAGATCACACCCCTGCACTCCAGCCTGGATGACAGAGCAAGACCCTGTCTCAAAAATACAAACAACAACAACAACAAAACACTTTGAAATCTATAGAGTGCAAATAAACACTAGGATGATATCAGTATGATACTAGTGATAGAGGCAAGAGACAGCCAAATGCCTGGGCAAATAGGGAAAGGCCCCCCAGGGAATCTCTGACCTGCCCCACAAGTATATACACCAGATGTCTTTGTACAGATAAGGGAACCTTCACGGGGTCTTGCCCAGGCATGCCCACAATGGACTGGAGACCCACATGCATTGGGGGAACAGGGTGGAGCCACTAAGAACTCACACCTTATGCAGGGAAGGAGTCTGGCCTCTTCTGCTCATGTGTGGTTTTCAATTTGTGAGGTGGAAACCTGCATGCAGTATACCTCTTTCTGTTGAGAGCTTTCCTTTCACTACATAAATTCCATCCTCCTCACCTTTCAATGTATCTGCATGCTGAATTTTTCCCAGTTGTGAGACAAGGACCTGAAAATCCTGTGTCACTAACAATAATAATAATAGGTTTTTCCTCTCCATTATTGATTGAGAATTCAAATCTGTATTAGTCTGTTCTCATGCTGCTAAGACATACCCGAGACTGAGTACTTTATAAAGAAAAGAGGTTTAATTGACTCACAGTTCCACATGGCTGAGGAGGCCTCACAATCATGGTGGAAGGCAAAGGGGAAGCAAGGCATGTCTTACATGGCAGCAGGCAAGAGAGAGCTTATGCAGGGGAACTCCCCCTTATGAAACTATCAGATCTCGTGAGACTTACTCACTACCATGAGAACAGTATGGGGGAAGACTCACCCCCATAATTCAGTTACCTCTCACCTGGGCCTTCCCACAACACGTGGGAATGATAAGAGCTACAATTCAAGATGAGATTTGGATGGGGACACAGTCAGACCATATCATTCCATGCCTGGCCCCTCGCAAATCTCATGTCCTCACATTTCAAAACCAATCATGTCTTCCCAACAGTCTCCCAAAGACTTAATTCATTTCAGCATTAACTCAAAAGTCCATGGTCCAAAGTCTCATCTGAGACAAGGCAATTCCCTTCTGCCTATGAGTCTGTAAAATCAAAAACGAGTTAGTTACTCTCTAGATACAATGGAGGTATATGCCTTGGGTAAATACCCCCATTGCAAATGGGACAAATTGTCCAAAACAAATGGGCTACAGTCCCCAGGCAAGTCCAAATCCAATAGGGCAGTCATTAAACCTTAAAGTTCTAAATGATCTCCTTTGACTTCATGTCTCACAACCAGGTCATACTGATGCAAGAGGTGGGCTCCCATGGCCTTGGGCAGCTTCTCCCCTGTGGCTTTGCAGAGTGCAGCTCCCCTCCTGGCTGCTTTCACAGGCTGGTGTTGAGTGTCTGTGGCTTTTCCAGGCACATGGTGCAAGCTGTTGGTGGATTTACCATTCTGGGGCCTGGAGGATGGTGGCCCTCTTCTCATAGCTCTGCTAGGCAGTGCCCTAGTGGGGACTTCGTGTGGGGGCTCTAACCCCACATTGCCCTTCCACACGCCCTAGCAAAAGTTCTCCATGAGGGCCCTGCCCTGCAGCAAACTTCTGCTTGGACATCCAGGCATTTTTATACATCCTCTGAAATCTAGGCAGAGCTTCCCAAACCTCAGTTCTTGAATTCTGTGCACCCACAGACCCAATGCCACATGTAAGCCACCAAGGTTTGTGGCTTGCACCCTCTGAAGCAACAGCCTGAGCTGTACTTTGCCCATTTTAGCCATGGCTAGAGCTGAAATAGCTGGGATGCAGGGCACCATGTTTGGAGGCTGCATAAAGCAGGGGGGTCCTAGGCCCAGCCCAAATAACCATTTTTCCCTCTTAGGCCTATAGGCCTGTGATGGGAGGGACTGCCATGAAGGTCTCTGACATGCCCTAGCGACATTTTCCCCATTGTCTTGGCTATTTACATTTGGCTCCTCATTACTTACACAAATTTCTGCAGGCAGCTTAAATTTCTCTCCAGAAAATGGGTTTTTCTTTTCTACTGCATTGTCAGGCTGCAAATTTTCCAAAGTTTTATGCTCTGTCACCTCTTGAATGTTTTGGTGCTTAGAAATTTCTTCCACCAGATACCCCAAATCATCTCTCTCAAGTTCAAGGTTCCACAGATCTCTAGGGCAGGGGCAAAATTCTGCCAGTCTCTTTGCATAGCAAGTGGCCTTTACTCCAATTCCCAACAAGTTCCTCATCTCCATCTGAGACCACCTCAGCCTGGATTTTATTGTCCATATCACTGTCAGCATTTTGGTCAAAGCCATTCAACAAGTCTCTAGGAAGTTTCAAACTTTCCCACATCTTCCTGTCTTCTGAGCCCTCCAAGTCTCTATGAAGTTCCAAACTTCCCCACATTTTCCTATCTTCTTCTGATCCCTCTGAACTCTTCCAACCTCTGCCTGTTACCCAGTTCCAAAGTCACTTCCACATTTTCACATATCTTTAGAGCAGTGCCCCACTACCTGGTACGAATTTACTGTATTAGTCCATTCTCACACTGCTAATAAAGACATACCTGAGACTGGGTAATTAATAAAGGAAAGAGGTTTAATGGACTCACAGGTCCACATGGCTGGAGAGGCCACACAATCATGGCGGAAGGTGAAGGGGAAATAAGCCACATCTTACATGGCAGCAGGAAAGAGAGAGCTTGTGCAGGGGAACCCCCATTTATAAAACCATCAGCTCTTGTGAGACTTATTCACTACCATGAGAACAGTATGGGGGAAGACCCACCTCCATGATTCAATTACCTCCCACCATGTCCCTCCCACGACACGTGGGAATTACTGGAGCTACCATTCAAGATGAGATTTGGGTAGGGACACAGCCAAATCATATCAAAATCCTAACGGTTTGTTGGATATTGTCCATTCAACAAGTGAGAACATGCTTTGCTTTAGAAAAAATATATATTTTAAAATAACCCACAAAAATAAGTAGACAAAAATCTCCTATGCTGCTTCCAAACCACTTTCGAAAGTAACTACTGTCTTGTGCTGCTTAACAACAGTGATATCTTCTGAGAAATGTGTTGTGTCACTGTGCAAACATTATAGAGTGTATTTACCCAAACCTAGTCATTTCACTAGTATGGTGACAATTTTAGTGGTATAGCCTACTGCACACCTAGGCTTTCTGGTATAGCCCATTACTGTGATTACTATAGTACATATTGTCTGTCGTTGACTGAAACGTCATTATGTAGCACATGACTGCACTAAAACTGCCACCAGACTACTGAAATGACTAATCTGGATTAAAATAGTGATTTAAAATAAACAAACATTCATCCTTGAAATCTCAGAAAGAGAAAACTCCATTCACACAAGTATATAATCAAAGAATGTTCCTCAAAGGGGAAAAGCATTTGGGGACTGTCTAATTCTTATCCTAAAAACATCTAAACAGCTTCCTGGATAACATCTAGTCCCTCAAACTGAACCATCAACCCCTACATTATCTTTTATCTCAACATTATATAAGGCAAGAGAATGAAAGAAAATATCGCTAAAAGCAGCACGTTTACATCCATCACAGAATGATCATGCTACTTCCCTTATAGCCCAGAGTACATTTAATGTAATTGAAAGGAGAGGAAAATGGTTTTCTCTTCCATATTAAAAGGAATAAGGTGCTTTTTTCCTTTTCTTTTCAAAAACATGACAGAGGGAGCCTTCTACTTCTTTCCAAGACAGAAGAACAAGAACCAGATTTACCCTCCTGCTGCAAACAACTAAAAAGCAGACAAAATATATAAAGCAATGGTTTCTGTCAACAAAAAGAGTCAAACTGTAAAATATTTGAAGAGATTTATTCTGAGCTAAATATGAGAGACCATGGCTCATGACACAGCCCTCAGGAGTTCCTGAGAACGTGTGCCTGAGGTGGTAAGGGCACAGCCTGGTTCATACAGTTTTGGGAGACGTGAGACATCAACCAATACATTTAAGATGTACGTTGGTTTGGTTCAGAAAGACGGGACAACTCAAAGCGGAGGCTTCCATGTTATAGGTAGATTTTAAAATTTTCCAGTTGACAACTTGTTGAGTTTACCTGAAGACCTGGGATCAATAGAAAGGAAATGTTTAGGTTAAAATAAAAGGTTGTAGAGACCAAGTTTTATTGTGCAGAGGAAACTCTCAGATAGTGGACTTCAGAAGGAGTAGGTTGTAAAATGTTTCTTATCAGACTGAAAAGGGTGCCTAGCTCTTAGTTGATTATCTCCTGGGTCTGGAAAAAAAAGGGAAAGGGAAATAAAAGGGGGGGAAAAGGAGATTCTCTATAGAATGCAGATTTTTCCCACAAGAGACAACCTTGCAGGGCAGTTTCAAGATACAGCAAGGAAATATATTTGGGGCTAAAATGTTTTTATTTCTTCCCTTATTTATTATGTGATGTTATGCCAGAGTCAGGTTAGAAAGCAGACCACACTATATAGGGTTAAAATAGAAACTCCTCTGATGAGATTTTATGGTTTGTAGGGCATGACTCCTCAGGCCCCTTAGGTAGGAATTTGGACAAGAGAAGACAATCAGAGTTTAGTCCTCATTTCCATAACATTGTATATTAATTAACGAAGGACAGAGATCCCTGAAAGATAAGAAATAAAGTGAGCTCTACGATTGTTTCCATGTATTTTCTTTTCTTTTTTTTTTTTTTTTTTTTTTTTTTTTTTGAGACTGAGTCTCACACTATCGCCCAGACTGGAATGCAGTCGTGAAATCTGAGCTCACCGCAACCTCTGCCTCCTGGGTTCAAGCAATTATCCTGTCTCAGTCTCTCGAGTAGCTGGGACTACAGGAACGTGCCACCAGGCCCAGCTAATTTTTTGTATTTTTAGTAGAGATGGGGTTTCACCATGTTGGTCAGGCTGGTCTCAAACTTCTGACCTCGTGATTCACCCACCTCGGCCTCCCAAAGTGCTGGGATTACAGGAGTGAGCCACCGCACCCAGCCTTCAGTGTATTTTCTCAAGGGACTTTCTAGGCCACAACACAGAGAAAGGGAACACAAAAAAAGCTTAGTAATTAGCCTGAGCTGAGGAGACCTTACTGAAAGCCAAGAGAGGCCAAGACAGCTAAAGTCCCCTGGGCAGAGCCTTAGAGAAGAGAGAGTTACGCGATAAGAGGACCTCGAAAATCTGCAGAAGATCCTTCTCAAGACTACAGCTAAGTACTGATCAGAACATGAGTGTGAGGTCTGGTGAGATGAACCACCTGGAAGAATTAAAAGGAACAATCCTAGGACCTAACTAAGAACAGAAAATAGTCCCTGTTCTCACTAGCCAGAGTGGAAAACCTTCTAATTCAGAAACAACAGATAGAGGCCTCAGAAAGATTTGCCTCAGTTATGGGACAAAATTAACCCTAGATTAAATGCAGCCTTGCCACCTAAATAAAAGTTCAAGAGCAAAACCGAAGAGGATCAAATTGTTTCCAAGTAACTTAACTACATCCCAGTAAAGGCATAAAAGTATTGTAGGGAGACAAATGGAACAGAATAGAGAGCCCAGAAATAAAGCTGCACACCTAAAATCATCTAATTTTCTATACAGCCAACAAAAACAAGCAATGGGGAAAGGACTCCCTATTCAATAAACAGTGCTGTGATAACTGGCTAGCCATATGCAGAAGAATGAAATGGACCTGTACATTTCACCATAAACAAAAATTAACTCAAAATGGATTAAAGATCTAAATGTAAGACCTCAAACCATAAAAATCCTATGAGAAAACCTAGGAAATACTATTCTGGATATTGGCCTTGGCAAGCAATTTAAGTCCTCAAAAAAAATTGCAACAAAAACAAAAATTGACATGTGGGACCTAGTAAAACTAAGCTTCTGCACAGCAAAAGAAGCTATCAGCAGACTAAATAGGCAACCCATAGAACAGGAAAAAAATAACATTCACAAACTACACATCTAACAAAAGTCTAATATCCAGAATATATGAGGAACTTAAACGACTCACTACACAAGCAACAACCCTATTAAAAAGGGGGCAAAGGACATGAACAGATATTTCTCAAAAAAAAAAAAAAAGATACACAAGCATCCAACAAACATATGAAAGAATGCTCAACATCATTAATCAGAGAAATGCAAATCAAAACCACCAGGAGATACCATCTCACACCAGTCGGAATGAGTATTGTTAAAAAGACAAAAAACAATAGATGCTAGTAAGGCTGCGGAGAAAAGAAAATGCTTATTCACTGCTGGTGGGAATGTAAGTTAGTTCAGCCCCTGTGGTAAGCAGTTTGAAGATGTCTCAGAATAGTAAAAACTTAACTACCATTCAACCCAGCAATCCCATTACTGGCTATATACTCAAAGGAAAGTAAATCAGTCTACAGAAAAAACCCCACATGCACTAATACGTTCACTGTAGTGCTACTCATAATAGCAAAAATATGGAATCAACCTAGGTGCCCATCAATGGTGGATTAGATAAAATGTGGTACATATACATATCTATGCCAAGGAATATTATGCAGCCACAAAAAGAATGAAATGTCTTATTCTGCAACACAGATGCAGCTGGAGGCTATTATCCTACGTGAATTAATGCAGGAACAGAAAACAAAATATAGCACGTTCTTACTTACAAGTGGAAGCTAAATATTCAGTACTCGAACATAAAGATGGGAACAGTATACATTGGGAACTACTAGAAGGGAGAGAGAAAGAGGCAAGGGCTGAAAAACTACCTATTAGTTATAATGATCACTACCTAGGTGATGGGATCATTCATACTTCAAACCTCAGCATTACTTAAGATGCCCATATAACAAACTGGCACATATACCCCCTGAATCTAAAACAAAAGTTGAAATTATTAAGAAACAAAAATTTTACATACCATAGGATACAAAAAGTATACAGAACTCAAGAAAGTGGTATTCTCAATGTCTAACACCCAAATAAAAATTACTAAGCATGCAAATAAGGAAATATGACCTACAAAAAGGATAAAAATAAATGAACTAATAAAAAAAAAGAAACAACACGGATGAGATAATTAGTAAATAAGATCATTAAAATGATTATGATACATATTTAAGAAGCTAGAAGAAAGATGATAAATTAAACAGAGACATAATTTATATTAAAATACCCAAATCAAACTTATAAAAATCAAAACTACCAAGTATGAGATTTAAAAAAAAAAAATGCAATGGCCTGGGTAAACTGATATTTAGTCAATGCAGATAAAATGATAGTGAACTTAAAAACAGAAAAAGAAACTATCTAAAATAGTTTAACTATTTAGATAGCTTTACTGTCTAAAATAGTAAAAACTCAAAAAAATATTTTTAACCACATGTAACAAGATAAAGATAAAATTTTACAAGAAGCCAATGAAAAAGACACATTTGTACAGAAAAACAAAAATAGGGATAACAGCAGATCACTTGTTGAAAACAATGCAAGCAAAAAAAGAGATGAACAACATCTTTAAAATACAGAAAGGAAAAAACTTATACTGGAAATCTTGGCCTAGCAACAATATCTTTCAAGAATAAAGCAAAATAAAGACCTTTTAGACAGACAGCAAGTGAAAGAATTCATCAGCAGCAGACCTGCACAACAATAAGAGTTAAAAAGAATTTCTTCAGGCAGAGGAAAGATGATACCAGATGGACATCTACATCTAGACAAAGAAATAAATGATACTGGAAATGGTAAATATCTGGATAAATAGAAAATAATTTTTTTATTCAAATCCCTTTTTAAAATTATTGACCATTTAAAAGTAAAACAATGTAGTATGGGATTTATGACCCATGTATATATGACACATGTGAATTATATGACAGCAATAAAGTATACGACAACAACAAAGTCAGGAGGGGGAAGCTGAAAGTACCCTGTTGGGCATTCCTACACTATACATAGTACATTATCGCTTGAAGGTAGACAGCAATGAGTTAATGATAAATTAGAGATGCACACAATACACCCTAGAGCAATCACTAAAATAACACAAAGAAGCATTGTAGTTAATAAGCCAATAAAGGAAATGAAATGGAATAATAAAAATAATTCAAAAGAAGGCAGAATTTGTTTAAGGGAACAAAAAAGAGGATACTTAGAAAAAAAAATAACAAAGTGGTAGGTAGATTTAAACTCAACATAACTAACAATCCCATTCAATGTAAATGGTCTGAACACCCCAATTAAAGGCAGAAGTTGTTGAATTGGATTTTAAAAAGCAAGACACAGCTACATCTTACATGTAAGAAACAAATATAACATATAAAAACACAAATAGTTTATAAAATGAAGGGATGAGGAAAGATAAACCAACCAAAAGAAATCTGGAGTTGCTATTTAAATATCAGAAAAAGTATATTTTGGAACAATTCATATTACTGAGGATAAAAAAGGTCATTTTACAGTGATTAAAGAGGTTAACTATCAAGAAGACATAACAATTCGAAATACATATGCACATAATGACAGAGCTGTAAGATACACAAATCAAAAACTGGAAGAGCTACAAAGAGGAATAGTCAAATCCACAATTATAATGAGAAATTTCAACAAACTCAATCAATAATTGACAGAAAATCAGCAGCTATGTAGACCACTTGAACAACCTTATCAATCAGCTTGACATGATTGACATTTATAGAACACTCCATTCAACAATAGCATAATACATGTTCTTTTAAAATTATTAACACATTTTATGTTAAATGATAAGAGGATAAGAGAAAAAAGAAAACAAAAATGTTAGGTTAATATATACATATATTCAAACATGTTAATATCAAAATAAGGAAGAAATACAAATATTACAGCTCTTCTTTCTGTAACAGGGCACATCGTTATAGCTGTATATTTATAATGACCTTCTTTCTCCACCCATTCTGTATTCCCTTTGCCTTCTGCAAGCATCTCAGGTTGCCTACTGGGTCTAGGCCCACAACAATTAAACCATAACAGCCCAATTGAGTCGTGTCTGAATTAGGTTATTGCAGCTTCCCATTAACCTATTCACAGGACACAGGAATGCTAAAAGAAACTAGAGAATCCCCTAAATTTTATACACGCTCCTCCTTACCCGCATTGTGTAATAGCGACCCACATTCCACTTAATAGTTAGGATCAATCACCTCAACCATTACAGTGAACTCCCTCCTTGCCTGTTGATTCAGATGCATGAGAATCCCAAAGTGGCCCGGTGGCAGTTTCAAATTCCAGTTCAATGGAGTCATTGTTTTGTTCCACTTGGAAATATTTTCCTTTGGAGCTAAGACCTCAGCAGAGCCTATGGTTGCAGGGACAGGAAGCAAACATTTCATGAATAGACCACTAGTGGTTATAGTAAAGAGGGCCACCCCTACTTCTACTCCTTGATCCCTGGACCTGTGAATTCTGGCTATGGGAGGGAACAGTACCATATATGGGACACTGATTTAGTGCACATACCACATCCTGGAGAACATTGTTCTAGCACTGCAAGGTATTGTCATCTAGCTGACACCTTAAGTCTTCAAAAGTCCATTCCACTATTTTTTTAAGCCAGCTGCTTCAGGATGATGGTGAATGCGCCAAGATCAGTGAATTTCATGATTATGAACCTATTGGCATACTCTATTTACTGTGAAAACAAATTTCTTGGTCAGAAATGATGCCAAATATCACGCTACCTGACTTCAAACTATACTACAAGGCTACAATAACCAAAACAGCATGGTACTGGTACCAAAACAGAGATATAGATCAATGGAACAGAACAGAGCCCTCAGAAACAATGCTGCATATCGACAACCATCTGATCTTTGACAAAACTGACAAAAACAAGAAATGGGGAAAGGATTCCCTATTTAATAAATGGTGCTGGGAAAACTGGCTAGCCATATGTAGAAAGCTGAAACTGGATCCCTTCCTTACACCTCATACAAAAATTAATTCAAGATGGATTAAAGACTTCAATGTTAGACCTAAAACCATAAAAACCCTAGAAGAAAACCTAGGCAATAACATTCAGGACATAGGCATGGACAAGGACTTCATGTCTAAAACACCAAAAGCAATGGCAACAAAAGCCAAAATTGACAAATGGGATCTAATTCAACTGAAGAGCTTCTGCACAGCAAAAGAAACTACCATCAGAGTGAACAAGCAACCTACAAAATGGGAGAAAATTTTCGCAACCTACTCATCTGACAAAGGGCTAATATCCAGAATCTACAATGAACTCAAACAAATTTACAAGAAAAAAACAACCCCATCAAAAAGTGGGCAAAGGACATGAACAGACACTTCTCAAAAGAAGACATTTATGCAGCCAAAAAACACATGAAAAAATGTTCATCATCACTGGCCATCAGAGAAATGCAAATCAAAACCACAATGAGATACCATCTCACACCAGTTAGAATGGCGATCATTCAAAAGTCAGGAAACAACAGGTGCTGGAGAGGATGTGGAGAAATAGAAACACTTTTACACTGTTGGTGGGACTGTAAACTAGTTCAACCATTGTGGAAGTCAGTGTGGCGATTCCTCAGGGATCTAGAACTAGAAATACCATTTGACCCAGCAATCCCATTACTGGGTATATACCCAAATGACTATAAATCATGCTGCTATAAAGACACATGCACACATATGTTTATTGCGGCACTATTCACAATAGCAAAGACTTGGAACCAACCCAAAGGTCCAACAATGATAGACTGGATTAAGAAAATGTGGCATATATACACCATGGAATACTATGCAACCATAAAAAATGAAGAGTTCATGTCCTTTGTAGGGACATGGATGAATCTGGAAACCATCATTCTCAGCAAACTATCGCAAGGACAAAAAACCAAACACCGCATGTTCTCACTGATAGGTGGGACTTGAACAATGAGAACACATGGACACAGAAAGGGGAACATCACACTCTGGGGACTGTTGTGGGGTGGGGGGAGGGGGGAGGGATAGCATTAGGAGATACACCTAATGCTAAATGACGAGTTAATAGGTGCAACACACCAACATGGCACATGTATACATATGTAACAAACCTGCACATTGTGCACATGTACCCTAAAACTTAAAGTATAATAATAATGAAATTTTAAAAAATTAAAAAAATAAAAAATAAAAGAGGAAGAGACTGGTGGAAAGGAAAAAAAAAAAAGAAATGATTCCAAATAGAATCCCATGACAGTGGATAAGACATTCTGTAAGTCTTCAGATGGTAGATTGGCAGAGCCTTTGTGGACAGGGAAGGAGAATCAACATTCAAGTAAATGTTGATACTAGTAAAAGCAAAGCACTGCCCCTTTCATGCTGGAAGTGGTCCAACATAATCAACCTGCCACTGAGTAACTGGATGATGACCCCAGAGATGGTGCCATATTAAGGGCCCAGTGTTGATCTCTGCAATAGCAGACTGGGCACTTAGCAGTGGCTATATCCACATTACCCCTGGTGAGTGGAAGTTTTGTCACTGAGCCCCATAACCCCCACTCCTGCCACCATGGCCACTTTGTTCATGAGTCCATTGGGCAATGATGAGAGTGGCTGTGGAAAGCGGCTGACTGGGATACACAGAACTGGTCATCCTAGACATCTGATTATTAAAATGCTCCTCTGCTGAGGTCACCCTTTAAGATGTAAATATCTTCACATTCTGGGCCGATTCAGAGGGATCTATCCACATACCTCTTCTCAGACCTTCTTATTAATTTTCCAATTATGTTTGAGTCCCTGCTGATCCAGCCAAACCATTGGCCACAGGCCAAGAACCAGTATATAATCTCATATCTGGCTATGTCTCTTCCCAAATAAAATGAACAACCAGGTACACTGCTCAGAGTTCTACCCACTGAGGGATTTCCCTTCACCACTATCCTTCAGGACTGCCCCAGAGTGTGTTTATAGTGCTGCAACCATCCACTCTCCATTGGTGCTTAGACAGTATGCAATCAGGCTGGAGGTTTTTTTCCCCCTCAATCGGTTGATTATAGAGAATTATCTGTGAGAGTGTAGATGTGGGCTAAAATGTAGCAGGAGTAGAAGCCATGGGAATTTGAGCACTTGTGCCTTTGAGGCCTGCTTGAGTCAAACTGCATATATCACTTCCATTCAATAATGGAGCTCTACTGTGCACACTCAGCTTCATGGCTTGGTGGGTTAGAGGATATGCAGTTCAGGGTACCTAAGGACGCACAGTGATTTGGTGGCCCATGATTTGAGGTCATATGACAGTGTCGCAGATACCAAGGAGACTTAGGAAGTGAGTTTAAACCTTAGAAAGACAGGACTTATAAGCTAAGACATTTCCCAAACATCAGAAGAATGTTCCAAAAGTGGCTAACCAAAAAATCATGACAAATATCTACCATAACCTATTCCTTGACTTCCCAACATCAGTTACACTCTTCTTCCATACGTAAATATAACAATATCATTACAACAACAATAAAGTGTTCTCAACTATCATTAAACAACTATCTTTACATAAGAGAAAATGCCCTTACCCTCTGCCCAAAGACAGGGCCAACTAAAAAAATCATTTGTTCCTGCATCGTAGTATCTAATCCTCCTTTAGTATCATTGCAATTCCAACCATGACATTTTGCAAATTATAAGTTAAACTGCTAAGTTAACAACAACCAAAATATACTACATAAATAAATACATGAAAATCAGCAAATGAAAAATTAATTAAAATGCATACATGAAACAGCAGAGAAAATATGAAGAGACTACTTCCAAGTTCTCATTGCAAGTCTATGCTGGCATTTGTGAATTCTGTATCAGTTGAGTATGGCTACAATAATGCTGCATAGCAAATAACCACGACATTTTAGCAGCATTTATTTATTTAGTTCATGAGTCTACTGGTCAATTAAAGTCAGCTGGCCTAGGCTGAACCCAACTGGGCAATTTTGCTGCTTTCAGCTGGACTTGCTCACATGTCTGTGGCTAGCTAGGAGTTGGCTGCTCTAGGCTGTGCTTAGCTGGGGTTGGCAATGCTTCGTGTGTGGGTCCCCCTTGGGCTAGGCCAGCCCCAGCATATTCTTTTCATACGTATGACCAAAGTGCAAGAATACAAGTGGAAACCTGTGAGATCTCCTACGGCCTAGGCTTGGAATTTGTACATTATAACTTCCAACTCATTCTATTGGCAAAAGCAAGACACACGGCCAGATCTAAAATCAAGGGGAAAAAGGCATGATGGAAGAAAGGCTGCAGAATCAGGGCCAATAATGCACACTACCAAAGCTTTTTTCTTCTACTATCCACTCTATGTTTCCTTTGCTCTTAGCCAGCACCTCAGCAGTTTGGGGGTTTTGCCTGCTTGGGTGATACAAACATCACCTCTGAGGGGCCTGAGCCCTTTGTGGTCCTACACATATGAGAGTCCTATAAATTCCTCTTCACTTTTCCCAGTGGACTTGGCTTCCCTTTTATGGAGTTTTTATTACATCAGGTGATCTGACCACCTCGGCCTCCCAAAGTGCTGGGATTACAGGCATGAGCCACCACGCCTGGCCTAAATTTCCAATATTTAATGTCTGCAATGACACTAAGACACAAAGGACCCAAGAAAGAGTGAGAGGCAGCAAGAAAATTGGGAAAATCTAGGTTCAGGAGACAAAACAATATTTCAAAAAGAAGTAGGTGATCAAAAGACAGATAAGATAAATACTGAAAAACTACCCTTTGGATGTAGCTGCATGAAGGCTTTTGATGACTTAATAAGAGCCGTTTCCGTGGAGTAATGGTGAGGTAGCCAGAAAAATTATATGTAATGATTTACATCACAGTTCATGAATATAAATCATGAATCCTGCGTAGGATCGAAGATTTCAAGCCAGAATGATTTTTGGAGCACTTTGAATCTACCCCCTTTATCTTATAGATGTGAAAACCAAGACTTCATCCGTTTTCAGTTTCAGGGTAAGTCAATGGAACAATCAAGAGAAATAAAAGTGCTCTGCTCTCACCCCTGTGCTCCTTATTTTATGATGTATGATCTTATTTGGGGATATGCAGTTCTAGGTATAGATCATTGCTTTCATTTCAATGGAATTATCCATATTATTTCCATTTCAATAAACTAATAAAGAGCTTGAACTAAGCCAATAATTTGAAAATTTCATCAATAAATGAAAAAATAAAAGATTTCTGAGCACCCTTCAGTATCAAAGAAAATTAAACCTACACCTCTCCCTGACACAATAAAGAATTTAAAATAGTTTATTTTCTAAAAGATACTAGAAAATAAAAATAGATTAAAAATACTAACAAAATAAATATACTAGAAAGTCACGCTGTGTCAGGCTGGGTCATATGGGACTAGAAGGCAGGTATTAAATTCTACTGAGTTCCTATAATAAGGACTCAGATTGAACTCTGAGCTTTTGATTTATATTCATGGTTCATGAAAAAATAGAAATGTCAGCTCTTTTGCGGGCACAGCCCTTCCCATTAGATGCACCAGGCTCCTAGTTTTGCATGCCTCCTAGGCATGCCCAGTGCACATCCCATAGGCACCAGTGGGCTCTGAGGTGCTCAGTTCACCCACCCAGCACCTGCCTAAGAGCCCTTTAGCTCTCCTCATTCTCCCTTGACTTACAGCTACATAGAGTTAGGGATTCTGGTGGGATTCAGTGGCAAAGCTGCCTTTCATTTCCAACGCCTGCCATTCTTTCACATGCAGGTCACCCCAGTCCCTTCTTTCTCCTGGTTCCATCCCTTTCTTACAAACTTTCTTCAAAGTTGTCGTATATGGTTTTCACCTTTGTCACATTTCCAGTGTTGATACCATGTGTTTACTATATATTTTCCTTTAGACATTAGACTGGGAATCTAGGAAAATATATATATATATATATATATATATATATTTGTATTATGCATTATTTATCTTTCTACATAAATATGTAAATTGTTTATATATTACATATTTTATATATAAGGCAGCTTAAGTATATTCATATAAATACTCTATATGATATCTAAGTATATGTTATATATATAAATACTCAAGCTGCCTTATACCTGGAAACCTTAGAAGTTTAAATTTTTTCAATAGACAAAACTATCAAGGGCTTTGTGATTCCTGCCATTTCTCTCAAGTTTAGAAATGTCTCCACTGAGAGACAGAAAATGTATTTCCTTCTCACTTTTTCTATTGATATCATGATAACGCTTTTTCAAATGGTTTAACAATTATGTGGGATGAGAGGAAATTTGTAAGTTTTTAGGGAAGGTTATATCTAGGGAAGAAATCAGGTTATGAAAAGAAAGTGGAAAAACATTATCATTCAAAAACCCAAATATGGACAATTTATTATTACATAAAACTAAACATTTGTGTCCCCTGTGGTCAAAATGCATTCATAAAATTTCTGCAGAAATAATAAATATAGAAAAATAAATAGGCATTATTCAACTTTGGCTTCTCTAGTTACCTGGCAATTAACGTCATTGCTTACTTCACATATTTTGTGGTAAAGACAACCATTAGCTTGCAAACTCACAGCTGGCAACATGGACACTCAATCATGTTGTGGCGCTGGCATCGTTATTATTTCTGAATATAAACTAATGCTTTGATCCATCCTTTGAATGCAAGCAGAAACTCTTTTCTTTGAAGAAAGGCAGTCTTAACTTACAGGTATGAAAATGACACAGAAAAACCTGAAATAACACTATTCTAACTAAGCCAGATTTATATTCTGCTACTTTCTGCTTTAATGAGAACAAGGCAAGTAGTCCAAGTGGCTAACATTCATCGAGGCTTCCTATGGGCTAGGCTCTGCAAAAGGTGATTTTTACACATTAACTTTCCTAATGTTTTTATACTAGCATGAGTCAAATGCTGTTGGTCACTCCATTTTATGGCTTAGAAAACCAAGGCTTAGATAGGTTGCCTGAGATACGTTTCGTGAATATTCTTGCATCAAATATAGCATTGAATTCGCATGACATAGGAAGAGGTCCTGCATAATTGTAAACAGTGTCTCCACTACGACCCCCTCCCAGGACTATTTATCTCTTTCATGATACTGTCACACACATACTCTTTTATAAGCTCTCCGATCTGCTCAATAGTGAAGAAAGTGATTCACTTCAGCAAAACAAACCCATGTGGCTATTTTTTATCAAAAATGATCTATTTCATTGTGTGTTGGATAGTAAGATTCACACAATATATGGCATAGAATAAGTTCTCCTTAATTTTATGTGTTAAAATAGAAATTATTTAGCATTTTTACATTATACTTCAATGTTGGCTTTAAAGACATTTTTAATCTCAGTATTCTGCAATAAGACATCTTTTGCAATGAATATTAATACACTTGTTTCATGTAAATGTAATATATACATTCCTGCTTCTTTAAAATGAAAAAGCAGTCTCAAGGATGCTAAGACATATGTTTTAAATGAAATTCATGCTAGTGTTCTTGGTATTTTATTTTAACATGCTCCCTAAACCTTCCCTGCCACTACCATCACCTGATCAGAGATTCTTCATTTTCAGTGTCCTCTCTGACTACCCCACTTCCTGACAGTTTGCCAGATTCTCACAGACTTCCAGAATTGACAAAATACACTGTGAAAAAATGTCTTAACAATGTGCAAAGTTTTTCATGTATTTTATTGAAATATGTGCATATTACTTACAATATCGCTTAATAAGACATAAAACTGGAAAGTGTTCAAAAGTTAAAGCCCAGGCTGCTGTCATCATCTTCGTTCTTGTGAACTTAAATTACTTTTGTTGAAGAGGAAATAAAAAGGAAAGTAAATGTGGAGTTTACAAAGTATCCATCCTGGAGGCTAAAAAAAAAGTAAGGCAGACTTCAAAATCAACCCAAACTACAGATTCAGTCACCCAGTCAAGCTGACCATACCCTTCTCTTTTACACTTGGGCCAGCTGCAAGGGTCGGTAGTCCCAGCACTGAAGAGAGAAAAAAAGCAACTCACTTCTGCTGCGCAGGATCAGAGATTTCAAGCAAGAATGAATTTTGGAGCACTTTGAATCTACCCCCTTTATCTTATAGATGTGAAAACCAAGACTTCATCCGTTTTCAGTTTCAGGGTAAGTCAATGGAACAATCAAGAGAAATAAAAGTGCTCTGCTCTCACCCCTGTGCTCCTTATTTTATGATGTATGACCTTATTTGGGGACATGCAGTTCTAGGTATAGATCATTGCTTTCATTTCAATGGAATTATCCATATTATTTCCATTTCAATAAACTAATAAAGATCTTAAACTAAGCCAATAATTTGAAATTTTCATCAATAAATGAAAAAATAAAAGACTTCTGAGCACCTGTCAGTATTAAAGAAAATTAAACCTATACCCCTCCCTGACACAATAAAGAATTTAAAAGTTTATTTTCTAAAAGATACTAGAAAATAAAAATAGATTAAAAATACTAACAAAATAAATATACTAGAAAGTCACGCTGTGTCAGGCTGGGTCATATGGGACTAGAAGGCAGGTATTAAATTCTGCGGAGTTCCTATAATAAGGACTCAGATTGAACTCTGAGCTTTTGGGTGGCTACAAAAAAAAAGGGAAATGCAATTATATGAGTCTTGTCCTTTAAAAAACAAAACTCTTTCTAAAACTTGATTAAAAATAAAAATCTTTATTTGTGGATTTCACTAGTATTAAGTATCCTTCGCAAATAGGTTAAAATTATTTGCAAGAAAATTTTACTATAGCCAACTTAATCCATTACAAAGATCTGAGCCAATTAAATGACATAGGGACTCTGGTAGAATGGCCCTTTTCAGTGAATATCTTTGAAAAAAATCTGACTTATTTCCTCATTCTTTTTTTTCTAAAATGAGAATTCTGATTTCTTGTTTATTTTTTAGATCATTTATTCCCTTCATATTCAAAAGGCTATTTAGAGATTATATATATGCATACATAGATATACATACATACATATAGCACATATATCAGAATCATAGATTTTTAGAGTTGAACTGAATCATACATATTTTAAGTTTGACTCATTTGTTTTACAGATATAAAAATCCTTCCTCAAAAAGGTATACTTTTTTACCCATTGCCTCAAAATTAATTCATTTCCAGGCATCTAGGAAATGTCTTTCCTCTCTCTTAGTGTCACAAAACTTTGGAGACTCAGGCTCAGACATTATGACAACTGTTATTTCACTGTTCTACAAACTATATTAATGTAATTGCTGAACAGTCACCCCGAATATTGCCAAAAACATAGTACAGTGCTGTTTTCAACATACTATTAATGGCCATTTCAATGCATACATTTTTTTCTAAGAGACCAAATGACACATGACAGTTTGAACATGTGTCCGATTTAATGACCACTCTTATCTACCTTTTTAGTACAATCATCAACAAGGTACTTATTTTTAAATAAAAAGATAACAAATTCTGGTACTCTAACTGCCAGCACTCATACCATGTAAATAAAGTATATCAGCTTTATTAGGGTCCTCAGTTGCAAACACACTCTTGAGGAGGAATGTATTAAGAAGATCTTGAGTACCTCTCAAAATTGCCATGAAAGTGCAATTTTGGAAGAGGGAGAGAAACAAAGGATTTCCAAAAACAGCTCAGAGTGACATCACTAAACCAGTCTGGTGAGGACACAGATGCGCCACCCCACACATTAGTCACCACAGCATGTGCCGCCACCAACAAAAGAGCCCGACATTGATGATGCTGCTGTGGCCCTGCCACACTGCCCGCTGGACACTGGTGTGGCTTCCTCTGCTGCCACCACCAGCAACATGAGTTCCCTACTTCATTGCATCACCTATGCCCAATTCAAAGTTCAAAGCAAGTACATCCGAACAGCAATTCAATTGTCCTATACCTCAGCAGCAAAGAAGACTAAGAAAGCAAGTAAGTGGCAATTTTGAATTCCACAGTAAGAGGCGGGATATACCTTCCACCAAGATTCTGGATTTTTTTTTTCTTTTAAAGATGGAGTCTTGCTCTGTCCCCCAGGCTGGAGTGCAGTGGCGCACAACCATAGCTCGCTGCAGCCTGGACCTCCTACACTCAAGCGATCCTCTCGCCTCAGCCTCCTAGAGTAGCTGGGACTACAGGCGTGTGCCACAATGCCCAGCTAACTTGTTTATTTTTGTTTTTTGTAGAGTCAGAGTCTTGCTATGTTGCCCAGGCAGGTCTTGAACCCCTGGGCTCAAGCAATCCTCCTGCCTCAGGAGTGCTGAGATTACAGTCATGAGCCACCAAAGTGCTGGGATTACAGTCATGAGCCACCAGCCCTGCTGCACCACCAAGATTCCTCCTAAGATATGGGGTTCAAATGCACATGGCTCCTGGTCCCCATAAGCAAATACTTTCATTCACTGTTCTGATTTTATTAACAGCAACATTGTTAATAGCATTAACAGCAATGTTGTTACTTCATAGTGATCAGCCTTGAAGAAGAGCTAGTGAATAAATGACTTTGTAAGTCACTCTTTAACCTGAAAAAATAAAAATAAAAATAAACTGTAGATTAATTCATCTTATCCAGATTTGGACTCTGCTGTGATGACAAATTTTCTCCATGAAGGAAAAAAACCTTCCAAACAGAAAATGTCTGACCAGTATCTACTAGTTGCTAAGTTAGCATACATTTTTGTGGTAAAAAAAACAATTTTATTTTCTCCCCATTTTATTACAAAGTTGTCCTAAAAGATGAAATTCGAGTAATTTTCAAAATCTATTTCTTACTGAACACACTGAGGAACATCCTCCTCTGAAGAAAAATATTTTTTCTCTAAGCAATCCAATCACTTCAGGCATGTCAAGGGTCCACAATCCAGGGATGGGCTGCCCCAGACCTAGGTTTGCCCATTTCATCAATATCATGTTTACTAAAAACTAGCATCTTCTTGAAAATTTTCTGGACAGCCATCTGGACAGCTATCTGGACAGCCCACACAGGCTTGAGCAAGAATTTAATCTCGTAGGTATAATACATTCCTCAAGATTTAATTCAAATAAGAACATTTTTATGTCACACTCAAACTATAGAGATATGAAAGTTTAGAAATTCCAAATTTGGTAATTACACAGAAAACAAACTTTGTTAGCAATCGCTGGGACAGAATTTCACTCCGCTTTCTTGAATAATTTTCAAGAAGGCTTCTTATATACCCTCCTATGAAAGAAATATCATTTCTCTATTTAAAAGCGATTTCTCTAAAGTGCCCAAGTACAGATGGGGTCAAGTGGCTTCATCTTTGTGATGTGGAACTGACTGAAATGAAGAAAAGAACTGAGTAACATTTGAATGGTACAATTTAATTACCAAACTTCAGCCTTTATTTTGACAAGTTGATCTCTCTTTTTAATAAATGTAACTGGCATTTAAAGATATGTCCATGATGGCAAATTATGTGACTGGGGTTTTTAGGAAATGTTTTCCAATTTGGCAATAAGGAAATATGAGAGAATTTAAATATCATAAAAATACTAGTGAGCACTCATTCAGGTGCTTTTTTTTTCAGACACGAAATTGGGGGTGAAGGCCTTTATTAGAATCAGAGACTGCAAACATTTATTATAATGTTAATCCTATATCGCTTTTGATTTTGTGTGTGTGTGTGTGTGTGTGTGTGTGTGTGAGACCTTGCCCAATTTATTCAACTTATTTGGTGATTTTTATAATATTCTATGATATCACCACATTTTTCTGATATCTTTAGAAACTCAGTGAAATTTTACTAGAGTACTAGTTATAGAGTGATTTGAGAGCTTTCATTTCAATGTAAAATTTTGTTAGAACGTTTATTTATTCATTTAGGTTTTTTGATTGAATAAACCCTAAAACATGTTTACCTAGAAAAAATGTAGGACTCCCTTAAACATGTTTCCCTAGAAAAAATGTAGAACTCTAAGGCCTTCTGAATTAACTGAAAGCAATTTTTTCCAAGAACATTTAATAGTCTCCATTTCTTTTTGAGGAATTATACTGCCATGAGCATTTTTGTGATGTTTCATCCACTGAAGTAAAAACTTATGGCAGTTTAATTCCCCAAATAAAAGGGGCTGCTGTAAACATAACTGAGTTATCAGGAAGCAGATGGTTTTAATTATCTACATAAAAAGCTATTTATATTGGGAATTTGAAAAAACAATCTAGAAACAATACTCACTGTAGAAACATACATTTAATTAATTTGGGCTTTAAAAAGGAATGACGAGTGATTATTATGTGTTACTTAAAAGTCAAATCGACATTAAAGGCTAGTTATGGAAAACTTGAGTGCCTCTGAGACAAGCCTTAAAGAACTGCATTGCATATGTAATTGTACATTTGATCTCTTACAAATAAATTCAGAGGAAGAGGATTATTTTAAAATCAGCACAAGCTCACTTGCATGATAAAATAATAGCCTGTGCTTGATCCAGGAAGTAAGCTCATACTATAGACTCTACAAAGCATACCAAATTTTGTATCTAGGAACACTCATTGGGACTTCAGAACCAAGGGCAATTCATGCTGGATAATTTTTATTTTTCCTCCCCGAAAGATTCTTTTTTATTTTTTTTTTTTAAGCTAGGAAACAGCGTAGGGTAGTAGTTAAGAGCAAACAACCCTCAGGTACAGGGTTGCCAAGTTTAGCAATAAAAATACAGGACATTGAGTTAGATTTGAAATTCAGTATAAGTTCCATGCAATACTGAGACATACTTATACTTGAAAATTATTTGTTGTTTATCTGAAATTCAAATTTAACTGAGTGTTCTATATTTAATCTGGCAACCCTGTCTAGGTGCCAATCCTGTCTCAGTCACTTACTAGCTACATGAATTTGGGCAGGTTATTTAATGCCTCTGTACCTGGGTTTTCTCATCAGTATAATGAGGATAATAATGGCACCTAACTTACAGGTTTGTTTGACAATTAAATGAGTTAATGTTTATAGAGTGCTTAGAATTGTACTTGGCATGTAGTGAGTACTATATATTTTGTTAAAAAACATTACTCCTTCCTGGAAGAAAAAAATCAGTCAAAAAGAACAGCTTTAGAGCCCATGTGAAAAGGTCTTTTGCCTTACTATTTCTGAAAATACCTACGTGTTAATTACAGATCCATGTGACTCAGTTCCTTCAGTTACTATTGATGCACAGACATTAGGGAAATTACCCCCCAGCCCCTCAGGATTACATAGCCCCAGACTACTCAAGTATTCGCCTATGCAGAACAGCCACTTTTATCCGGAACTGGATACAAGTGCAAATATAACTCAAAAGGCAGGGGGAAAAATCCTTAGCTGGAGCAGTCAAGCTACATGGGCATTCACTAAGAGTCTGTAGTTCTCCCTGGTGATGACTCTTTTCTGTTCAACCTCCAATCAAAAAGCTATCTACCATTCCCTCTCCCAAAAAGAATGAAATTTTGTCAACTGCTGCAATTGAAGCATGAAGGAACACACAAGTAGAACACCAGGCAATGGTGGGAGTGGGGGCAAACTCAGTGCTCTAACAAAGAGCAGAGTAATTAATCAGGGGAATATGCAAATAGCATTAGGAGACTTGGGACAGGAGGGGCAGTGGTGAAGGTGGAGAAAACCCACTTAAAATTCTAAGGACCAGACTTGGTTCTTAAAGGGAATTTTCAGCAGTATTTTCTAAAATTCCAAACAACCTTAAGGATCCTATATTCACTTCCTAGGGCTACGTGACAAACTACCACAAACTACGTGGCTTGAAAATCATAGAAATTACTTGTCTTGCAGTTGTGAAACCCAGGAGTTCAAAATCAAGAGGCTGGCAATTTTGGTTCCTTCTGGAAACACTGAGGGAGGATCTTGCCAGCGATATTAGTCCATTTTCACACTGCTATAAAGATACTACCCAAGTCTGGGTCTTTTATAAGCAAAGGAGGTTTAATTGACTCACAGTTCTGCATGGCTGGGGAGGCCTCAGGAAACTTGCAATCATGGCAGAAGGTGAAGGAGAAACAAATGATATGGACAGGAGGCAGGGAAATACTGGGTAGAAGAGGGAGGATCCCCGGCAAAGGCTCCACCCTCAAGCCTGGAAACCGTGGCCCTAAATGAGAACAATTATCCGTGTTTTCTAACCTGAATGTTGATTTTTCCAAAACCACCCTGGCCCACCACACTCCGACATCCTGTACCCATAAAAATCCCAAACTCCACTGGCAGAGGAGCAGAGCAGTGTGGCAGAGAAGGACAGAAGAGAAGAAGCGTCTGAACATCTAAGAGACAACTGGATGGTCAGAAAGGAGTTCGGCTCTTTCTGAGAAAGATGATTTTCCCACTCCATCCTGTTTCCAGTTCCCCATCCCACTGAGAGCCACCTCCATCACTCAAAACCTCCACATTCACCATCCTTCAAGTCCATGTGACCTGATTCTTCCTGGGCATTAGACAAAGACCCAAGTACCAAAAGGGCAGGGTGTAAAGGGCTGTCACCCTGACTCTCCACTGAGCTGATTAACACTTAGCTGTTGTGGACAGCAACTGCTAAAAGAGCATTAATTGTAACACACCCCTGGATGCTACAATGGGGCTGAAGCCTAGAAGCCCTCGCCCTGGCCCTACCACCCACTTGCCTGCATGCTCCCCCTCCTGCAAGGGCTTTGAACACGGAGGCCAGGTAAGCAAGCCACACCCCTGTTGTAAGTCATGCGAAGGGGTCCAGGGTCCTCTCGCATCTCACAAGGATCTTCTTCATATGGCAGCAGGAGAAAGAAGTGCAGGTGGGTGAAATGTCAGACACTTATAAAACCACCACATCTCCTGAGAACTCACTCACTATCAGGAGAACAGCATGGGGGAAACTGACCCCATGATCCAATCTAAACACATGGGGACTACAATTCGAGATGAGATTTGGGTGAGGACACAGCCAAACCATATCACAAGCAACTGACGTTCTTTGGCCAATAGATGCATCACTCTAATCTTTGTCTCTGCCTTCACATGGCCTTCTTTCTTGTGTTTCTGTGGCTTCTTTTCTGTTTCTAATAAAGACACCCATCATTGGATTTAGGGCCCAACCTAATTCAGGATGATCTCTTCTCAAGATCCTTAACAATTACATTTGCAAAATCCCTTATTCCAAATAGGGTTACAGTGTGATGTTTCTGGTAGACACACCATTTGGCAGGTGGGGGAACACCATTCAATCCACTAAGTACCTCAAAACAAGTAACTGACAGTTCAGAGTAGGCTAGCTTAGAATAGAGCAAAATAGAATATGAAGAAGAAAATCAGTGGAACTTAGACAAAACAAAATGAGAAGGAGTTTAGCATAGACCTGAATGGAGACCTACCTCTTAGAAATACTAGATTAAGTGTTTTCATCACTTATTTAATAAAGAGAAATTAGAGACTGATATTTAAAATTTATTATCACAGGCAATTTGCCAAATACCATTTGTAATACACCTTATAAAGTTCATTTTTAGTCATTTTCAACAAATTGTTTTTTATTATCTTCAAAATTACCCAGCTTTCCCCAGTTCTACCAGAGATGGTTGTAAAATAAATAATGACAAGACTGTGGTTCCCACAGTCAGAACTAGGCTAGTAGAATAATTCAGGAAAAAAAAACTGCCTAGACTTCCAAGTTTGCTACATGCTACCTAAGGGCATTTTGGAAATAGCCTGAGGTCTCCTATAATCTAGTGATTTTAACTTGCATCTTTAAGAATCTATTAGCTGCCAGGTTCTAAACCAGGAGAGTTTTTAATATTGTATATAACTCTCACAGCCACACTATAATGGAGGTGTCATCTATGTTTTATAAATGACAAAATCAGGATATGAACCTAGGTCTTTCTAACAACTAAATTCATACTGTTCCACTTCATCTTAATCCTTCCTACAAGGTTGAAGAGTATATTTTGAACATGGAAACCCCCTCCAGTTAAGCGGACCCATTTTCCTTCTTTGTATCTTTGCAACATGTAGCATAGTGCTAGATACTTCCTATGCTTTGTATAAATGGGCAATGACTTGTTGAGTGGAAAGTGAAACATCCTGCGACAAACCTGGGCTGGAGAACTAGGCTGAATCCAATTCATTATATAGTACTAAGAAACTAGTTACCCACTTCTGCAAATGTCTGGGAAGTTCAATTAGATAGAATGATGAAATTTTCACAGTAAATACCTACAGTCTGGTCAGACAACCTACAAGGGCTAAAACTTCTGACTCAGAAAAGTATCTTTTCCTAAAAATGCAAAGGAAGTAACAAGAAGACAGCTGTGTTGATTCAGTTTAAGTAACAAGGCCATGCTGTTTCGAATACCATTTAAAGGTAGACCATATGAAACTCAGTATTTATACATTGCAATGCAGACTTTGTGGTTATTAAAAAAAAGTACCATGATTCTTTGCTTGAATTTAACAGATTAGTCTCCACCCATCCATCAAAATAATGATTTAAATGAACTCTTGGTTATTCAAAGGCAATTTATCCCATTTACCTAGACCCTTTGCTTCTCCTGCTTATTAATCATAATGATAACTGTGAATTCCTGATCAAAGTGTAGAAGGGACATGGGGATATAAATGAACTTCAAGTGAAATAATGTAGATACTTATTAGCAGTTAATATGAAAAGTTTGCTAGAGAAAAAAAAATTACTGCCACAAAATAAAACATTAATCAAAAGTTTGTTTCGTGTTTTAATTTCCAAGTGGTGTGTATCTGTGATCTCTCTGTCCCTCAATACTCAATACTCTACCATACAAAGAATTAGAAGAGCAGGCCGGGCACAATGGCTTATGCCTGTAATCCCAGCGCTTTGGGAGGCTGAGGTGGGAGGATCACGTGAGCCCACTTCAAGACCAGGCGGGGCAACATGGTGAAACCCCATCTCTACAAAAAAATTAGCCAGGCATGATGGCACATGCCTGTAGTCCCAGATACTTAGGAGGCTGAGGTGAGAGGATCCCTTGAGCCTGGGAGGCAGAGGTTGCAGTGAGCCATAACTGTGCCAGTGCACTTCATCCTGGATGAAAGAGTGAGACTCTGTCACCAAAAAAAAAAAAAAAATTAGAAGAGCAATTCATTTTTGCTCTTACTAGCCACATTGATGAGTAACATCAGGGACTTCATTATTACGTATGTCTCAAAATGTTGAAAGTCTGTGATAAAATCTAAAGAATATGTTCTGTCCTGTTTTAGCTGCAAAAGTACAATTCTGAAATGATAAAATTATCCTATGGAAGAATGGTTAAGAGTTTTGCCTCCTATAATTTACCATGAACCCAATCGATTATATTTCTAAAGCAGGGATTGCTAGAATTTAGAAAGATTTGGTGCAGATTTTGATTATATTCATTTTGATATGTTTGTAGTGGAGCTTCGAGGGAATTGGAAGAGAATTACATTAAGCAGCAAGGAGTTGTGAAGCTGTGTCGCCCACCAAAATGAATAAGGGGTCTTTGGTTCTCATGGCCAGTGGAAGAGGTGAGAGAGGTGGAAGTGGGTGCGAGCACACTGTAATGGGAAAGGAGGAGATGGAGCCTAGTGCCAAGAACTAGCTCGTGTCACTTGAAAACCAATTCTTTGATCCTCTTGAGTTGTCAGCGACACCTGATATATGCTCATTCACTCATTCATTCAGCAAGTAGCTATTGCCTCCATAGTCTGTATTTGTATTTGGACACTTTCCAGTTGTTGAGGCCTCTTGTAGTCATAAAAACATGGTAAAATCAACACAAGTAAGGGCATGTTGAATAACAAACACTAGGAACATTGTGTATATTTATCAATGGTAGATTAGTTAAATTATCTTTAATCTATACAGTGGAATACTATAAAGCCTCTGATACAGAAGGGCTGGGCTCCCAGCTAAACCCCACCCTTAAGCCTGGAACTGCAGCTCTAAGTGAAAACCGCTGATTCCATTTTTCTGCCCATATGTTGCCTTTTTGGCCTGCTATGCCCCTATCCTGTGCCCATAAAAAGACTTCAGCTGGCAGAGCAACACAAGCAACTGAGCATCAGGGATAAAAGCAGCTGGACATCAGGGATACAAGCTGCTGAGTGGTGGGGATTTAAGCAGCTGAGTGGCGAGCACAGAAGCAACTGAGCATCAGAGACTATGGATAGACACAGCTAACTTCAGATGGTGCGGCTTCAGGGAAAGATCACCTTCTTCCTGCACCATCCCCTTTCCAACTCCCTATCCTGCTGAGAGCCACTTCCATCACCCAGTTAAACCCTCCACATACACTACCCTTCAATTCGTTTGTGTGATCTGATTCTTCCTGGATGCCAGACAAGAACCTTAGTGCCAAGAAGGCAGGGGCGGCTACCATGACCCTCCACTGAGCTGGTTGGCATTTGGCCATCCTCGGACAGCAGAGCTGAAAGAGCAATGGTTGTAACACATTTGGATGTTGCTGTGGGGCCTACACAGGGCCTGCTCCCGCCAAAGAGGAGCGACTGGCCAGTTCCAGCATTCATTTGCCCCGGTTCCTGCACTCACTTGCTCACACGCTCCCCCTTGTGAGGAGTGGCCAGCAGCAGGCTGAGTGAGATGAGCCACTCCAGTTCCTGCCCACCAAGGGGGTCAAGGTCAAGGGAACAATCTTGTCTCACTTTTAAAGGATTCAATAAAAGATATCTCATAAGGAAAAATTATGACATATTATAAATTTTTATAATTTTATAATTGGGAGATGTACCTAATGCTAGATGACGAGTTAGTGGGTGCAGCGCACCAGCATGGCACATGTATACATATGTAACTAACCTGCACATTGTGCACATGTACCCTAAAACTTAAAGTATAATAATTAAAAAAATTATAAAACAGTAAAACATACTTTAAAAAATATATAATATATAAATACATAGTTTTTTAAGTACTGAAAAAGACATACTTAAAATTCCAAGGATGTTTACCCTTGGGGTGGTAGAATTCCAGAAAAGTTTTGCATTCTAAACATTTGTGACAGGCAGAATAAGGCCCCCCAACCACCAAGATGTCCATGCCCTAATCCCCAGATTTTGTAAATATGTTACTTTACATGGCAAAAGGGACTTTGTAGATGTTATTAAGTATCTTGAGATGGGCAGTTTATCTTGGAGTCTGGGTGGGCCCAATGTCATCGTGAGGATCTTTTAAGAGGAAGGCACAAGGGTCAAACTCAGAAAAGAGGGTGTGAGGACAGAAGCAGACAACAGAGAAGGTCATGAGCCAAGAAATGTGGGCAGCCCCTAGAGACTGAAAAAGACAAGGAACAAATTCTCTCCTAGAGCCTCTAGATGGAACACTGCCTTGACTTCAGTTTCGTAAGACTTATTTTGGACTTCTGATATCCAAAACTGTAAGATAATACTCTAGTGTTGTTTTAAGCCACTATGCTTGTGGTAATTGTTACAGCAGCAATAGGAACCACTACAGCATTCCACATGAACTTTATATGTTTTAACAAAGCACCAATAATTTTTAAACGTATATCCCAAGTGACTTTATTTTCATTCGTCCTGTTATGACCAAGGTAGGGTTTATAGTACTTTCCAAGAAGCTAATCAGAAAGCCTTTAAAGCTTCCAGATCTCTAAACCCCCCACTGGAACTATGGTGTGAACTAGGTCTTAAGTCAGATGCCTCCACAGCACATGTTATACTTAACTCTTTCATACTTAACTCTTTCATAATAGTATTGTATTAAATGAAAGGCTACCAAAAGAAACAGAAGTCTTGCCATGAACATTAAGGCAATCACGAAGCACCTTGTATGCTATTTCATGGTATGCCTATTTGCTCTCTGCCCACACCCCACCCATTCAGCCCCGCTCCCAGTTTCATTGAGTTCTAATAAGCAATAGCATTTTTCTACCATTTAACTGTCAGGTTTTTGTTGTTCTGTTTTGTTTTGTTAGGGGAAGGACTTTTTATAAGTCCAAGTATCTTTTGCTTTGCAATTAGATATCTTTGTCTAATTCATGTTGTCTGCCTTTTTATATTTCTATCTAATACAAACTATTAAGCCATAAACCAATACTAGACACAAATTCCAGGTATTTATAAGGGGTAGAATTGTGTCTTTAAGGAGTTGACAATCTATCGGAAAAACCAAAAAAAGACACATGGTGCTTTGAAGTAAGGTAGAGATAAGCAAACAGGCCAATTCCTAACCACAATCCTAGGAGATCTGAGAAGGGACACTGGAGAAAGTGATAACCAAGTTCTACAACCAACAGAGCCTGAGATGTATCGATTGATCTAACTGGGTAAAATATAGCTGGAACAATTCTCAAATTCCTGCTGTCACCAATAATAACACAACTAACATTGGCTCAGAAATTCACAGTTGATGAAGCATGTCTCAAATATGGTGGAGGTTAAGTGAGACCACATCTCTTGTTGTTTTCCCTATTGAACACTTACGAAAAGGAGCAGATAAGTTAAATGAGCTGCCCAGGAAAATACAGATGTAGCTAAGTAAATCTATTCCATCACCAAATTCCCCCATTGTCAAGCTACTTCTAAGGAAAGAGACACAACTAATGCATCATTAGAAACTAAATTATGACTTAAAAACAAATACATATCTCTAAAAAGAAATCACCAAAAAATGGTATTCAGTTGCTTGCCAATAAACACCATAGCCATCTGACAAAACTATCTGAAAATGAGCAGTAGAAAACTAGATTCAGTAATATTAAATTTAATTAATACCAAATTGTAACTGCTTTCCCAATGAAAGCTAAAATCAAAATGACAAAAAATTTGAAGCTAAATTATTTTCAACAATTATCTTGAATCAGATGCTGTTACTGCCGCCTCCAATTTTCACTGATTGCCAATTCCAAGAAAAAAAATGGTAATTTTTTGTAAGTTTTGAGAAATTTTAATTTAATGAAACACAAAATCATGATCTCCAAAACCAAGTCATAAGTTATTTGGGATAATATTTCAATATAATATCTATATGGAACTATTACATATCAGTTTCAGCTGAGAATTCCAACTATTTTCAAATTCCAAAGTGAGGGACAAGACCAGCATACAAAAAAGATGGCCAAAAACCTGTTTGCAACTTTTAGCCTTTTACTTATAACATAGTTATATTAAGAAAAACTATTCAAAAGTTGGAAATGCAGCAAAAAGGTGACCGTGTGCTTTTTCAAAGTCATGCAGAACCATGGCCTATCAATACCACCTAAGGGTTACCTGATGCTCTAAAGTAGAAGTCAGCAAGCTATTTCTGCAAAGGGTCTTATAGTAAATATTTGAGGCTTTGCAAGATATGGTCTCTATCTCAACTACTCTGTCACTGCAGTGTGAAACAGTTATAGGCAATCAAAGAATGGGAGTGGCTGTGTTCCAATAAAACTTTATTTGCAAAAATAGGCCTGGTTTCATTCAGCCTGCAGGCTGTAGTTTGCCTACCCTTGCTCTAGAGCAAGATACCTTTTCTCTTTACCTTAGCTTGGGGCCGGGAATCTGTGACACATTAGATACCCAGTTGAAGATGATTAATAAATTACAAATTATTTTTGTTCAGTAGAGATGAAAATGATTTCTGCCTGATAGAAAAAAATAATGCCAAAAGATACCATTTCATTGCTCCATAAGACATTAGCCAGTTTTGTATCTAACTTTTCTATCTTGTTTCAGCATTCTTTCTTTCACCAACCTTATTATACTTACATGCTTCGGTATCTCTTATCCTCAACTGAACCATCCCTCATTTTCATCACTCAGTTATGAGTAACATAAATCTTTGGCATGTGCTCACTGCATATTTGTATGAGAATTAGGCTTTTAACATTTTTGAAAAGTGTATTTCGACGGTATAAAAGGGTAAAGTAGGAACCTGGAGAAGGATTTCTTTGAAGAAAGCTAGCTTGTGAGTCATACCATGCACCTCCTTGGGGAAGGTGCCTAAGTTTGCTCCTCCTCTCAAGCCTAAGGAATAGGCTTCATAGGATCCCTTGGAGTTTTGATGTGTGTCTCTGACAGCATGGGGAATACTCTGGGATGTAAACTCTAAAGGGTGAATGGCTGTGGCTTGCTGGTGGCTCCACTGTTGGAATAAAGAGAGTGAGCAGCACTGGGGGTGCCCTTTACATTCAAGGTTTGTCAGGCAATACATGCTTGAGTATTTCCTGCTTTCCATACATGGGCTGTGCAAGGGGAGCTATCTTGGAGTTGTCTCAGAGTCTGCTAAACCAAGTCGTCTGGAGGCACAGGGCACCACTATATACCTAGGGGCTAAGCAAGGAGTTAGCAAGGAGCCAGCCAGAGTCAAGGGTTTGGGAGGGGAGAGGGTAATTCCCAAAGAACTCATAAAAAGCATCCTAAGAGAAACCTCAGATGGTGTTGACTCTGCCAACAATTGTATGTCAAGTCAAACCTTTCTGCTGCCTGTGGCTACTCATTTTCCTGCTGCAATTCTAAGACAGTCCAGAAATCAGCCTAGTAAGTGGAATAGAACCTCTAGGCAGAAATAGAAAAGAAACTGACCATGCTATTCTAACTACAGGAAGCCAAGTCTCAGACACAAAGTGTGATAGAGGGAAATTTCAATAAAATTACACATTTTGATTATGACACTGAACTGACAGTATCAATTACTAAACTGAGAATACAGTGACCAGAACAACTTTTATTGCCAACAGTGACCAGAAAGAATGTCACTTGTCCTAGAGAGCAGATTTGCCAGGCAATGAGGCAAAGGAATTGAGCGGTTTTCTGATGACATCCACTTGCCCCAGCACTTCTGATGTGTATTAATTAGCCCAAGAGGGAAGTGAAAGGGGAAGGTGAAAATCTAGCTTTCCTCTGGGAAAAAAAAATAACAAATATTCAAGACTTCTCATTTAGAAGGCACTTTTTGCTACACCTGGGGATCAGGAAGGGAGAATTTCGCCTATATAATATGCCAATAGGGAAAGGGAACAATTGGAAAACAAAATATGTTTAGAGTGATGCATTTGTGTGGAAGATTTCATCTGAGTATTTTTCTTCACTAAAGAAATGTTCTCAACCTATTGATTTGTATGATCACTCACGCTGTTCCTACACATTCATTTTAAACCTAAATTCATGATTTTTAAAGTACATATTCATCGGAAAGGCCATTTTACAACTCTTAGATTTGCTTTATTTTCTGGTAAGTGATAGATACAGAGCAGTGGTTCTCAACTAAGGGAGATTTTGCCACACAGGGGACACTTGGCAATATCGGGATATTTTATTAGTTGTCATAACTGTAGTGATACTACGGGCACATAGTGGGTAGAGGCCAGGGATGCTGTTAACCATCCTAAAATGGACAGCTCAGTCCTCCACAACTAAGCCATATCTGGCACACAAGGTCAATAGTACCAAAGTCGAAAAGCCTGAATATAAACTGGTCTTCCAGGGAGGGTTTGTTTAGTTGTTTTGAGGCATAGAAATAAGATACAGCCATACCCTCCTGTTAGTTGTAAATTACAATATAAGCTAAAGTAAAATTTTAGAGTCTTAAAATGTTTAGTCTAAATCTAATTTTTAAATTTTTATTTCAGGCTAGGTTTCATTTAAGGTGTATGCTTATATCCTCAGTCTTTTGTTAAACAAATATGTTACAAACGTCCCATTGTTTATCTGGATCTAATCCTTAGTTTTCTTTATCTGCCCCATTTTTATCCCCTACTGTTCTGAGAATTTATATGCTGCCAACTGCATAAATGCTTTTCACATGTTCATCACATGCTTATTTTTCAAGCAACTTCTCAGAGAAGATGTTCCCGTACAGATACTCTCCTTTCCACTGTTTACTGCCTTTCTATATAAATAACAGATTGCAGTAGTGATATCACTGGATCTGGTAGGGGGGAAAAACACCAATAATAATGTTTTTCTTTTCAGTCAATCTATTAGCAGTATGTGCGCCTTTCCCATGAGCCATTTTTGCTAACCATTATCAGAGCTACTCACCATCAAAATCATCTTTGCTTTTAAAAATAACCCTCTTTCCTTCAGCATGTTGGCTGTCATTTATTAGGTTGGAAAACTGATTTTTGCTTTTGATATATGGATTTTGCCTTATGCTTTCCTGTGTTTGTGATAGAGTAAAACTCATTCCGGTCTCTGGTATGTCACCACATTCTCTCGTTTCATAGAATTGAGAATGAACAATAGCAGTGATATAGAGAGACACAGACAGACCTAGACATAGACATAGACATAGACGTAGACATAGACATAGACATAGACATAAATATAGATATAGATCTTAGAAAATCTCTCAGATTTTAATTCCAGAATTTCAAATCCCCTTTATTTTAAAACCTAAGTGTATATGAGAGAGAATAATTCCATTTTTTTCTGACTTAATTCAAGACATAAAATCATGGATATCCAAGAAGCCAGTAGAGCTTATTTTTATAAACCTTATCTATTTCTTGGAATCTAAATGTCGTAGGGCTGAGTGGGCCTCTTACTTGAAAAGATTCATGTTCCCTTCTAGAGAGAAGGCCATATGGTCCAATTCTGCTGAGCAGCATAAGTAATTACTTAAGACAAGACTTGCCTTTAAGGTCAACTAGACAATGTCTAGCGTTAACTTCCTTTTTTTTTTTGAGGCTGGTGGGTAGACAGCCATGAATGCCTTTTTTTCTCTCCTCACACTTGTGCTGACCAACCTTCTTCCTCTCCCCTTCCTCCTACCTTCCCTCTGGTTGCTGTAACACTTATTTTATTTATTAGTTAAATTATTTTAACTTTGAGTTGCATTTATTCAATATTCATTCAAGTTAGTTTTATATTCTGTTTAATGATTTTTACCCCAACCTCCAAGTGTGTGGTGGGTGCTACTGTTCATAGTGAACAGGGTTTGGTCCCTTAGTGAGAGCAATAAATCTGAGACGAATAGCAAGAAACAGACACAGATAATGAAACACTCCACTCACCCAGGATTCATCAACTGCTTCTATTTCTGCTGTTGGCATATGCCTTGCTACTCATCCGCTATAGATTGCAAAGCAAGACGTTGCATTTCTATACTCCAGTTTTTCTTAACATTTAGAGATTTTGAGTCTTGTGTAGAAGGAACACAGTTTAATTAAATCATTTGTATCTAGTCTCATATGTTGTATGTGAAATCTCTCTCACCCTTCCAACTCCTATTTTCTGTTCAGTTACTTATGATTGATTAGTGCTCACTTGCCTCTTTATTTATAGGCATTGGCTTTCCATTTAATATTTCTTAGTGCACTTATTTTTTTTAACTGCTGCTGCTCTGATTTTTTGGCATACACACTAGTGCCTTCTGGACTGTGCTAAGCTTTGACAAGACTGAAGAGGAGGCCCGACTGAATTTGTCTAGTACAGCTAGCACTCCACTCAAAATAACTTTTCCTTTAAAAAATCTATTTTTACTGGTTCAAGCCTCATCTAATCTTTCAATCATAAGGTTGAGCCTTGCATTTTATTTTAAAGTACAAGGGGTAACATTTAAGACATTAATAAATAGAAAAAAAATCATTTTTAATTCTGTACATTTAACATAGATTAATTTGATAAAATTAAATCTGTTGTTTGACTCTACTGAGCTAATCAGCTTTGTAGGCCAAAAATATCAAACACTTGGCCTTTTCCAGTAAAATATCTCATAGTAAAATCTCTTTTCCCTTTGCCAATTCTTGAACTCCATACATGACATGGAGCACTATTTCCAATCGTAAATGAATAATCATGTAAGAAATGATCTAGTTTGTCATAAGACAACTTACGCTAGAACTTACTCTAACGCAATTGCCCGTCCAGTGTGCCTGTCTACAACCAATGCTAAATTAGCACCCTCTGAGTGATTTGCTTTTTTAGGGAAATAGGATTAACAAAGGAAATTGAAATTATTAAGGGATATGAAGGAAAATTTTTTAATTGGTCCAAGTTTGCCTGTGGCCCACTGGACCACATCGTCATCTCCTGATGGGGTCTGAATTCATTATGTTTTCTGAGACTGTGGAAAATTAATAATAAGAGGAAATGGGAAGTGGCAAAACTAAACTAATTCAAGAAAAATAACTGATTATCTGTAGCTTCCCATGACTGTGGAAAGATTACAACTATTGATTCAAAAGACAAATTAAGTTTATTTTATTTTACTTTTGAGTAGATAATAAATGTACCTGGTTATAAAGTAAAACATTAAAAACAATGCAGTAAAAGGCCTCACTCCCACCCCTGCTTTTATCTGCCCTGTTCACCACCTGCCACCTCCAAAGGTAACCCGTTTTATTAGTTTCTTGCGTATCTGTTCAGAGTTTCTTTATGCAATTATAATCAAATGTAAATATATATTCATATTCTTCCCATTTATATTCACATTCTTCCCACTGTCTTATACAAAATATAGAATATGAAATATACTCTTTCAGTTCTTTTTTGTTTTTACCACCCAATAGAAGGGAAAAACTTTCCATCTCAGTATATAGGGAATTTCTTTTTCTTTTTTAGAGCTACCTTGTATTACATTGTAGGGGAAGGACCACCATTTGTTTAATCAGTCTTCTATTGATGGACAGTTAGGTTATTATCAACCTTTTGTATTAGAAACAAGGTTACAACAAATAAGCTTTCCTATAACTCATTATTTGTGTTTGCAGTTTTATGTATAGGATAAATTTCATAAGCAAAATTTCTGGGTCCAAGGGAAAATGCATTTATAATTTTGATAGGTAATACTAAATTGTATTTTATAGTTATTGTGCCATTTTAAACCAATAAGTAAAAAAAAAAATGCTTTTCAGTTTAATTTGCATTTGTCTTATTCTGAGCGAGTTTGAACATTTTTTACGTCTTAAAGGCCAAGTTCTATTTCCTTTCCTGTGAAGAGTCTGTTCATATTATTTATCCACTTTAAGAAAACACATCTAGTCTTTTTCTTATCAACTTCTAGGATCTCTGCAAATATTAGGGAGATTAATTTTTTAATTCATAATAAAAATTATAAGAGTTGCAAATCTTATTGTAAATTTTAAGCTGATTTTTTCCCAATGTGTTATTCATCTTTTAATTTGCTTATGATAGTTTTTATCTATAGTAGTTTTTATATACAGATTATATACAGATATCTGTATATAATCAAACTTATATATGTATAATCAAAAACTACATATATAAACTATATAGAATGATATATAAACTATATATATATATATATATACAGTAATGTGGTCAAATTTATCAGTTTCTTCTTTTATGATTTCTGAATTCTTAATCATATTAGAAATGCTTCCCTACTCCAAAGCTAAAAAGTAATTCACCCATTTTTTTCTTCTACTGTATTACTTTTATGGTTTCATATATTACATTTATACCTTTAATACATTTGAAGTTTTTCACAATATACTATGTGAGCTATGGATTAAACTTTATTTTTTCCCAGTAAACTATCTTATCATCCCAATATCGATATTGTTTAATGAAACTTACTCCTTCTTCTCCCCATTGATTAGAGATCCACACAAATGTTTAAAAAAACAAATAAATATATTTGTAAGATTCAGTCAATAAAAGGCTAGTTTGTAGCTAAGTGCTTCAATCATATTACCATACATCATGCTTTCAATTCTCTCTTGCTTGAAACTCCCTAGATAAAAATGAACATTTTTTAAAGTTAATTTTGGCCCAGTCTATAGCATATAAAGGAAATTACTAAATACACAGAAATATTTTTTATTTATTTATTTATTTATTTTTAGAGACAGGGTCTTGCTCTGTCACCCAGGCTGGAGTGCAGTGGCACAGTCATAGCTCACTGCAGCCTCAAATTCCTGAGATCAAGCAATCCTCCCACCTCAGCCTTCTGAGTAGCTGGGACTACAGGCACGAGCCACCAAGCCCAGCAAATGTTTTATGTTTTGTAGAGATGGGGTCTCACTATGTTGCCCAAGCTGGTCTCTAACTCCTGGCTTCAAGTAATTCTCCCACCTCAGCCTCCCAAAACACTGGGATTACAAGTGTGAGCCACAGGGCCCAGCCAGAATACTTCTTTATTGTTTCCTGGCAATAGTTTTATGAGGATCATTCCAACAAAAATATGATTAGAGATGACTATTTAAAAATATGTAATAACAATAGACAGCCATTAAGTGTCCACTAATAACCAGATAATTGATTAGGCAATTTTGTATATTTTGTCACTTAACTCTCACAATAACCCCAAAAAGTTTATTATATCCATTGCGCAATCAAAAAACAACTGAGGCTCAGTAAGTACCTAACAGAATCAAGATTTTAACTTAGTTCTGCCTTTCCTGCAAACCCATGTTCTCTACTGATACTCATTCTCTCTCTCTTTCTGTCTCATTCTCTCTCTCTTCTTCCCTCTATGTGTGTCTATATAGACACACACATGTGTATATATATATATACAGACACACACACGTAAATATCAATACAAATATTTTATATATGGTTTTACATATATATATATATTCCACAGGCAAACTATAATAAAAATACATACTTATTGAGTGTCTATATGTGCTAGGCATTATGTTAAGCACTTTGCATATTTAACTCAATTGATCTTTTTTTTTTTTTTTTTCTTTTGAGATGGAGTTTTGCTCTTGTTGCCCAGGCTGGAGTGCAATGGCACAATCTCGGCTCACTGCAACCTCCACCTCCTGGGTTCAAGCAATTCTCCTGCCTCAGCCTCCCAAGAAGCTGGGATTACAGGCATACGCCACCATACCCAGCTAATTTTTTATGTTTAGTAGAGATGGGATTTCGCGCTTTTTGTCAGGCTGGTCTGGAACTCCTGACCTCATGTGATCAACCCACCTCGGCCCCTTTTTTCTTTTTCTCTCTTTTTTTTTTTTTTTGAGACGGTGTCTTACTCTGTCACCTAGCCTGGAGTGCAGTGATGCAATCTTGGCTCACTGCAGCCTTGACCTTCTGGGCTCAAGCCATCTTTCCACCTCAGCCTCCCAAGAAGCTAGGACTATAGCTGTGCGCCACCACGCCCAGCTAATTTTGTTTTTATTTTTTGTAGAGACAAGGTCTCACTATGTTGCCAAGGCTGGTCTAGAACTCCTGGACTCAAGTGATCCTCCCACCTCAGCCTCCCAAAGTGCTGAGGTTACAGGCGTGAGCCACAACACCTGGCATGATCCTCATTTAGAAAAAAAAGGAAAGAAAAATTCTATTAACCTCATTTCCCAGATGGGAAACTGAGCAAAGAAAGGATAATTTTCCCAAAGTCACACAAGTAATAACAGGTGGTAGCAGAATTTGAGCCCAGATGACATAGCTCAGTGCCCTTGCCCTTACAGTACTTTATTATACTATGTCATTGTGCACACGGTTAGCAATAAACATCATTAATGGGTTAAAGTTGATCCAATATTAATGAGTCTTCAATTAACCAAAATACTCAGAGACTGGGGCCAATAGACTGATCCCCCAAGTGTTACATGGATATTCCACTCTTCCTACAAACTCTTTTATTTTTAGCATCTTGACCTAGTAAACACAGAACACAGAAAATAATTTGATCTTCCTTTATGATGAAATATCCTGAGGCGATGTGCTTCTTTCACATGGCATGCCTGTATCAAAACATCCCAGTTACCCTATAAATATATACACTTACTATGTACCCACAAAAATTTTTTAAAAACTAAAAGTAAATTGAAAATAAATAAATAAATATCCTATGGAAATATCAGGTCATCCTTAAAGCTGTACTACAACTACTCATCTGTTTCCTCCTCTCCAAGGCTTTCTTAACCAACTCCCTCTTTCTGCCACCCTCTCAGCAACTGCCTCCACTATGCTCCAGCCTGAGTTTGAATATACCTCTGTAACCAGTCTTGACACTTAACATTACTCTCTTGTTTCCACTCAATCTCCCTGCTTCTCCCTCACACCCTTTCTCACCTCCACTTCCATCCTCGCTTTCACTTAAAGGTACTGTCTATTCATACCTATGTCCAGACACAAGCCTGGCAAACGAGTCACCACACATAAGTGTTTCATTCAATAACACCTTAAATGATTTCCCATTTCCCTTTCTACACATCAGCCTATCTCCTAGAATGAGTCATTTTCTTCTTCCTACCAGCTCCTAGCCCCACCCCTTAGCCAGATGTGTCCTATAATCAGATTATTCTATGCTTCACGATTATCCTTCCCTCGTTGAATAAAATGCTTAGATCCTTAGTGCTCTGACCTCAGCCAAATAGCCCTGAGGAAAAGTAAATCAACAGAAACTGTTAGTGAACACTCAACAGCCCAAAGTGTTGGTTCTCCAGATGAAATCAAATTTTAAAAGAGACAAAGCTAAACCAAAGAAATAAACTGCTAATAAAACATTGTGGGTATTTTGGTAGAGAAGGAAGACATTTTCCTGAGGCTCCTTAACTATCTCCTGCACAAGTACCTGTTCTTCACATACCTATTAAGAACATAGGTATATATAAGAAATTTAACAAAAAGCAAACTAAGCTCTAGATCATATTTTAAATATGTGGGTTTTATTTGCTTTTGCTACAGTCCTCATTTCCTATTATCCTCTTTCTATTTTAAAGCCAAGTTCAGAAAGTTTTTAACAAATTGAGGGTTCAGATTACGATCAATTTTGGGTATAAGTATTCATCATCCAATCTCACTGCTTCCTTTTTAGTTTATGAAACCCTGCTGAGAGTTTTACCAATCTACATAGGCTGCGTTGTGGCTAATTACATTTTTGTCTTCATTTATACCATAGGAAGAGCTGAAAATATCATTAATTCCTGAACATAAGAATTTTTATGGCATATTAAATCACTGTTGCAATCCATTTGATTCACCATATTAACAAACTAAAAAATAAAAACCATATGGTCTTCTCAATATATTCAGAAAAGCATTGACAAATCCTACGTACATTCCTGATATATATATATTAAAAAAAAACTTTCAGCAAACTAGGAATAAAATAGAACTGTCTAAACCCGATAACAGGCATCTACAAAAAAACCTACAGCTAACATCATACTTAATGGTTATATTCATTTTTTAGGGCTGCCATATTACAATACTACAGACTGGGTGGCTTAAACAACAAAAATTAATTTTCTCACAGTTCTGAAGGCTGGAAGTCCAAGATCAAGGTCTAAGATTATGGCTAGTTTCATTCTGAGGCTTCTTTCCTTGACTTGCAGATGGCTCTCTTCTCTCTCTGTCTTCACATTGTCTTTCCTCTGCACTTACACATACCTAGGTCCTAATGTCTTCTTATAAAGACCCCAGTTATATTGGATTAGGGCCCACCCATGTCCTAATTTTACCTTATTTGCATTCTTAAGAGCTCTCTCTGCAAATAGTCACATCTTGAGGTACTGGAGGTTAGGACTTAAATATGAATTTGGTGAGGGGGAACAAAACTCATCCCATAACGATGGTAAAAGACAATGCTTTCCCTTAAGGTCAGGACAAGGCAAGAATATTTGCTCTCACTACTTTATTCAACATTGTACTAGAGGTTCTAGTCATTTCAGTAAGGCAGGAAAAAATAAATAGAAGATATTTAAATAGGAAAGGAAAATTCAAATGAATGTATATGTACCGCCAATGAACAATCAAAAAATACAATTTAGGATTGTATTTTTAAAATATAAAAATACAATTTTGAAACTTAAAAAATACAATTTATACCAGGATCAAAAGCCATGAAATACTTAGGAATAAATCTCATACAATTTGTGCAAGATCTGTACAATGAAAACAAGAAAACATTGCTAAGGGAACTTAAAGAAAACCCAAATAAATGGCTATAAATTTTTTATTGATTAGAGACCACTATTGTCAGGATGTCAACTCCCATTAAATTAATCTATAGATTCAACTCAATCCCAATGAGAACTCAGCTGGCTTTTCCGTAGAAACTGACAAACTGATTCTGAAAATGCAAAGTGCCTAGAGTAGCCAAAATAAATTGAAAAGGAAGAACAAAGTTGACTAAATAATTCTGATTTCAAGACATAAAAACAAAGCTGTCTTTATTTACTAAAGATACTTAAATAGACCAATGAAACAGAACAAAAAACCATGATTACTTCTACCCATATGTGGACAACTGATTTTTGAGAAAATGCAAAGGCAATTCAGCAAAGACAAGATCGTCTTTCAACAAATGGTACCATTTTCAACAAACAGAACATTAAGAGAAATAAATTTTAATTCAAATCTCATATAATATACAAAAATAAACTCAAAATGAATTATAGACCTAAATGTAAAATCAAAAACCACAAACCTTCTTTAAAAAAATGAAAATCTTTGTGACTTTGGATTAGGCAAAGATTTCTTAGATACAAAAAAATATAGATATGACTATCCATAAAAAGAAACATTAATAAACTATAATTTATCAAAATTAGAAATGCATGCACCTCAAAAACATTTCTTAAACAATTAAAAGACGAGCCACAGCCTGGAGAAAAACACTGTAAATCCCATTGCCAACAAAAGACTTGTATCCAAAGAACTCTCAAAACTCAATTTTTAAAAAATCCAATTTAAAAATGGTCAAAAGACAGAAATAAATCCACATATATATGGGGTTAGGACTTAAATATGTGAATTTGGCAAAGGGGAACAAAACTCATCCCATAACACTGGTAAAAGACAATGCTTTCCCTTAAGGTCAAGACAAGGTAAGAATGTTTGATCTCTGACAAGGATGCTAATAATACACAATGAAGAGAGAATATGTCTTCAACAAGTGGGTTTGGGAAAACGGAATAGACATATGCAAAGGAATGAAATCGTACCCTTATCTAACACCATACACAAAAATCAACCTCAGACTGCATTAAAGACAAATATAAGACAAGAGATCGTAAAACTTAGAAGAAAATGAAGGGAAAAGTTTTATAATATTGGTCTTGACAATGGTTTCATGAATATGACATCAGAAGCACAGGCAACAAAAACAAAAAAAACAAGCAGGACTGTATCATACTAAACAGCTTCTGTATAGCAAAGGAAATAATCAACAAAGTGAAAAGGCAACCTGTGGATAAGGGGTTAATATCCAGGCTATATAAGGAATGCCTACAACTCAATAGTAAAAAAAATAAAATAAAATAATCCAATTTAAAAATGGAACTTGAATAGACATCTCCAAAGAAGACATACAAATGACCAGCAGGTATACGAAAAAACACTCAACATCACTGCTAATGGGAATGTGAAATGGTACAGCTGCATACATCCATGTAAAGATTTGTACATGGATGTTCATACAGCTTTAACTATAATGGCCATAAGCTGGAAACAACTCAAATTCCCACTAATAGGTAAATAGACAGATAAATCGTGGTATATCCAGACAATGGAATACTATTCAGCAATACAAAGGAATGAACTATTGATACAGATGACATAAATGAATCTCAAAATAATTATGCTGTTAAAGAAATCATAACGACAAAAAAGAGTATACTGTATCATTCCACTTAAAGAAAACTCTGTAAAATGCAAATTAACCTATAGTGGCAGAAAGCAGATCAGTGGTTGCCTAAGGGGGTCAGAGGAAGGAATTACTAAGGGGCACAAGGAAACTTTTGGAAGTAATGGAATGTTCTATGGTGAAGATTTCACAGGTGCATACATATAACTAATCAAATTGCATTCACTAAATAGGTGCAGTTTATTGTATGCCAATCACACCTCAATAATGAAAAAAATTCACAGGGAACAGCTCACTCTCCAAATATTTCCCAAATTCTGATTTTCACCAAAGTTCACTCTGCCTTTGCTTTTGCTGTTCTCTCAGGTTAAGAAGCTCTCTCTCCTTTCCTATACTTATTCCTGTCATCTCACCTGTCTATCAAAAGTCTTCTTGCTCCCCAAAGTCTCAGTCAAGCTCAAGGAAAATGCCATCTCCTTCAAAAAGCTCTTCCCACTATTCTATGTCTACCTGAGTTGCTCCTGTCCTTATAATCTCATCTGGTTATTTCATTTTGTCTTCGTAATACAGATAACTTTTTTTTTTTTTTTTTTTTTTTTGAGACAGGATCTAGCTCTGTTTTCCAGGCTGGAGTGCAGTGGCATGATCTCAGCTCACTGCAAACTCCATCTCACAGGCTCCAGCAATCCTCCAGCCTCAGCCTCCGGAGTAGCTGGGACTACAAGCATGCCACCACACTTGGCTAATTTTTGTATTTTTTGTAGAGAAGGGATCTCCCTGTGTTGCCCAGGATGGCAACTGGGCTCAAGTGGTCCACCCGCCTCAGCCTCTCAAAGTACTGGGATTACAGGCATGAGCCACAGTGCCCGGCCCAGTTAATTTTTACGTACTCATCATCCCCATCACACCAAAAGTTCCTTGAGAGAGAGGCTGTTACTTTTTTGTTGCTAATTCTACCTACGGCCTAGCAGAGCTTTTGGTTATTGAAGTACTCTGTAACTGCTTCAAGGGTGAATAGCTCCACGGAAGGAAGAAACAGAAAATAACATATTCCATTCCCTTAGCTCAAGTTTTCTTCTGAAAGGCAACCTCTATTCTAATACTCCAGTTCGTGCAGATGTGCTGAACAGCACTCATGTGTTATCTACACAAGGAGCTCATTTTAAACACGTCTCCCTGGAGATAACCTCTTAACCCAAAGGAACGATTCTTGTGGTAGACGTTTAAGACATTCTGGCAGGCTGGTGGGGAAAATAGCATTAAGAAAAATAAGACCTTACAAAATGCCCTCGCATGATCCTGAGCTGGAAGTCCGCCCTCAGAACAGTGGTACAGGAAGTGATCGCTCACTAGCTGAGCCAATAGATTTTTTCCAAGTTCCCCAGTGATCCCTAGGGAGTAGCTGTGAGACTTGAAGAATCTGTGTTGCCTCCTGTGTTACCTGAAAATAAGAGATTTCTGTTGTAATTTTTTTTAATAGATGAGAAAACCAAGGGACAAAGGGATCCAGAGGTGACAAAATTTACAGGCAAAACAGATGTTAAGTATTCTAACTCTCCTGAGCCCAGGCCAGAATCTCTTACAGAGTTTTTTAGAAAATGTTTCTTTACTATTTTATTAAACACTGGAAAAATATTTGACATCCTACCAAAGCTTTTGTGGTTTAAAAAGCAGTACTAAGAGTTTGGGGACACAGATTGCTTATTTGGATATAATAGAGAGTACAATCATATTTTCATCAGTGTGTAGTTTAAGAGCTATTTCTTTTTTTTAATAGGCTGATATAACCTAATTCAAAGGAAATAGAATGTGCGTTTAACGTAGTAGCAACTAAACAGGCTTCACAGACTGTGGGAAAGACCTTTGAGGTTGAAGTTAAGAAATGTTAACTTCTCGACCGCTCATAAACCCTGACAGCATAACAGATTATGTACATTTTTTGCTAGATTGTAAAACCCATGAATGTAAGGATCTCTTATTTCCTGATTTAGCCTTATTCATTTATTCATTTATCATATATTCTCTCTGTGTGTTTTATATATGAAAGACTGTTTTGCACCTGGGACATAATGACAACTGAAGTCTCCTTCTCTAACTGAGCTTACATTCTGGTAGGAAAAGATAACCAATCAAATACACATAGCAGAGAGTGACAAACACTCTTCAGAGATTTAAACTAGGGCATTGTAATTGAGAGTTATCAGCTGGCCACTAGTTGGATGATCAGGAAAGCACTGTTTGAAGAAGTAACATCTAAGATAAGAACTGAATGACAAGGAGAAACCGGTCATGCCATGAGCCAAAAGTAATGGCTCTAGACAAAAGTAATGGCCTGCTAAGGCACAGAGGAGACTGGCATGTTCTAGGAAAAGAAATATAGTGTAGCTAGAGCCTAGATGTGGAACAGAGGAGCAAGGGACAATGAGAAAGAAGAGGTACAAAGGAGCCAAGCAAGGAGGGGTTTGTAAGAAAGAATAAGGTGCTCGGATTTTATTCCAAGTGTAACAGGAAGTTAGTGGAGGGTCTGGGCATTAGAGTTGCATGATCTGATTTATCATTTTTAATGATAATTAATGATCCCTCTAGCTACCACCTGGAAAGTGGGCTATTGGGGAGGCAAGAGTAGAGGGAAAGAGATCAGTTAGGATAATATTGCAGTAGTCTAGGAAAGAATGAATAGGGACTACTATTGGACTAGTGTAATAGTAGCAGCAATAAAGAGAAATGGATAAAATCAAGACATGTTTTGTAGGTAGAACTAACTATGCGATTGGAAGGATTCAAGACATGTTTTGTAGGTAGAACTAACTAAGCGATTGGAAGGATTCAAGAATAATGCCTAGAGTTTTAGCCTGACTAACATTTACTATGACTTAATATGTGCTTTTTTTAAATCGCTGCTTAAATTTTAATTTACTTAACCTCATTAGATCTAGAATTTTAGATACTTTATGATCCAATATCTTGCAAAGGATAACACCAAATCCATACCAAGTAGTTAAGAAACTTGTTAGACTAGTTAGTGAGAGTTGGTATTATAACATGGATTTCCTTGACTTCCCATCCACTGCTCTTTTAGTGACACTATGCTAAATAGAACAAAGCCGTAGGAAGTATTATTCCTACTACCTAAGGGCAACAAGACCAGATCAGCAATGTTGTGATGAACAGTCCCTTTCCCCAAGTGTACACGGAGAGCCAGACACATGCAAGATGGTACACACCTCCACCTGACATATCTAATCAATCATAAGACTTGTTCATTTTATCTCATAAACAATATTTCTAAACCCTAGTCCAAACTCCCAGTTCTTCCATTTCACACTTACCTCTTCCAGTCCATTCCCACCAACATGCAGGCTAATTTTTTTTTTTTTTTTAAGTTTTCTCAGGTCATTTAGAAGGGTCATGTTCCTTCCTGCTCAGGGAGACATGTGCTAACCTCTCTGAAACCTCGCCCCTTGCCAACCCACTCTTCTTCACTTGGGCCTATTTAATTCACATTCTGCTTTTGAAGCATTGCTCAAATTTTGCTTCCTCAAAGAAATGTTTTTTTGTCACCACCACCCCCAAGTAGGTCAGATATTTCTGTTATTTATAGATCACTTTTAATTTTTATAGAACTTAAATTGTGCAACTGGCATTTAATATCCGTCTTTCCTGGTAGTTGAATGCCTGTCACCCCTGCTAGAATGTAAGTTCAAGGACAATTTGTACCATATTTGTCTTGTTTACCTCCATGTCTGCAATTTCTATAAAATGTCTGATATGTCATAGGTAATTAATGAATATTAATGAATTAAATAAATCAATGTATATGTTCTTTTTGGCTGTAGACAAGATATATCTCATGTATAGTTTATGTTACTAAAAAGTTCTATAAATGCTAATTACACACAAACAGGAATGTCACATTTGACAGGAAATCAAATAATTGAAAGATAATAAATATGCTTAACCTCCACAGAAGGGGAAAACATGAACGAGAAACAGGGAAAACTTGGGTGAGTTCAAATTTAATCAAAATTACCTGAACATTTACACAAGTATTTACTTTTGCTTTTAGACACATTATCTCACAAATGCCTTCCAACCTAAAATAGCTCACCCCATCACCCATGGCAACCCCTCTCTATCCAACAACTCTGCTTTATTTGTCTTCACAGTACTTAATTCTGACACACTAGTATATTAACCATTTACTATTGTCTGTCTTTCCCTCTATAATATAAGCTCCACAAGGGCAGGGACTTTATATGATTTAAAACTATATCCCCACTAGAACCTGACACATGGGAGGTGCACAATAAATATTTGTTGAATGAAGGAGTAATATTGAGTTATCTCAACAACCAAGCCAAATAGAGATTATTTCCATTCACAGTTGACAAAACAGATTGTCTAAAAACATGAATTACTACTTGCTCAAAATCGTGCAATTTGTAAGTGATGAAGCCCTGATTCAAACTCAGGGTTTTATGGTCCCCAGTACAGGTCCCTGCTCACAGAGTAGAACACACAGTTCCTAAAAAGGCCTAAAGCAGGAGGAGAATCATTACTAATTCAGAATGAGTTTACTTATTCAGAGGTTTCTGATTGGGAAGGCCCAGATGTGGGTGAAATACTTGCACATAGTTTTTAGCCTTCACTGAGAGGCTGAGTCTGGACAGTCAACCAGCAAGACATTGCTTCTTGGTATCATAAACAGATTTGATGGTTAGGGAGAAGAGTCCATTGGAAACTTGGGTTGAGATGGTGGAACTAGAGATTGGGGAGGAAATAGGAAATAGTCAAGGAAAAGGCTTCAAAGAAACATGATGCCTTATGAATATCCCACCAGTACCTGACCTATTCCCTGAGATACTGCCCCAGTCTTTGCCACTATTATTTCTCACCTGGGAAGAGTTTTTCAGAAACTGGGCCCAGAAACAACCTGCATCAGAAACAGAAGTGATGAATCACAAACTTTGGGGTGGAACCTATAAATATACCTTGTTAACAGCACCTTGGTTGATTTTTGTGCATATGAAAGTTTGATCACCACTAACTTAAAAATTAGGATTATTACCATGTTGACATGATACCTAGATATGTTAAAGAGCATAAAAGATGGTGCCCATGTAAATACTCCCAGCCCAGGGCCAATGTGGTTTAGAAAAAGAAAATTATTGAATAGGTATATCTGGTTATAATTTTTGTTTCTGCACAGCTAAACACAATCAAGGTAATACTCTCTGAAATATTTGCTTTGATTTTTTTCCTCTTCAGTCATCATGAAATTTCCTACAGAAACATTCAGTAGAAACAAATCTTCAAATAACCGTGAGCTGATTATCTACAGTGTTAATGATAACAAATAAACCTGTGAGCTCACTAATTAGTAAGTAATTGGAAGAAAATTGTATCTTTAATTTTTGTGCCTTCTTTGTGTTTTCCATTTGATTTTGTGGTTTACTGGGGATGCTGGGTGACATTCCTGGGCAGGGTCTTCACACAAACTCTACAGAATTATATGTGAAAACAACAGTACCTTCCTCCTGGAGTTTCTCTGAGAACCAAGTGCAATAACATAGAAAAAGTACCCAGCCCATTGCCTTTAAGCACTGTAGAAACTCAACAAATGTGAGCTGTGATGACTGCATTTCAATTTCTAAGAGACACATGCATGTCCACATAAAAAAGAGAGGAGGCAAATCTTTTGAGGTTTCCATTTTCATTCTTACAAATATATTTCAAACTAAATATATTATATTATATTTGAGCTAAATATAATTAAATGTGTTCTCACACATATATTCTTTTTTTTAATTTATTTTATTTTATTTATTTATTTTTTTGAGACAGAGTCTCACTCTGTCTCACCCAGGCTGGAGTGCAGCGGTGTGATCTCGGCTCCCTGCAGCCTCCACCCCACCCAGGTTCAAGTGATTCTCCTGTCTCAGCCTCCCGAGTAGCTGGGATTACGGCATGTGCCACCACACCCGGCTAATTTAGTATTTTTAGTAAAGAAGGGCTTTCACTATGTTGGCCAGGCTGATCTGGAACTCCCGGCCTCAGGTGATCCACCCGCCTCGGCCTCCCAAAGTTCTGGGATTACAGGCAGGAGCCACAGCACCCGGCCTCACAGATCTATTCTAAACTAGTTTATAGTCTCAGTTGTTTACCACTCCATTCCTCTCCTTTATTATTACACAAATAATCACGGCCATATCACCAATGTTACGATAGCCATAGAACATGTTGTCTTAGCAACTCACCCTCCAGGGAATAAAGCTGTGGTCTGGAAGTCACAGCCTGCTGTTGACCCCACATCCCACTTGGCTTCTCTTTCCTGAGATGGTGCAGCCATGTCTTCAGGCAAGTGACATAGTCAGGCTCCTTTCTTTGCCCAGATGTCAAGCATACATCCGTGGAGTAATTATTCATTAATTTTCAGAAAAGAGCATTCAACTCTCAGGTATTTTCCAGAAAGTTAATCTTAAACTCTTTATCACAACCTAATTTTCAATTATAATACTGTAGGAGGCTTGCCTAAAGGATGAGCTGTCTGTCTGCTTCTCAAAACACTCTAATTTTCACCCTTAAATGAAACCACGTACTCAAAGGACTACTCACCTGGATATTTAGGCCTCCTGTATAGCTCTTTCGTGGCGCATCTTTCAGATCATGCCACAGTGTAAGACACAGCACCACAGAATGCATGTGTGTGCCATGAGCAGGTTCATGGCCACCATTTTCTAGGGTGTCACTTGCACGAAGACTTACAGAAGACAATTTCCTCCCATGCCCTCAGCTACTGGATGGCTCAAGAACAGAACTTCTAAAATCCTAAAAATGCAATCTCCAACCAGAAAGCCTAGCTTCCCAGACGAAATCTTCTCTTCACTTTGAGTCTCTCATGGAGCAAGCAGGCAGAGAAGGACCTGTTCAACTATGCGGTTCATCTGTTCTCACTTTTGCTCCATTTCATGTGTGTTAATTAAAACTGGAAATAGGTTTTGTGCCAACATTACAATACAAATGGAAACAGTTGCCTTTTGGAAAGATCATTTTGGTCTAAAAAGTAGAAGTTTACCCCTAAAACTTGTCTTAAATATTTTGAAGTTGGGAAGCTATGTTTTCTGAAGGAAAACCTGTAAAGAAAAGTAACTGTGTTGGTCAAGCCTCCTATTTGTAAGCATCAGGCACTAACCTTGACTTATTTAAGTGGAAAGGAGATTTTTTAAAAGGATATTGGGCATTCACAGATAAGAAAACTGGAGAATCAAGCCTGGGAGCCTATCAGTCCAAAACAGAATCCAAAATCCTAAAACCACTGCTGCCACTGGGAATTCCCATATATGCCTCAAAAGTCCAAACTACAGACTGCCACCCTGACCCGTGGCAGAGCATCTATCTCCCTTAGACCTGGGCTGCCATCTGTCTACTTCTCACCCACCCTCAATGCTACTCCCAACAGCCTGCAGATGGCAACACTGCCAGACATTACTGATACCAGGCACTGAACCAGGACACACATTAATGCTCTCCCACCGCCCACCTTTAGGAACAGGATGCAATTGCCCTCCCTATCATCACTTCTCTCAGACTAGAATCTGGACAGTTTCTTCTCCTCTTCATCGGCTTCCCACACAAATCTGGGCAGAAGTGTGTGTGCATGGTGGAAATTTTAGGTCATGTGCTCATTACTCTTCCTGCAAGGACCATTGGAAATGAGACTATCTGACATACCCAACTGTATAATAAGAAGGAGTTTCTGCCTCATAATGTGGGAAATTTCCAGATATTGGAAAGGAAGTTGAGATTGTAGGTAGCCAAAAAGATTAAACAACTATTTACTACAACAATTGATCTTCTCTTCTTTAGAAATATAAAGTGTCCCTTGAGACTAGGTGCAGTGGCTCAGGCCTGTAATCCCAGCACTTTAGGAGGCCAAGGCAGGCAGATCACTTGAGGTCAGGAGTTCTAGACTACCCTGGCCAACATGGTGAAATGCCATCTCTACTAAAAATACAAAAATTAACTGGGTGTGGTGGTGCGTGCCTGTAATTCCAGCTACTCAGGAGGCTGAGTCAGGAGAACCACTTGACTCTGGGAGGCGGAGGTTGCAGTGAGCTGAGATAGTGCCACTGCACTCCAGCCTGGGCAAGAGAGTGAGATTCCATCTCAAAAATAAAATAAAATAAAATAAAATAAAATAAAATAAAATAAAATAAAATAAAATAAAATAAAACATCCCTTGAATATGAGACATACCAGTGGACATAGGAAATCTTTTTGAATCAAAATCTTCTAAGAAGGGTGATTTCTTTTTCCTGTCTTCTACGGCCCTGCTAAAACTGTAAGCACAGAGATGGACAAAGTGAAGATTTCCAGTTTTTTACAAAGGAAAAGCCCAGCTCCTCATGTCTCCTGACTTAGCTCACAATAACTTCATTCTTGCTCCTTCCGTTTTTGCATCCAGTGATATTTTCTCAGAGGATGTGCCAAAAGATGTATTCTGGATAGACACTGAAATGTATTCTGAATACACCACAGCTAGAGAACCTTCCTGGGCACATGATAGCTTAGTAAAAGAAGAAAATCTAAAACTTTACATTATGATGAATAATTATTTATTACAGATAAAAGAATATTTCAAACATTGTACGACAGTATTTATGGGTCCTAACCATAAATCCTAGATGGCACTTTTCTCAGCATTGTTTCAACAGGTTCTCCTAGTTCCTTGGAAGTTAGCCCTACATCTGCCTAACATTTTCTTTTAACTTCAAATTCTCAATGATCTATTATGCACTATATGGGCAATTAATAAATACTCATTGACTGGATATAAGGCCTGTATCACTGTTTTCAAAAAGTCAACAAAAAGGAGCCATGAGCAGTCACTTTGGAGAAATATGCTTCTCTCTCCCCTTTATGGGTATTTGCCCCCCTGCCTTTTTTGAAATTTACCCAGTTATGACACATTATATTAATTAATAATGAATCTACTGAGTATTTTGTAAATGATTTACTCATAAATGAATTTCTATTGAAATTAGAGGGAGAACTGTATTTTAAGGTATTGTATTAATGATACAGTCAGGACGCAGGGATATAACGGGTAGAAAAGGGCAGTTGCCTGGCAAAGTACCCACCCTCAAGCCTGGAAACCCACAGCCCTACATGGGAACAGGCATTCCTATTTTCACACCAAAACGTTGCATTTGGCCTGCCATGCCCCCCTATCCTGTACCCATATAAATCCCAAACCCCAGGCTCCATGAGCAGAAGAGCAGAGGTGTAGAAGAGTGGCACAGCAGAGAGAGAGAGAAGAGAAGGAGTGTCTGGATGTCGAGAGGAGTTTGGCTGGGGATGGTCAGAGAGGAGATCGGCTGTGGGATGGCCAAACTCTAGGGGAAGATCATCTTCCCACTCCATCCCCTTTCCAGTTCCCCATCCATCCCTTTGACAGTCACCTCTATCCAGCAATAAAATCACTGCATTTACTATCCTTCAATTTGTCTGTGTGATCTGTTTCTTCCTGGACAATGGACAGGAATCCAGGTACCAAGAGGACACTGAGCTGGTTAACACTTAAGCCGTCTGCAGACAGCAGAGCTAAAGGAGCACTGTAACATGCTCACTGGGGCTTCGGGAGTCACAGACACCCACCCCTAGACACTACTGTGGGGCCAGAGCCCAAAAGCACTCATCCCAGCTCACGCACCTGCCTGTCTGCATGCTTCCTCTCCCATGAGGGTTTTGAGCACAGCAGCCAAACAGACAAGCCACACCCCTGTCACATGTCCTGAGAGGGGGGTCAGGGAACTCTCCCATTTCATTAAATATCATGTTTGATATAGTTTTAAAACAAAAGAAAGTCATGAATTCGTTTTGGGTCAATGCAGAATACAAGTGCGTAAAATTAATGTGATGAATATCCGAATGCTTCCCTCACCTCACCCTCCTTACAAGGAGTAGGTGCAAGGTCCTTTGAGTCTTAGGAAACAGGTGAGCAAGGCAGGCAGGAAGAAGCTAGAGTCCAAGGGGCACGAAAGCAGAAAGCACATGGGAGATGCCAAGGGAGTCAGGATGGGGTCAGATTAAAAAGAGTCAGCAGAATTTGGAGTCAATATGTAAAGACAAAATAAAGAAACTAGGACCAGGAAATGGAAAACAAAATTGTGCAGAAATCAAGAATGTTCAAACACACAAAAAAAAAAGTGAAGAGAAGGAAGGGAATCCCACCCAGTTGCCTAGAGCATTGGTTCTCAAATTTGGATGAATATCGGGATCAATTGGAGGTCTAATAAAATACAGAAAGGCCATCTCCAAAAGACAAAGAAGCTGGCCCTGGAAGTAGGAGAGGATCTGGGCCTTCATATTTTTTACCAAGTTCCTCAGGTGATTCTGATACCAATCAAAGTTTGAGAAACACTAGCCTAGGATGTCAGCTACCGGAAGGAGAGAGAGAACTCTGAAACATTTTAATGACTTGTGTGAGAAATCATATTCCTCTAAAACAATGTGTTGGATTTTCTACTTCACAAAAGCATTTTAGGATAGGCAATTACCTCCCTCGCTGCAGGGCTTTAGGTGTGAGGAGGAGAAACACATTTTTCTAAAATGGGGATGGAAACACAAGTTAAATGTTGCATATCATGCCTTCACTGTATTGTCATTAGCCTCAGGGTCTAGTAAAGGAAAAAAATTGTCATTTCCTCTTGACTCTTCAATTCAGTATTTGGCCACAGCAGACTTCATATAAACATGCTATTGTGGGCATCAGCCCCCAAGCAAGTAAGCCGCTACCTCTGGCAGATCTTAGCCCCACACTGTGTAAGAACAAGGCCTGTGCATGCAGCCAGTTTCTCAAGTGTATTCTTCAGGCAGGTGCTGCTCTCTCCCCTCACCTGTGCCTCTGGCCCTTTCATGTCCATGGTTCTAGTTCTGCCTAACTTCTTACTGCCTCTATCATGTTAATCAAATAATGGATTAGTTAAAATAAAAATCAAACAAAACAAAGCATGAGAAAACTTATTTAAAATGCATGGCATTCGTGTTTAGAAATGTGCTTTATGCTACCAGTATGATTTTGGTTGACATATGGCCAGGAGATATTCCTTACAGTTTTGTGTCATTTTGCTGAGTAGAGTAGCTTTGTAGAAGAAAAGGGCCAATCCAACCCTTGATGTATTACCAGAAACTGGGGTGTGTCTATGTATATGGAAGAGAGAGGAAAATTCTGTCATCAGGGTGCTTGTGATGGATGAGTTGCGTTAGGTATTACTCCCATAAATTACAAATGCTCAATCTGCTATCTTCTGTCAGTCAAGATAAATTGGGGGTCTTGCCCATAATTGACATGACTGCTGACTCTCACAGCTAAAATCTGTTCATTTCCTGCAAAGAGGAATCTTAAAGTTTTATACCCCCATTCTTTAAGACAACTGACTTTTGAACTGATCACATCAGAAACATCTAGTAAATGCTTGATGCATTCATTAAACCTGTTTGCATGCCTGTGTGAAGCCCTGGGTATTCAGAGATTTTTTTAAAAGACATGCCTGTCTCCCCCAAAAACTCACAGTCTAGTAGAAAACTCAGACACGATTTTAAAAAGGCTGGCCTACTTCTCCCCGATAACCTCCAGAACTCTGTCTCAGGAATCCCTTAACACTGCGATGCTCTTCTGTAGGCTTTAAAAAAATAAAAATCTATTTTTACTACTTGCTTGTCTTTTTCTTTTCAAGTCAAATTCCTTTGAGATTCCTTTCTAAAGTGTACCCAAGAACATTTTAATTCTGAGATCGAAATTTAAAAATGCAATGGCATTTTTCTTAAAGTGCTAGAGATAATAGCTAGTTCTAGGTACTTCAAAATCCAAAGACCTCAAAAACATCCTCGGGGATTTAAAATGTTATATTGAAGAAACCACACCTAAGTTTAAACAAAAGGCTTACCAAGAGCCAGAGCTGCACAGCTATCTGTTACAAAGAGAGACAGAATATTGAAGGAAAAGAAGATGGGCCTTAAAGCAAAGAGAACTGAGGCTGAATTTAAACTCTAAACTTTTTTGCTATGTGATGTTAGGGCAAGTTGCTGAAGGTTCCAAAATTTCATTTCCTAGTGTTTAAGTGTACATAAAAACTGCTTTACCCTGTGGCTATAAGGACTAGAAAAATGTTTGTGATGTGCCTCACACGTAAGGGTACTTTATAAATGGTAGCTATACTTGCATTATTCCTAGCTCAATTACTTCTAGAAATTAAGTTATTAACTACAACTTGGGTAATTACACACCAATAAAACAACTACTTTAAAAATCTGGTTAATAATGATAGCCTGGGATAAAATAGTTTCGTTTTTCAGATACATAGGCTTTCCTCTCCCATATACTTAAAAATACACAATTAAGGACCTAACTCGATTCCTCCTGGAAGATTCCCAGTCATACTGAGCCTGTCCTAGAAGATGAATGAACCAAGTCTGTCACTCAGTGCCTCACTGGTGACTCTCTGGCTTCCTCAGCCCCTTGCCTCCCTTCCGCTTCCCCTTCCCCTTCCTCTGCCTCTTACCACATGTGTTTTCTATGTTTTTCTCCTCTTTAATACTTTCACCATGAAGGACTGTTTGCAAAATTAAGGTTCCTTCATTATCTATTTTTGGTTTTCCAAATTCCCCTTACATTATCATGTGTTGACTAAAACTGCTGAAAGTCGCTGATGATGGACATACTCTGTATCACAAGACAAAGCTGAGTGCCCAGTGAACAGTGAAAATATAATTCTTCCAGTTTGGGGTCCTCGAGCACCCATGAACTCATTCTAAATAAGTCATAAATATAAATAGCTTTATGATCAGTTTACTCATAATAAAGCTGAAAGGTTAAATAAAGCATCAAAGTTAATTGTTTCTGATTAGAAATATATCAACTGAGTCAGCCATCATGAATTCTCTCATGATGGTCAGCAGTTTTGAATGGCACTTTTTCTTTCTTTCTCTCTCTCTCTCTCTCACTCTCTCTCTCTCTATATATACACACATATATATACATATATGCATATATACATACACACACACATACACATATATACATATATACACATATATATACATATATACATATATACACATATATATACATATATACATACATATATAACTAAAAATAATGGGAAACTTTTAACAACAGTTTCTAAGACAATGTTTCAAAATAAGAAATCTATGAGAGAAAAATAAAGTCTATTTTTTGTTGGCAAAATTTTGGAAAACATTAGTTTATCTTGTTTATCTAGGAGTTAGAATTTTATTAAACCATAACACTTTCTCAGTAACCCTCCCCATTGCCAAAATTCCACATCTCTGGAGGAAGGATCATATGGCCTATGATTTCTTGGCTGAGCCCTTTTACTTGTACTTGGTAACATCAGACATTCTCCACGCCTCTCATTGGCTAAGTCATTAACCACTATTGTTCAATGCTTGATCAATAAGGAGAACTAAAAGAATTAATATATTTTGTAAATTAAACTCATTCTTGTGTTTTCCAGGACTGTATAATGTTTTTTAAAAAATCAATTAGCAAAACTCATTCATTAAATATATTTACAGAAGGCCTCAAGAGCTACAGTAAAAAAAAAAAAAAAAGAAAGAAAAGGAAAAAAAAAAGAAGATACTGCCCTAAAGCATTCTAAGGCCTGTTAATATCCACATACCCTTTTGTAAACAAAGCTAATTATCACAACAAACAAGTTTTAATTTATTTTATTTATTTATGTGTCTCTTTTAATTGCATTTCCTTTCCACGACTCACACCTTTCTAGCACTGTATGGTAAGATAAACTATAAGCCTGTCTGCCAAGAGTAAATGCTTGCTGGACAATTGCTGAGGAGTTTCTTCTACCAACATAAATACGATGCCATTTTCTGTTGGTAAAATAGATTCTTGACTTGAGCCACCAATCATTTGATCTCTCTGAAGGAAGAAGTAATGAAAGAGACAAGGAAAGTCTGAATATAATTATGTTTAAGAAGTAAACCTGGGAGGAGAAGGAAGGACCTGTGAGAGAAAGCAATTGTTTTCATCTTAGAATATGTTACAGCCAGCGATGGGAAGACCAGAGCTCTAAGAAAATAGATTTTTAAAGATTAGTTGGGTAGGATTCCTTAGACAGAAACTCTGAGAAGGGAGATGGCTCAAGAGGGAAGAAAAACTCACAGAAATACAATTCTGACAACACAATGTCAAACAATCCTACTGAGGAAAAGAAAGAAAAAGACATGGCAATCAAATGTAGGTGAGCTGCAGACAAGTGTCATGGAACTAAAAAAAAAAAAAAAAAACACCACCACCAAAAAAAAAAAAAAAAAACAAAAAAAAAACCAGAGTCTAGTAGGCTAAAAACAAGAATAAGAAAAAGCTTTCAAAAATGCTATCAATCAACAAAAAGGGCTTTTTTTTTTCATTTTGAAGGAGATGAAGGCAATAAAAAGAAGGGGTACATGGCTTGAAGCTGCTGAAAGTGAAGAAATGATAAAGCCTAGGATATCAGTTCCTGTTTTGTTTGTATCTTCTGTAAAGAGAAATGCCAGAAAACCCCAAAAGGCAAGAATGAACCTCAAAGGTAGAATTAAAGAACAAGATGGGGCAGAATCATGCTCAAAAATGGCAGCCAACTATATTAAACAAGCAAAGTGCTCCTGACCAGGTGAATTCCATCTCAGGCTTCTGAAAGAAATCACAAAACGAAGTGGCTAAACCCATGAGAATTTGCATTGAGGAAAACTGGAGAAAAGGAAAGGCATTAGAAGGTAGAGACAAGCTAAGGTTGAGTTAATATACTTAAAAGATGAGAAGCAGGAGAGTGTGGGTTTCATTAATTAAACTCTTTTAAATTCTGTGTTGATTGTGGGCAAGGCAGGAATTGAGAAAATCAAATGAGATCAATATGGAGCCAGCATGGATGTGGGATGAACAATTCAAGCCAGACCTAACTCATTTTCTCTTTTGATAAAATTACTAGAGCGGGAGACAAGGAAAATGCTGAAGACATATGTGTCTGAATTTCAGTTAGGCATTTGACAGGCTCTCTTATTTTACCCTTGCAGGGAGTAGTTCCCAAAATGGTATCTGCAAAGAACAGACTTCCATAGGATATTCATAGGTATGTAAGGAGTGTACACAAATACATTTGGAAAATATGAGTTAAACAAAATATATTTTTTTTCAGTATTTTGAAGAGTAATATACTGTATATGATAACATGCATTGTAGCTCTCCAAGAAGAGAATATAGTGTGCACCATCTCCCAAACTTTTTCTAATATAGCACCTATTTCTGCTTAGGTAAATCTATTAATATCATCTTGAAATGAAATTTGGAAAATGCTTTATTGGAACAAGAAATATGTGCTGAATAAAATCAACAGTAGAAAGTGTATTGATTATTAGATCCACCATACCCATGAACAGAGTTCTGACTTGGAGAGGTCTGCAATGGGGTGACACAAAGTTCCGTCCTTAATGGTGCCCTTAACATCAGCATCATTGACTTGTCTGAAAAATGGGTGTCTATTTTCAAAACTATGTATACTATAAAATGGAAAGAGGTCATCAATATGTCATCTTATAGAATCAAAATCCAAAATGATTTCAATTGGATGCAACCATAAGTTGTTTATAAGTTGAATAATACATGTAAAATTCTACATACAGTTGAGGGGAGGTACAAATGCAAAATGAGGGTAGGTTGAGGGAGAAGAAAAGTTAGTAGCAGTGACCCGTATGTGCAAAAAATTCAGATCTGGGGGAAAATCTCATTATAAATCAACAGTACAATGTAGCTACAAAAAAAAGTCCTAATATGCTCTTAGACATTAATCGAATTATAGAATATGGGACAGTGGAAGCAATAGGCTATATCTGCTCTGCTAACTGTGTTCTGCCTTAAGGGCCATTCTTCAAAGACACACTAGCAAGCTGGATAGGATGGTCACCAGTAGAGTGAAGGGGCATGAAATTGTGTCACGAAGCCTTAAGAAATGAGGCAGAAACTAAGACTGCTTAGTCTACAGGGGGTGCACTGAGAAGGCACAATAGTGGTCTTCAGATATTTGGAGGATTGTCCTGTGGAAGGAGAAATAAACTTCTACAGAACAGAGCTGGGTTGAGTGAAGGCTCCAGGAAGTATGGCTTTGCCTGAACTGATGCTCACAGAGTTGTTTGAAGCTGGGCTGCCACTGACATTTGTGAATTGCCTGTTGCTGGTGTGTCCCAACAGAAGTGTGACAAATGCTTAATGGAAATATAGTAGAGGGGACTCATAAGAGAGAATGTAGGGACAAGAGTGACTTTATTTTAAATGCTAATCCACCATGTGACCCCAAGTCCGGGAATGTCTCCAAGATGTCTAGCTGATGTATTACTCTTATGTAGAAACACCTATTCGCTGTAAGTTTTGCCTTTTCTCCAAAACAGTACTTGATGTTGCATACATCATAGGCTACAGCCACCTCCACATTCCTTCCAGAGCATGTATACTTCTTCCCCAAGATAGAAGCTCTCAGTCAGGGGTCAGGGAGGTTACAGTGTAAAAATATACCTGTTTTGGCCGGGCACGGTGGCTCACGCCTGTAATCCCAGCACTTTGGAAGGCTGAGGCGGGTGGATCATGAGGTCAGGAGATCGAGACCATCCTGGCTAACACAGTGAAACCCCGTCTCTACTAAAAATACAAAAAATTAGCCGGGCGTGGTGGTGGGTGCCTGTAGTCCCAGCTACTCGGGAGGCTGAGGCAGGAGAATGGCGTGAACCTGGGAGGCAGAGCTTGCAGTGAGCTGAGATCACCACTGCACTCCAGACTGGGAGAGAGAGTGAGACTCTGTCTCAAAAAAAAAAAAAAAAAAAAAAAAAAAATATATATATATATATATATATGTATATATATACCTGTCTTACAGTCACCCAAGGCTATGCTTCTGTCTATAAGTTCCCCTATATTGCCCTATACCACCAAAGTGGATTTATCTGCCTCATCCTTTGGTTTCCAGGTTCCTTCTGTGTTTGTGAGCCACTTTGCATATATGGCCTTTTCGTGGAACAGAGAGAAGTGGACTATATGGCTTTTAGCATTTTTTTTTAATCTTAAGATTTATAGTTTGGGCTATAGACAAAGGCATGGTGGTCCTCACTTGATGACCCAGAGTTGTTGGAGAGAATGAAGAAGTCAAAACCAAGTCCAGAATCTGTACACTAGAACAAAACTCAAGGGAAAAGTAGGACCTAAAATCTTAGTCTCTTGGCCCTAGTCTCTGGCCTGAGGGCAGCCAGGCCACTCTAAAAGAAAGATGGTGCCACAGCTTTATGTCAGGGTACCAGATCTTAAACCCTATCAAAGAGTTTGAGTTTGAGGCTGTTGACCTGCCATGTCTATTGCCGACACCAGAACTAGCCCAGTAAGTGAAACAAAACTGAGTCTCTGGGGATGTATGGGTTAGGAGAGGTACTGAATCTTCCCAACAGTGAGAAAAAAAGGGGTAGCAGACGCTTGAGAAAAAGTCCATTACCTTATGATGGATCTTGGACCTTGCAGAAGATTATCTCTAATGTTACAATTTTAAATTAAACAGCAGAGATTTTATTTCAACATTAGACTTAAAATGGAAAAAAAAATGGTTCCCTATTTGGGTACAAAAATAAATTCACATATGAATTTATTTTAAAAATCATGGATCAGCCAACTATAAAAGAGAATAAGTGGATTGAACTTGAGGAGATGACTACACCATGGAGAACTGCATTAAAATTCAAAATAGCCAAGAAAAGCTAAATTATATAACACACAAAAATAAGAAAAACCATAATAGCAAAAGTAATAAATAATAATAATGATAGCAAGCACTCTGCAGCAGGCACTTTTCTGCGAAGTAGATATGGTGGTAAACTTTTACTCCCACAACAACCCTAATGTAGCTACGATTATTATCCTCATTTCTACAGTGGGAAATCTGAGAAATAGAAAGGCAAAGTAACCACAGTAAATACAACCAAAGGGTCATATCCCTAAGCAAAAAATATAAAAAGCACAAATTCAAAATGGGGCACATATTTAAAAAGAAAAAGATAAAGAATGCTAGAACCCCGAGATTTGCAGGGTACAGAAAAGCAGCATCTCCTATGCTGATGGTAGGAGTATAAACTGATATAGCATTTCTGGAAAGGAATTTGGCAATAGCTATAAGAAGCCTTAAAAATAACCATTTTCTTCTTCAATCCAGTAATTCCACTACTGGAAATTCTCCTAAAGAAAAAAAGAAAATAACTGTGAACAAAGAATTCTCTATAAGATCATGCATTGTGTCATTGCTTATAATGAGAAGCAAATTGTTTCAGTAAAATATGAAAGCTAGAAATACCAAAATGCAATATATTGATGCAGCCAATATATTTACACACATGTAACAATACTCCCAATATTTTCTGAGTGAAACACAAAGCAAATTTGTTCTGAAAAAAATCTGAAGATGCATGTTTCAAAATATAAAGATGAATGATATAGTTTATCTGAATAGTGAGACTGTCAGTCAACATTATTTTCTTTTTTTGGAGTTTTCTGTGTTTTCAGATATTGTGACAAAGGGCCAGTTACAGGAGAAGTGACATAACACTGTGATTAAGTGTGGTCTCTGGAGCCAACACATTAGGGTTCAAATCTCAGCTCTACTGTTACTCTCTGGGTGACTTTGAGTAATTTACTTAATTTTCTTATCCGTAAAATGGGAATTAAAAACCGTCATAGAGTTGATGTGGAAATTAAATGAATTAATAGATGTAAAGCACTTAGAACAGCACCTGGACCCTGGTAAACATTAAAAAGAATTGGTAACTAGTTTTACTGCTTATAATATTAAACAAATTCACAACAATAACAAAAATTTGTCATCGACCAGTTTTTACAGAATATAAAATCCACAACTTTTAACCTGTACATTTATGAATTTTCAGAGAAAAGAAAAAAACAACATTCCACTTCAAATAAGAAATCCACTATGTTACCAAGAGATGATGTAGGTGGTCACACACACAGTCATTTTTGTCTCAGAGAGCACCTGTTTGTTGTGTCTGTGTCTGGTATTGAGGTATTTTATAGTCATACAGCTATTATTAGCCGTATCATTTCCAGTCAAAAAGCAGCAACTTTAAAGTATAGTTCTAAGAAGTACATGATTATGATGGAAGGGAACACAGAAAATTATTTTTAAAAGTTAAAGTAGTGAAAAGATGATGAAGTGGTACATTAGCAGGTGAGAGGAACCATTGGGTCATAAGAAAAATTATTTAGGTAAAAGAACAAATCATGTGACATTTGAAAAATGCCAGATCTATTTGATTAACAGACATTAGCAGCAGATGATAACAGATTTGGATACAGAAAACAGGCAGGAAATTTTGAAGACATGGCCAGAAGAGGAGCATCAAAGCTTGGTGTCAGGCAACCCAATTCATCAAGATTGGTTATTTGAGAATTTAAATGTTAAGTGTGGTAAGCATGCTGCAGATTAGACCTTTGTTACAAACCATGAATGAATCTGTTGGTCAAGGCCTCCTTTGAATCAGTCCAATTTCCTATGGAGTGGAAATACGGTAGCAATTTCACCAGAAGCACTAAGGAGGTCCCCCACCATGCTTACGGAGAGTCAGAGAGGGAGTTTTAACGGTCTCAATAGATTTGCAGTGGAGACAAAACTATCTATTTTGAGAAAAAGTGTCTGATAGACTGCCTACCAATAGGGAGAATTGCATGCCTTGTTTCAAATCTTCAAACATATTTTGTGAGAATGTGCTGAGAAAAATGCAAGTTTAAGCCCCTCTCAAGAATATTACTATGGCCTTTCTGTTCATTATAAAGTTAGTCCAAAAGCCTATGTTATACTTTTCATGTGGTATTGTGTCATTCTGATTTATGTGCAAATGGACTTAGGAAAAATTTTTTATAAGTAAAGAGGCTTCTGTTCTTAGCTTCAGTGAGGTCCCCAGAAAACTTGGAAAAAGGAAAAATAAAAACCACCCAATGAAGACATCATGCACAGATATGCAAAGTCACCTGAAGGAGGTAGCAAGTTTCCTGGGACAGCAAGACCAAATATAAATACATTAATTGTTTTAACTCATCCAAACAAAGAACAAATTAAGCAAAAGGAGTGCTCATCCAAGATGGAAGTGTGGAAAATATTAATAGAAGAATTATTGAGGCAAAGGCTGGCAGTTTATCCTGGTGTTGTCCAGGAGAGAGGAGATAAGGCTAATGGATTTTGAACATGCTAGCCTTGTAGCTAAGGCCAACTCTAATGGAAAGATGGATACATCTTATTATGTCAGGCTGATTCCATTAAACATGCAATTCATCTAACTCTTCTTATTCTATGTATTCAATCAATAAGCAACCTTCAGATTATGAGCTGGCTTCCTATGTAGATATCCCTACAGAGACATAATGCTATGTTGATGAAGCACATGATAAACATTCTGGTCCTTGTAAGCATAATTTCATATTGTATACAATTAAATTGGCTGAGTATTATTTTGCTTTCTGTCTAACTTGACAACAGAGAAAATCCATATTGATCCATACATCTGAGGTCATTTTTCATTGAAATTTGAAAAACTGGCATTATTTTAGACATCAGTCTTCCTAAAGTTGGTTAATATGAGTCAGCTCCTAAGAGATGGATCTTCTCTTGTTATACAGACAACGCAAGACTGATGAGCTGACTTTGGGCCCAGGTAACTAAGGCCACCATGCAATCCCTGCTGACCTACCCTGATATCACTGTTAGCAGCAGGCAAGTATTCTACGTTTCTACAAGGAGTAATTCAAGAATTCTCTCTGTACTCAGTGGTGGTCCTCTTGGGCTCCACCAGAAGACTCATACATTGGAGAGGAACCAGAGGAAAGCAACACATATGATCTACAAATTAACTAGGTGTTTTAATGCTAGAAAATACAAAACTGAGAGGAACAAATAAGAAATAGTCAGAGCCATGTGACTCCAGAAAAGAGTGGCCCTAGCCATAGCTGACTGAAGACGGTAGAATCCAATTACTGTGTCTTTTTAAACACGGTCCATACTTGGGCACTGGTGTAGGAACACTGAGAATCTGACTGAATTTATTAAGATACCCTGCCTAAAATATAATACCACTTGTTGTCCATGATTGTTATCGATCACATGGATGCAACTGTGCCAAGTTATACAATGCTATCATTCATTTTGAATTCACTGCAGAAACTGTATAAGTATCTGTCCCAGAGTAATTTGAATGACTTCATCTACACGTGGAGATCTTTCTTCCTCTCCTCCAATTCATCCAGACTCCATTTCTGATATGTTAACTAACAAGAACAATTGATCTTATCAAGTCAGATTTTTTTCACTATAAGAATCCAAGTAACCAAAAAAGCTCCTCAAGAGGTTCACAGAAAGGAAGTAGTTAAATGATAAAAATGTGAAACGTTATGCAGCAAGCTGTGTACAATTAACTAGAATTCAAATATACACCTTGTTCCAATCCAAGCCATTTATCAGATAAAAATAGTCTGCTACAAGAATGTCATGATTAATGAGGTGAGACTCCAGCTAATTACTGTTTCCTCCAGAAGTAATTAGGTTGGCATTGCTAATCAAGACGAATGAACACTCTGACCCGCTTTTTTAAATGTAAAACTATGAGCCGCTACTGCAATAACATCATTTAGTTCAGGCAATGTAGTCTTTATTAGGCTTGTAGTTTGATTAAATTCTTTTGTTACACCAGGCTTTCCACACATGAACAGATGAATGCTGTGATGTTCAAAGAGTTTTTCACCCTTAATTAAAGACTGAAAAGCCTTGTTCAATTCACAGGGCAATACATAGGACAGCTCTAAATTGATAGCTTTTAAGTCGAGAATAAGGGAAGGATTCTTAGGGCTTGCCCAGCTGTGAGAGGTCTCCTCCTCCTACTATAATTCCACTTATTACGTGGGAGAAATGAATGTGAAATACTTTCATTATATTTTATTAAACAGCTTTTTCATTTCATCGCAGCCTCTTTTACGGAGCACAATGCGTATATCTGTACTTCCTTATTTTTTAATGCAATTAATATAAGGGAGTGGGGAGTAGAGTGGATTCAATACCACTAATAGAACAAACCGCAGTGTGGAACACAGGTTTCGGTGAAAGCAGGCAGAGTACGTGTTGCTGATTCCCGCAGTTCACGTTAAAAGTGACTAACGTTTCATACTAATGGTTATGGTGAAGGAAAAAAATATTTTTTTTCAAGATATGATTCTATTTCATTCTCTGTCGAGCAAAGGGGCTAATTTGATTAGCGGCTAAATTTATATCAGTAAACTCTGAAGATGATCACTTATGAATCTTTCACACACACAAAAAAAGTCAATATCTTCACCCCTAAATTTGTTAGCTAGAGGCTAAAATCAGGTCTTGGCAAACTCATCACTTCCGCACACTTAATAGGTTTCTTCATCCGCCTCCCCTTTCTTCACTCCTTCACCGATTTCCATTTTCTGTTTCCTCATATTTTTCTATAGTTATTCCAAAAGGGTAGGATTATCCTCTCCACCCTTCCTCTGCCAGTTGGTTTATATTTCCACTTGCCAGGTTGGGAAATCCTATTTTTATATCTTCTACTTAATTATATTCCCAGTCTAGAATGTGCTGTCTCCTCTTTGATTGATATGCTTGGACCTCCTGCTGCTTTGTTTTTCTCTGCGATTTTGTATACAGGAGGATAAAATAATCTTAAATTTTGACACCTCGTCTAGGTCTAGAAGTCAGTTTCTTTTTCGGGGTTTTTTTACTTGTAGAATTTCATAAATGGCTTTTAGCATTAGCCATCTCCATTTTTTTTTTTTTTAAATCCTGTCGTCATTTAGAAAGATCTGAATACGGCTGACCTCCAGGCCCGACACTGCGTGTTCTCCTGAACTCCTTTTAACAAGCAGCAGAAGCCAGCCCTGCTAAGCCCCATGCCTGACAGAGACACAGAGATGGAAAATGGGCCACAAAGCCTCTTTGTTCAAACAGAAAACCCAGACACCAAAGCTCACGAGTACCAGGATAGGTAAATGCAACAGGACATGCCCCACTGCTCGAGGGTAATTGTCAGGGTGTCATTAGACACGACACTTCATTCTCTTTCCTAATTTTCCAGTTGGGTTTTGAATTTGTCATAGTTCCGTGTCATTTACTTTACTCCATCGTTATTCTACACCAGGCTGCCTTCCTTAAATGTGGCTCCCCTCGCGTCGACGGGGAGCGTTAGATTTTGTCCTAGGATCTTGTATTAAATAGCTCCCAAGCTTTTTTAGACTTGTCTCTCGGGTTCTCTCTTTTCCTTGGTGCCTGTCTGTTTAGCACAAGGATAGCTCCTGTTCTGCCTGATAAACCCAAGCTGGTATCTTGTGCTTTCTGCCATGTGTTATTTAATTAAAACATGTAGTTCTTTCTTGGTCTTCTAAATAGTTCTGGCACCATAATAGTGACTGAGACTGGGGGCAGCAGTAGGACTTAATATAGGGCTCTTGACCTTGATCTAGCCTTTTACAGTTTTATAAATTTTGTTTGTTTTATTATATAGTCTCAACTCCTGGTAAGAATTAAGAATAAGCTCTTTGAGTTCAGATAAAGTACCATGGACTTCTAATATACATTCCTAAGTCTACATTCTTATTTGACTGAATTATACTTCCTAAAAAAGAAGAAAAAAAAAACCTCAAAAAAAATTTCTATGACAAGTTATAAAGAAGATAGTATCTTTTAAGTTGGACTCCATCATGATATTCGTTGAGTTTATACAGGAAAAATGAAGATAAATACTAAACATTTAGCAGAATATCTAACAATAAAGTCATTCACAATAGTAGCCCTCTTCTTTTATTCTTTTTCAATAACACACAGTTTAATTGAATTACTCCAATTTTTCTCTAATTCTACACTTCACTTGTTTGTTTTACAGATATTGCATGGAAAATAAAAGTTAATCTAATCCCTCCCAGCCTCTAATCTAAACCCTCTCAGGCCCCCTGTTCATTTGTTTCCTAAATTACAGTCTCTCTGTGTTTCTAACCCAAGGCTGTATCTTTGTGATTCAATTTCCTAATGATAAAGCAGGATTTTTTTAAACCTTGCTTTTACTAAATTCATAAGAATTACATGAATAATAATAGTAAATAATAGTAGCTGATCCTGAGAGTCATGACCTTGAGGAGTGAGCAGTAAAGAAAATTCTATTAAGGTAGCAGCAAGAAATTTAGAAAGTCTGAATCCTTTCTGGGGGTAAACTACAGATGGACAAACAGTGGTTTCTTGAGTAAAATAGGAGAGTGAGAAAGCCAGGACTTTGTACAACACCAACCTACCAGGGCCAAGACACGAACCCAGCCAACAGCAGGGGCTCCAGCAGTCAAGCAAGGCAAATGTCCAGAAAGAGTGGCAAATTCCGTCTTGATTTAGGAAACTGTCAGCACAAGGTTGCAACAGATGGTAGCAAGGTCCCAGCACAGAGACATGGAATCCAAAAGACCATTGATATTTGGAAGTTCCAAGTGCAGCCATTTCTCATGTAAGACCATCTATCTATTTAAGTTGTAGTCACTGGGAGGGAGGAAAGAAGTCCATACACAGCAAAAACAGCAATAGCCTTATGACCCTTATTACCTTCCTGAGGTTCTAAAGCAGGACCCAGAACCTCCGGAAGAGGCTGTAAGATAAGATTTAAAAGAAAAAAAAAAAAGCATTAGCCTAGGCCTGGGCACTGAAACACACAGGAGAAAAGCAAATTGCATACAAAAATTAGCTGGGCATGGTGTTGGGTGCCTATAATCCTAGCTACTCGGGAGGCTGAGGCAAAAGAATCGCTTGAGCCTGGGAGGCAAAGGTTGCAGCGAGCTGAGATTGCACCATTGCACTCCAGCCTGCCTGACAAGAGCGAGACTCTGTCTCAAAAAAAAAAAATTGCAGGAGGATCTCTGGGGCCAACTGGTCTGCAGAGATATAATCAACAACCACTCAACAGCCATTTAATAAGTACACAATGTACACTGCAAAAACTAGGGTTTCAGCCATCATAGAGTTCACAGATGAGTGAAGAAAACCAGAAAAGTCACTAGCTAAAGTACGAAAAGTGCTATAATATAATATTATGGAATAGTCACTAGCCTAGTCTGAGCTGTGGAGGGGAGGGTGTCAGGAAGAACCTCCCTAGAGAAACTCATGTTTAAGCTAAGGCCAGACCCAGGATCTTTTCTGCTGTAAAGGAGAACCCGGGAACAATGCAGGAGACCCGGATTCAACACTAGAGCATCCACAGCTACACCTACCACATCCGAGAAAAAAAAAAGCATACATAGAGGAAATCAGGAAAATACATTACTTATTAATTACTAGCTATGGATTAGGTCCTAAACAAGTGCATGGAAACCTTGATCCTGGTGAACTGATGTAAGCAGAGAGGAATACTTTTTCTTGGATAATAATAAGTCTAAGCAATCTAGATTAACATTTGCCAAAGTATATTCTATGGATCACTAGTCTTACAGAATAATCCATATCAAAAAGGATCATATGGGCAAGTGCCTTTGGAAAACTTTGAATACTGTTACCATCTCTCAGAGAATCATGAATCATACTTTATATGTTTATTTTATTTAAATTATTAAATAATTACATCGGTTATTACATATATGTATATAGTTATGTAAATGTCTGTATCAATTCATGTAAATAAGTATATATTGATTATATATATTCAAGGCACCAAAGATTTACTGTTAAGAAATGTGTTTGAATTTTATGACCATAGTATTTCCCAAACTTACTTAACCATAGAACTCATTTTTGTGTAATAATCTTTACTGTGTCTTGGAATTAGTGTATCTTACTTCATGAAACAATGTTTTAGACTTGGTGTCAGAAAACTTATTTTGTAAAGGACCTGTCTTAATCTGTTGATGCTGCAAAAAAAAAATACCACAAACTGGATTACTTAGCAAAAACAAACATTGTGTTTATTTCTCACAGTTCTGGAGACAGGGAAGTCCAAGGTCAAGGAGCTGACAGATTTGGAGTCTGGTGAGAGCCCACTTCCTCATAGACAGTGCCCCCCTTCCCCACTGGCTATGTCTTCACATGGTAGAAGGGGTGAGGGGTTTCTCTGGGGTCCCTTTTATCAGGGCACTAATGCCATTCATGAGGTCTCAGCCCCCAAGACCTAATCACCTCACAAAGGCCACAGCTCCTAATATCATCACCTTGAGGATTAAGATTTTCACATAGGAATGTTGGGGGGAAACAAACATTTAGACTATAGCATGGCCAGATAGTAAACATTGACAGTTTTGCAGACTGTACAATTTATATCACAATCAACTCTACTGTTGTAGCACAAAATCATTCATAAACAATATGTGAGTGAAGGGCAATGACTGCTTTCTAATAAAACTTTAGTTACAAAAACAAATATTAGGCCACATTTGGCTCATGGGTCAGAATCCAAACCCTGGCCTAGACAAGGAGACATCATCATTGGTCTTATACCAGCGTTTACCCTTAATCTCTTGGTGACTGGGATGCTAAGGTACAGTAATAGCCAACCTGAGTAGAGATGACATTAGGCCTATTCTACCTAGAAAGGCGAATCCAAAAAGAGGAGCTTAAGAGTGGAGAAATGAGAAAGGTCAAGAGATTACACCAAACAAAAACAAAAGGTTTTTATTTATTTCCTGAACACATGGATACCTCCATCGCTTTGCACCATGGACTAATCATATCTTTGGCCACATCTCTTGTCAGCACTTTCTTGGGTAGAGTGAGTGGGAAACATTTGAGGTCCCTTGGAGTAAACATGCATAAATGCTTGAAGAGAAATTGAGGAAAGCCAAGACTGGGGGATAAGAGCAGAGGTGAGGGTTGTCACAGCTGCCTCTCTTCACTATTCCTTCTCCATATCTTCAAGTAGTCAATAATCTGGGTCTGCCGTAACTATAGGGTGATAAGGCAGCTTTATGCTTTTTGATATTTTCCAAATTTCCCCCATAGTCCAAAATTCTACCTTTTTAGAATTAGAGATGGGGTCTTGCCATGTTGCCCAGGCTAGTCTTGAACTCCTGGCCTTGAGTGATCCCTCCGCCTCACCCTTCCAAAGTGTTGAGATCACAGTCATGAGCCACCATTCCTGGCCCAAAATTCTACCTTTAGAGATATTAAGTGAGAAACATAGTAAAGACATTGAAACCAAACAAACCTAGTAAAAATGAACGTTACCTAAAACAAGTACAGCACCTTCCTATTAGTTGATTGGAACAGATACATTCATCCTATTAGCAAGACGATTTGGAGTCTCAATGCGATAAGGTTCAAATTAAATTTCCTTGTGGTAAAGCACAGAGATGACTAGCTATATGTATGAAGTTCAGCATGAGGCTGTTGACCTCATTATCACCTCTCGGCCCTCACCTCTACCCACATCCCAACCTTCCTTTACCTTTTTCTTCTTTTTGGTGTTTAATACAGAGTTTTTGCGGTAATTACCTTCTAAACACAAGTATCCCTCAGTACGGCACACTTATTGGGAGATGTCAAGGAGGGATGAAAGCTAGGGAATAGGAGCCTTTGGGGAAGGGTCAGTAAAGAGAGAAAAGCTTTGGAAAGGGCCCCCTTACACAAAGCTGAAAGCATTATTAGACTAAGTTCTACAACATTGATTGAGCTTAATCTTGCCATTTTATCACTTAGAAGGATTTTCACTCACATGTTAAGGAGGCAATAAAGGGAACGTCTCTCTAGGCTTAATTCCCATCAGTGAATTAATAATGGAAATCTTATAGGAAAATGATATGTCTTCTCGGAATCCAGAAAATAAAAAACAATGAATGCTAGGAATAGTCAGATATGTACTGTCTATGGTCTATCTTTTTGGATTCTCCTTTCTGGGTAGAATAGGCCTAAGGTCATCTCTATTCAGGTTGGCTACCACTCTACCCTCAGACCACCAGAAACACACTTGCGGGTAAACAAAGTTGAGTTTATTGACATATTACAATTCAGGAGAACACACACCATAGAAGACCGTGGGGCATCTCAGTAAGAAGGTGTTTGAGTGTGTTATAGAATTTGAGCTTGTCATAGGTGCTTTTGGGGAGGATTCAAGGAAGTGAGGCTTTTCTCTGAATTCAATTCTCTCAGTACATAAAGGTAATTCTTGTGATTGGGTACCTTAATAATTTGAATCTATAAGGTGAAAAGAACAGAGTGAGTCTAAAGTTGTGATTCAAAAAGAAGCAGTTGTCACTCATACTAGCCAGAATTAAGAGATGTTTGGGCATTTTTGTGACTTTGGAAAATGCTCATGTTTTTGCTATGTTTGGACATGATTGCGGAGTGGTCTTATTTTTGGCTTGATCCATCACGGTCACAGAGTAGAGGTGTCTAATGTTACTGTTCTCTAGGGTTGTTTACATTTCACAAGAGAACACTGTGGCCTAGCTGAGAGTGCCAGGTCAATTCCGAGCTGCTTTTTCCTTTCTCAGTACAGCATACTTGAGAAAAGCAGATTTGAGAAATGTCAGAAGAATGATAAATGTGATTCAATAGGCATAAGGACTAAAGGGAAAATTGTTTGAAAGAAATGAGAAGTTCTAAAACATGCAAGTTAGGCTAAGAGGGATCCATTAGCAGAGTGCAGCTCTGCCAAGATCTGAGCCAGGAGGAAGAATCTTCATGCAAATAGATCAGGGAAAGTAGCTCTCTGACAGGGAGTGAAGTCAAAGCAGTGAAGATTGCAGGCAGGAGAGTGAAAGAAAACAAGGTATGTCCATGTTGAAAGGGGAAATTAGGAAGTAATTACAGCTACAGAGCTGTTGCAGCTTCATGTTTACTATGGCCTGATCTGCTTTGCCAGGTTGAGAACGGGTGATACTAAATAGTATCATGAAGTAGTGGAACGTCTGAGTTGAAGGGGAATTATGTTCCATTTTTTCCCCTCCAGATCTATCCGCCATCCTTATCTGCTCCACAGGAGGCTGACACTCCAAGCCATGTCCACAGATTTCCTTGCCTTCTGGCTTCCAGTGTGATTTGGTCAATGGGAGTCGCCAGCAGGAGATAAGAGGAAGGGAGGAAAATGAAATGGGGTGTTGATTTCCCTGGATTCCTCATTGCTGGGTCGTTGTGCTGTTCAGCCCTTTAGAAAAGGCCACATTTCCTGCCAAGCAGTCTTTTCCATACCATCTCCCTCTGGGCTTAGTGTTCATTCCATCCCTTGCCTCTCTAGACCTAGGAATAATAACAGCCTGCTGCTATTGCTAACTTTGAGGTCCTACACCTTTCCTGCTCCTTTCCTAAATGGTTGTGAGAGTTTCCTTATTAATCTCTTCTCCTTTATCTAGTTGAGCATACCATCTACTCCTGCGGTATTCTGACTGACACTAAAGTAATGTAGTCCAGCATTCCTCCCAAACTAAAAAGCTCTCCAGGGAGAGGATGTCACCACATTGGGTGACAGGCTATTCTGTTTCTTCTCATAGGTTCTTGCCAGCCAACATTATTTTTTTGTTTTTTCACTTGCATAAGTTCTTTAAAACTTGGAGCATTTAGGCGCTCTTATGCTACTTTGGATTTAAGACACTCCTTTCCTCCCTCATTGATTTTTACCTGACATTGCATTACCTAACTTTCATGTTTTAGACTTCTCATCTTTTTCAAACAACTTTCTTTTTAGTCCTCACACCTATTGAATCACACCTATATTTCTTCTGGTATTTCTCAAATCTTTCATAGGGCAGGAATCTTCATTTTGTTCTTCTTTTTTAAATTTGATGTAGCCATTTGTTAACTTTATTATACATCTTAGGATGTGTTTCGCAAGTTTCTCAAAAATTCAGTCAGAGTCTAGCATTAAGTTTGTAGATTAACTGGGGGAGAATTGACACCTTTACTTTGATAAATTCTCTCATCCACCAATTATGAAATATTGTTCCATGTACTGTTCCATGTCTTTAATAAGATTACAAAATTATTTATACTAAATTATTATGTATTCTTGAGAGTTTGATTCCTAGATATAGCATAGACTTTGTTGTGATGTGTATGTTATCTTATATTCTGTAACATTTTTAGTTGATTTTTGCTAAGGTAGAGAAACACTACTGATTTTCCCTTAGATCTTTTATCTGGTAAATTTGCTGAATTGTTATTAGCATTATTTCTAGTAGCATTTTTTGTTGGTCCTGTTGGATTTTCTATGAAGATCATCGTATCATATGCAAATAATAATTTCCTTTCAAATCTTATATAGCATACATTTTTGTTGTCTTATCACATTAAACATGACTTCCAAAAACATGTTACACAGTTGTAGTGATACTGGTTATCTTTGTCTTGTTCTTGACCTTAATGGACATGTAGCTAAATTTTCTCCTCTATAAATAATATTTTTAAAGGTTTTCAGTATATATTACTCATAAAGCTAAGAAAATATCTTCCATTACTGGTTTATAAGATTTCTAAAAATTACATATTGATACTGAACATAGTTAAATGCTTTTTCTGCATCTATTAAGATAAAATTTTTCTTCTTTGTTTCATATAGCTGGTAAATTATGCTGATTGTTTTTCTGTTGCTAAATCATCCTGGCATTCCTGGGATAAAATATTAATAATGAATCATTAGATTCAACTAGCTAGTATATTATTTAGGATTTTTACATCTATGTGCATACACTAAATGGGTGTGTGTATATATATACACATACACACATACACATATATATATAAAACTATGTATATATATATATACACACATACATACACCGTGTATATATATACATATACACACACACACACACATATACACACACACCATATCTCTATATGTAGTGAGTGAGAGTACTTCACTATGCAGTTTTGAGATTAAGGTTATTCTAGTTATGTAAAGGAAGCATGGCAGCTCTAAATTGTTTTCTGTTATGGAGCAATAAGAGAGAGATTATCAGATACTTAAAATTTTGATAAAACTTATCTGAAAAATTGTCTGAGCCAGAGGATTTTGAGAGAGAAGATACATGATTTCCATTTCAATTTTCCAGTTATTTACTTTTTCTTGTTATTTCATTTTTGTCATCTTATATTTTTTCAGAAATGTATCTACATTGTCATCAAATTTATTGGCATATACTCACATTTTTTAAATCCCATATCTAGAACAATGTCTTCATTTTTATTTATTTATTTGCACTTTCACTTTAATTTTCTTGATTAGTCTTGCCAAAGACTTATGTATCTTTTCATAGAAAAACTTTTTGAGTTCTATTACTGTCTATTTATTGTCATCTATTTCATTGATTTCTGTCATTATGCTTTTTATTCTTTTTCCTTTGGGCCTTTTATATTAGTATCTTTTGAACTTCTTGAGCTGAGTGTTTAGCTCAGTGTAAAAACAGTATAAGTACTTTAACTGTTATACACATTATATCATGTAATTTTTCACTATTCTCCCATTCTTTTTAAATTTACTTAATATTTTATGTTTACTATAATGGTTTTTATAGCAATACTGGTTTCTAGAATTAAGTGATTAAGTGATTGTTTTTTTTAAAGAGATGGAGTCTCGCTATGTTGTCCAGGCTGGTCTTGAACTCCTGGGCTTCAGCAATCCTCCCATCTCTACCTCCCAAAGTGCTAGGATTACAGGTGTGAGCTACCACACCTGGCCCAGCTTTAGGAGATTTTAAAGTTATCATTTTATTATTGGCTGGTAGACTGAAGATATGGTCAGCATGATCTTGATTCTTTAGAATTTATTAGAACTTCCTTTACAAGTCACAGTTTTTGTGTATGTTTCTTGCATTCTTTTTAAATGTGTATATTTCCTAAGCCAGGCACAGTGGCTCACACCCGTAATCCCAGCACTTTGGAAGGCTTACGGGGGTGAATCACCTGAGGTTGGGAGTTCAAGACCAGCCTGGTCAACATGATGAATCCTGGTCTCTAATAAAAATACAAAAATTAGCTGGGTGTGGTGGTGCACACCTGCAATCCCAGATACTCGGGAGACTGAAGCATGAGAATTGGTTGAACTGGAGGTTGAATAACAGCAGATAAAGAATGACTTGCTGCCCCGCAAGCATTTCCTCCTGCTCTTTCCAGCATGAGAACTGGTTGAATTGGAGAGTGCAGTGAGCTGAGAGAGCAGCACTGCACTCCAGCCTAGACAACAGTGAGACTCTGTCTCCAAAAAAAAGTGTATATTTCCTGCTATTGAAGAAATCTATGTTGACATATAGATTTACAGTATATAAATAATATATGACATCTATAAAACTTTATATCCAGTAATACATTTTATGTATAGGTTTAAGCAAATTAATTATACTATTCAAACGTTCTACAAAGTTTTGTTATCTCTTTGATTTATTGTTTTCTAAGAAAAGTGAATTAAAATTCCAATCATGATTATTAAGCCATTTATCTCACCTCATATATCTGTCATTGCTTTGTATATTTTGAACCTATATTGTTAAATATATGTGTGTGTGTGTGTGTGTGTGTGTTTATTATATCTTTTTATCTGTTTACCTTTTTTGCCATGTATAATGTCTCTCTTCATTCTTTATGACTTTGGCCTGATATTAAAATCATTTCTAGTTCATATTTACCTAGCAAATATTTTCATTTCTTTAAAATTTCTGTCTTATAGACAATATATTATTGTATTTTAATATATTATAAGATATTCCTGCTATCTCATTTCATATTTTCTATTCACTTATTTATACCTTTTCCCCTGCTTTTCTATCTCCTATTCAGGAAATCAAAATTTCTTCTACTGAAGAAAATTTTAAGAATTTTGTTTGGATTCTCTGGCAGATGCCTCTATCTTAGTAAGGCCCATATTCATGTCCATTTGTCCCTATCAATATACTAAATATCTAATACTTCAGAATATTTTCCTGCAAAAGGAAAAAGTATTTTTATCACACTCCCTGTCTTAGTCTGTTTGGGCTTTTATAACAAAGTACCACAGACTGGGTGGCTTATAAAAAACAGAAGTTTATTTCTTACAGTTCTGGTAGCTGGAAATCTGAGATCACGGTGCTGGCAGGGTTGGGTTCTGGTGAGGGCCTCTTCCATTTGCAGACTGCCCACTTCCCCTTGTATCTTCACATGGGAGAGTGAGCTAGCTCTCTGGCTTCTTCTTCTTCTTTTCTTCTTCTTCTTCTTCTTCTTCTTCTTCTTTTTTTATTCTTCTTCTTCCTCTTCCTCCTCCTCTTCTTTTTTTTTTTTTCTTTTTGAGACAGAGTCTTACTCTGTCACCCAGGCTGGTGTGCAGTAGCGTGATCTTGACTCACTGCAATCTCCACCTCTTGGGTTCAAGCAATTCTCCTGCCTCAGCCTCCCGAGTAACTGGGATTACAAGCGCCCACCACCACGCCCAGCTAATTTTTGTATTTTTAGTAGAGACGAGTGTTCGCCATGTTGGCCAGGCTGGTCTCGAACTCCTGACCTCAGGTGATCCACCCGCCTCGGCCTCCCAAAGTGCTGGGATTACGGGCGTGGGCCACCACGCCTGGCCTGGCCTCTTCTTATAAAGGCACTAATCCCATTCTTGAGGGCTCTATCCTTACAAACTAATTATCTCTAAAAAGCCCCTCCTCCAAACACCATCACATTGAGAATTAAGTTTCAACAAACAAATTTAGGGGGATGGGGAACACGAATATTCAATTCATAATACTCTCCCTGTAGTTGCTGTACCCTACCTCCCATCTGTGGCCATGTTGGTATATACTATAGTTTAGTTCTGAATTATAATAATACACTTCTGCTTCTTTATGAGGAGACCTTTCTTGTTTGGATCATAATAAGCTTTCCTACATTATTTATAACCTGTACTTCTTGTATCAATTAAGCATCCTCTTGGATTTATTTCTCTTCTTCCTGGGCACTTCTTCCAAGAAAATTTTCAAATATGGTCTTTATGTGTCAAAACTCTAAGACCATGTCATAACCGAAAATATTTGTATTGGGATTCTCCATTGAAAAGATAGTTTAACCTAATATAAAACTATACTTTAAACAGACTTTGGAATTAGAGATCTGGGTTTTCATCCCCATTCTACCACTGTCTGTATTACATTGAGCAAGTTGCTTAACATCGTGAGCCTCACTTTTCTCATCTGTAGTGAAAGAATGCTGATATCTACTCTGCAGCATTGCCAGGGCAATTGGTGATGTGTGCAAAGTAGTTAGAATGTAGCAGGTACTCAATAAATGGTAGCCACTAGAAAACATAAAACATTATAGTTTGAAGTTATTTTCCTTTAACATGTTGGCATTATTACTCCATTGTCTTTTTGCCTCCGGTATTGCTAATGAGAAGTTTAATTTCAATCTGATTTAATTTTGTGAATCAACTCTTTATATCTAGAAGCTTTCAGAATTTTCTCTTTGATGTTCTTAAATTTCCCATCTCTAGGTGTGAGATTTTTCTTATTTTTCCTATTTGGTACCCCATAAACTCTTTAATATAACTATTACTCATTGTTATGGAGTAAATGTGTCCCTCAGATTTCATCTGTTGGAAACTTAATCCCCAATGTGGCAATATTGAAAGGTGGGATCTTAAAGAGGTAATTGGATCACAAGAGCTCTGCCTTCATGAATGGATTAATCCACTTGTGGATTAATGGTTTAAGGATTAATGGATTAATAGGTTATCATGGGTGTGAAACTGGTGGCTTTATAAGGAGAGGAAGAGAAACCTGAGTAAGCAAGTACCGTATTCAGCCCCTTTGTCATGTGACACCCTGCACTGCCTCAGGACTCTGTACAGAGTCCCCACAAGGAAGATGACTCTCATCAGACACCAAGCAATGCCCCTGGACTTCCCAGGCTCCAGAACTGTAAGAAATATATTTTCTTTTTATCTTTTTAACTTTTATTTTAGGTTCAGGGGTACATGTGCAGGTTTGTTATGTAGGTAAACTCATGTCACAGTGGGGTTGTTGTACAGATTATTTCATCACCCACGTATTAAGTCGAGTACTCAAGAGTTATTTTTTCTGGTCCTCTCCCTCCTCCCACCCTCCACTCTCAAGTAGACTCCAGTGTCTGTTGTTCCCTTCTTTATGTTCATGAGCTCTCATTGTTTAGCTCTTTCTTATAAACGAGAACATGCAGTATTTGGTTTTCTGTTCCTGTGTTAGTTTGCTAAAGATAATAGCCTCCAGCTCCATCCATGTTTCCACAAAAGACATGATCTCATTCTTTTTTGTGGCTGCATAGTATTCCATAGTGTATATGTACCAAATTTTTTTTTATCCAATCTGTCATTGATGAATATTTAGGTTGATTCCATGTCTTTGCTATTGTGAATAGTGCTGCAATGAACATTCATGTGCATATGTCATTTCTTTATATATTACCCAGTTTCAGGTGTTCTGTTATAGGCAACAGAAAATAAATTAAGACATTCATCTTTACCTAATTCTGGAAAATTCTTGGTTATTATTTTTTGTTTCCTCACCTCTATTATACTTTTTTCTATCTTTTTGAGACCACGCCATGGATATACTTGCACTTCTTATTTATCCTTCTTACCATTATTTTTTCTTTTTTTTTTAATTTTTTATTAATTCTTTGTGTCTTCTGCAAAATATTCTTAGACTTGTTTTATGGTTTACTAGTTTATTCTTTGCCTATGCCTATAACCTCCATGCTACTTATCCCTCACTGAAATTCTTGATTTTGTTATAATTTTTATACTCACTCTTTCCATTTGGCTTTTCATTATAACTGCTCCTTCATGTTTCATATAACCAAAATTCTCTCATCTCTTTGAGGACACGTATTATATTTATTCTAAACTCTGTATCTGTTTCATTAGTTCTGATCTACCTATTATAGACAGCCTAGTTTGTTGTCTCTCTTTAGGCATGTTGTACTTCTCAGCTATCTGGCTACTGCTGCCAATTGAAGCTTATCTTCCCCTAAAAGAATTATCAGGCCCGGTGTGGTGGCTCATGCCTGTAATCCCAGCACTTTGGGAGGCCGAGGCGAGCAGATCACCTGAGGTCGGGAGTTCGAGACCAGCCTGACCAACATGGAGAAACCCCATCTCTACTAAAAATACAAAATTTTTAGTATTTTTTTATTACAGTCATAGTGGTGCATGCCTGTAATCCCAGCTACTCGGGAGGCTGAGGCAGGAGAATCGCTTGAACCTGGGAGGCAAAGGTTGGGGTGAGCCGAGATCACGCCACTGCACTCCAGCCTGGGCAACAAGGGCAAAACTCTATCTCCAAAAAGAGCTGAGATCGTGCCATTGCACTCCAGCCTGGACAATAAGACTGAAACGCCATCTCCAAAAAAAAAAAAAAGAATTATTAATCTTAGCTGAAATATGCAAAGCTCACACACAGCTTCTGCTCTCTTCATAGGTTTATGAGGTGTAATCAACTCTAGGCCTGGGAGCCCAGGGTCTTCCCCAGTCCTTTTTATTGCCCTCTTTCCTGCTGACCCTGTTCCTTGGGGGATATTCTTATTCCTCTAACTTTGAATCTGCTCTCTTCAGAGGACGTTTCTTCCTCGACATATTGGCATAACTTGGGGCATGAAGGGGTATGGAAAGAGCAGGAGGACATGCTTGGGGGGCAGCAAGTCATTCTTTATCTGCTGTTATTTGCTCCTCACTCAGGTCAGTCTCTGGAATTGCCCTTCTGTTGCCACAAAAGCCCTCAAGGCACTAGGCTGGCTCTACCATTTTCTCTCTTCCACAGTTACGTGTGAGCAAACGTTAATCCATCCAGGGCAATATATCCAGAAGGAAAAGTATACAACTCAGAAGTTCTCTCCCAACTCATTTCCCAGTTCAGTTCAGTCACACACACACACACACACACACACACACACACCTTCCCTCTTTTTTTTTTTTTTGAGACGGAGTCTCGTTCTGTCGCCAGGCTGGAGTGCAGTGGCACAATTTCGGCTCACTACAACCTCTCCACCTCCCAGGTTCAAGCAATTCTCCTGCCTCAGCCTCCTGAGTAGCTGGGACTACAGGCGCCCGCCACCACGCCTGGCTAATTTTTTGTATTTTTAGTCGAGACGGGGTTTCACCATGTTAAGTGTTTATTTTTTTGTTTGTTTGATTTTTGAGACAGAGTCTCGCTATGTCACCCAGGCTGGAGGTGCACTGTCGCCATCTCAGTGCACTGCAACCTCCACCTCCTGGGTTCAAGCGATTCTCCTGCCTCAGTCTCTTGAGTAGCTGGGACTGGGCTAATTTTTGTATTTTTAGTAGAGACAGGGTTTCACCATCTTGGCCAGGTTGGTCTCAAACTCCTGACCTCAAGTGATCCACCCGCCTTGGCCTCCCTTAACGCTAGGATTAGACACAAGCCACCACGCTGGGCCTCTTCTTGAATGTTTCTTATAGTCATTACTTTATGTATCTGGACACTGTTTCTTCCTTATGTGGCTCTCTAGGTTTAAATTCTGGGGGGAGAGAGCAAGACATGTTGGTTCACTATCTTGTCAGAAATTTATCTGTATTTTTCTACCACATTAAAGATGTTTCCCAGTCTAAAAAATAAATGAAAAATCTGAATCTAAGTTTATAATTTGCCCAAAAATGTATTTCTACAAGTGTCAACATATCACACATAATAAATGGATACATGTCCCAGCCTATTAGCCATGGGAGATGGGGAGAGAGAAGCTATCCAAACAAATATAGGGCTCAACCCTCAAAAAGGGAATCAAACCCAGCTTTGGGGTTTAGGTTTTATGTTTCATGACATAGAAGATAATCACCATAGAGGGTTTTCTCAATATCGTGTTCAACCTCTCAGCCTATATATTCTCTAGATGTAGACTCAGAAGTCCATCTTAGACGTGTTTTGAGCAATGTCCAGTGAGCAAGTGGTAACAAAGAGGAAGCCATACTCAAGATCACCTAAGAACCAAACAGCAGTTTGGAACCACACAAAATGTAAGCCTCCTTATCTCTAGTGTGTGAGAAAATCGGTTTATTTAAGAGTTGAGAAAAAAATTTACTTTTCCACCTTCCAAAAGAGAGGACAATTTTTATGAGGGCTTATATTAAATATTAATTGCTATGCAACAAATTACTCCAAAACTTAGCAGCTTAGAAAACAAAAATCTATTATTTCATACTTTCTATGGTTCAGGAATTCAGTAGCAGCTTAGCTGAGTGGTATGGTAAAGTCTTTGGTGAAAATTCAAGAAAATATGTCAGTAGGAACTGTAATTATCTGAAAGCTTGACTGGAGCTGGAGTATCTCCTTCTAAGATGACTGACTTATATGGCTGTGGGCTAGAAGCCTCAGTTCCTTACTAGCTGTTGACAAGAGGCTTCCATTTCTCACTGTTTAGGCTGCTTGAGTGTCCTCACAACATGGTTTCTGACTTCTCTCAGAACAAGTGATTTAAGATAGAGTAAGGAGGAAGCTAAATGTCTTCTATGATCTCACCTTATTTGCTCTATACCATTACTTCCACCATATTCAATTTGTTATAAGCAAGTTGCTATGTCCAGCCCACCCACAAGAGGAGAAGAATTTACCTTCATTTCTTGGAGTGAAAGAAGTGTCAAAGAATTTGGGAACATTTCCAAAAATCACCAATGAAATTTTGAATAGTACAAATAAATAATGGGTCTCCCTTAACCGACATAAGCCTCAACCAAATTAAGCCTTATCCAGTTCTGGGACTTTCTTTGTAAATTAATTTAACAAAGGATTTCAAAGATGTAAAAACATTTCATGATGTAGCAAATGAATGTTATTTAAACATTTCTCTAATAAGCCTTTGTAAGACTGAGAAACACTGGCTAATGTTATTAGGATTCAAAGAAGTTAGAACTGTTTGAAAAAATTATCCAAAACTTGGAAATAAGGCAAAATATGCCAGAATTACTTTTCAATGTTATACTGGAGCATTATCTAACACTGAGGTCCCACACCCCCAGGCCACAGACCAGTACCTGTCCATGGCCTGTTAGGAACCAAGACACATAGCAGGAGGTGAGTGGCAGGTAAGCACGAAGCTTCATCTGTGTTTATAGCCGCTCCCCATCACTCCCATTAGTCCCTGAGCTCTGCCTCCTGTCAGATCAGTGGCAGCATTAAACTCTCATAGGACTGTGAAACCTGTCATAAACTGTGCATGCAAGGGATCTAGGTTGCACGCTCAAATTTTTCCACGGATGTTGGGGGAGGACCACGAAAAAATTGTCAGTGGAAAAATTGTTTTCCACAAAATCAATTCTTGGTGCTGGAAAGGTTGGGGACCACTGGTCTAATAGGTCTTCCCAAGGTTTGTTTAATTTTCTAGGGAAATATATCTTTGTTTGACTGATTATTTAGTGTTCATTACAGCCCCAAGGCTCTATGAAGATAAATGTTTATTTGCAGATTTTTGTCTTAAGTGATGATTTCTCTCCAATAGAAAAAATGATCCTAACTCTTATAATTTTATAGCTGCATAAGCCATAACTTTCTCAATTTAATAAGTTTATTTCATCACACTATTCATGGGTGACTATATAAATCTTTGTCCCTCAAATTATTCTTTAGACCAGCTTTACCTTCCAGCTGCATACCTCATTCATGAGGTAAATGAATCTTTGACATCTTACTTTATATTTGTATGAGAATAATGCCATGTTTATAATTTTTTGAAAAGTATACTTTAATAATTTCATTTTATTTTTATTTTTTGAAACAGGGTCTTGCTGTATCATGCAGGCTGCACTGCAGTGGCACAAACACAACTCATTGCAGCCTTGACTTTCCAGGCTCCAGCAATCCTCCCACCTCAGCCTCCAGAGTAGCTGGGACCACAGGCATATGCCACCACACTCAGCTAATTTGTGTATTTTTGGTAGAGACGAGGTTTCTCCGTGTTGCCCAGGCTAGTCTTGAACTCTTGACCTTAATCAATCTACCCACCTCAGCCTCCCAAAGTGCTGGGATTACAGGCATGAACCCCTGGGCCCAGCTTTGTGGGGGTTTTCCCACTAAGATAGACTTGTCTGCTACAGTCTATTCTAATGTATTGTCCAAGAAGTACACATTATAAGCTGTTTCCTCCTGAGAACATCTTTATGGAGATCTTGGAGTGAATCTTAAGGGCAATATAACTTTTCCTTCATTGAATCTCTGTTTTTTATTCTTCTGATTTTATGTTTTTATTTTTGTTTTTTGTTCTTGGCCAATTCTGGTTGCTGTTGTTGTCTGTATTTCATCTAATTTATGGTTTTAGCCATGACTTTTTCTGCCATCAAGGCCAGGGATTATTAGTAAATAATGAATCCTTAGGTAGTATATGGAACACCCTGTGTACACATGAGTCTGGTCTATACATGGCTGATAAGTTATTACCCATTGGAACAAACGACCACTGGAAATCTGATTTTATGGTATGACTATTTGACAACGTTATTCAATATAATGACAACTCATTCTTGGCCAGATAAGAGATGAAAGATCATCTACATTGTTCCACTTTTGGGTTTGTTGCTTTGGCTTTTTGTGAGCTTAACCTAGTTAGGTAAAACTTTATGCCCACTGGAAAAGAGAAAATTTGTTTGAGGTTACCAGTAAATTTTATTTTTCTGTTTACTTTAGACCTTTGTCTGTAGTTGTAGAATTGAAGCAGCAAGCTCTCCGTGTGTCTCTGTGTCAATAATTGAGAAAGGCATTTCCTTTTTATTGTGTGTGCATGAAATATTTCCTACCTCTGGAGGGTATTAATACATTAAGCTATAAAACCTCTTAAATTAAAGAAGCTCTGTTCTGCTTGGTTCATAGAGAACAATAAGAACCACATAAATTTAATGTTTACAGAATTCTTATAAAATAAAGAAACTGAACTTCTAGTCCTGAGTGTGTTAGCCTTTAAAAAACAAAAACAAAACCTTTTACAGAAACTGCCAACTCAGAAGCATTTTTATAGAAGCATCCAAGTTCATGTAATAAATGTGAATATCATTGGACAAATCAAAATGAATTTTCATGATTTTGCTTAAAAAGAGCTTTGCATCTTTTTCCTAATTTTATCAATGTGGAGTATAATAAAAAAATACTTTTTTAACTGTATTTGCTGCTCACTAAGAAACTAGGAATCTGAAGTTCCTAGACTTTTTAACTGCTTTATAAGTTCAGATAAGCCACTATTCCTCTCATACATTTTTTAATTGAGGAAAATATAAAATTATATGTTCGGTGAAATAGAATTATAATTCTGATAAGCATTTTATATCAAGAGTTATTATGTCCCGTACTGTGTCAGTTAAAACTGATTTTCCAAGATCATTTTTTAAGTTTTAGACAAAAATACTAATAATAAATTGAGTTAATTGATGGAAAATTCTTGTATATCTTCAGTTTCTAAGTACGCATAGTTTTAATACACAGTATGTACTTTTGTTTCTTATTTTTACACATTTTAGGGAATCTATGCCTCTGAGCTCTGTCAACAAATGTATTCATTTGCGCTACTTTAAGAAGGTATAAAAGGGAGTGTGTAGCTGTAGAGGTTGCATGTACTCACGTATTTTGTAGTTTGCCATAGTGCTTGTATATAACAGACAGTTGACATTTACCTACCTTCAATGTTGTTCTGATGAATAGGAGTTAGTTGCTTTGTTAATGCTGAGTTGTTGATGCTATACTAGAATAATATGCATAAGAAATGCATAAGAAACGCATAAGAAAATGAGATGTGTGTGTGAGAGAGAGATTTTTTTTTCAAAAGAAAAGGAAAATGGTTTTGTTTTGAAGTGTCTTGTTTGAGAATTTGGAAGAAATTAATGAAAGACAAAACTTAAATGGATATAGAAAGTTGTAGAAGGCTATGGAAAGTCAATGTTATTTGCTTTGGTTTTGAATACCTGCAAAAAATGTCTAAAAAGAAATGCAAAAACAGCATTGCACCAGTACAAAAATAAACACACAGATCAACGGAACAGGCCAGAGAACTCAGAAGTAAAGCCACACACCTGCAACCAACTGATCTGCCACAAAGTCGACAAAAATAAACAATGAGGAAAAGACACCCTAGTCAATAAATGGTATTGGGAAAACTAGCTAGCCATATCCAGAAGAATGAAACTGGACTCCTACCTGTCACTGAACACAAAAATTAACTCGAGATAGGTTAAAGACTTAAGTTTAAGACCTGAAATTATAAAAAAATCCTAGAACAAACCCTAGGCAAAACTATTCTGGACACTGGCCTAGGCAAGGAATTTATGACTAAGACAGCCAATGCAAATGCAACAAAATTTAAAATAGGCAAATAGGGCTTAATTAAATTAAAGAGCTTCTGCCAGCAAAATAAACAATCAACAGAGTAAACAGACAACCTACAGAATGGGAGAAAATATTTGCAAGCTATGCCTCTGATAAAGAACTAATATTCAGAATCTATTAAAAAATCAATAAAAAACAACCCCATTAAAAAGTAGACAAACGAAATTAACAGACACTTCTCAGCAGACATACACAAGGCCAACAAACATGAAAAAATGCTCAACATCACTAATCATCAGAAAAACGCAAATTAGAACCACAATGAGATACCATCTCACCAGTCAGAATGGCTATCACTAAGAAGTCAAAAAATAGCAGATGTTGGCAAGGATGAAGAGAAAAGGAAACACACTTATACACTGTTGGTGGGAATATAAATTAGTTCAACCACTGTGGAAAACAGTATGGAGATTTCTCAAAGAACTAAAATTAGAACCACCACGGACCCCAGCAAACCCACTACTGGGTATCTACCCAAAGGAAAAGAAATCATTTTATGAAAAAGACATCTGCACTCATATGCTTATCACAGCCCTATTCACAATATCAAAATCATGTCCATCAACAGTGGATTGGATAAATAAAATGTGGTATATATGCACCATACATATGTATACGTATACACAGCCATTAAAAAAAGAATGAAATCATGTGCTTTTCAACAACATGAATGAAGCTGAAGGTCATTATCCTAAGTGAAATAATGCAGAAACAGAAAACCAAATACCAAATGTTTTTGCTTTTAAGTGAGAGCTCAACATTGGGTACACATGGACATAATGATGGAAATAATAGACACAGGGGAATCCAAAATGGGGAGAAGAAGGAGAGAGGTTAGGGTTGAAAAACTACCTATTGGGTACCATGTTCACTATTTGGGCAATGGGTTCACTAGAGGACCAAACCCCACCGTTACACAATATACCCATGCAACAAATCTGCACATGTACACCCCGAATCTATAGTTTTAAAAAATTAAAAAGAAGAAATGCAATATGTAAAAAGAAAATCAGCAAAGTTTGCTTAGTTTGATATACTAACTCCAAATATAATGCTTTAATGAAAGGCTAAGAATTAGGTTTCTCACTTTGAAAATGAAAAATTATTCTTAGAGTAATTTGTCTGCTCTTAATAAGAGATAGTAAAAAAAGTATTCTTCATGTTTTCTGTTATCTGCCCAGGTAACAGGATTCTGTATCTCACCAAAATAACTTTATCTACTTTGTGCTGAATTTTTATGCCCTTAACTATTTTTTACAAACAGAATCAGCAAACTTAGAAGACAGACAACAGAAATTAGTCAATGTGAAGCAGTAAGAGAATAAAAGATTGGGAAAAAAAGTAAACAAAGCCTCAAGAACTTGTAGAACAATATCGAATTGTATAAATATGTGTAACTGGAGACCCAGAGGTGACCAGATAGAAGTTAATTCTCTCAATACCACATGGCTCTAGATTTGTTGACTATACTCCAAAGAGGCCTATGTATGAAAATTCTCATATCTTGCTGCATCAATATAAATGAACAGGGACAAAACACAATGTAACTAACCTCTCATGTGATCAAGAATAATCTTCAGGTATTATTTATTATTGGGACAAAGGAGGATTGTTAAGAAAAATTATCCAAAACTTGAAAATAAAGCAAAAGAATGACCCCTAATCTTCTCACTGTCACAACATAGCATTCTCTAATAGGCCCACCCAAAACCTATTTATTCTCTGCAAGAATGTATTTGTGCTTGACTTACTATTTGCCATTGATTATAACCCACGTGAAGTTACATGCTAACTTACAGATTTATATTCAGCAGAAACACAAATGATTTGTTTGATGCATGTTCATTTTGTACTTATATAAGTTATATTTTTTATCTTTTGAAATATATTATTTTTGAAAGATGAAATGCCTGAAATTCAATTTTTGAAAAGTCAAATGACCACATATGAAGCTTTGATTATAAGCAGAAATTGACACCAACTCTTCTCCAAGGAGTAATTTTGTGTGTTTGTTTTTAGGGGATGAACTATATAACCTTAGACAATTTCATGTAGTAGCTGATTTCATGAGGCAAATAAAGCCTAGATGTATGGGATTAAATGCTCCTTTATAAATCATTAAAACCATCCTAAAATCAATTCAAAAATTGACCAGAAGCCATTGCACTTTGCTCCAAAGAGAAATAACATGCTGAGTAAGCAACACAAATGCTACTCACTCTTTTCCAAACTGAAGTGACCTGCTGGGTCAGCACGGTGCCAGCTAAAACTCTAGCCAACAAAGGCAGTAAAAGTCAAAGAAGGCAAAAACTACTGAAGAGAAGCCAAAATATTGGAAATTTCATTGAGTGCTGTGTTAGTAACTATATCAGTATTCAGTTCTGGGAAAAGCAAAATGGTGGAATAAGATCATATACAAAATGGTATAAGATCATATACAAAAAACTATCTTGAAATACATGCTAGGAAGTGATCTCGAGACTAGGGGAGATGCCATAAATTCCCATAAGATAAGAAAATCAGGTTTTTTGTATTATCTGATATTGATCAAGAGACCTAAACTCAAATCAGTTACAGATTTTGACTTCAAAGAACTGCAGCAGCCCTGGCAACAGAAGCAGCAGCATCTTCCCATGGAAGATTTAGCCTCTTTGCACTACTCTTTCCAAATCATTTCCTGATTCACCAGAACCAGCTCTTTTATGCTCATGTAAACACACTAAGGTCCTGATGTAATGTTATCCTTGGAGCCCATGCCCTGTGATGCTAGTGTCAATTATATTTTACAAAACATAACCTTCTGGTATCTCCAAAACCTAAACAAGCTTGGCTGCATTTAATAAACATGTTCAATCATTCCTTTTCTCCCTACCCCACAACAGAAACAAAACCAAAACAAGAAAAATTCCAGAATATGCCCTGTAATAATGGCAGAAGCATTGCTAATTGAAGATGAGATACATACATAGAAAGTCATCTGAGAAAATGGAACACAAATGCTCTCTTAAAATCCAATTTTTAAAAAATTGTTGATTTGCCTTTCCAATTGGGCCTGAGAATACTACTTCTAGAGGCTTGTGCCAGCAATGCAACAACAGCATTGAAATGGAAAAGAAGTGGAAAGAGGGTAACATTTCAAGTCAGATTTTTTTCTCACAGAATACATGGATTCTGGGAGAAAAGTGAAAGACGTGAAGAGAGAAATATAGCATTAATTAGAGGGCATAGCTTTGTACAGCTTGAAATACAATTTTGTGATTTTTTTTGTTTGAGTGTTTTGTTTTGTTTTCATAAGCCTGCTACACCGTGAGCTCTGTGGGGATACTATTCTTATATCCCCAATTTGCAGCACTTGTAGTACCTGGAATACAGTAGGCACTTGCTGAAAACATGATAAAATTAACTAACACATGTACTATTTAAAAGTATAGTGATAATTACCCCCACTATAAATCATGGTATCATTATAAATCATGATTACCATTATAAATCAGATTTCAGTTAAGGCTTGATATGAAGAAGTGTTTCAGGCCAGACCTTCTCAAACTTTAACGTTCTAATGTTCATACAAATTACAAATCATCTGCATATCATGTTACAATGAAGATTATGACTCAGTAGTCTAAGTTGGACACAAATTCATAGGTGATGCTAATACTGCTGGTTCATGGACCATGTTTTGAGAGCCAAGATTCTGGACAACCCAATGGTTTATGACAACAGAGGAGACTCCAGAGCGGGGAGTTGATGTGTAGAAGTCTTGGGGCAAGTGACTAGCAAGGAAGGAGGAAAGCTTGGGTCACACAGGCATCAGTGGGGGGCAGGGTGATTAACCATTCAAGGAGCATGTCCATGTTCCCTTTCTCTTTTCACTCCAGAAAGTGAAAGCCTTTGCTTCTGTCAAAAAAAAAAAAAAAAAAAAAGTTTCAGTAATCAGTGAGCAAAGCAGGAGAAATATGTAGGGAACAGGGCTGTCTTCTTACCCGTGATGTCATGTTATAGCCATCCTCATAGCTTTATGAGGCTGGATGAGATGCCTCCCTTCTGGCACCTTCTTGAGGATCCTCATGTCCTAGAGGAGAGAGACCTTGGCTACAACCACAGGAGACCAACTCCCCAAGAACTCAGGAGTTTGAAAGAGACTGTTCAAGCATCACAGATTGAGGCATCACAGATCGCACCAATTGGCTGCCCCTTTCTCTCTCCCTCACTCTACCCACTCCTTAAGGCTAATCCCTCCCCCTCTGCTCCAAGACTTGCAAACACTGCAGACACAAAGATGGTTCCTACTTCGCCTGGCCCCTCCCCTGTGCCTGGGTTCATCATTCTTCACCATGGCCGTCATACCAATGAAGCTCAAGATGCTGTCAAATAGATTGCCCCTTTTTGAAAATATTGATTGTTTCAGGGTCAGAGTGACTGAATCTATTCAAGTAGGCTACTGGCCCAGAGGTTAGGTAAATCTCTCATTTTAGCCCCTAAAATTATCTTTTGAGCTCAAATTTACACAAACACAAAAAACGTAAAGACCGGAGTTCAAGGTATGGGCCGGGGACGGGGAGGGTCGGGTGAGGCACGCAGAAACTGTGGCTATGTCCAGTTTCTCACTCTTCACCAGAGATGTGATGTTTAATTGCTTCATGTCTCCCCTTTTCCTACAGTAGCTCAGATTGTCAGTGACAGCTCCAGGGCTTGGGCCACAAGCCTCAGGTGCCAATCAAGAGGTAGGTAGAAAGATGGGAGGCGGAAAGCAGGATGCACTTGCCACTGAGCTGCCACCCTCAGGGCAACCCTGAGGCACAGCAGCTCCAGGGAGCGTTATAAACATAGAATGCAATGTGAAAGGTGTCCCTGGAGCTGTGCGACTCTACAGTCTGGGAAGGGACCTTTGAGAGAAGAGGACCCACAGGAGAGGACTGCAGGAGGCAGAATGCAGGAAGGCCAAAAAGGGCAAGTGGATTCCAGCTCATTTTGATCTAGAATGTTTATCTTTAAGGACGGGCATGGTTGCTCAGGCCTGTAATCCCAGCACTTTGGGAGACCGAGGCGGGCGGATCACTGGAGGCCCAGAGTTCAAGACGAGCCTGGCCAACATGATGAAACCTCGTCTCTACTAAAAATACAAAAATTAGCCGGCTGCAGCGGTGCATGCCTGTAATCCCAGCTACTCAGGAGGCTGAGGCAGGAGAATCGCTTGAGCCGGAGAGGCAGAGGTTGCCAGGAGCTGAGATCACACCACTGCTCTCCAGCCTGGGCGACAGAGTGAGACTCCATCTCAAAAGAAAAAAAAAGAAAAGAAAAAAAAAAGGAAAAGAAAAGAATATTTATCTTTAAATCTTTATGGGTATATAGACAATAACAATGAAGATGAAAACATATTGCCTCAGGAAAATATCGATGCTATTCATTAACTGCTAGAGAACGAATGAGGTTATCCATCTGGCTCTGTAAAAACCACTGAAATGATTGTCTCATGTTGTAAGCTTCTAAGCATTTCCCCAATTATCCTGCTTTATAATAAGGAGCATTCATAACATTAAATGAGTCAAGTTACCTTGCTGGGAGTCTTATTTTATTACAACAATAACCTATAGAATATGTAGTTGGTATGTTGCTGTTAGAAAAAAAAGTTAATTGGGAAGCCATTAGGCTGAGACAGCTCCAATGCCTTGGGTTCTTATAGGAGCAAACCAAATCAAACTCCAGTGTAAACAGTAAAACAACACTTAAGCTGAACTAACCAGAAACTGCCAACTAACCTCCAACTAGGGACTTTCCACTTTCACCAATAAATGTATTTTCTTTGTCTTGGTTTGGCAAACACCTTGTAAAAGTTTTCTCTCTTGCCCACCTCCACCCCCCCAGTGGAACACTGAACTGTTCACGGTCTGGCACTGCTCGGTTGGTAAGTCACTGAATGCTCAAATAAACCTGTTAAAATTTTAATGTGCCTACATTTATTTTTTAACATCTCCATACCGGAACTTAGCAAATCCAGAGGAAAAAATATTTTCAGCATCAACAAGAAATGCATGACAAGATGGATGCATAATTACCGAAGAGAAAAACTATGAGTGATAGATGAGTTTTAAAAGGAACAAAAGACCAATGATGACTGACTAGTGTAATCTCAACGAAAATTAGCAATATTAAATGCACACTCAGTGCCATTGTGCTTCGTCTCTTTTAATCTTCAACAATCCTATAAGATTGGTGCAATTATTTTCCCCATTTTATCCCTAAGTAAAGCATAAACAGGATAAGTAACTTGTTCGAGGCCATACAACTTGAAGGGGAAGAACTGGAATTCAAATCTGAGCTTTGTCTGCAGAGCCCAAGCTTTTGCCACTAAGATGTAGACTCCCTAGCACCAGCAAGCAACATTTATTCCTCGATACCTGATGCTGAGTGTTTCATATCCATCATCTAAACTATTAATATAAATAAATGGTCATGCTCAGTTCTACTTCAGCCAGTCTGAAAAAACAACATCAAGAAGCCTAGATGGGAAGCCGAAGCGGGCAGATCACAAGGTTAGGAGATTGAGACCATCCTGGCTAACACGGTGAAACCCCGTCTCTACTAAAAATACAAAAAATTAGCCGGGCGTGATGGCGGGCACCTGTAGTCCCAGCTACTGGGGAGGCTGAGGCAGGAGAATGGTGTGAACCCAGGAGGCGGAGCTTGCAGTGAGACGAGATCGCGCCACTGCACTCCAGCCTGGGCGACAGAGCGAGACTCCATTTAAAAAAAAAAAAAAAAAAAGCCTAGAAACAGGAAGGATTTCTTAAGGTTTACTCAGGATAGTCCAGGGTAGACAGCACTCTGGCCAAATGGTGTGAGCCGTCCAAACCGCTTGGTCTCAGAGAGGGATGTTTCAGATCAAGGCCATTCAACCAACCCCTCTTGCTCTAATACCATAATTACCAAGTTTCCTGGTCATGGTCTTATTTCTTTTTGTGTTTATTTGTTTTTGTTTGTTTTGAGATGGAGTTTCGCTCTTGTTGCCCAGGCTGGAGTGCAAACGGCAACCTCCGCCTCCCGGGTTCAAGCAATTCTCCTGCCTTAGCCTCCCGAGTAGCTGGAATTAAGGCACTCGCCACCATGCCCGGCTAATGTTTTGTATTTTCAGTAGAGACAGGGTTTTACCACATTGGTCAAACTGGTCTTGAACTCCTGACCTAGGTGATCCACCTTCCTCTGCCTCCCAAAATCCTGGGATTACAGTAGTAAGCCACCGCACCTGGCCCATGGCCTTATTTTTTATGTTTTCTTTTTTTCCCTACAAGAAAGGAATGAAGGAACCATTGGCATCACTTCATAGCTTTCTCAGAATAAATTAATAAATTGGCAACTGGCTTATACATCAGTGTTTTGTGAGTTGGAATAAATCAAGTCTGTTCATATGACTAAGCTGTCAAAGTTGAGTTATTCGACCTAAAATGTGGTAACCACACCAAAGTATTGCCATCCTGAGACTCTGTTGGGAAGGTGGCTGACCTCCTCACCTCTCTAGATGACATAGCTATTATGTGTCTAACTAAATATATGTGTGTTCATTTTTTTCATGCATTGTTTTCCCAAGCCAACACAATTTTTAAAACTCAGGAAGCACATCTTTTGACTATGGGCTAGATGCCATTAATGCTAAAGTACACAATTCAACAAAAAGATAAAGAAAAAGGTGGAAAAGGAGGAGAAATAACCACTGATTAATTACCAATGGGAGTGCTATTTGGGAAAAAGGACCCTGAACAAAAATTATTTGTTTTCAACTGAAGATGTTGAATAGAAATACAAACCAAAGTGATGGAAAATCAACTAAATAAAGGCCTTAGAGAAAGTCAGAAGTTCTTTGGTCTATTCCTAATTTCTAGAAAATGCTTTTACAAATGGTCAGGCAACTGAGCATCTGAGATCTAATTGTGTCACGTCAAACAAACTAGTTTGATGTTCTCCTTTTAGAAGAGCAGATGGAGTAGTCAAAAGACTATGAGAAACCCCTTAAGAAAGATGTGACAGTCTGAGGGACAGACTTAAATTAATGTTTAAAAAAATATAAATGCTTTGATGAATTAGAAAGGATTTTTCAACCCAGATCTAAATGAGATTTTCATCATTCTTTAAACAATGCCAAAGTAACTTTCTGATTTTAAAGAAGAAAAAAGTACAAAAATTTAAGAATTTAAACGAAAATTAATTCCAAGAAAGAGTTCATTAAGAATGCATCATGAAGGAAAACATTCTAAATCATTTTCTTCTACTGAAAATTTCTTAAGAATATAGAGAAGTGCAAAGAATGATATTATAAACACATATATATCTACTATACAGTTTTAATAAATGCTAACATTTTGTGATACTTTTTTGAGAGAAATAAAACCTTCCACATATAAAGTTCCTTCTATTTCCCATACTAGTCCAATTCTCCTGCTTTCTCCCCAGAAAAAAAAAAAAACGTTACTATGTGTTTTGATGTACACTGCATCTACTATATATGTAGTATAAAAATATGTAGTATTATATACACATAGTATATATATGAAGTATATGTGGTATTAAAATACAGATTGGGAATACACAAAACTTGTATATCTCATGCAACTCATGTATCTCATATCTTTTAAAATATATTCTTAAAATTGCTTCTAACAATGAGATATTTCAAAGGAAACTTTTCAGAGACAGTTGATATGACTAAAAACCAGTGACCATTTCTACTTGGAAAATAATTAGAATCCAAATGAAATTTAGAGCAAGGAATTTATTATAGTGAATTCTGAAATCTATTTTATAAATTCTGAGAAGATAGTATGAATGGGAAAGGATTTCTAAGGTGGTGAGGTGATTAAAAATGCTACCAAGAAGCCCACATTTCATAAACTTAAAACTAGAGATGAAGCAAGTCCAAAATAGATGTCAAAGGTGAACCCAGATACTGTAAAAGATTATGATGGTACATTGAATTCTCTTCCATCCATGTGAAGCTACTCCCTGGCAATAACTTACACAGGTTCAGAAATTACATTAACTCTTCAAACCTCCAGGGTACTGTTGAGTAAGTTATTATCTGATGTACTAAATTTTCTTAGCTCCTAAATTACTCTCAGAACTTCATTTATTCCCTGGGCTCAGGTTATGGCTTCCAGAAACCATATAGTCTCCTGATCACTCAAGAGTTCCTGTGACTCCCAATAGTGCTAATCAATTTATTGACAAATAATTTAGGCCACTTGGAAAATCCAACTAAACAAGTGGAAGTCACTCTTAGGCCACTGTGTTCACCTGCTTAAAGACAAAAGAGTGGAAAAGGGTCAATCTGAAATATTCAGATTAAAGACAGAACCTATTGACCATGTGGCTAGTCCAAATGGCCATTATGATTGGCAAGCAAAGCCAATTAAATAAAGAATGGTTCACTTATTGGTTTTATGTAGTCAGAGTTTTAGTAAGTAATAAGCCCTCTATAAGTCTGGCTCTTGGTCAGACTTCAGGGATTATTAACAGTCCCTTGGTAATTTTATTAAAAAGAGAGGTATTGATCCTAGTATTCCAGCCAAATTCTAATTTAGGGATTTATAGTCTACCCTTCCCAAATTCCCTCAGATTAAGTGGCCTACTCCCAAAGGACAACCACCCTGAGCTAATATGCTTCTCCCAACCACAAGCTTCCCTTGCGGGAAATCTCCCCAAAATAAACTCTCTCTGGTCTAACTCAACAACACAGAAGTCTTCATGGATTTGAATAAGCCTCTTCAACTATCATACACTCAACAATATAAATCTACATATTTTAAGCCTTTTTAGTAAGAGATGTGTCTTTAGTTAGTCCATTGGCAGGATCAAATGAACAGAACATTGACAGATGTTCATTTACAGCTGTCTAATTTCTCTATAGACCATTCCAGTTGTGATAGAGAGAAGGGGAAGTATAGGGAGCAAAGCTGTTGAGTTTCGACTCCTTCTGGAAGAAGGGGTAATAAATAATTAGCCTTGCTGCTACTCCCCTTGGAAACAGACATTAGCCTTACTGGTCCAGAAGTGGAGGTTAGAAAACACCAAACAATTTCATTATTTTACCTAACTCAGAAATATGATCTTTACGTTTTTCCTAAGAACATCGTGGGTAGATACTCTTTACGGGGGTGCAGACCAACATGACATCAAGTGGCTGGGCCAGTAAGGTAAATACATGTAGTGGACTACCAGTCTCCATTAAAACTTGGAATGGGAAGCCATGGAGTAGATAATTTTTCAGTCATCCTCAGTCTTACAAGTGTGTAATAGGAAACTAAATAGTTGGATATTTGTTTGACTCCATTTGAAAAATCAGTCAATTCAGTGAGGAAAAATGAGTTGAGGCTATGGGTTGACATCACATAGGCATTAATAGATTGACAGGGTTTTGGTTTTTCATATGCTTGTTTTGGTGTCAACACATAGCTCAAGAGATCTACAAAATCTAGGGGGAGATTTATTTGGTAATAGAGTTAGAGGCATTACTGTCATAGAAAACAACAAAAATGACCATAGCTCAGAATGCATTAATGCCGTTTCTACGCATTTAAATTACAGCATATTTGGCTGTGAAAAAATAAATACATCTAGTAAACACATAAGCTTGTATTTAGGGTCTAAATAATAATCTTTTCTAACCAATTCTGACACTCAATAGCACCTTTGAATATAATTTTATGCAATTTAATTTTTTATTTATAAAACTGTTTCCAGGTGTGATTATTATTCATCCATCACAAAATATATTTTTAAAAACAAAAAATTGGGCAAGGACTTCATGTCCAAAACACCAAAAGCAATGGCAACAAAAGCCAAAATTGACAAATGCGATCTAATTAAACTAAAGAGCTTCTGCACAGCAAAAGAAACTACCATCAGAGTGAACAGGCAACCTACAACATGGGAGAAAATTTTCGCAACCTACTCATCTGACAAAGGGCTAATATCCAGAATCTACAATGAACTCAAACAAATTTACAAGAAAAAAACAAACAACCCCATCAAAAAGTGGGCAAAGGACATGAACAGACACTTCTCAAAAGAAGACATTTATGCAGCCAAAAAACACATGAAAAAATGCTCATCATCACTGGCCATCAGAGAAATGCAAATCAAAACCACTATGAGATATCATCTCACACCAGTTAGAATGGCAATCATTAAAAAGTCAGGAAACAACAGGTGCCGGAGAGGATGTGGAGAAATAGGAACACTTTTACACTGTTGGTGGGACTGTAAACTAGTTCAACCATTGTGGAAGTCAGTGTGGCGATTCCTCAGGGATCTAGAACTAGAAATACCATTTGACCCAGCCATCCCAATACTGGGTATATACCCAAATGACTATAAATCATGCTGCTATAAAGACACACGCACACGTATGTTTATTGCGGCATTATTCACAATAGCAAAGACTTGGAACCAACCCAAATGTCCAACAATGATAGACTGGATTAAGAAAATGTGGCACATGTACACCATGGAATACTATGCAGCCATAAAAAATGATGAGTTCATGTCCTTTGTAGGGACATGGATGAAATTGGAAACCATCATTCTCAGTAAACTATCGCAAGAACAAAAAACCAAACACCGCATATTCTCACTCATAGGTGGGAATTGAACAATGAGATCACATGGACACAGGAAGGGGAATATCACACTCTGGGGACTGTGGTGGGGTCGGGGGAGGGGGGAGGGATAGCATTGGGAGATATACCTAATGCTAGATGACACGTTAGTGGGTGCAGCGCACCAGCATGGCACATGTATACATATGTAACTAACCTGCACAATGTGCACATGTACCCTAAAACTTAAAGTATAATTAAAAAAAAAAAAAAACATTAAAAAAATAAAAAAAAAATGACAGCATTCACTTCAAAATTTATGTATGCTGGTAGAATATTCTAATTATACAACAAAGTAATTTTGTTCATGTAATTTTTTTGATATTAGTTTACACTGCAGATGTTTGCAAAGTTAAAATAAATTAAAACTCCAAAGTTCAGGTATTTTCCATTAGCACTATTCACTATTTTCTTATGGATTATAACTATGTAGCTTAAGGTGATGTTTGTTCATTCTTCAAGTCTTTTTCTTAATCTGCCTAACCAAACGCCCCAAGCACAAGGAGAAACATCATCTTTGCAGGAGTATTGTTACCAGAGCCAACTGTGACAGCAGAGTATGAAAGAGTTATTTCAAAAATAGACTCCTAAAGTTGAGAAACTCATGAAAATTGAAGACAGGCTTCATTTATTTGTGATTCTGGCAACAAAAGTACAACAAATTACCCCCAGTACTAAAGAACTCCAGAAAGGTATTCCACTTTAGGTAGAAATACTATTGCAATCATTCATTCATTCATTGAATTAATTTGTTGAGCACCTACTAGATGACAGGTACTGCACTGTGGTGGTAGGGATCCAAGAATGAACAGGACGGGTCTTTGCTCTTGTCTAGTGGGGTAGACGGATACACAAGAAATTTGCTTGTGGTGATTAAGATTGCATGTTGAAGATGACTTTCTCCTGGGAACGATGGTTATTCAGGAAAAACATTAGTCAGGCCTGCCTCAGAGGAAGATGGTCATGTTTAAGAATGACAAAGAGCAAAAAGTCTAGTTTCAGAGCTCCAGTGCGGCAGCCTGACAGCATTAGAGACTGCCAGCAGAAACTCTGTGGTTTCCAGCTTAAAAGTTACCTCCTACCCCGTGCATTATGAATGCCCAAAGACAATGCCATCTATAGGACACTGCCTGACTATGGAGTATGGTGACATTTTCTGCCGACTGCATTGTTTATTTTCCCTTTCTCATAATTAAGCCGTTTTCTAATCCTATAAGGTAATAATATTTGCAAATGGAGAACACCTGGCTATCCAATATGATGAATTTTCCAGGCTTCTGGGGAAAGAGTTGTTCAAGCCAAAAGAAATCTCACACACCCCCAGAAGTAACTCGAGCCCTTCATAATATGAATACATGGGTGCAGAGGTTAAATGTATATTTAAAGCAGAGAAACCATGAATATCGCGTCTCTGTATGTATGTGTGTGTGTGTGTGTGTGTGTACGTGTAATCATAGAATTCTAAGCTTGTAGGGTGTGCTTTATATCTATATCATATGTTATCCAGATACCAGTTGTATATTATAAACTGCATATGCAATACCATATGGACACCATAAAATATCACATGTGTTGTCAAGATAATTTTATATTTAGTGCATGATTAAAATGTCCTATATTATATACCTATCTTTTCTGTGTGTACATAGATTTGTCTAACAAATTGCCTTCATTACCAAATTCAGATATAAATCAAAGTTAAAGTCGCTGTACTTAAATTTAATAAAAAGCAATATGGAAACGTGAATACAGTTTGTTTTTTCTTCACTAGATTTTTCTGCCATGCAGCATTTAACACTGGTGCAGCTGTCAATACCCATTCATCTGCTATCGGGCAGCTTTTTCCTTTCACTCACTGTGACATTTTTAAAGTGGCAAAAAAAAAAAAGCTTAAAACAGCATATTTGTCACTTTTTTCTTTCTGGTGACCTTTTAAGCACTAGGGAAAATTACTCTGTATGTACTAAACCCTTTAATCATTACACATACATTTCACAATAGTCCTTTATATAGGGGTATCATTTAATTAAATTTAAGGAATTTACATTGTACATGCTGCTGTTCATTTAATTATTCAAAAATTTAAACATTAGAAAACCTCATAGCTTTTAGCTATGACAACCATGTAATGCAACTGTAATTTATATTAAGACTCATTTTTATAAGTGGAATTTCAGAAATAACTTGTGCATACCCTCAGCTTCCAGCTTCTAAATTCTGATAAATAGCTACATGAAATATACTTATTCAGTAAATAAAAAATATGTGTTGCTAGTGAGTCATGACAAGGAAGGTTTTGAGAGGGAAGATGTAAGATTGAGTCTCAACTCTATTTTGGATCACTGTGTGACCTTGAGGGAGTTGCTGAATATCTCTGATTTGCACCCGGGATCTCATCATGTGCAAAATAAGATACTGATAGCCACCTCTCTCCAGCATAGTGTGATTGTGAGGAACAAATTAGCAAATATTTGTATATGTGCTCTGAAATCTACAAAAAAATGAAGAGGAATATGATTTTTAGTTCAAAAACACAAATATTCTGTTTTCTAGAAATGGTGGAGAAATTAGAAATTCTTAAAACATGCCAGAAAGAAATATTTAAAACAAACTAAAATAACAACATTAGCAACATATTATTTAGTTACTGTCCTTTCTAAAACTAGAAACGGAAATACTGCTGTACCTGCTATAGAATGGCTTTAAAAATTGCAAAAGGTAATAATTCTGGATTGCCTATTTTGTCTCAGTTTTAGTTTCATTACTTTGATATAATTGGCATATCTTTAAAAATGACCAGGTCTTTTTCCTCCTACCCTGTAAACTCTGTGGCCTGGCATAGTAGAAAGTGGATGAAGTTTACTTCAGCAGCCCTAGAACAGAGTGATCTCCTTCGCCATTTACAGGTTGGTCACCAAGAGTAACTTAGCTTCACAAAGCATCAGGTTTCTCATCTCTACAAAACAGAACATCATGTCTACCACAGAAGGTTTTTTTGTGGGTCATAAATTGTGTACCAGCAATATGCTCGTACACAACAACCTCTTGATGAATGGTATTTATTACTGCTGTTCTGGCAAGAAATCTCTTGGCACACTTTACTATAAAAGCAACCCAGAGACCTTATGGATTCTGTCGTGCAGCAAGCATCCAGGCAGAGGTCAAGATGCAGGTGGTCCTCTTCTTCCAAGAAGTCCTCTTGGATCCCTCCTCATTTGTCTTTGACATGCTGGGAAAGCAAGGGCCTATCATGTCCATAGGTAAAATGAAGTTACATTCCAAGCCCTCCCCTTGAGGCAAAGGATCCTGGTGTCTTTCTTTCCCCCACTTCCCAGTCTTCTCATATAGACAAATTAGGGGTGGGCAATGGGCTCAGGTCGTGCCTGGTGGTCATAGGCCTGTTCTAATAGAGTACACTAAGCATCATAATAAAGATGACTACACAGATCACTTGAAACCATTCAAGTCGGTGAGTTTTGGAATAGAAACTTGGATTGAGTCAGAAAGAATGAATGAAATTCTCCAGGCTGACAGGAGGGAGGAGAAAGATTCCTCAAACAAAGACAATAGCATGCTCAAACCTAAACAAATGAATGGCATGGGTGGCCTGGTCACTGTGGCTGACACATGGCTTGAAGGCCGATGAAGATCAACAGTGATTGTCATATGTGCCATTCTGAGAAGTCTGGGTTTCATTCTCTATTCAGCTAGGACCCAGTGATGTTTTCAGTGAGGAAATAACACTCCCTGACTTGTGTTTTAGGAAGATCACTTTAACATTTATGTGGAGAATGGACTGGGATGATAAAAGACTGTACAGTAAGGAATTGTACAATGAAGGTAGACTTTGGAATAGTCAAGCAAGAAAGAGTGTGAGCCTGAACTAAGGTAGCATTGGTATAAACAAGAGAAGGCAAAATTAGGAAATAGAACCAACAGAACTTAAATGAATGACCCTGAGGAATAAGGAGAAGAGAGAGGTTGAGGATTTTCTGAGTAGTCTGAGCAGATAGTAAACCAATTAAATATAATAACATTATATGTATTTCAAAAGGAAAATATTCAAACACAATTACGTCCAAAGACTTAAGGAAGCAGTCACGTGCTTGCATTTATTTGTAATAAATCTTTGCATTTAAGAGACAATTTATATTTGACATTTTTAAACAAAGGGTAATTAATAACTATATTCCTATTACTTAAAATCACCTTGAATGTGTAACAGCTACCAATGCTGGGTCATCTTATTGGCAATGATATGCTTTTCCAAACTGGGGGATAACCCTTAAACATGATGTCATGCTCAATAATGTTCTCAACAAAGTGTCAGGTAGTTTCCCTTCAGTTTACACGGCAGCTGCATTCTTAAAAAATTTCATGTATGTTTAGGCGGTACAAGGGCCTATCATGTCCATAGGTAAAATGAAGTTATATTGCAAGCTTAGAAAATTGTAAGTGGCTTTTTTCACCTGCAAGAATGGCTGGGGGGAACATTTGAAGTTGTACAGAACACAGGACATTTCTTTGTGTGAGACTGTCCTATGCTCCACAAGATCCTTAGCATTCCTGCCTTCTCGCATGCTATTGTTAATAGCCAAGCCATTGTGAAACCTAAAATCACTGGGATGATTAAACATCTTCCCAGTGAATTTCCAAAACATTCTTAGGGAATGGTATCACACTGACCCCACTGAAAACTAGAGTGCTTGGGGAAAGTTCCAGAGAAAACACCACAGTTTCCTCTTTTCTTAGCAGCTGGGGAGACCATTTTAGCTCCGGAAAAAAAAAAAAAATCAACTCTTTAAAAAGAACTTTGATCCTGCTAGTTGAGAAATCTTCTTTGGTATGACTCAAACTGTACAAGACACACTGATGGCCAATCAAAAAGGATGAGAAGGAAAAAGACAGTATCACATCCATGCTTTCATTTTTAAAGTTTCATTTCTATCTCTGAGAGCTTGTGTTACCTTAGGCAATTCATGAACCGTAACAGGCATTTCTTCATGCCCTGAGTGTCCAGGGTAGAGCTGGGAGCAAGATATAGAGAATGGCTCTATCCTTTACTTAATGGGTGGGCCTCGCCCGCTGGTTTGTTGGATCCAGTATTGCTCTGGAGCCAGCTTTCACCAGCTTTTGAGAGCCAACCTAAATCTTCAGGAATTTTGTGAGCCAACTGACAATATGTTGGAAGCTTAAAATTGGCCATAGCAATAATATTTAAACCATGGAAATTGGCAAACACTAAAAATCAGGGCTCTCCCCACTCCCCAGAGCCAGTTGTTAAACATTTACCAGTATACTACTGGTTGAAGCACTCCCCCATCCTGTAAGAAAGGGAGAGGTCGTCACCGGGGAGGCATTTTACAAATGCCCATAATCCTCTATGTTCTGTCAGCCTCATAGGCTGCTCATTATACCCTCATGCTTGGTAATAATGCTACAGTAATGTTACTTAGGGACATGCCGATGCTATTTTTCTGAAGCACCTATGCAAGCGTCTCATGGGTGGGCAGTCCCTGTGCTGGGCACTGACAGACAGCCAAAATGGCTCGCCCTAAATAGACACCTCTGGAAAATCCTAACATCCCCATCTGTGAAGGAATGCATTTCATTCCTCCCCTCCTAATCTTCTTACGGTAGCTAATCTTTAGTCAAAGCTTCAGCTTAGACATAAACACTAATTCACTCACTCTTCAATCAATCTGCCACTATGGCAAGACCAAGCTTGGGGAAAAGCCACAGTAGCCTCAAAAGCAACTTGAAACTGACAAATCCCTTAGCTTCAGTTTCTGGGCCAAAAAGAGTTAAGAGTTTGTCAGCTTCAAGTCACTAGAGGCTTTAGAAGTCAGTCAAATCTGCCGACTCAACACATTTTGCTTTAAATAGGAAAGATGCCAACTGAAGCTGAATGGTAAAAGATTTCCAGGGACTGGTAAAACTAAGGAGAAGGGAGGAGAAAAGAATATGTAGTGATAGTAATAATTCCTTTTTCAAACAATGTAACAGTACTTTTACTAGATATTTCTTCTCCTTTTTCCATTATGTCCTCTGCGTTAAGTATTATTTTGGCCATTTTAACAAGTGGCAAAATTAGAATGGTCAGATAAATTTCCCCATGCATTTGGGGAAATTGGAACTGAAATCCTGGTCTGCTGATATCTTCCTCTCAATCGTTCTTACTCTAGATATGTGTTTCCCATTTGGTAACAGGAAGATAACATAACTAAAACATCCCTTGAGCCACATCCGTACTTAGGCTTTTATGCACATGAATCTGTTTAAAAAAATAGTTGAAAATAGTCAGATATCCATTTAGTTCAAGTGAATTCTAGCATTAAAAATATATATAATCTGTGATAACGTCATATGCCATTATCTCCTTGTATGCTTTTTTCTTTTTCCAGCTTTACTGAGGTATAATAAAATAGGCATACTATAAACACAGTAGGTATACAATCTGATGTTTTGATATATGTAAAACCCATAAAATAATTACCACATTTAAGAGAGTCAATACAGTCATCCCTCAGTATCATTGGGGGATTGGTTCCAGAATCTCCCTCAGGTATCAAAGTCCTCAAATGCTCTACTCCCTTATATAAAATGCTGTAGTATTTGTGTATAACCTATGCACATCCTCCCATATACTTTAAATCATCTCTGGATTACTCATAATACCTGATACAATGTAAATACTATATAAATAATTGTTAGGCTATGTTGTTTAGGGAATAATGACGAAAAAGGTCTGTGCATGTTAAATATGGACACAAATTTTTTCCAAATATTTTTAATCCACAGTTGGTTGAATTCACTGATGCAGAATTCACGGATGTGGAGGGGCAACTGTATGTTCCACACATCCAAAATTCCTCACGTCCTTGGTAATTCCTCTCGTCTACCCCTTCCCACACATTCACCCCAGGAAACAACTGATCTACCTTCTGTCAATGAAATAAATTTTCATTTTTAATGTTTTATAAGCATAGACTTATACAATATGTACTCTATGTCTGACCTCTTTCATTCAGCATAATAATCTCAAGATATCGCCATGTTGTTGTATTACCAATAGTTCCTCCCATTGTGTTGCTGAGTAGCATCTCATTATATGAACATGACACAATTTGCTTATTCATTCACTTATTGTTAGGCTTTTGATTTTTTTCCAGTCTGAGGCTATTGTGAACAATCATGCCAAAGGGTATCTATTGACATATGATTTTAATACCTCACAGTGGAATGGCTAGGTCTTCTGAGAAGGTATGTTTACCTTTTTAAGAAACTGCCAAGCATTTCCAAGCTGGCTATGCCAATTTACATTCCCAACACCATAGTATGAGAATTCCCATTCCTTCACATTCTGGTCAACACTTGGTATATCAATCTTTTTAATTTTAGCAGTGCTAACAAATGTGCAGTGGTATCTCATTATGGTTTTAATTAGTATTGCCCTAATGAATAATGATATGAAGCATCTGTTCATGTGCTTGTTTCAAATCCACATATCTTCTTTGGTTAAGTCTATCTGCTGCCCATTTTTTGTTGTGTTATTTTTATATTATTGACTTTTGAGAGTTCTATGTATATAATGGATACATGTTCTCTAGCAGATATATTCTTTGCAAATATTTTCTTTCAGTCTCTGGCTTGTCTTTGCATTCTCTTAATATCCTTTGGCAAGCAGAAGTTTTTAATTTTGATGAGATCTAATTTATCCATCTTTTTGTTTTATAGACCAAACCTTTGGTGTCATATCTAAGAAATCTTTGCCTAACCAAGGTCACAAAGATTTTATTTATGTTTTCTTTTACAAGTTTTAGAGTTTTAGGCTTTACATTTAGGTTTATGATTCAATTTGGGATTCTGAGTTAATTTTTATATATAGTTTAAGGTTTGGATTGATGTTTGTTTGGTTTCTTTTGCATGTAGATGTCCGATTGTTCCAGCACCATTTGTTGAAAAGACTATGCTTTCGCCACTGAATTGTCTCTGCACCTTTGTCAAAAATCAGTTGTCCATGTATATGTGGGTCTTTTTCTGTACTGTGTTCTGTTTCATTGACCTATTTGTCTATCCTTATGTCTTTACCATTGTCTTAGTTAGCTCGGGCTGCCATAACAAAATACCATAGACTGTGTGGCTTAAACAAGAAAAAGTTATTTGCTTACATTTCTGGAGGCCAGAAGTCTGAGACAAGGATGCCAGCATGGTCAGTTTCTGGTGAAGTCTCTTTTCCTGAGTTGGAGACAGCCTAGCTTCTCATGGTATTCTCACATGGCAGAGAGAGAAAGAACAAGCTCTCTGGTGCCTCTTCTTATAAGGGCACTAATCTCATCATAGGACCCCACCCTTTGGGCCTCAACATGTAAATGGGGGTGTGGGGGTGGGGACACAAACATTCAGTCCATAAAACCATAGTATTCATGCCCTGAGAGTCTGAGGGTAGAATAAGAAGAAGGAAAGATGTAGTAATAGTGATAATTTCTACTTCAACAGTGCTTTTACTAGATATTCCATCTCCATAACTGATTACTTTATAATAAATCTCGACATCAGGTGATATTAGCCTTCCAATTTCTTCATGTTGACTATTCTAGGTCCTCTGCCTTTCCACATGAATTTTAGAATCAGCTTGTCAATTTTGACCCAAAAAGAGACCTGCTAAGCTTTAATTGGATTTGTATTAAATCTTTAGATCAATTTGAAGAGAATGACAATTGAATTGTATTTCTATATGTGTAAGAAACACTCAAAAATTAAAAATACCACATGTAATACCACCGAAACTATGAAATACTTAAAAATAAATCTGATAAAAGATGTGAAAGACTTGTACCCGAAAACCACAAAACATTGCTGAGAGAATTACAGAAAACCCTAATAACTGGAGAGCTATATCTTGTTCACATGTCAGAAGACTCAATATTGGAATGATTTCTTCTTCCCTTTAATAATGGAAGCTGCTGCATTTTTATTTTTCTTGGAGATAGGTGAGGCCATTTGACTCTGATCTGCCTAAAAGAATCTCAGCAAAAAAGTGTGCATTATCTCCAGATCATATCTTTTTCTGTTTTTCTTTTCCCATGGGCTGGTCCAGATGAGGACAGCACCATAGGGTAGTGCATTTTCAAGTGTACTTCCCTGACCAGCAGCAACAGCTTCCCCCGAAAACTTGAGAATGCAAATTCTCAAGCCCCACCCCTGAACTGTTCAGTCAGGAACTCTGGAGTTGGGACCCAGCACTGTGTTTTAAAAGAAAAACCCTCCAGGTGATCCAGGCACAGACTGCAAAGTATCAGTTGGAACATGGTTGGCTGAATATGTTTTTCGAGCAGTCACCTACTCTCCCAGGACTCTCTCCACGCTCTTATATGATGGAGAAATAAACTTGTCTTGCTTGAGACTTTGTAATTTTTGTCACCTCATCTATCTCTAATTATACCTCCATTGTGCCTGTCTGTAATATTATCCTGACCTTGTATAGACAAGTTTCTTTCAGGACATACGGTTTATCTCAAAGATAGTATCAAGATTACCACTACATGTCAAGGTTAGTATTTGCCTATACTGAGGGACACATCATAATAATTGGTAGTACCTTTCCTATATAACTTGTGATGTTTTGATAAGTTGGATGAACAATAAAGCGACATAATGTGCTATATTCAAAGAGATAATTTTATAAATTGTCATATATGTTAGTCTTAAAAATTATGAGACTTACATATTTTCCCTTTTTGCATAATTTTCTTTTTCTCTAACTTTGAGGAGAAAATATGGGATTTTTTTTCCTCTCCAAACTATTTACTTTTTCTAATCTGCTCCCATCATGTAGGTACTTTAGTTGTCAATAGCAGCCAGAATTACCCTGAAGACTTGTTTAAGGGAACTGAAAAGGTATAAACAGCCCTAGTGCTGAAAGTAAGAAAAATAATATCTTAGATAATATTCACAGTTGACTGTTCTTCAAACAAGAAAAAAGGGAAAGAATTATGACCTGGAAAAAATCAGTTATTTTATATATAAAATTATATATAACATAAAATATATGTTATTTTATATACAAAATTATATATAACAAAATATATATTATTTTATACTTCTTATATAATCTGATCTATATAGCTCAAAATACATGTGTGCATGTGTATTTTACACATATATATAGTAAAAGTACAGTGCAATAACTCTTGGAAATTTTTCAATGGTTCATCATGAAACACTTCTTACAGTGTTTCAATAAGCCTGTCTAAGTTGACTTGAGTACTTCCTGGTGATAGGAAAATTCAAGTGTTCACAGCTCATTCAATATTCTACTTATTTGCTAAGCACCTCCTCTGTATCAGACAGCCTCTTCAATTTTTGAACAGCCATAATTGATTAAAAGTTCTAACCCACATTAAGATGAAATCCTCCTGTAAATAGCTTCAACAGAGCTTCTTGCAGAAACACACTGTGCTAGGAGCTGGGGATAGAGACACAACTGCCTTCAGGGAACTCACGGTATCCTGGAGGTAGGGACAGAGGGTCTGATGACAGAATTAATAAATGCCAATGTATGGATGTACAGAATGCTTTGAGAAACTGGAGGAGGATGCCCTAAAAGATGAATAGGAATCAAAAGAGAAACAACATTCCAGGTACCAGGAAGAGTATGGATACAGGCACAGAAGCATAGAAGAGAAGGACATTTAGGAAACCTCTAGTAGCTCTGTATGTCCAAAATTAAAGTTGTGGAGTAGATGCTAAGACTGGCAAAAATCTGTAAGACACATATTAAGAAGCGACTTGTACATCACAATGAGGGGCTCAGACTTTATTCCCCAGGCAATGGGGAGTCAGTAGAAAATATTATGTGAACAAGTGACATGATTCGCTTTCTGACTTGAAAAATTATTCTGAGTGAAGTAAAGAGAATGAATCAGAGAAAAGAGAAAACATAAGAAAGAACAAGAGGATACCTGTAAACAGTGTATGAGTTTCTTCCCCACTCTTCCTCCTGCCCTCTCTCTGTTCCCTCCTCCTGCAAGAGAAAATATGTCTAGGCTAAGGTAGCAGAAGTGAGGATGTGGATGAATCAACAGATCCGAGAGATATGAAATAAGATTCTCATCAGTATTTAGTAATCAACTCAGTATGGGCAGTGAAGGAGAAGGTTGTAGTTCTGTCCCCTGGAGCATCGCAAAAGTCTTTCCTATGACAACCCTTCAGTCATTTAAGAATAATTATCACCTTCTTTCCTTCACCCCTCAAACAAACCAATTCTTGTCCTTCAACCTGGGTACAATAAAATGCCATTCCCCAGTCCCCCTATCTCCCAGTGTCTAAGTGGGTATAGAAGGTACGTTATCTAAAATTTCTCAACAACCTACTCAAAACTCAAGAAGTAGATAAATGTATTTCTCTCTAGCCTATAAGAATTCACACCAGCCAAAAGATCTCCCTCACTGTTCAGTTGTCAAAAAAATATATTAATGCTTCTAAATCAAGAACAAAAATAAAGTCACTCAAAAATAAAGTTTAACATTTCATATTTTTGGCACTTAAAATATTCTTCTATTTGTGCTTTCCTAACATGAGCATATGACTTGCAAAGCAAAGTAGCCATAAATCAGGCTACTCTAACACCCTCTTCACAGACATTTGTCAGGAAAAATAATTAGTATACTGGCTAAGAGAACACTAATAAAGCAGTGCATTGCATTTCATTTGGTCCTTATTCAACAACTGCAAAGAGTTCCAAAGAAAAAGACAAAGAAAATTAGAATTATTATTCTCCTACACCCAGCTTTCCTGATGGAGCATATTTCTTGATGCTGGCAAAACTCCTGGACCTAATCTTTATTTTTTAACCTATTGATCCTTTTCCATTTAGTGACAGACTTGTTCTGCTACAAGGGATGGGTTTCCAAATTGGCCTGAGGGAGGCATGTGGGTTAGAAACAATATTGTCATTGGCCTAGTTTTGGCAGGATTGGTGGAAAGTCAGACAACTGTTATGTTTTGGAGTTGCGGGCTAATAGTGCCCTCTGTTTTCCATTTTTGCTCCCATCCACAGAATTACCAGATGGCCAAAAAGCCACTAGAACAGAAGTAATATTCCAATACAGTGGAAAAAGACCAATCCAGTAAACACTCTAACATCCATCCAGTGACTTAAAATAGCAATCTAAATGTTCTAAAGATGAAGGGGGAAAAAATAGAAAACAGCAAAAACTCTTTACGCCTGACTCCTTTCACCTGAATACATGGTCTTTTCAGAGCAATAAATTTACCGCAGATTCCAGCACCCTCAAAATGTCCCACCCATCTTCCCAAATGCCCAACTTGTAGCCCAGTTGGCCACAATTGTTCAAAAGATTTAGAAGACATTTCCTAAACTTCCCAGAGATTCTCAGTCAGTGGATCCAGGATGGAGCATAGTTATCTGTAATTCCTTTTAAATACAGAATATGCTTATCAAGATGGTTCCTATTCATCTTGATAGAGGGTGATTTAATGCTGCTTCCTCCTGAAGGAACATTCTTCTGTAAGGCTTGCTTTTTCTCCTGTAGGCTGGCAGAGAACAGTGGAGCCACCAACACATAAAACTACTGTTTGTGCCTGGCTAAAGACCCTGGCGATTTTATAGCATCCTGGGTATTTCATATCCATGAAGTGCCTGGGGCTCTGCATCAGGCACTCCTTGTGTTTCCTCTTCTGGAGAGGGATAAAAGAGGTCTTTTGTGAGAGGCATGTTCTCATGGATATGTAGTCACCACCAGAAAGGGAAATACGTCATTTAAAAAAAATCTTTCCAAGTGATTCTGATGGTCACATTGGGGAACTATTTAAAGGAATCTTTAATGGTCTATCTGTAGGAGAAATTTTCAAATGAGGTGCTGGTGCTAGAAATGGAAGTCATTGGTTGGGTAACTTTTCAATTTTCATACATCCTCCGCTCCTACCTCCAAGTTTCTTCCGTGCTTTCTGCTGGAGAGGGAATATAGTACACGGGGTGAGTAGGAATTGAAAAACACTGTCTTTGGAATGGAGAGTCAGGGAACTGCCTGGAGAGAAACGAAGCAAAACAAAACAAAATGCTCTCGCTCTGATAGTGTGAACTAGTTGGGTGCAAATATAAAACAACTGTTATCAACACCCACCTCAACCCTGGTTCATTCTATGGGGCAAGTTCTTCCTCTGCTCCTGGAAGAAATTCTGAGAAGGTGAAACTGGTTTTTCCTGGCATTTTCAGATAATAAAATCATTTTGCCTGAAAGAGTCTCATGTTACAATTAAAAGTCAAGTCAAAAACCATAGAGTTTAAAGTTAAAATTTCTCTCCTCTCCGACTGGGGATCTCCTCCCCCAGTTTGGGCCTGCACCTTCAACCTCTTCTTAGTTTCCCCTCCTGCTTCTCCATCTCTTCTCCCTCACTCAATAAGCGTCCTTCCCCCATGCAAGATTGAAGGTGGGACTAGGGGCCGGGGTAGGAAAGGAAGAGAGGTAAGGTTACAGAGAGAAAGGTCTTACCTGACCAATATTGATGCAACCTGACCCTCTTTCCCCCTGGCTGGTTAATTCTTGCTCATGAGATGCATTAAGCGTTCTTTGAAGAGCTCCTGTCATCGCTGGAGATGTCTCACCTACAGAACTAGGTGGATTCATTTCCTCTAGCTGGTGATTCACAATTCCCTGAGCACCTGACTTTCACTGTACACCTTCAGCCTTTTCTATTGAGGTCTCCTTGCCTTCCCTCTATCAGATACATGGGCAGGGCTTAGGGCAGTTTAAGGATGGCTTTCTCTCTCACTTGTTGCTCACATTTGATCCATGAAAAAGACTCACGTGTCATTCCCTGTCGCACCAACAAAGCAGGAAGCTTTGGCCAGAGCATCTTGCTTTTAGGTGCTTTAACCATGTGTCAGATACCAGTCCACTGTATCCCCCAAACAGCAGGGAATCCTATCAGAAACCTCAATTTATCCCTGGGAAGCCTATTTTGCTTGACTTTAGGTGAGGAGGAAGCCTCTTCCTCTTACTCCATAGCCATGAAGGCAGGGTATCAGCAGCATACTAAAAACTCTAAGATTTTTTCTTTAATCTCCAATCAGTATCTTTTGATCTCTTCCATTTCTTTCACAGATTGAATATAGGTGATCTGCAAAATCAGTTTATAGCACCATCTTCTCAAAATGTTACATGGTGCAACTATTATCTGGAGGCCTTAGATGAAACAGGGATTTGGAGAGTCCCATTTTACATTTTGATGGCTAAAGCCCTAGTCCTTTGGACTGTCACACCAAGACGGTCAATGGATTTCCATTAGAGGATCTGAACATGCCCTGTATTCCAGTTGGCTCTTTGACATTCAAAGTCTGGGCAGACTGGCAGGCCCCATTTGCCAAGGAGCAATTACTTCTGTAGTAATTAGGTCTGAAATCATGTTGCCTGTTTGAATCAAAAGCAGTTTTCTGCACAACGTAACATTCAACCAGTGCAGACACGGAAGAGTAAATAAACAACCCATGTTTCTTCAACCAGGCACAGCACTGAATTTTACAGCAGTTAAAGATTCTAAGGGTATTAAAGATTACAAGAATGTAATCATACCAATACCAAAGAGATTTGTTAATTAAAGCCAAAATCTGGAAGTATAAGCTGAAGTTATTATTGTTTATATTATAATAGAAAAGAAAAAGAGGGACAAAGAAGGAAAAAGAGAAGAAATCTTAAATGGTAAACTGAAAAACAAAATCATAAAAATGTAAATATATCGAGGATTCTAAAAATCAACTAGTTTAATACCTTCATCTTACATAAAATAATAACAATAGTAACAAAAAACCCTACTGCGCATTTGCTATGTTTTAAGCACTTCATAATAATGTTATCTCATTTAATCATCATATATGAAAGGCTGTGGTAGATTAGATTATTGCTCTCGGGTCTTCACTCACTGCCTTCTGCCATGTAACTTTCTGATGCACTGTAGTGGGCAGAGTACATTTCTCCACCCCATTGATATTGGGCTTGACCACGTGACTAGCATTGATCAATGAGATGTTAACACATGTCACACAAATACAAGAGTAAAGTCTGTTTTCTAATTTTGTAAATTGTGTAATTTGACTTGTCATCTTGCATTCCTGAGATTGGTGCTGGACAAGGACAATGAAGAAACATACGGAGCAAACCTAAACTCAACCTGGAGCCTAGAGCCAAGGCTCACCAATGACATCCTGAAGCAGATCTACCCCAAAACACTTGCAGGCCTATGAACCAAGAAAACTAACGCTTGTGGTAAGCCACTGAGTTCTGGACAGTTTGGTATACGGCATTATTTTAGCAATGGCTGACTAATACGAAGGTCTAGACAAAGAGAAAGAATGTCTGCTTATCACCAAGGCTGAAATAAATTTTAAAATCCTCATATTCCCAGTTTTCTTTCATACTGCTTATTTGTCTCAGTTTAGATACCTTAGCTCTAACCTGTGCTCATTGCTGGAAGTTAAGGATTTTATTTGAAGAAGATTTCTAAGAGTAACTCACAGAAGCTCTGAATTACTAAAAGAGCTAAAAGTTTACACACACTCACAAACACAAACACACACACACGAACCTTTTTGTGGGTGCTTGCTTCATCTGAGATGTAAAGACAAACAAATGGACATCTATAATAGGTCAGCTTCAGGATGAACAATGTTAAGCTGACAAGGGTTTTTTATGCAGAATGTACCATCAACTCCCAGGACTAGAAGCATATAAAAACCTAGGCATTGGCCGGGTGCGGTGGCTCACTGCTGTAATCCCAGCACTTTGGGAGGCCAAGGCAGGCGGATCACGAGGTCAGGAAATCGAGACCATCCTGGCTAACAAGATGAAACCCCGTATCTACTAAAAATACAAAAAATTATCCAGTCGTGGTGGCAGGCGCCTGTAGTCCCAGCTACTCGGGAGGCTGAGGCAGGAGAATGGCGTGAATCCGGGAGGCAGAGCTTGCAGTGAGCCGAGATCACGCCATTGCACTCCAGCCTGGGCAACAGAGTGAGACTCCGTCTCAAAAAATAAAAACAATAAAAAATAAATAAATAAATAAATCCTAGACATCAATCAATGGGTGTTTATTGAGTGCTTACACAATATTAGGCTGAGGGAAAGGTGGCACTTGGGAGTGGGGGTTTGAGGAGTGGCTAAAAATGAAAATATGACAGAGACCTTCCTCTGAGAAGTTTTATTCTCATTCTAAGAGGAACTTATAGTTTCAAACTCCAAACACTCAGATATGCATGGGAACTCATAATCTGTTTCAAAAATAAATGTCAAATTTGCTAACAAACAAAAACATCTACCCCCCCACCGGCAAAAATAAATTCTACGGCAAACATTTACTCAATGCGAAAAAAGTAAAAGTATTAACTTTAAAATTAGAACTAAGACAAAAATGCCTGCTATCACTTTTTATGTTCACTTTATACAAGATATCAGAGCCAGTAAAGTAACAAAGAAAAAAGAAGTCAAAAGTGTGATAACAGGGCCGGGCGCAGTGGCTCACACCTGTAATCCCAGCACTTTGGGAGGCCAAGGCGAGCGCATTTTCTGAGGTCAGGAGTTCGAGACCAGCCTGACCAACATGGTGAAACCCCGTCTCTACTAAAAATACAAAATTAGCCAGGCATGGTGGCACATGCCTGTAATTCCAGCTACTCAGGAGGCTGAGGCAGGTAAATCGCTTGAAATTGGGAGGCGGAGGATGCAGTGAGCCAAGATCATGCCATTGCACTCCAGCCTGGGAAACAGAGCAAAACTCTGTCTCAAAAAAAAAAAAAAAAAAAACAAGTGTGATAACTGGAAAAGAAAAACCAACAACAACTATTATTTACAGACTATATGGCTGTATATATAGAAAACTAGAAAGAATATATAATGTTGGAACCATAAAAAATTTTAAATGGCCTGGTATAAGATTATTGGTGTGAAGATCAATATTAAAAAGGCAACTGCATTTTATTTTTTTATTAAGTTTTTAAAAAACTTTTACTTTAGGTTAAGGGCTACATTAACAGGTTTCTTATATAGGTAAACTTGTGTCATGGGGATTTGGTGTACAGATTATTTTATTACCCAGGTAAGAAGTACAATTATAGTTTTATATACCAGAAATAGACCTTTAGAATGTATAACTTTTAGGGCCAGGTGTGGTGACTTATGTGTGTAATCCCAGCACTCTAGGAGGCCAAGGCAGGCAGATCAGTTGAGGCCAGGAGTTCAAGAACAGCCTGGCCAACATGGTGAAACACTGTCTCTACTAAAAATATAAAAATTAGACAGGTGCGCTGGCATACTCCTGTAGTCCCAGCTACTCAGGAGGCTGAGGCGTGATAATTGCTTGAGCCTGGGAGGTGGAGGTTGCAGGGAGCTGAGATCACACCACTGTACTCCAGCCTGGATAATAGACTATGAATCCATCTCAAAAATATAATATATAAATAACTTTTTAAAATACCACTTAAAATCCAACAATAAAAGAAAGTTGTGTGAATAAACTTAACAAAAGCTTCCCAAGATTTCTATGAAGAAAAACACAATACCTTACTGGAAGGTATGAAAGATAACTTACATAAATTAGAGACATACCATGTTCATGAATTATATGAATAGGTATGTATTATAACAATGTCAATTACCCCTAATTATTCTATACATTCAATTTAATTTCAGTCACAGTCCAATAAGGTTTTTAAGGGACATTAAAAGCTAATTTAAAAAATCTCATGTAGAATTAATGGACAGATAGAAAGATGGATATTTATGTGACAAGGAAAAATAATAAAATGTGAATTATAGAATCTAGGTGGTGGGTTCATGAGTGTTTGTTTACTGTAAAATCCTTTTAACTCTACTTTTGGACTTTTAATAGCAAAATGTTTCGGTGGGGTGAAAATCATTTGGAAAAGCCAATAGCTAAGAAAAGCCCAGATGCTCCTAAAAAGGAAGAACAAAGTGCTTTACCACATGGGAAAACTTTGAGTGAAAGTTATTAAGACAGTGTGGTATTGGTGTGAGAACAGACAACTGAATCAACAGAATATGATACAGACCAGGCGTCTATAAAAACCTAATTTATATCAGATCCTACATTAGAGATCACTGGAAAAAGGATAGACTATTCAGTAAATGGTGTGAGGAAAATTGGTTATCCATATGGAAAAGAAAACATTGAAGACAAAACTTTAAAACTAAAGAAAACGGTAAGGGAATGTCTTTTAAATATCTTTATAAAATAGTTTTTAATAGCAAAAAGGTATAACTCATAAAGGAAAAGACTGATCAATTTTATTACATTAAAATTTAAAACTGCTATTCAACAAAAGATGGCATCAAGAGAGTAAAAGGTTATCCTGCAATCTGGAAAGAATTATTTTCAACTCATATAACTGAAAACAGATTAATATCCATATTTTATAAAGTACTCTTATAAATCCTTGAGAAAAAGACAAACAACCCTCCAGCAAAAAATGGGCAAGTGCAGAAGGATGAAAGGATGAAAAATCTAAAAAGCCTATCCAGGAGGAAAGAAATACACAAACTCCGTTAGGAAAATTAACATTTTTAGTGGTCCTCAACCTTAAAAGAATCAAGCTAAAACAAAAGTGGCACGTGCTTATGATATACTGTGGTAAATTTGCAAATCTCCAATAAATTATAATCTAGAAGCTTACAAACCACACAGGACTTCATGAAGACTTATTTATTACTCTACCAAAAAAAAAGTATGAATTATGGCTAGGTATGCCTTTCTGTCCTCGGAAAGACAAGGAGACAAAATCCTAACCAAATGTCCTTTTTTTCTCCCTGCCCTCCTTTCGTCTTTCCTTCCTTCCTTTCTTTTTTCCTTCATCCCTCTGCTCCTTCCTTTTCATTTTCCTTCTCTCCTCCTTCTATCCTTTCTCTCTGTCCTTCTGTACTAGTTTTCTAATACTGCATAACAAATTACAAAAAAACTTATCTGGGTGCAGTGGTGCACATCTTTAGTCCCAGCTACTCAGAAGGCTGATGTGGGAGGATCGTTACAGCCCAGGAGTTTGAGGCCAGCCTGGGCAACATAGAAAGACCCCATCCCTAAAAACACAGTAACAACAAAAACCCTTAACAATACAAAACAAAATTTGTATTTCACAAGGTCCGTGAGTCAGGAGGCCAGTACAGATTAACTGGGCCCTCTGTTCAGGGTCTCACCAAGCTGAAAGTAAGCTGTCAGCCAGTGCTCTGATCTCATCTGTGACCCAGAGTTCCCTTCCCAACTTATTCAGATTGTTGTCAGAGTTTAGTTCCTTTCATCGATAGGACTAAGGGTCCAATATACTTGTTTGGTGTTGGCTAGGAGTAACTCTCAGCTCCTAGAGACTGCCCTCAGGTCCTAACCCTCCTACAAGGTGCAGCTTACTTCCTCAAAGACAGCAGGAGAATCTTTCTCATGCTTCAAATCTCTAACTTCATTTAAGAGCTCACCTGATTAGGTCAGGCCCTCCTAGGATATCCCTTTTGATTAACACACATTCCACTGACTAGATACCTTAATTAAGCCAGAAACCACAACTTACTTAAAATGCCTGCAGCATAAAGTGACAGGTGGCCATGAGTAGGAGAAAGCTAGAGAAATAAAGGCAGAATCACAGAGGACTTTACAAACCACATATGGAATGTGACCTTCATCCCAGCAACAGTTAGAAACCAATGAAGGGCTCGAAGGTTTTTAAGAACAAAAATGTCAGAATCAAATGGTCAGATCTGCACTTTAGAAAGATGGCTCCTAGGGGGCAGTAAGAAGGAGAAAGAGGGAGGTTCCACTTGAACATGTATTTGTGGGATGGAAGGGGAGCATGCGACAAAAATAACTCTGGAAGTTGCCCTCCAGATACTATGCCATGCCCTTAGAAATTCTTTAATTTGAAAAACAATTGCTGGGCATCTATTCTACACCCAGAGACAAAGCTTATAACCAGAAAAACAATCATATGTCTGTCTTCTCCTAACATGCCACAAAAGTACATGCATGGCTTTTGAAAAAATAGTTGAGAGAGGGCAAAGGTCAATATGCAGAAGGGAATAAAATTTAGGGGAGAAGGTTAGCACACCAAAATGTATACTGTATCTTCACTTATGGTTTCCACTTAGGATAAAATATTCTTAAATTTTTTTGAAGTCAAAGGGGTACAAGAGACTTGGTCAGTTACAAAGACATTGGGTCCACAGGATAAAATTGTTTAGGGGAAGAACCAACATTCCAGAGAGTGAGACTCAGCAAAACTTTTCACATGGATCATCTGCATTATTTTAAGTAGTAAACTAAGAGCCAGAAGAGGTCAAAATGAGGGAGTGAACCGTACGCAGCAGGGTTTGCAGAAAAAGGTCTCCTGATGAAGGGAAGACAGACTATAGCTCTGCAGAGAGGAGGGGCAAATCCTAGTAATGAATTTATCTCTATACGCGGCGTTCGATTCTTTCTCATTTGATTTGTCAAAGGGCTTAGGGGTTATCTTGTGATTGGAGAGCCCCGCATGTATAATAAATTGCTAACTTCATCTCTTGACTGACTTGTAAATCTTGAATCTTTTCAGGGATTAACTACTTGCTAAATTCATTTATCAAAATTAAAACTAGGTTTTCAGAATGTTGCCCTCCAAATCCCAAGAAACTACGAAAGATTAACCTTTTGCAGAGTCTTCCAGGCTGCGCACCAGTGGGTGACATCAACACAAGTGATTAATAGTAGGTATCTAAGGTCTGGGGGAGATGCTGACAGACATTCCCCCCACATGATGGCATAAGTCAGCTACTAATCAACCTAAGAAAACACACACCCTGATACTCTTCATACTAATGAAGCATTTCCGATTAGTATTTAGAACATCCATAGGAATTCTGTTTTGCACTAGAACCAGAGGTTTTAACAAGTGTGTCAAACCTCCTTAATGTTGTAAAACAGAATTCATTAACTCAGCCATTTTTAGTCATTCTAGATGCATCAGGAGCAGTGGCAGCATTAAACCACAAATCCAGAGTTGTAGCTATTCTGTGATGCTGTTTTGAAAACAGAGCTTTCGCTAACATTTTTTATACCAGGGATCCTTGCACCATTTGAGCCATATACAACCCATGTGCTCATCACAAAGAAGCGCACCCCTCTCTGTTGTCTTTCTCCCTTGTCTATTTACAGCCTGTCGTGTCATCTTCAGGCCTTAGAAGCATTTCATCCAAATATCCACATTCACGCAAAATGTTCCAACACCTTCCCAGTACAATCCTTGACATTTTCTCTTCCCTCCCTGAGTGGCACATGCTGTGAACCTGCTCCTTCTTGCATCTGAAATGGCAGCTGCGCTAGTTAATGGTCCCCTCAGAGCCTCTACCTCCATTATTCCTCTAAAACAAACTCTTTGTCCCAGTTCATAACAGCCATGATGATGCCCTAAAGAAAGTGACACTGAGACTTTGACTCCCACTAAAGGGTACAGGTTAGGCCGGGCGCGGTGGCTCACGCCTGTAATCCCAGCACTTTGGGAGGCCGAGGCGGGCGGATCACGAGGTCAGGAGATCGAGACCATCCCGGCTAAAACGGTGAAACCCCGTCTCTACTAAAAATACAAAAAATTAGCCGGGCGTAGTGGCGGGCGCCTGTAGTCCCAGCTACTTGGGAGGCTGAGGCAGGAGAATGGCGTGAACCCGGGAGGCGGAGCTTGCAGTGAGCCGAGATCCCCGCCACTGCACTCCAGCCTGGGCGACAGAGCGAGACTCCGTCTCAAAAAAAAAAAAAAAAAAGGGTACAGGTTAGACCCAGATGGAGGTATAAAATGGCATGAGGCCCAGGCATGATGACTCACGCCTGTAATCCCAGAATTTTGGGAGGCTGAGGCGGGCAGATCACCTGAGGTCAGGAGTTCAAGACCAACCTGGCTATCATGGTGGTCTCTACTAAAAATACAAAAATTAGCTGGGCATGGTGGTGCATGTCTGTAATCCCAGCTACTTGGGAGGCTGAGGCAGGAGAATCGCTTGAACCCAGAAGGTGGAGGTTGCAGTCAGCTGAGATCGTGCCATTGCATTCCAGCCTGGGTGACAAGAGGGAAACTCCGTCTCAAAAAATAAAAAGTAAAATAAAATAAAAATAAAATGGCATGGGCCATTTTATTTAATACAATATCAAAGTATTCCCAGATTCCCTTAACTGTACTTCATGGAATTACTCCCTCTGAATTTTCTAAACCAGTGGTGAGCAATCTTTTCTTTTTCCCTTGGGGACTACTAGCTTACAGGACAATCATTTAACAGGAGATCCTAAGAATACAGGTCATACTAATTCCATTCATTTTATAAGCATCTGATAAAGCCAGGATTACTGAGCATTTATGGCTACCATGCACCGTGTGAAGCAATTTATATACATTATTTCTACCAGTCTTTACAACAATTCTCTGAGATATATTCAATTACCAACATCCATTTAAACATGAGGAGACTGAGGCACTACAGCGTAAGTAACCTGCCCAAAGCTAGCGAGTGCCAAGAGCGGGTCAGACCCTGGGCTGCCTGGCCCCAAAGCCTGGGCTGTCCTCACTGATGACTGCCTTCTCTTTCACCAACGGTGAAGCCCACAGTAGGCCCTGGAGTCACGTGGATGACGAGTCACATGGATGCATAAGATAATATTTCTGCTCCACCACCACCTGGGGCTTATATTCCAATAAAAACAGGTTAAAACTTATTACAGAGCTAAGAACAGAGTTATAGTCCAGCATGGAGGATGCAGATATGAACTAGCCTAGAAGACTGAAGAAATATTCCCCAGAGGAGTGACCTTCAAGCCGTGAACATGATAAGAGAGTATTCAAAGCAGAACAGGCGCCATCCTAAAGCACACTGTTAGAAAAGGGCACGTGCTAGGAAAGGCAAGAAGCTTGACCTGACTGTAATAGCGGCAATAGAGGCAGGAAGAGGAAAGGAAGGAAGAGGAGGAGAGTGACAGGAAAAGGTTAGGTTAGGCCCTAGTGGCAATGCTTAAGAGTCTAAATATTATTTTTCAGGTAAGGACACACAGTGTTTCTGAGCAAAAGCATTGCATTATGAAGCCTGACTTTGGGGGGTTTTTAAAGGAATACTAACCACGTGGAAGTGTGGTAGAGAGAAAGGCCAGAAGCAGAGACACCTGTTTGGAGTCCAGGACAACAGTGAAAGCAGGTGGAAAGGAAACACCAGACAAGGTACATGTCAAAGTGTCTCCAATGGACTTATCACCATAGTTTATACCATGTACTTATTTATTGATTTGTTTATTTTCTGTCTCCCACAAAATTATATGTTCCATGAGAGTAGGGATTTTTGCTGAATTCTTAGCGCTGAGGACATTGCCTTACAGAACCTCCATAAATGAAGTAAACTAAAAGGAGTTTAGGGGTTGGTTGGATTTAATACACGAGAGAGTGGAGTGACTGACAGATTGCTATAAAATTTCTAGCCTGGGAAACTGGATGGATCATGACAGAGATCAAGAATACAAGACAGAAAGGTTTTGAAGTATCTACAGGATTCCAGATTGACATATGTGGAAAGCTGTTGGAAGTTTGGGACTGGAGCACAAGAGAAAGGTGGAGACTGGTTTCAGAGATTTTGGGATCATCAGTATAGAATTAGAGATGGTGCTGAAGCTATGGAAGCAGAAAAAAAAAAACAGAGCCTATGAGGAGAACAGGGGAGAGGAGCAGAAAAACTATGAGCAAACAGAACATTTATGAGATAGGAGAAGCCAGAAAAAGAAACAAGGAAGAAATAATGAGAAAGATAAAAGAACTGGGAGAGAAGGGTGTTCCTGAAAACACCAGAGGAAAGCATCCTGAAAAGCAGAACCCAATGCATTTGGGGACAATCAGATGTGCTATTGACTATACATAGGTAAAAGAGAAAGAAGATAGAAAATAGACCATCTGTATTTAGAAACCAGATGATCATTACAATCTTTATAGAGGACATTGTGGGGCATGGAGGGGAGGACTCAATGTGAATTGCTGAAAGTTACAGAGAAGGCAGGAATAGGGCTACCACCAGCTCACTAACCCATTTGTGCAAATTAGAGAAAAACACCCCTTCCTGGCAGAGGCACAAAGGCACAGAGGCTGACAGGTGGAGCACCCCTTCCTCTTGAGCTGAGTTCCTTTGTGCAGAGTGTAGCCTGCCCAACATCATGCAGTGGCCCTTGCCGGGATTTAGACAAGGAATTCGTTTAAAATAGTGAGACCAGAATGCCAGGACCAGTGAAGAAGTCAATCTGAGATAATGAGAAAAGATGGAGTGTGGTGCAGGAGGAGATAGAAAAATAAAATGCACCTCAGAGTTTAAAAAGCATGGTAAATGTTTGAAACAGAAAAATATAAAATTTATTAGAGGCAAGAAAAATGATGATCTAACCCATATTGATAGTTCACCTGAGGCTAAATACTAGTGCCACAAATTGTACAGGTATATAGTTTTTTTTTTTTCTGCAACGTTCAGAAGCCCAGCAACAGGAACAAAGAAAGCAAGTTGTTAGCTTCATCTTAAGTTTTTTTGGAAAATTACAAAATGCTTCACTACCCATTTTAAAAGTTGACAGCAATCAGAAAAATCCAGACAGAAGGAAACTACAGAAAAATAACTGTTCCCTTAACAAATAAATTGCAAGTTGAAAAAAAGAGACAGAAAGTGGAAACCTGTAGAATAAAAAATATTAAGAGAAAAACCAACCAACCACAAATTGAACTTTATTTGAATGCTGATTCTGATAGACACATTATAAAATTATTTTTAATTGACATTAAGGGGCAGTTGGAAATTGGAACTTTAACTGGATTTTGTGATACTAAGAAATTGTTACTAGTTTTAGGAGCAATACTGGCATCATGATTAGGTTCAAGAGTCCTCACGAATGATAGACATATACAGATATATTTATAGATGGACTTGTTACTGAACTAGAACTTGCTTTCAAATAAAATAGGAAGCAGGAAAGTGAGTGGAATACAGGTGAAATAAGAGGGGCCATGAACTTATGACCTTGAATCTGGATGACTGACCTATGGTGAAGGCTGTGATTGGCTCCTATGATAGGTTCATAAGATTTACTATACTATTCTGTGCACTTTCATGTAGGTTTTAATTTTTCTATAATAAATTCTGTTGAATGTAGTGACAAAACTAAATTCTACTCAGTGAATAATGGAAAAATTCCACTAGTTCTAGTGATGGCCAGTTAAGGAGATAACATAAGAAGTGACGGAGAGAAAAAATTTCAAAAGAGGGA